>NC_000015.10:94958492-95596919 GCF_000001405.40 Homo sapiens | reverse complement strand
AAAGGATTCCTTTCCTTTTTTTTTTTTTTTTTGGATACGTGACCTTTAAGAAAAGGTTGTGCTGTGTATTTCAGCCACCAAGTATTGAGAAAATTGCATTAACAGTAAAATAATATTCTTACTGCCAAGTGTACAAATATTCACTAACAGCAATCTTACTCTCCAAGGCCCCGAGCAGTGCTTCATCATGCTAGCATGGTCACCGTGACAGAAGGCTTCCTTGAAATCCATCCGCCCCTCTGTCATTCACAGCTTTCTTATTCAAACCAGCTCAGCGCCCTCACTGGCTGGCTGACCTGTGGCCCAAGCCCTGCAGTACTCAGTTGGCAGGGGGTTCCTCTGGGACCTTCTGTCCTGGCTTGACTGGTGACTCTCATCATTGGGATAGCTGTCCATGATTTTTGTTTAGGACAGAAAGCGGGGTACTCACCGAAAAGCTGTCTCATAGGCTAGTTATAAATAAGACTAAAACAAACACACATATGTATATTTATTTATATTTACAATGAGTTTGTTTGTAAATGCAATAAGATATATATTTTCAAAAAAGGTATGCTCTTTGGGAAAATGTTATTTCTTTATGGAATTTATTTTTAATCAGACTACAGAGGAATTCAGGTAAAAGTTGATGATGCTTATATGCCTCGAATACTATTTGTTTTACAGGATGAATATCCACTAGACTTAAATGAGGGTATAAATAAATAGATTACTTCTCATTCTTCAACTTAACTAAAAGCAGAGTGATGAACTAAAATATAATATTATTTTGTAAGATTTTCATTGGTAGCCAATACATTCAAGTAGAACCTTTTAAAGTGGAGCCTTTGATCTTTTTCACAAAATTCAGACACTTGCAATGGTTTGGATGTGTGTGTCTGTACATGCTTTTATTTTCTTTCCCTGTGCTGCCCCAACTATGACTGGGAGGATCAAATCCACAGCAAGTTCATTTCTGGGCCAACTCTGCCAAATTATATGATGTGAATTGATGTCTACTAGGGCTTACAACAGCAAATCCTGATTTAAGTTCCTAGAGTGAACTTGTCCACAACTCTTAGGGTGAAAGGCCAGTTCATATCCATTAATTAGTCTAATCCATCTCAATCCACTTTATTTTATACCTTTCAGGGAATATATCTATGTGAGATATATTTGGATAAAGTAATGCTATGAACACTCAGAAATACAACCATTCCATGGAAAATGATTGCTACCTAGCGATGTTTTAATTTTTTCCCCAATATCAAAATTTTAGAAGGTTTTGTATACAGATTCTTGATGATAATGAAGTAACTTTATGTGAAACAGCGGTGGGCAGATTATTCTATGAGTACTGAACCAAAATATTAAAATCAGTTAGAAAGGTCACATGATTTTGTCAAAGACTATGGCAGGCTAGAATTCTGGAAAATAATTTGTCTTACATGAAACGATTTTCCTTCCATTGTACAAGTTCCATACAAGTATTAAATTTCAAAACAAATTAATTCATGCCTATGACTTGAAATTTTTACAATTTAGACATTTAAATACCAGGGTTCCATTTAATGGTATGAACAGGTTATAGAGATTTGTTAATTTGAAATTCCATTTGGTAACAGATGCAATAACTTGTCTGGCATTAAAACTGAGTTTAAGGTAATCACTGCACTTGCTCTTTTGTTCTAAGTGTTTTACAATCCTTAATTCACATAAAACATCTGTGAAATTTAGTTAGGAGTGTGGTGAGTAAAATTTAATCCCTGTTTTTATACCAGCTTGTTCGGAAACATGCTTACATATATTTTAATCTTGCTTGTGTGAAAAATACATGTGGGAATCAATGGGAAAGTGTTTTAGTGATATCCTAAACCTTTAGGGCAATAGAAGATTAATGTTCTAACAGAATTAAAACTATGCCAAGCTAAAGATTCTTTCCTTAATTGATTTTGACACCAATTGGAGGAATAACTGCAGAAACAAATGAAAATTTGGAAATTATTAAGTGGCCGAATATGTCTTTGTTTAAGAGAACACTGGTTTCTTTTCTATGTCATGGATTAGATATAGGCAAAAGAAGTTATTTTGTTGAGAACATTCCCGTTAGGTAGGAATGGTGAGTTGGTGGCAGTGCACAACTCTCGCCTTCTCTATCAAATGGAGACAACATTAACCAACCCTGCACTTTCCAGGCCTGGAGTCAGCCCCAGCTCCTTCTCAGCACTTCTCAGCACTGCACCCTGGCAGCTGTCATCAGCAACGCATAGTTATGTACCAGCAGGGTCTTTTGTGAAGTTCCTTTGGTAAGTGATAATAAGGCAAATGCTTCAGAAGCATTTTCCAGCATGGATGTAATAGAAAGGTTAGCATTAATAAAGCTACTGGAGAATTTGACATCGAAGATGTTTCACATAAATTTCATCTCCCCACTTATTAATCTGGAAATGTTTATCTAGCACCTTCTATCATAAGGCACTAAGCTAGACACTGAGATAGATGTGCACACACACTAATTCTTTATGCCCCGGCCCATTCCACAAAGGATTTAAATTTGTTCGTAAATATGTGCACATAGGTGTACATGTATGTGTGCATATATGTATATGTGTGTGTGAATATAGGATAAATACAAATAATGGAAGGACTTCTGGTAAAGGAAAAATTTGGATAAGGAAAAAGGACAGAATAAGACTAATATGCAAGGCCTAACTTCCATGGGGATATTACAAAGTTGCTGGAAGTAAACAAAATTTTGGCATCAAATTTACTTTCTAGAGATCAAAGCAAAGTGGGAAATGTGATCAGTTACAAAGATTTATAAGATAATAGGCTATAGGCTAAAACCAAGTGGGAGAGATTTTCCAGTTATTGAGATGAGAGGGAAAATTGTCCCATGGATTCTCATTTGGAAAACACTGTGCTATATGATGGGTGGGAGGCTTGCCAACATCTACACAATAATTAAAATATTCACTTTGATGGGACCATTCATTGTATAGTCCTTAAAGTATTCCAGTGACCTAACATCCAGATAAAATACAGTAAAAGCAAGTGTGTGAATAGGTAAAATATTGCAGGAAAAAATCTAACTCTGTTTTCATCTTGCCTGAACCTACTGTAAAATTTAGAAAGTGCATTTAAACCAAACGCCCTGGAGGTGATCATTCTGGTGCACGTGGGAGGTGGTGGAAAATGACTCTAGAGGGTAGATATCCACACTCCTATTCCCAACACAGGGGCTGTTGTTTTTCATCCGCGTTACACATGAGACTTCTGAGTAGTGCATCTCCCATTAAGATATTTGATAAGCATAAAAGAGAGCAGAGAATTTCAGGAGGCCATCCTGTGTAAAGATCTGAAGTACAGATACCATGTGGAGCTGATTAAAGGAACATCTTAATGCCTTGACAACTAATCCTGTGCTGAGCAGTGGGAAAGTTCTTTAATCATATGGTGGATATGTCCTCCAGCTCAGCCTAGAGGAGTAAGAGTTCCTCAGGAACTGTTCCTAGTCTGCTCCAGATGGGGAAATTGGTTCTCAAGGCCCCCAGGTTCTACCTTGCTGAACATTTTTCTCCAGGAAGCATTATTTCTAAAGGATGATAAGGATACTCTACGATCAAATAAGTTTGAGAGCCAATGAATAAAACAAGGTTCAACCAGTTATTTTCTTGCAGGATTTCTTAAAGCCTTAACTAGGCTAATGTGAGCTGCAAATCTCCAAGAATAGTATGGCTTTCCAATACTGATTCAGTTAAGGGTTCCTGTTTCCGTGAAGTAGCTCACTGAACTAGCTTTCTATGGCAGAGTCCTGTAGCACATTGCTTAGCATTTTAGCCTAGAACATTTCCCCTGTGAGCATTTCCAAGCTGACCAATAACGTTGATATGATTCTTCAGGTACATGTAAAATAAACCAACTTGCCTTCCCAGGTAGAATCCCTGAGTACAGTCTACAGATGATCTCTGAATTCAAACCACAAATAAATCCTGAATCAACCATGACCTTGGGCAGGTTCTTGTGCCTCACTGAACCTTGGCTTCTGTATGTGTCAAATGGCAAAAATGAGGTCCACCTTGCAGGTTTAATCATGTGCAAATGGCACCAAGAAAAGTGTCTAGGATTTTGAGATACCCACAAGGGGCTAACAACACAACTGGGAAGTCAGGGAGGGCTAGGAGAAGTTGATACCTACACTGAATCTTGAAAGATAAATAAAATTTATTCAGTAGGAGAAGCTGTGGAAAGGACACAGGAAGGCTTCCCCTTCCAGGACTGTGGTCTCTCAGTAGAATATGTAAGAGGTGACAAGACACTTAGAATTCCTAGTATGTTGGAAATGGCTGAGGTGTAAATTCGTGAGTCTGGCTGCTAGCATTTTTGACAATATCAGTTTACCTGACCCTTCAAATTACATTCTAGCTCTATTTTAAAAGTGAAAACCAAATTTATTGTTTCTAAACCAGGGTATTTACTTTTTAGTTGAAAGGCGGGAAATATGTTATGAAATAATAGAAAAATGACCACATGAAAGGGTTTGAACTTGTAGCTAACATAAGGAAAACTAATAGCTTTTCAACTAAGCCCTACCCAATATTTTGTATCTAAGCAAATTTTGAAATCAAGTAAAGATTCACAGCGTTTTATTATTCTTCTCCTTCTCAAGCCAGAATAATTAGTTTTAGGAAAGAAAATACAATAAAGGCAAGTATTCTCTGACTGATATTTCCATTTCATTTTTCTCTGCTTCTCATCTTCTGCCAAAGCTAGGAATGGAATACTGGCTTTTGGATTCTTGAGCCAGAAGAGACAGGGAGATGATAAGAGGACAAATGAGTGTGAGACTCGGTGTTTCATGCCTCAAAAATGTCGTCTTTTATTTATACGTGGTAAGAAGAAGTGAAAAGATCTTAGGCAGGATATCTGACTCTCTGGAAACTTCTCAACTTCTAGATCATGTGTTTGAATCTAGAATATAAAACAGCACAGGTTAGGACACTTTCATTTGAACAAAACTTTGTTATTCCATTTTCCATTGTAAATGATGCCTTGTATTTTGGCCTGTTAACAGCATAAAATGTATAAACCATTTAAGATTTACATTGTTCTATAGACTAGACTACTCATTAGAATAAAACAACCATGAACAAAAAGAAAGAAGAGAAAGGTGGGCTTAGTAAATTCACACAGTGCTTAGGAAATTCACAAAACTGAGTTCTCAGGATCTTGGGAAGGAATCCCATGAAAGTGTTAAAACATTTTGTTAAAAACCAGGTTTGCTGTATTTATATCCTCAATTCATGAGCTCATTGTCAGCTCACCAAATACGAATGTACAGGTAACAAAGTGGTACTACGGTTGCTAAATCTTGGATTCTCTAGGTATAGTATTATAGAGAAAGAATCAGGCCAAATACCTAGGCAAGTGATCTGAACTTTCATTCTCTGTTTTCTCATGTTGAAAGAGAAATAAAGCTCACACTTTCTATCTCCATCACAGAGAGTTTGTGAAAACTAAATGAGATGATGAATGTGAAAACACTTCGAAAATCGTAGTCATATAATTAATATTGATACTATTATTACTCAATTCAGTCACTTTCTAGATCATCTGGCTGCTCACCGAGAATTGTTCTGAAGAAGGGAAGGCTGAAATCAATTGCCAAATTAAGATTCAGAATTAATCTGTGAATTTTTTTCTTCTACCAGATATCCCTGGTAATTGAAAGTTGATGTATGATTCCATTTGTAAAAATGGGAAGAGTAGCTCTGACACTGACTTACTAAGTTTTCAGTAAAATAAATGTACCTTTGATGGGTTTAAGATAATGAAACATGGAAAGGCAGTCAGACAAGCAAATGTGCTCTTTTTAGCTTTGTGGCTGAAGTGTGTCTATAGCCAACATGAAGATGCTGTAGAGTGCCAAGTAAACACTTAACACAGTGAAGTCGTCCCTCCCCAAAACGTTCTCAGCTTGTGCCTACTCAATCCCTTTGTTCTGATAGAAATGTTTCTGAGACTCGTCAAATTATACCTCTGTAAGAAGGGCATGTTCTGAAGATTAGAGATGACTAATGCTATATTTCCTACTAGTGTGATTGTCTCAACTAAAAAAGCAAAGTAGAAACTCCAAGAGAGGCCAAAGAAATGTCACCACTGGTAAAGAGTCCTAATAAATGCATAGATTTAGAACCTTATTTATGTTGAGATTTATTTAGTGAGCACACTTGCCGTCTAAATGCTGGAACAAACTGTTTCTTTTTGCTGGTTTAATAACTCCAAAGACCTAACTGGTTGTAAAGGGTAAAGAGTTGCTTCATTCACTTACGATTCAGTCATGTTTCTTAGACTTGCATAAAGTGGTAATAATAAAACACTTACACAAACACAGTCAGATCTTTGAGTTAAGTGGCTTTTAGCATTGCCTTTAGCTAAGTGAGGTTGAAAAATTGTCCTGAATGAAGCCTGGCCAAAACAAAATCTTTCTCCCAGTGGCCATTAGTTGCCTTCTTTCTTAAACTATATGCCTTCTTAAAATATATATATATGAAGGTCATATACCTTCAGGGAATTCGCATACCTGGCCAACCATATTAAGATACTTTACACTGATGTTATATCTAGCCAGAGATATTATTTCTTTGCCTAGGGCAGATCCAGATGGGCTGTTTCGCCAAATCTGGACATGGGAATTTGTACATAGTAAATCATTAAATGGCCAAGAGAATTCCTTATATTGCCAAACAGGAAGAAAAAAACAGCAAAAAATAAAAAAACCTTTATTTTGATGGCATTCATGCCAAAGTGAACTATGTTGGCTTTTAACAGAGAACATGGCAAAAGAGGCCAGAATGCAGGCAATGCATCTCTTATCTCTTCTTTTCTCTTCAGTGTCTTCTCTTGTTAGCAGCATTACACTCAAGATAGTGGACTAAAAGCGTGGTTTACATGCTGTGTCAGCTGGAGCCCTAAATGTTCCAGTCTCCACTGGAGATTGCCATGGTCTTCAATGAAGGAAGAGCCAAGAATTTGCAAAGTCAGGTCTCTGCTCTCAAACACAGAAGTTCCGTTTCTGTATACTGTATACATTAGACCTCCACTTTAAGTTTTTGTTGAGAAAAATAAATGCCTCTTGAAAAGAATAAAACTTGAAAACATATTTTCAGAGTCCAGAAGCACTGCTTTTCTACAGAGCTGTTGCTTTACCTTGCTATGGCTAGCACTGAAACTGACACTCAGAGCATGTACTGTGTACATAGAAGATGTGCCTCCAATTAGTTCTGAAATATTCGATGTGTCCAAAGTCATTGAGTAAATGGGGCAGATGGTCCTTCAGATTCTATGTTGTGTGTCTGGTCCACTTATGGTCCCGTCATTGCATGTAATGGTCCATAAAGACTGGTAAGGGACACTTTCAGGTGTGAGGTTGTAGGTGCCAGATTTAGCAACTATTTGGCACATGCTTATATTAACATGGTATTTGTTTATCTGCAATTTGATTTTAGCTAGGCATCCTATATTTTATCTGCCAACCCTATGTGGTAGAAAAGTTGCAAGGATTGAGCAAGTTAGTATTTGGTGAAGAAATTAAATCATTCTGTGCAGACCACATTTTAAAGGACATGTCAGGTAAAGATGACAAAAATGGTAGTTTTGAAGGCATAATCAATGGTCAGAAAAATTTGTTTTTGGTGTTCTGTTTGTAAGAACTTGGAGCAATAATATATTTGTAGCCAGAGCTGGCCAAAGCACATGTTTGGGGCACCAGTGAAATGGGAGAGAAAGATCAGCTTAGCAGAGCTTATCAAGAATTTTGGAATCAGAAAATCCATCAAGGCAGGAATAATTTGAATTTTAGGATTTCACATGTGCATGCACACACACACATACACAATAGTTATTTAAAATAGTTTTGAAAAAGAATATTTAAAAATGTTTATCTGAAAACCTGGGGAAGTTGCATTTGCACACCCCTAATCGTCATTCATTTTTGTTTCTTTTCCTGGGAAGATTGCAATCACAGATTGCAGTCCATAAACGTATACACTGGTGGTCCTGCTTTTAGCCCTTCTTTCCCTGTCCTAGTGTTTGAAAGCTGTTCCAAGCCACTTGCCCCACTCACTGCACTGTGCATTGAATGGCACTTTCTCCCTCTAAGCTAACATGGCCTTCCTATTCTCTTTTATCCAAAATCCCATTCTCCCCACCCCTATCTATCTCATTTAAATTGTTCAGAAATGCATCTTAGACTAAACTCATCCGTATTAAAGTATGGCTGTATTGACGCATTAACGGTCTCAGGCACGTTTGCATTTTTAAATTGGAGATTGAGCTAATCAAAGCAAGGGTCCTGGATAGAGTCATTTGAGAATGGGTGGGTTGGGTACCTTCTTCCTTTTATCCATTTACACAGGAAAAGGCCTTGATACACAGAAGTGTATGTAAAAGCACCTTAAGAGTATCTATTTGTCACAGAATCCGAAGTTCAAGTTAAAATGGCTCTTTTAGTTTTACCTACATGGAGTAAGAGTTGAGGAAACATGGATAAATTTGATTATGAACTCTGCTACTAAACTCAAAAATAGCTAATTTGCCAGCTGTCTTTTATTAATAAGTCAAAAGAAAAATCCTGAAACTGCTTAAGCTTCAACTGAAATTTTTTGGCACTGTCCTCTGGGTCCAAGGGGAAAAACATGGAATGAGGTCGAATTGAACATTCTACTGTCAACCATCAAATCACTGATCCCACTGTCCTCTTCACATAGAGTCACATAAAGTGTGTGTTATACACATACGCAAGCCATTTAATCAATTGGTTGCATTTTAAATTTGCATCCTTTCTGCAAAGTCTCTGGGTAGAAGTATAATTAAATCATTCATTACAATATATTCTTAAAATATAACAGCAGCCATAGCAACAAATAAAAACCTCGCCTCTAAACAAATGCATTTTATGTTATTACTTCAACTGGAAGGCTTTACTTTGTGCAACTTCCTTACAATTTAGGTTTTATCTCATGGTCTATGATACAATACTGGGGCTCTATCTGAACCTATAGAGGAGTGAGGAAGGGAGCCAGGAGTGCAGGCATCCTTTTCAGAAAAATACATCTGGTTTTTGTGAACACAAATTGAGACAATGTGTGACTTTGGCTTTTTTTAGAAAGGAAGTGTATATAGATTAAAAAAAAAAACCCTTATCAAACTGCTTGGCTCATTTTTAAGCTGCTTTAAGGGAAAAGAAACCAACAGGCACATGAACCTTCAGAGTCTGTGCTGGCATTTCACACGCTTCCTAAAGTTTGATTCAGCTTCACCTTTCTTATTTAGCACAACGAATATTTGCATATCTTAAGGTTTCCCTTTTTTCTAACCCTAACTTTGTCTATTTCTGCACTTTACCATAAATTTGTATTTTTCATCTTCTATGTTGGCTCATATTGGTTGAAATGTGCTAATGCATGCTCTCTGATGATTTGGAAGCATCGATTTCTCTATATAAATTATGGATGTATTCTAAAACCATTTAGTTGAATTCAAACTGGAGATACACATATATGTATATGTACACATATATACATATGTATATGTTTATACATACATACATGTATACACACATATATACATACATGTGTTAGGCAATCTTAACACTAACCAGAACAGTACATTAGTTATCTATTACTGTGTAACAAATTAGAGCCAACTTAGCAATTCAGAATGATACATTCATTATTTCCCAGTTTCTGTGGGTAAAGGGCTCAGACGTGGCTTCACTAGGTCCTCTATTTCAGGGTCTCTGACTAGGCTTCCATTGAGATGTTAGCTGGGGCTGGGGTCTTGTCTGAGAGTCCCACTTCAGGGAAATGATCTACTTGTAAGCTCATTCAGGGTGGTAGCAGAACCTAGTATCTGGAGAGCTGTTTGACTGAGGACCCCCATCCCTTGCCAACCTGGCCTTTGCAACATGACCACTTATTTTATTAAAGCATATAAATCCAGAAGGCAATAGAAAGAGTCTGATAGAAAAGGAAGGTCTCATCTTTTGTAATTTAATCATGGAAGTGAAATCCCATTACATTTATCATATTCAATTGGTTAGAAGCAATCACCAGCCCAGCTCTCGCTCAAGGGGAAAGGGCTACACAAGGGAGTGAATACCAGAAGGTGAGAATCATCCACAAGGGGGATGGGGTATGTTTCAGTGTCAGCCTGCCTCAGATGAGTGGGTAAGAAAATGGTAGAGCAAAAGGTATGCCTCATGTCTCATTGTCAATAAATCTTATTTTAACTTAATCTTGTACAAAAGTTTTACAAAATTTTTACTCATGCGTATTATCTTGAGATTTTCTTAGCCACAGTTTTTACTTTAGTAATAACACAGGCCTTACATTAAGGATTGGCTCACCAGTCCTATTTCCCCTTCCAGTAGAAAACAGCTGTTTCTCAGCGTACCTTGCATGGAAATGACTGGTTCAAGCCAATGGAATGTAGGCAGAAATGATATTTGGCTCTTCTAACCTGGCCGTGTATCTCTTGTGCTCTTTTCCACCCATGGCGACACAAGATGGAAAAAGCCTGGGTCCCTCGTTATTGCTCAAATGAGAGCCCCTAAAAGACCTGCCTGACCTGCATCAGAATACGACTTGAGGCTGAGCACCGTGGCTCAGGCCTGTAATCCCAGCACTTTGGGAGGCCGAGGCAGGTGGACCACTTGCAGTCAGGAGTTCGAGGCCAGCCTGGCCAACATAGCGAAATCCCATCTCTACTAAAAAATACAAAAATTACCCAGGTGTGGTGATGTGTGCCTGCAGTCCCAGCTACTTGAGAGGCTGAGGCAGGAGAATCAATCACTTGAACCCGGGAGGTGGAGGTTGCAGTGAGCCAAGATGGCACCAGTGCACTCCATCCTGGGCGACAGAGTGAGACTCTGTCTCAAAAAACAAAACAAAACAAAACAGAATACGACTTGATCTAGCAATTAATCTGCATTTTGTCCCCTGATATTTATCCTGATTTATTTGGACCCCAGAAGTGCTAGTAGTGATTGTCATCTACAAATATCTCACCAAATAAGACACTCATATTTCTATAATAATAATTCTGATACATGATTGGTTATTTCCCAAGCTTTTGCATACATTAAACTACTGGATACTCACAAAACATAAGGACAGTGATATCATCCTGGGTTAAAGATGGAGGAACAACTTAAATGAAAATCACTGTAGGGTGAACAATGCACATATTTGGAAAATACATTTCTAGAAGCTGTTTAAAAGTAAGGGTGAGACCACAAGAAAATTATAGTTGCCAATTTGCTCTGCATAAGGAAAATGACAAGAAATTTGAGATACCAGAAGGAAAAGCCCAGAAGAGAATAAATAAGAGAACAAATAGAAGTGAGTAGACGGTGGTAGAGAAAAAAGGGTTCTGCTGGGAGCGATGCGTTGTAGGGCCTTTCCTTCACCTTCTCTAAGAAATCTTTCATAATTTTTACATTGCTTACCAATGTATGTGTGTGGGGGGGGTGTCTGCAAGTGTGTTTGTGTATAAGTAGGTTTTATTAGGAGATCTCAAAAAGCATGAAAATGGTAAGCGCTAAGATCAGGTCACAATTGTCTACATGACTAAAGTGAAGCATGGAAATTCTAACTGGTGACATCAAGGATATGCAGTCATTCAACTGAAGTCAGATTTCAAGATGCAAACCCAGATGAGCTGGGTTCTAAAACCTCTCTCCTTAACCTATACACTGCAAACTCTCTCTTCCTTTCTATAAAAATTGCTCTTTCTGACCAGAAGGAAAATTTTAAGAATGACGCATAAATAAAATAGAGAGAAAGGAAGAAAATATGATTTAGTTCCAGAACCAATATAAAAATTGGAATAATCAGAGATTAAAATGGAAAAGGTAAGTTGCATTTGAGAGATGAAGGCCTGAAATAATAGTCAGAAAAGAAGAGCGTAGATTTTTGAAGATGAAGTAAAAATAGCATGAAAGGTCTTGGCAGCCATTTGGCCTTTAGTGTTGAGGAAGAAAAAGAAATAAAAGATGACTTGGAGGTTCTTAATTCCAGTGATTAGAAAGATGCAGTGCAAATGAATCAAGGTGAAAAAATAGAAATTAATTTTTTATTCAATTAAATTGAAACACTTATTGAGTCCTACTACAAAGAAATATGTTTGCCATTGTTCAGAGTCAAGTGATGCATAAATCATGGCACCTGGAAAGTGAGTGTGATGTTGTTTCGGTGGTTAAGTGTGAGATACTTTGAGGAATTTAAGGAGAAATCCTTCGAGGTGATAATTCTGTTGTCTTCTACATAGAAGAGCAGTTTAAAATAATGGAAGGGATAAGATTACCCAAGGATGGAAACAGCAACTATTTCAATTTCATCTTAAAATACAGACTAGATGCTATACAAAGAGCTTTGGATTAGGACTAGCTAAATTATTTTTTATTCTCTGTTTCTAGTAAATATATATGACCTTGGAAAGTTGGATTAACATCCATTAAAGGCTGATGAACTAGGTAAGTATTAGGATATCTTTTGCTGATTATGCTTAGCTGTGAAAGGAAGAGACTTGACTTTTTAATATGTGTAAAAGGTATGACTAGGTCCATATATTAGCCAGGAAAAGGCAATAGTGCACTATGTAAACAACCTCAGAATTTTAGTGACTCAACACAGCAAATGTTTATTTCCTTCCCATGCAGAATCATTCTGAACAAATTTGCATTTGTGCAAATTACTGGGGCAGTGGTACTTTAAGCAGCCCCCTGATACTAATCCCTACATCTAGAATACTGCCCTTCCCATGACCATGACAGAAGGAGGAGCTGCAGGTAGTTCAAATAATGTCAATGAAATGCTTCAGTTTCAGGTGACACAATCACGTCCACTCATATTTTACTGGACAGAACTGGTCACATGGCTACACTTTTAACTTCAAGGGGGCTGGAAATGTTTCCTTCCAGGTACCTGGCCTTAGGGGAAAACCAAATATTTGTGAGTGTAAGTAATAACACAGGCTGTCATGCTTACTTGATAGTTAAAAGTAGAGAAAGTTCCCCCTCTCCCCCCAGTTTCAAAGTTTTCCTGTTCTAAATGAAATTTTATTGATATCTCTGAAACAAGTTATTTCCCTGTCCCCAAATCTCACTGTTTCTCCATCCATTCCATTAGAGCCTATCTTGGAAAGCAAATACTCCATCAGAATATGGTATTACATGACATTGTAACCTTTTTCCCCTCCAGAAAACCACCCTTTATGAATAAAACATGGGTGACCTTTAAAAACTTAGCAGTTGTACTAGGTGATTGCATATTAACAAGCTTTTTGAAGAAATAGGACAGGCACTGTATGTTTCAGTTAAGGATAGATAATAGAACTATTCAAATAATTTATTATTTTATTCAATATGAAGGAATGCAACAACTATTTTACAAAGTCTGCTTACACTTCCCTGAGTATAATTGTATGTGACTTCCCATTTATTTAAATTGTGTATGTACCATTAAGTTGAAGATTCCCATGGAAATGACAATTCTTATCTTCTTGATTTTTTAATTTTTGGTTAAAAATCTCTGAAAAATCCAAGATTTCTTTAAGCAAGAAGCAAAGTAAGGCAGATTTATACAAAGTGGAATTGAATCTCCTGACTACAAACACAAATCTGCAGGTTTCTCAGTACCTGGCATAGAGAGGATACTCAATAAGTTATTATTGAATAGGAAGAGTGTTCTTCAAAGCTGAACAAAAGTGAAGGTAAGGGGAGTTTTTCTAGAGAATTCTGTCAGTGCTATGAGGAAATATTTAATCAGATCACACAAAAAAGACAGTTTCGGTTTGGGCTTAAGGGGAGAAATATCGAGAGGGGAATGAATGAGGTGAGGAAGATTGAATCAACCCCTCAATAACATATAGTTAAGAAAAGGCCTCTGCTCAAGGCAGGATGTTTCTAATTCAATTGTTTAGGAGAATTATTTTCAAATGAGACCCTCCTGAATTGTAGGGTTCTAAGGGGGGATCTCAAGAAGCCCTAAAATGGATGAAGGAGTTATCTACATCCAGGGAAGCTTGGCATTTGTCTCTTTATAAAAAAGGGTTCAATATAAGATTTCACTTATGAAAAGGTCCTACTGGTAAAAAAAAAAAATACATGTTTTAAAACCATTTGTTCAGAATATTGTAGTTCTCTTGGGCAAAATCGAACGTACTGGTAATGATCAACATAATGAGATGCAAGGTACAAAGACACGTGCTTTCCTTTTCCCTCAATCTTGTTTCCATCCTCCCTCAAAAATCTCCAAATGTGTGCTTTTTTTAACTGCAGTGACATACTAGGATACAAAGGCTTAGGCTTTATTCTGGTCCTAGGAGGTACATCAAGGGGCTCGGAGGGGCCACGTGACTCCCATCACAAAGAAGAAAGTAGAGAACTTCATAAATGCAATAACACTGTTAGAATTACACGAAAACAGCTCTATGTAAATTGCATTATGCAGGTCATAGTTTTATTTTTTCTATCACAGTGCAAAATGTGTAGGGTTAAAAAACTCTCACAGAGACACTGGTGACACCACAGCCAACTTACCCACCTCACTCCCCTGTATTATAGTCTAACTATACCTGCCGAGCACAATCACCAGCCAGTTTGGACAACTCATTTGAGCTCTTGACAGTTCAGTATCTTCATCTGTGAATACAGAATATACTAGCCACTAAGCTAATGTCTGGGGAACTACTTTGAGAAGCAAGATAGACAGTTATTATTATACTTGTCACTGTTGCTTTTGGTAAACTAGTCGAATCTCTGGTATACAAACTCAGACAAAAATCCTTTAACATCTTGGGAGGTTTTTTAAAAAGTTAAGTGGGTCTTTTAAACTTGAAGATCTGCTCAAGTAGAAGATATTAACAATGCAGTTTTTTAAACTTACAAAATGGAGGGATTATTTCTTTAACCGATGAGGAATAAGGGTGGGAAAGTTTCGATGCTGCTTGATCTAATAAGAGACTACTACTTTGCAAGCAACCAATGTTTTTGTCACAACATACGCTTTAAGATTTTCTTTAAGAAATACGTACATTTCTGGCCGGGCGCGGTGGCTCCCGCATATAATCCCAGCACTTTGGGAGGCCGAGGTGAGCAGATCGCCTGAGGTCAGGAATTTGAGACCAGTCTGGCCAACATGGTGAAACCCTGTGTCTACTAAAAACACAAAAAATAGCCAGGCATGGTGGCTCTTGCCTGTAATCCCAGGTACTCAGGAGGCTGCGGCAGGAGAATCACTTGAACTCGGGAGGTAGAGGTTGCAGTGAGCCGAGATCAAGCCACCGCATTCCAGCCTGGGCAACAGAGTGAGACTCTGTCTCAAAAAAAAAAAAGGAAAAAGAAAGAAAGAAAGATACACATTACTGGAACATTTGTTTATGTGGACATCAATAAGGTACATACTGCACTATTTTTGCAGTAGCAGGACTAAGGGATGCCTGTCACCCAGCCTTGCTAGAAGATGGGGCCATATGAACTCTGATCTTTCTATCACCTAGTCTCACACTCAGGAATGTACAGGGGAGTGATTTTTGCAGCAGGCAAGCAAGAAGGGATAGCGCTAGGGCTCAGAAAAGTTGGAGAAGGTGCCAGGAGAGGAAAGGACCTTTCTGAGGGTGAGAAGATTGAATGTCTTCAGGAAACTGAAGAATCTTGTTTGAGGGAGGCACTTTCCTTGGAAGGGGCTTGAGGGCTTTTGTCTTCATTTGGGTAATAAGCTGTAGGCTTTATCTGTATTAAAGGAGCTTGTACCATTGCCTGTGCTTATTGACCACTAGAATGTCCTGCATTGACCATAGTCAATCACATCACCATCGCTCTTGTGACAACTTTTCAGTATTTAAGGCCACCAAATGGAAATGATCAGTGAATGAGGTTTAAATCCTGCAGAATATTTAAAAAGTAGTTAGTACAGATTCAAAATTATTAAGCACAAAGAATAATTCAACACATAGATGTAGATTGTTAAGCATATATAAAACAATGTATAAATAACTCATAGAACTTTTGATTAATGTTTGCAAGGCTCAATAAAGCCATTTACAGACTTACATAGACATTGAAATCTGGGTCTCCTTTCAAAGCTGTAATACTCTTAAGTGGTAGAATATTATTTTTAAATTATTTTTATACTGGTAAAAATTCTTATAGTAACTGAGGATTTAATATTTATTAAAATTTCTGGAATATTTATATATTATAAATATATAAATATATATAAATGTTCATATATATACAGATTTTTGAAATTTCTTAAGTTATCAGCTATTCTCATAATTTCAATGGAAGGGAGTTGATTACATTTCAGCAGTTATCAATATATCCCATTAGGGATTTTACCATAAGACTTCTTGAATTGTTTAAATCTGAGGGCTTCATTGTAATGGTCCATCTTCCCTAGTACTCTTTTAATTCAAGTATAGTGGTAACTTATCCCTTTCAATCCTTGAGCGTAAAGTAGGCAGTTTCATTTAATCTACAATTATGGCAATAAGCCTCATAACTTTGCTTTGCTTTGCTGGGCAGGCTTGGGTAAGATTGCCTCTAGGTGGCTCGATGCTGCTTCATCTTTTTGCTGTATGTGCTGCCTCTCCAGAGAGCCGGGAATAGATAAATCTGAGCATTGAGAAGACAAAATCACTTACATTTGTCATTTTAGCATTTAGGCTCCTAGGATTGTCTAAAGGATTCCTGAGATAAAAAATAAAGACATTTCTGTGCAAGAGGGAGTGGAGGAATGTTTGCATGCCCTTTTCCCTAATGTACGCAGCATCCACAACGTTCACTCTGGGAGCCAATGAGGGGAGGAAGGGAAAGAACACTATACAGGGCCCGCTTGAGAAGTTTTCTCCAATGTGTCATTAAGGTGTTTCAGAGCATCTGTGTGGCTGCCACATGAACTGGATGGGAACACAAAGTAATCAATTTCAGTTGAGAGCACTAATTTATCACCTTGCCATCTTTTATTGCAAGGTAGAGAATCTCAACCTCTCGTTCACTTGCTCTCTCTCTCTCACACACAAACCCCTCTGCACATATACACACTTACCTCCTATACACACTTACAAACTCTTACACTTAATACATCTCAGTTTTTAAAATACCAAACTGCCAAATAAGAAATTTATCATCTTTTATGCTTTAGGACAGTTTGAATTTGGGATTGTGAAGACAGTTGTTTAATCAACATTTTCCTTTGATATGATGGGAGGTTTTTTTTTTACATGGTTTCCCTTTGACTCCTAAAATAAGTTTGAGTACGATTACAATATTAATGTAAAGCTGGCTCCCAAATAAGCTCTCTGTCAGCAAGCAAAGTCTTTAGCTTCTTAGAGCTCAAAATCCCAATCTATGGGAACAATTTAATAACGCAGCTCAAATCTTAATTCCTAGGGTCAATATGATTACCAAAGTCAAACTTTAAAAATGGAAACGTAAACCCTTCAAGTACTCAGAAGGAAGTACTCATGACCATGCACCCTCATTTCGCTCAGCATCAAAGCCAGAATATTGTCATCATAAGTTATACCTGCAAGTCCTGAGGGGTGTCCGGCATGACAAGTCCAAGGTAGAATCCCTTATCAGATAGGGAACGGGGGAAAGAACAGAACAGCACAGGAAAGAGCATGAAGAGAGGGCTATAACCCTCCAAAAATAAATTTTGCAGATCTTAAAAGTCCCCAAGGCTCCAAGCAAATGTTGAGTTATTTTTCTCATCATTGCAGGTAGAATTTGAAGGAAACTAGAAAAGCAGCTGGGATATTTTATTGAGCTCCTGTTTTTAACTTTTTTTAAAACTAAATCTAGATTTCGTTTTGCCATCCTGGCTACCTAATTTTTGTATATTAAACCATGCAACGACTATCTTCAGAATGTGCCTCTCCTGGAACTCTGGAAATTGTGTGTGTTATTTATATTATGATATGCAGCACCTCTCCCAACAAAAAAATAAATCTTTTTTGGCCACTGGGGCCAAAGTTCATCTGTCCACCCCAGATGTGTTTTTCTTCAGAATCCTTACAAGATCTCAGTGTTTTTTTCATAAAATCTAAAATCCCACCACAAACATCTTTTTTCCCTTTTAACTCCTAATATATTTTTCTGCAAGCCTTGATGTTCTCTCTCTAACTCCCAATATTTCTCCCTAGACCCCAATTTCCTAATCAAAGCACATTACTGATCTGATGCTTTCAACAGCCTGGTAGCACATCAATAAACTAAAGATTATTGTGCTTTGTCAGGTTTTATTTTGTAACATTATGGGAAATTCTCCGCTGTCTTGGATGAGTGCATAAACTCTGATTGCTTGACAATTAACAGAGCTAGTAATAGAAAAGGCAATGTAATTTACCTTCATACAAGGGATCTCAGTTAACAAAAATTAAACTATTGAACTCTCCTCTCCAAGGAAAGGGATGTCGCCTCATTATGTTAAAAAGAAAAACAGATTCCAGTGGCAAGTGGGCCCTCAGTCTGGCTGGGTGAATTTATTGTTCAGATTATGTGTTTTTCTGACATGCATACAAAATTATGGCTTTTAAACTGGACTAAACTCTCTCTTCATTAAATGAGTATCTCCCCCCTTTGGTACTATAACTCAAAGAGAGCATTCTAGATAAATAATGTCAAGGGGGAGTATCTTCGTGTGCTTCATGGGTTGGATGTTGAGGACATTTCTAATCTGCAGGGCTGGAGTACAGCTCTCTCTCTCTCTCCCCTTCACCCTCTGTGTCTCTGTCTTTCTGTATCACAGCACTAAAGAAGAAAATATACAGTGTAATTAAATACAGAGCCATCACGCTAAAAGTGAAGAACTCCCACAGAGGAGAGTGCTGGGTTTTACAGACTCCCACGGAGACCATATGAAGCTTGTATTCAAAATGGCATCTGCGGCTTTGAGCCTGCCTTCTGCCCTTTCAAAGATTTCTGCTTAGTTCAAAGAAATACTGTGTTTGAACACAGACATCCTGGGAACTTAGGAAGTGGAGAGAGAAGTTGAGGCTCTTCTTGTTCCTGCTTCCTTGAGGTTTCAACCTCTTATATCTGTTTTCTAAAACGTTTTTCAGGCCCTCCAAACATTCCCGGATTGGATGGCTAGAATCATTGGTCCCTTGCCTTAGGCTAGGTAAATGATGAACAACTGTTGGACTCTCGAACACTGCAACATCAGTTTCTGCCTTCAAGAAGTTTATAGTCCAGTGGTCAGTAAACTATGGCTCAGAGACCAAACCCAGTCTGCCATCTCTTTTTGTGTGATTTGTGAACTAGGAAAGGTTCTCACACTTATAAACAGTTGGGAAAATTTTCAAAAGAATGTTATTTCATGTGACGTGAAAATTGCATACAATTTAAATTTCAGAGTTCATACATGAAGTTGTGTTGGAACACAGTCATTCCATTCATTTACATATGGGGTATGGCTGCTGCCACACGAAAATGGCAGAGTTCAGTAGTTGTGACAGACGTTGTAAGGCAGGAAACACCTAAAATATTTACTGTCTGGCCCATTACAGAAAGAGTTTGCAACCCCTGTTATAATCTCATGGAAGAGCCACTACTAATAACTGTAAAATAATAAATGAGCAACGGAAAACAGTATGTTCCTGATTGTTAAATGGGAAGCTGGTGGAAAATTGCCATTTTAATCGAGAAAGATATATGTCTCTGAGATTGCTTTTGTAAGGAAAAGTCTTCAAGAAGCAAAAGAGGACAGGAGCCAGTTTTAAGAAATAGTAAGTTTTGAGTGGATAGAGAGTAGCAGGAAAGACGTTTCAGGGTGGCTAGACAGAGCAAAAATGAGATCTGGCATGGCAGGAGTGAGGCTCCAGGAAAAGATGTTTGTGATCTACAATGAGAGTGAGAAGTCTAGGTTATTTAAAATATCAAGGGTAAATGAGTTGTCTTCTGTTCTGATTGTGATATTTAGGAATAGAGGGTGAATCACTGAGAAAAGAAAATGTAAAATTTAAAAGTAAAATCAAGTTCAAGGGAAGTTAGGCTGGGGAATTAAAGACATATGCTTCATGTCATTGAAACAGTTAATCCTGTTTCAAAAGATGGCAAATAACTGACAAGAGACAGAGAAGCATCATGAGCAAGGAGGATCTTATTTACATATAAAATAAGCTAAGAAGGTGGTAGGATCCTAAGGTAAAAACCACAGGAGCATATCCACCATGTTTCATGTTACATTTGGGTCATTTTTCTGTAACCATTCTTTAATAGGACGAGGTCATGGCTATAATTTTAATTATATGGTTAATTCCAAACAGTTATCTAATAAAATCACACTGCATGAGAAAAATGGAATGTGCAGTTTTACACCTGGCTATTTCCACTTTAGAATAAAACACAGGATACAGGAAGTAAAGAACATTATGAGTTGTTTGCTAGCTCAGGCCTCTAAACCATGGTATGTTGGAGAAGTATTTTAAAATGTGTTTGGCTTTGGGATTTAACCAGAAAGTAATGCAAAAGAAAATACTAATTATGAAATTATGATATTGTTGCATTAAATTTGATTTATCATGTAATTCAAACATTTGTCTTATTTTCTTTCAGTATTGGAGTTTGGACAACTTCAATGGCTAGCTTGACTTTTATTTACTATCTGGTTTTTTTCCCCACAGAATGCTATTTGACTTTATGATATTATTGCATTATTTAAAAATAGTTTCCTCTTTCATTTGTGGTTATGGTGTGAAGGATGGAAAGAAGCACATAAATATTTTATTTCCAGGTGTTTAAGATGCTTTGCATAACTCAGGAACAGAGAAGTAACAGGAAAGTTTGGAAAGCAGAGCTGGGGGGCACTCACCCAGGACACAGTGGGAGGATGGAATAGTTACGTGCAAAAGAAAATGCAGCTAATTAAGTACGTGGAATTCAGTTGGATGAACCCCAAATATTATTTATATCTAAGTGTATGTAAGAGGGTGAAGGGAAGTGGGTGCATCTTTTTACAAGTAGGTGTGACTTCAGTGTTCATTGATTCTCTGGTTAAATATTGAGCATGTGCTCTGTTCTCAGAACTGTGTCAAGCACTAGAGATAGAGAAGCGAATGAGGCAGAGACTCTGTACTCAAGTTGTTCATAGTCTATCGAGAAAGATAGACAAGGAATCAGAAGATGAAATACAGAGTGATAAGTGCAATGTTAAAACTCAGCAGTAGACTTGTAGCAAATGTCTACTAACCAAGACCTGGAGCCAGGAGTGCAAGTCATTGCAAAGACTTGGGGATGCCAATATGAGAACATCTCCCTTCCCTATTCCCCATCTCTTAATCCCCTTGGGGCATAGCAAGTACAGTTCTTATGTCACATAAGTCCCCTAAGTTTATACGGGAGCTGAAAAATTCCTATCGCCTAGTGATGTTGTAGCTTTTGTAACATCTTAACAATATAAACAGCACATTACCTTTTCTATGTTAGGTTATGGTTAGATACACAAATACCATTGTGTTACAGTTGCCTACAGCATTCAGTACAGCAATATGCTGTACAGGTTTATAGCCTATACCATATAGCCTAGGTGTATAGTATGCTATACCATCTAGGTTTGTGTAAGCACACTCTGTGAAGTTACCGCGGGGTGAAATTACCTGATGAGGTCGGGCACGGTGGCTCATGCCTGTAATCCCAGCACTTTGGGAAGCTGAAGAGGGCAGATCACTTGAGGTCAGGAGTTTGAGACCAGTCTGGCCAACATGGTGAAACCCCGTCTCTTCTAAAAATACAGAAATTAGCTGGCATGGTGGCACATACCTGTAATCCCAGCTACTAGGGAGGTTGAGGCAGGAGAATCCCTTGAACCCAGGAGGCGGAGGTTGCAGTGAGCCAAAAAAAAAAAATTACCTAATGATGCATTTCTGAGAATGTATCCCTGTCATAAGCGAGACATGGCCATAGTTTTGTGTGGCAGCAGTTTACAAAGCAAACACTGAGAATGTGAGCCATGGATCAGCTATCCTGTCTCTCTACAACTTTTCCTCCTATTTATACTTTTTTTCTCTCTCTCTGCTAAAATATAACTGTGAAAACAATGTCACTGAGACAGGGGGAACTTTTAGTACCAATCAGAGGGATTTATAAGCCTTTAAGACTAGAATTTACCCTCACAAACAAACAGTAATGTGTTTAAAGAATGAACAATCATCTTAGAAAAATATTTGAGATCATTGTGACTCGTTTTTTAAGAATAGGAAGTACATGTTGCATTTAAATATCTAAGAATATTCCTTTGTTTGGCTTTCACAGATATTTAGTTGTGATCATTTCTGTTTGAAAGGAAAAAAAAAATGTCTTCACTTTGTCCCTAATCCACAAACACAGTCCAGGATGAACTGGCCGGTGCTAATGCGAGGTCATATTTGAACAGTGAGCTTTCAGGCTAGAGAGTAGTTTCTGAAGTTAGATAATAATGAATGTTATGGATTTGTGCATTGAGTTTTAAAATTGCCCTATGCCGCTGAGCCTCCTTACACAGGCGAATAATACGAAGGGGTTAAGATGAGGGCATTAGGCCTAACTGGTGAAACGTTCTCCTCTTCTCATGAAGAACAAACTTTCATCAGATGTGTTGAAATCTCCTACTTGACCCTTGTCTAACCTTCAGCCCCAAATGCAAAGTAAGATACAGCTTATCCCAGAAAGCAGGTTTAAACAAACAAGCTAACAGTCTACTACATCTTTGAGGAGTCTGATTTTCCTACTTTCCTTACACACATGCTGCTTGGGAAACAAGAAGCCTATGACTTGGAGGTGGGTCACAGAGTCCTTGTCTGGAGGTTGTAAGACTCACGGCAGCTATTTGATCACTGCTGTCCAAAATATCTGATTACTTTTTACCTGACTTTTCTGGAGCAACAATATGCGTATGGTTCTGCAGTCTTCACAGATTTTTATTATATGTAAGAACTTTTAAATTCCTGACAATAATATCTTACTTAACCCAAAGCATCCTCATTCATTTAGTTGGAAAATTGTAATAGTTTGATATTTTTTGAAATTGTAATGACTGTCATTGTATAATGTTAACCAACAGCTCCTTTTATTTAAAGCTTCTTTTCTTTTAAAGCTTTAGATTTCTAGTGTAGGTAAAAAGGAAAAATGTGAACCATTTCTTACCCAGGGTGAATTTTTCAATAATACTGAAATTGAGATGACATCCATGCTGTAACAAAATATGTAGGAAACTGTACCTTCTGATTCCATTTAGGAGATATTAGATAATAATTATAAAAAAAATTGCAAAATTATCCATTAGTTACACAAATAGAGATACTTAGATATTGTACATAGAGTTGCTACTTAAACAACACAGGTTGGACTTGTGAGGGTTCACTTATATACAAATTTTTGTCCAACTCTGCCATGCCTGAGATAGGAAAACCAACTTTTCCTCTTCCTCCTTTTTCTCAGCTTACTAAACCTGAAGATAAAAATTATGAAGACCTTTATGATGATCCACTTCCACTAACTAAATAGTAAATATATTTTCTCTTCCTCATGATTTTCTTAATAACATTTTTTCTCTAGCTTACTTTATTGTAAGAATACAGTACATAATACATATAACATAGAAAATAGGTGTTCATGGACCATTTATGTTATTAGTAGTTAAGTCTTTGGGGAGTCAAAAGTTATATGAGGATTTTCAACTCCACAGGATGTTGGCAACCCTAACCTTTTGTTGTTCAAGGGTCAACTGTGTTTAGATATAACCCATAGATTGCCTTCGCTGGCTGATGAAATCTATTGCTACATTCAACAGAAAAATCCATAATTAACATTCATTCTTAAATTCTTATACCGAGGTTCTTTAGAATGAATTTTTTTTTCTTTAGAATGAATTTTAACTACATGTATTTTTTTTTCTCTCTCTCTGTGTATGTGTGTGTTTAGTCCTTTCTATAATGAGTATCTGAGACACCGAACTCTGAACTCTGCATGCACCATGAAGCCCAATCTGTGAATAAAAAACTCTCTTGTTCATGTAGTGTTGAGTACCATTTTTTTTTGTCAGTGATGATGGGAAGGGGATGCACACTCTTTGAAATTGATTTTAAAACCAGTAGTTGCTCTGAAATACCAAAGATTCACTTCATTCATCTGTGGCCCAGGCCTGAGAAAAAGCCCAGTGAAGAGCCTAGAGCCATTTGAAGATGTAGATGGAAGAAGACACTAGACCAGCAAGATGCAGTCAAAAAGGATCAGGGGACATAAGGGTGTGAACTGAGCAGGAGGCTCATCAAGGGGATAGTCTAGGAAACTATCAAGCTACAGGATTCATGACCCCCAAACTCTCACTGGGAATTTCTGATCCCAATTAAGGAGTGAATGGTAACTAGGCCACAGGGTTTCTAATCCTAAGGTAGGAATTTGCATAAAGCTGTATTCCTATGTTTTTCAATCTGATGCTTAATAACTTGAACCCACAGTAACACCCAAGGATGTGTCTAAAGTCTGTGGTTGATCTAATTGTCATGCTTTTATAGGCAATCTTTCTTTTTCTTTATCCTTGAGGTGTTGTGATAGCAATACCTAGGTGCTGACTTAATTACATGCATCCTAATTAGTACTTGATATAACTTTTGACTACTCATTTCTTTTTTCTGAAAATTTCTCATCCTTTGTCTCTTAGAATATTGACTTTCCACAAGTCTCTTTAGTTTCTACTTGTGGGACTTCCCTCACATGTATATTAGAGCTGCTGTTTCTATCCTCCAAAGCTCTTAGTCCTTTATCCATAATTTCTACCACTTTATGTCTCTGTAACTTTTTCTGTCTTCCAGTTCTCTAATTTTATTTTCTATGGTGTCTAATCTACTGTTCCAACCATCTTTTGAGTATTTTTTATTTTAATGAGTAGATTTTCTTTTCAGAATTTTACTTAATTTTTTAATATATCAGATTTTGTTTTATAATACCTTATTCTTGTTTTGTGGGTATTAGCCCTTCTATTGTATCTTTGACACAAGTAAAAAAAAAAAAGATGTGTTTCATCTTTCATTTTTTAACTTGAGTAAAACCTTTATGATTGCTGTTTCCCTTTCTTGAGTTACTCTGAGTGAGTTCACCCATTTGGGATGTATGCATATTATTTTAAAAGGCATTGCATCGGCGTGATGGCTGGTGCCTGTAGTCCCAGCTACTCGGGAGGCTGAGGCAGGAGAATGGCGTGAACCCAGGAGGCGGAGCTTGCAGTGAGCCGAGATTGCGCCACTGCACTCCCGCCTGGGCCACAGAGCGAGACTCCGTCTCAAAAAAAAAAAAAAAAAGGCATTGCATCTCCTCAAATTTTATAATTCTTGATAGGTGAGCTTATCATCCGTTAGTTATCTTATGTAGAATTGCAGGTGCTCTCTATAATGCAGCTTTGAGAATATCTCTGCCCTATCCCAAAACATATCATCTCTAATCTAGTTTTAAATTACAGTCTTTAAATTCAAAATATCAATCCTCCTGCAGTGCAGATGAAATGTCCCAATCTCATTTTAGTGAGCTTTTTCTACTATAGTCATGTATGTATGGCATACATCTGGGCTAAACCTCTAACTGGAAGGTAGGAATATTGAAGTTCTTCATCACAGATTATGAACCTGTGTTGTAGGACCAGCTCTAACTGCCTGCAGAAAACCCAATTTTAGACTTCTTATATGCTTGAAGCCTAAAACCTCAAATCTAGTTTTCCCTGCCTGGATATTGGAACTCCAGCCTCATGTCCTATAGCCAGACTAAAAATACCCCATTTCCTCACTGTAGGCTTTGCTGGTTTATGTACTCCCCACCAACAGGTTTTTCTTTCTGTTTCTAGCCTCTGAAGATTTCCCATCCTTAGGGTTCAGCTCTGTCATGGTTTTTAATGTTATATGTTAAAATATTTTATTTAGCCTTTCTATTGTTTGAAGTAGGAGTGGGGAGGCTTTAGCCTATGCTCAGCTGCCATCTGACATGAATTCTTTCTCTACTAATACTAATATATGAGTCTTCCTTTTGCCTTCAAATAACTTGACTCTAATTTTTGTCTAGGGTATTTAATCAATCTATGATCACTTAAAGTGGGTGTAAAAGAGAATAAGAAGTTACAATGATCTAAAATGGAGATTTAGTAGAACAGCCTAAGCACATCCTTCATCCTTTATTGAGGCATTGGCCCAATATCGATTTGAACTGTAAACAAGAGCTGATTTATCATTTACAAAGACTTGGTAAGAATGCCTACTCTTATAAGAATGCCTCTGTGTGTGTGTGTGTGTGTGTGTGTGTGTGTGTGTGTGTGTGTGTGTTTGTAATATGCTAAACATTTGAAAAAGGCTTTGTGACTTATTAGTGTTCTTTGGCTTGCATTCTCTTTCTTCACTTTTGAATATTTTCTTTCTGCACTTATTAATATAACAATTTAAAATTATTTTACTTATGTAAATTCACTCTTTCCAATTAGATAGGATATTTTTTGAAGTACAGGCAAGCCTCACTTAACTTTGCTTTGCTTTATTGTGCTTCACAGGCAGTGCAGTTTTTACAAATTGAAAGTTTGTGGCAACTCTGCATTGAGCATGTCTGTTGGTGCCATCTTCCCAAAACCATATATTTTTTGTGGCTCTATGTCACATTTTGTGAATTCTCACAGTATTTCAAACCATTTTTATTATTATGTCTATTGTCGTGATTTGTGATCAGTGACTTTTAATGGCACTATTGTAATTACTTGGGGGCACCAAGAACTGCTCCCATGTAAGAAGATGAACTTAACTGATAAATGTTTTGTGTGTTCTGGCTGATCCATCAGCTGGTTGTTCTCCCATCTTTCTCCTTCTCCTTAGGCCTGCCTATTCCTTGAGATACACCAATACTGAAATTAGGCCAACTAATAACTCTACAATGGCTTCTAAGTGTTCAAATAAACGAAGATTCCCACATCTATCACTTTCAACTAAAAGATAGAAATGATTAAGCTTAGTGAAGAAGGCATGTCAAAAGTCAAGATAGGGCGAAACCTAGGCTGCTTGCACCAAACAGCCAAGTTGTGAATACAAAGGAAAAGTCTGTGTAGGAAATGAAAAGTGCTACTCCAGTGAACACATGAATGATAAGAAAGTGAAACATCTTTATTGCTGATATGGTGAAAGTTTGAATGGTCTGGATAGAAGATCAAACCTGCCATAACATCCTCCTTAGCCAAAGCCTAATCCAGAGCAAAACCCTAACTCTCTTTAATTCTATGAAGTCTGAGAGACGTAAGGAAACTGCAAAAGAAAAGTTTGAGGCTAGCAGAGATTGGTCCATGAGGTTTAAGGAAAGGTACTGTCTTCATACCGTAAAAGCGCAAGGTGAAGCAGCAAGTGCTGATACAGGAGTTGCAACAAGTTATTTAGAAGATCTAACTATGATCATTGATGAAGGTGGTTAAACTCTTCATTGATCATTGATCAATGAAGTGATAAGATCATTGATGAAGGTGGCTAAACACCAAACAACAGATTTTCAATGTAAATAAAACAGCCTTTTATTGGAAGAAGATGCCTTCTAGGACTTACATAGTTAGAGAGGAGATGCCAATGCCTGGATTTAAAGCTTCGAAAGACAGGCTGACTCTCTTGTTAGGGTCTAGTGCTGCTGATGACTTTAAGTTGAAGCCAATGCTTATTTACCATTCCCCAAATCCTAGGGCCCTAAAGAATTATGCTAAATCTACTCTGCTTATAGTGCTCTTATAAATGAAACAACAAACTCTGGATGACAGCACATCTGATTACAACACGGTTTAGTGAGTATTTTAAGCCCGCTGTTGAAACCTACTGTTCGAAAGAAAATATTCCTTTAAAAATGTTACTGCTCACTGACAATATGTCTTGTTACCCAAGAGCTCTGATGGAGATGTTCAAGGAAATTGATGTTTTCAGGCCTGCGAACACAATGTCCATTCTGCAGCTTGTGGATCATGGAGTAATTCTGACTTTCAAGTCTTCTTATTTAAGAATTACGTTTTGTGAGGCTGTTGCTGTCATAGATTGTGATTTCTCTGATGGATCTGGGCAAAGTACATTGAAAATCTTCTGAAATGGATTACCAATTCTAGATGCCATCAAAAACATTACTGATTCATGGGGAGAGGTCAAAATATCAACATTAACAGAAGTTTGCAAAAAGTTGATTCCAACCCTCACAGATGATGTTGATGAGTTCAAGACGTCAGTGGGAAAAGTAACTGCAGATGTGGTGGTAATAGGAAGAGCACTAAAATTAGAAGTGGAGCATGAAGATGCGATTGAATTGCTGCAATCTCATAATAAAACATAAAGGGATAAGATGCTGCTTCCTATGAATGAGCAAAAAATGTGGTCTCTTGAGATGGGTTTGCTCATGGTGAAGATGCTATGAACATTTTTGAAATAAAAACAGAAGATATAGAATATTACACAAATGTAGTTGAGAAAGCAGTGGCAGGATTTGAGAGGATTGACTCTTAATTTTGAAAGAAATTCTACTTTGGGTAAAATGCTGTGAAACAATGTCACATGCTACAGAATCATCTTTTATGAAAGGCAGAGTCAATCAATGTAGCAAACTTTATTGTTGTCTTATTTTAAGAAATTGCCACAACCACCCAACCTTCAGCCACTACACCCTGATCAGTCAGCAGCCATCAACGTGAAAGAAAGACTCTCTACTAGCAAAAAGATTATGACTTGCTGAAGGCTTAGATAATTGTTAGCATTTTTTAGCAACAAAGGATTTTTAATTCAGGTGTGCACATTGTTTTCTAAGCATAATGCTACTGTACATTTACTAGATTACAGTACAGTATAAACATAACTTTTATGTGCAAAACATTTATATGCACCAAAGAATTTGTGTGATTTGCTTTATTGCAATATTCACTTTATGGCGGTGGTCTGGAACTGAACCCACAACATCTTTGCTGCCTGCCAGTATTCCAACAATTTGTGGAATTTTGAATCTGAAAGGAATGGGGGTCATTATCCTGTCTGATATTTCCAGGCAAAGATCCACAGATTAGTGAGGCAAACTGTACTTCTCTGTGACTATTCTCCCCTCTGACTAGTCCCCTTAGAAATTTACATCTCAGTCATTTGTATTCTGTTTTTCTCACATTCTACCCCAGACTTGGAATTTGGGTAATGGATCTAGTTTGTAAGGACACAGTATAGTTTAGGCTGAGAAAGGCAAATTTCATCTGGTTTCTCACTTTATAGGTGAGAAACCTATATCATATCTCATTTGAGATATGGATACCATATCTCAAAATATTTAGCTGACATGAGCAAGTTCATGGTGTTAGTGGGTAAGCAAGTGACTAAAACCACACTTGTGTCTCCCAGTGTCTTTTCTTGCCAGTAACCTACTCTCTATCATATGTTTGATATCCAAGTGTTATGACAAATTGCACCTCAAACCCTTTGGGTTTCTTAAGGAAAGTATGAGATTTTGAACTATCAATAAATATTTAAGAAAGTAGTTTTGATTCTAGAAGTATTTATTAATTTAGTTAACAACCCTTTATTAAACAACTACTATATCCTAGTTACTGCCTGTCATAACCTGGGTTCCCCAGCAGACAGAGCCTCAGACAATGACTTAATGTGCTCCCTTTGTTATGAAGTACAATCCTAGGAAAGCAAAAGTGAGAGAAAAAGAGAACAGAGGAGAAAAGAAGAAGAACCCATATTAGGGTTACTTGTGGAGCTAGCTATTATAACTGATCTTGCATAACTGCTTTCCAAGAAATCACTTAAATGGCTGTGCCTCAGAATAGTCACATCTAGAGGAGGAAAGAAGACTTTATCCATTGGCTCAGGTCTTCCACTGGACAAAAGTTGGCCACACAGAGTGCTAATTCTCCTGCATTTTTGGATATGTATCAGCCTCAGTAATGAAGACTTGGTGAAGGATAGGTATGAAGTGAGCCTGTGCCTCTGCAATGCCCGGAAGAGTCCTCCCACAAATGGGTCTCTCCAGTGTTAGCTGAGATATGTAGCCAAAGATTCTGAACACAGGTGAAGCTGAGAGGACCCGATACATATGCTAAGATACCTATGATAATGGCTTTCTCCTCCCGAAGAGGGTAACGACTCAACAATTGCTGTGTAAGTTTCACAAGTGATGCTGTGAGACTGCCTATGAGAGCAAATTAACACAGTGAGTAGAAGGAAGGAAGGTGGTATCTGAGCTAATGCTTGCAGGTGAGATAGGAGTTATCTAGACAGAAAGAGACTAGATAGAGGAGAGAGGGAAGAGTGTTTTAGGGTGAGGGAACACAATATACACAATTATAAGTAAGAGTGGTCGTAACTTTGAAGAAATATAACGAGTGCAACATGACTCTGTCCAAAATCTGCAGACCTTATGTGTAGTAAAGAAATATTTTCTACCTTTAAGCAAATTCATTCATTGCAAAAGAGGTATAGCAAAAACATTGTGTAGAGACAAGCTCTGTGGAAGAAAGAAAGCAGCTGTATTTGAATGAGGGAAAGAACACAGCTCACCGCCTAACCATCCAGAAACCATCAAATATTCTTATTATAATGTAATAACAATAATTAATAAGGATGATAGACAATCATTTGTATTTGCAGTAAAAGAGTAATTGTTGCTCTTTTTTTGGTAGTGCCACTATTGAATTAATCATGCCCTTGCTAAATTACTGAAACACGGTGTTATGCTATTGTAGGTGTCCGAATTCTTTGCCACTGTTTAAGACTGTTTTTATTGTGAAATGTCATAGCCTTGTAATGGCAAAATTAAAGAACTGATGAAGGTTTGGAAAAAAGGTAACTTTTCTGCTCGTTTCTTTAAAAATGTGCCTTTTTTATGTGTATGCGTATTCTTGCTATTCTAGATGGAGGACCAATTGACTTTGTAAGTAATCCCTAAGCAAGACTGATAAAATAAAGAATATAATTTGTTCTCCCCAAATTTGGTGGATTGAAGCCAGGAGCATAATGACAATTTAATGGGCTTCATCACGTCACTTAGAAATATAAAACCTGTTAATGTGGAAAGAGAAGGAATCTCCAGTGTCAGGTTACAGAATTGGAAAACGCACACTCCTCAGTCACTGAAATCTTACTGGTAGGTTTGGTTGTTTGCTGTTTAGCATAGAAATTCAATGTGACAACTTAAAATAGTTTGGAAATTTGGTATAAGTATCCTGTTTTAGAAGTGATTTGTTCAGTCCATTTATTCCTACAATGCTACTAAACTAATTCTACAGAACGAACTCCCTTGAGTGGTTCCCAATTCTCTAAATGACACCCCAAATTCCTTATTATGCTCATTGCAGCCTAACTTTGTAAAATGTCCATAGTGTTTCTCCACGGGTGAAATGCCGTATAATAAGATAAAAAAAACACTTAAGAACTAAGGTCATGCTTTGCTGAATCAACTTTGGTACCAGTTGCAAAACAGTGGTTACTTTTTCATTGTCGATTACGCATTTGGCAAAACAACTTGATCTTTTGTTCATCCACTGGGAATTAATGCATAGCAAACATCATAATTATATTAGTGAAAATTCCATCAGCCCTAACATATCTTTCTAGAGCAGTGAACACACTATGGTCATTATGAACAAAATTGACCGCGATTCCTTGGCTGATGCTAGCATAATGTCTGATGACATCAGGGGTGTTTTAGCCATCCTGTTGTTGCAAATTGACAGCATTTTAATAGCATGCAAGAACAAGACAGTTCTGCTCAGTGGTATTTTCATATATTCAGAAGGACCGTCTGCTCTCACAGCTCATCGTTACATGGATTTAGATAGAAAATAAATCCTACCTCATCTCTTGAAAGAGAATTATATGACCATACTGTAATATGTCTAGCATATAAGGCAGCTGTTATGTTCTCTCTAACAAGTATTATAAAGCTGTTCTCAGCCAGGCTTGGTGGCTCATGCCTGTAATCTCAGTATTTCAGGAGACCAAGGCGGGCAGAACACCTGAGGTCAGGAGTTCAAGACCAGCCTGGCCAACATGGTGAAACCCTGTCTCTATAAAAATGCAAAAATTAGCCAGGCATGATGGTGGGTGCCTGTAATCCCAGCTACTCAGGAGGCTGAGGCAGGAGAATCGCTTGAATCTGACAGGTGGAGTTTGAAGTGAACCGAGATCGTGCCATTGCACTCTAGCCTGGGTGGCAGAGGGAGACTCCGTCTTAAAACAAAACAAACAAACAAAAAAGCTGCTCTACTCTACTGGTGGAAAATATTCATTCCGTGCTAAGCACCTTCAAAACCGAAGTTCTTGATACAGGGTTTGCTCTTAGAACCATTGTGGGGCTTTGTGGAGGGCTAATTCTGAGCTAACTTAGAAAGACAGGAATTGCATAGCTGGAGATCAAAATATTACCTTTATTCAGGTTGGGTGGGAGAAGGTTGCCTTAGGTCTGGTAGCGAAGAGGTTCTTCTCTGAATTCAACTCACCACTCTGTGACAGACAGCACTGGAAACCAGGGATTTCCTGGTCAGGACGAGGCCTTCTCTGCTAAGTCAACTGCAAGGTCAAGAGAATGTAAGTCCTTTTCAGGAGTGGTTGATCAGGAAGCAGCTGAGCCAGGTAGGCTTGGTTCCCCCTGCCAGGCTCATCATTCATCAGGTAAGTCAGCTCCACCCTTGGGGAGGAGGGAGTGGAGGAAAGGACTAGATAGCTTTGCCACGGGCCCTCCATCCACAGGAAAACATGAAGCCAGGGATAGGACCCTTCCTTATTTCCCCAATACCCAGGAGATCAAAAAGGCTGCCCTAAAGACTTTCTGTACCTCTTATAACATGTCATGCTATACAATTGTGACCTACAACAAAGATACATGTGTTCTTGGCCATTTAAGCAGAGTAGTTTTCAGCACCCCGCACTATAATTCCAGAAATGCTTACAAAGCATATCCCTCTCACTTCATCCAGTCAATGGTGCCCTAGTGCCCTCAGGATAAAATCGAAACCTAGTGGCATTCAATCCGGTGCCCTCCTGCCTAACGTCACCTGCTGCCTCTTCTGTTTCCACCTGTACCCTAACCTCTAGCCTCCCTGGATGACTCACAGGAATGGGCCCTAGGCTGTGTTTCTGGGGAGGCTTTGCACAAATGGCTTCTTCTGTCTTTGGCTCAAATGAAATCACTGCCATTGCCATACCAGTTTTGTAAATAAGGAATTCGGCACCTGATACATTATTTGCCCAGGGTCACACTGTGTACTTGAGCTGAGAACTAAACCCAGCTTTGTGTAATTGACAGGGGATGAGCTCTTTACCTCTGGGTTATAACCTCTGAATTTAAAGCACCTCTAACACATTCTGGAACAGTAAGCCCTTAATTAATATTTGTCTCCCTCATCCTAAAAAGAAAATAATTTTATTAGCCTTAGTGATTTATAAATAATTTTATTAGCTCTAGTGATTTGTAAATGAAGAAGTGATTAATGATTAATCCATTCCATATGCATACTTTGCATTTGATACAAAAGTAAATGTAATAGTTTGTTTCTACTGTTAGAATTTTTGGTATAACTTTGGTAATATTTCAGAACATTCAAAACTTGCAAACAGTAATAGAAACATCCCACATTTTCTAGGAACTAGATGCCAGCTATGAGAAACTGGTATTAAGCTAGATTTTACAAGTTTGAAGTTGCATTTGATGTACTTTCTCCTAACATCTCGGCTTTTCTAAGAAATATGTTTTCAGCATATCAAAAGCACGCGTGTTGTCTCTAAGCGTTTCACACTATTCATAATGTAATTTAGATAATAAAACCACTGGGAAAATGGAAACCAATGTAGCTGAATAAATAGAGCTAATCAATCCCATTGTGTTTCTAGAATACAGTTTATTTAATTCATTTTTATTGTGTAAAATTTGGGAAGTACTTAAAAGTATAAAAGAAAACATCCACAATCATATTGCCTACAGATGACTTCCACTGGTATTTTGGTTTCAATCTTTTATTATTTATTTATTTTGCCTTTGTCTCATCATTGAGATCAGTCTGTATACAGTATTTTAAATTTGGCCATACACTTTGAATTTTATTATATGCATTTTCTTTGTTACTAGAAAAAATCTGACAGAGTTTAATGGCTATTTATCGTTCCACTATGAGGATGCTTCATTATTTACTAATCATTTCCCTGTTGTTGATATTTTCTTATATCCAAGTTTTTGCCACTGTAAACAATATAATATTGATCACTATGAGGGCATCAGACACAAAACTTTATTTCTTTACTTAGGATAATTTCCTTGGTCGGCATTTTACATATCTGAATTACTAAATCAGTGGGCTTTATATTATAAAGGCTTCTGATATATGTTGTCCATTTGCTCTATATAAAAAGTAGTTGTTAGTTTACATTCATGCTAGCCGTCTATCTCCTTTAGTCTCTAAGTTTTGTTTTTTAAGTCTATAATTAGAAAACAAAATGTAACAAAACAAAACAAATACAAACTCTTCCTAGGAAAATTCCAATCTGCTATTTTGTGAAGAGGCTGAAATTAAACTGGTTTCTACATGATCCATACTTCATGTGTCTTCTTTCATCAGCAGATAGCATTTTCTTTAATCTCAAGGTTGGGGTAAGGGGGCCTTTGACATGAATCTCTCTGATATACTCTTAAGTAAGAACCAATCTTTGCAGGCCTATGTGAAATTGTCAAGCATGGAGGAAGGAATGAGAATTTGATGGGCACCTATTGTCAATAATTTTATTCTTTAACTTTTCTCTTTTTGTCTCATGATTCTCTGCTCTGCACACTTTCAATTCCAAACACTGTTAGCTGGGTGTTGTAGTCCCAGCTACTTGGTAGGCTGAGTCAAGAGGATTGCTTGAGCCCAGGAGTTTCAAGCTGCAGTGAGCAATGATCACACAACTGTACTTCAGCCTAGGTGACAGAGTGAGACTCTGTCTCTAAATAAATAAAAAATAAAAATAAAAATAAAATAAAACTCTAAACACTTGAGATAGCCAAGCCATAATCCTACAGGGATGCATAATATAATAAATAGTAGGTCCAAAAGGTGTGTGTTTGTGTTTGCACATCTGAAAGCATGGTGTGTGTGTGTGTCTGTGTATGTGTATGTGAGTGTGGAGTAGTGTTTGTCTATTTGTGTATATATGATTGTGAATGAATGGAATGTGTGTGTGCTGGTGTATGTGTGTGTGTGGAGTGATGTGTGTGAGAGAAGGAATGTGAAGTGGTGGTATGTGTGTGTTATGTGTTTGCGTGAAGGAGTGAGTATGGGAGATGTGGTATTACTGGGGAAAAGGTTGAAGTAGGGGAGGAGGAAAAAGATGAGATATGGCCCATACATCATTTAACTTGGAGTTAAAGCATATGATCTCTTGGAAACTAGTTCAAATGTAAACTTTTGACATGATTCTTCACGAGGAATTTCTTCACATTTTCATTTGAACTGCAGTAGATCTGATGCAATGAACTAGCTGCTACATTTGCCTTTTCATAAAGTTTTCTCTCCAAATAGATTTTATTTTTGAGAAGTGTCATTTAACCAAGTTTGCAAAATCACCTGTGCAGGAAATAGAGAAAGATATGGTTGTTTGAGTATTTTAAGAGAAAAGTCACAAAAGTACATTTGACAGTGTGTCAATGCTTATTGGTTTATATATATTCACACATATATATCTCATATATATATATATATATTAGAGAGAGAGAGTTGCAGCTTAGAAGATTTCTAAGTTGTTCACCTTGAGAAACAAAATAAGCTTAAGTTTCCCTGTGAATTTAGTATCTACAAGAACAGTTGACTCTTTGTCCTATAATCGAAAAATAATTCTAGTTGTCTATACATTTAATTTTTTTATTCTCACATAGAATCATAATACTTTGGTTAGCCACATTTGTAGCGCATGTGAAAAATTTCATGTCATCGGAGCATTTCTGTGACTTTCAGTCACGGGTGAAATCTACCCGATATTTTAGTATCCAAATTAGAATCTGGATGATCACACCTGAAGCTTTTTTCATCGAGTTCCATCTCCTCAGTGCTCTGTATTCTGCATTGTTTTCTGAGTCTTAAATTTGCCTCTGTCTTCAAGTCTACTTTTATGCCAGCTAAAATATTAAATCTTATTTTTAATTGGGACAAGTACTATTATCATAGGCTGGAAAACCTTAAACACACTTCATTTTGTGGTGATATGAGTTATATATATTATATTATATACATTATGTATAATGTATATAATACATAATAGAACATTATATATTACATACATAACAATAAATACGTAATGTTATATATTATATTATTTGTTTAATATAAAGTTATACATATATCTATATATGTATATTTATATATATCTATATATCTATAATATAGAGATACATATAAATTCCAAGACTCTCAGTGGATGCCTGTAACTATAGATAGTTACACACTATCTACATATATACACTATCCTATATACACTATATTTTTTCCTATACATGCATGCCTATAATAAAGTGTGATTTATAAATTAGGCACAATAAGAAATTAACAGCAATAATAGTAAAATAGAACAATGACAATAATATGACGTAATAAAAGGTATATGGATGTGGTCTCTCTCTCTTTCTCAAAATATCTTGCTGTACTGTACTCACCCTTTTCTTTGTGATGATGTGAAATATAAAATGTCTATGTCATGAGATAAAGGGATGCATAGCTATAGGCATTGTGACGTAAATGAGCAATTTCAGAAATAAACAATTCATAAATTCTAAATTGTGCCACATTCTGAGTAGTGTGATGAAATCTTGGGCCATCTTGCTCCGTCGCACGTGGGACATGAATCATTTCTTGGAGAAGCAGATCCCGGCTGTCTGCACTGTCTGCCCATGACTCACTTAGTAGCCATCTCTGTTATCAGATTGACTGTCCTGTTGTTGCCGTGCTTGTGTTCAATTAACCTTTCTTTGACTTAATAATGGCCCCAAAGCACACAGGTAGTGATGTCCTATTTTCAGACCCCCATTGACCACAGGTAAGTGAAACTGCGGAAAACAAAATTGTGGATAAACGGGGACTGCTGCACTTGGTTGTATTATAGAAGGGTAGTTTTCACTGTCTTATTCTTATAACCTAGATAAAAAGCAATGGCTTAACAAAATAGTAACAGATAAAATGGATGTGATCATGTGCCTGGCTAAACTCAAAAAGTAGTAAAATGTTTGTAATTAATAAGGCTAATTGACCACATAGAGTCTGAAAATTGATTTCACTGGGGTGGATGCAGAGGGATGGGGTGAACCTCACAAATCTCCTTGCAGGGCACAGGGGACCTTCATTACTAAACGGTATCCTAACCCTTAATATCCCCTCAATCACTTCCTCCAATACCTGCCAGCTACTGGGAAATTGTGCCTTCCCCAGGGCAATTCCTGCACATTCTTTTCCTTATGCCCAAGCCTAACACTTCTCTGCCTGAAATATGAACTCCTCCCCTAAATTCCTACTTTTTCTTTGGAACCTAACTTTCCACTTGACTGGGTCTTCGAAATATCCATGGCTCTCCCCATTGTGATGCCATATAGCTCTTATCTACTGTATTGTAAATATTTCTTTACATGCTAATCAAACTTTAAGAAACTCAAGTAGGAGCTCATAACAAAAATAAGTATTACGTTTAGTTCTTCTTCCTTTTAATACCTGACACTAAGTCTGGAAGACAGCAGCTAATAAATAAATGCTAGCTGAATGAATGATGAAAAAATGAATAACCCTGAGTCAACCATCGTATCTTTAAGAAATTATTATAATAGTAACAACAAGGAGATGACTAATATAATTTTACTAAGTTTAGAAAGCCTTGGAAGGTTAAACTTCATGAGAGCAGTAGTCCTACCAAGTGTTTTATTATATTAGCAATTATCTTTTACATTCTAGTAAAATCCAGGCCTTTATTCATATTTTTCTCTGTGAAAGGTACAATCAATCAATTATGAAGGTGAAATTATGTTGATGCTGAGGCAGTATGGGGAACCCTAAATAGTTGGAGTACTCAAGTCACAGAAAATCATGAAAATGAAGCTCAAGTGATGGATTAGTGAAGACGATAAGTCCCTCAAATTTGAGTTGCAGCGATAAGGGAATTGAGGGGGAAAAAAAAGCTAAGTAGAAACTCACTTGAAAAATGCACTTAAGTCTTCATGATAAAATTTCAAACTTCTTTTATTACTATTCATTTTTATCTAAAAAATCATGTTAGCATTTAGTCCCAAATTTCCAAGCCTTGTGTTCGTCTTTCTCTGCGATGTTATCAGCTGGAAGGGAAAGCTGGCCGTGAAACTGTTATGTTAAGCACTTTTCCACAAGAACTTATTGCTTTAATAAGTAGGGAAAATGCTCTTAAAGAAAAAGAAATGTCATTCAAGATTCATTAGAGGGAAAAAAATAAAAAAGAAACCCATGTGATCCTCCATCGAATTCAGACTTCCTTACCATGGAATACTGAACATACATACCCTGAGGTCTTAACAAAGAGTAGGAGTAAACAGTTACTCATCACTAGAAAGAGAATTGTATATTCTCCGGGACAATGCACTAAGACAAGAGTACATAGACCAGTGTGTACACCAGGCAGTTATTGCCATGTCCCTGTAGACTGGGGATTCCAAGATAAACAATGCCTCACACAGGTAAGCACTCAATAAATATTTTTTGAAAGGATAGATGAACATTAGAAAGCAGTTTAATGCTCTTTAATAACTATAATCCCCCCTTGTAGATCAAACTCTCATCTTATATGAGCTTATGGCAGAAGCCACAATTACTTTTGCACCAACCTAATACATAGAATTAATTTATATCTATAAGAATTCACATATCAGCATAATCTACTGCCTTAGAACCTCATGCCTCTTTAGGAGTTGTTTTATTGCCATTGTCTTACGGTTTTTACCACTTTTGAAACCAATATGTATTAATAACAATAAAGTCACTTTATGACCTCAATGAAAAGATGTGGATTTTTTTTTTCTGACAAGGTGTTTTTTTCCTAATTAACCTTATTTTTAGAACTTGTTTTAAACACATGTGACTAGACATAATCAGCCTATGGTTAAAAATATAATACTATGATGAGTCATGTGGGTAGCAATGAAAGGGAAAAGAGATGACTCACTTTCCCAGCAGTGAGCATTCCTCTTGTCTTCCTGGTTTCTGGCCACCTCCCTCCACTGCCCCATAAAAACCCTGCCTTAGCTAAAGCTAGGCAATTTTTCTCACCTTCCCTCCGAACCTTGTGCTTAGACTACGAAGTTTGGACACTTTGGCATGAGGCTATTTTAAAGTCTGAATCCGATGTGGTAGGAAAAGCAGGTATAGAAACGGACCCCCTACATCCAGATTACATCTGCGAATGAAACCCAATAATGTTCTCAAGTTCAAAGCAATCGCCCACTCACCCGATGGTCTCTTTGGATGATTGAAAATGGCTTAAGCAAGTACATATGGGCTTAAAGAGCCACTCAAAATAACTGAAAAGCAGGTTGTCCACAGAGAAGCCATGTCACTTCGTTGACAAATAAGCGTGGGCTGAGCTGGCAAGGGGCTTCCCGGGGGCTCCTCACCCGCAGGGGGAGAGGAAACGTCGGGTGAGTGTGGGAATAATAAGTGAGCGCGGCGTCCTCTCTGGTTCTACTATTCTATAAATGTTATATTTGTTAGGCGAGCTCCCTCCCTGACCACCCCCCAAGCAGTTCATAGACAATAAAACACCAGGAATCCCTGAAGAGTGGTAAAATGCTGACATGATTTAAGAAGGAAGACTCTGATAAGAAGATAAAAACCTAATAAACAGAGTCTAGAGAACCTTGGTTCGTCTCAGCCGCTTGCCAGTGTAAGCAAAACCCTCCCAAGGAAAACAAAAGGAGCCTTAATGGTAAGGACATTCCACTCGCAGACCATCTGAAGGAGAAAGTTGAGGCCGTGACCTCTGCAGACTGCAGTTATGAGAGCTCGGACAAAAAAATATTTGATTTGGTTCAAGAAGCAAAATCAGTCACTGGATTTTTTAATATCTTTTTTCTTCAATAAAAAAATAATGTATTTTATGTGTGCTTGAGAGAGAGTTGTGTATACATGGTAAATATTTCTCCCACCCATGTAGTTTTTCTGTTTAGCTTGGTCTTAATTTCTTCTTGGATTTTAACCCCAGGAAAAGGTGGATTCACAGGCCCATTGATTTCCCTTTTTTAATTAACACAAGGCTCCCGAAAGCTCATCTGAAGTTTCACACATGAATCTGCAAATATGTAAAGACGTACATTCTCTCCAAGAACCAGAATGAGAATCTGCAAAGCTGTGAGTTTATTGTTGAAAATTTAGGGAATGCTAAAAGAATATATTAGCATCTTTGAAATCTAGAACAGAGAATTCCTTAGAAAATGCTTAAATGCACATAGGCTCCCAGGCTAGCTAAAAAAAAAAACCTACAAATGGTTGAAATTCTGAGCAATTCTGTTGCAACATCGATAGACATATGTAATAAGAGATATCTGTGAAGTTATTTGTGCTTTTGGTATTTAAAGAAAATTTGTAGAATTAGAGAAGAAGGAGGACAAAAGTTTTATAGAAATTTTCCAGAGCTCTTTTAGTACACTTACAAGAAGAGCTTCAATGGTTGTTGATGCTATTTTTCATTATGATTAGCTTAACTTAAAAAATGTATAGCTTGCCTTTTCCCAGATACAGATAAGGACTACATATGATAATCAAACGTAACTAGCTTTTCTAAAAATAAAATTTATTTATTTTCTCTAAGAGCAGAAAGAAAAGGGGGACAGAAGTATAAATGGGCAAGATCTGGAAGAAAATAGAGAAGAAATAATACCAGGTAGAGCAGAGGTCAGAACAAAATAGCCAAGGGTAGAAAGAACTGAGCAGTGTGGGACAACAGAAAGACAAAAGAACAGGCTGAGTTTCCTGGTCTTCTGCATCCTCTGGGCAGGTAGTCAGAGAAGAAGACTGGGTCTAAGAACGTGCCCTGATAATTACCCTAAAGCTCCTAGGGCTCAGAAGGAGGCACCATGGGAGGTACTGGGTACCTCATGGGTAGGGCAGAGGAGCAGGCAAGAGCATAACCTTGGGTTAGGTAGGAGGTGAGAGCATGGTTTGCAGCTACTGCTTATTCTATTTGCTTAGAATTCCAAATAGTGGAGTGTGTGTGTGCGTTTGTGTGTGTATAAAATTGCAGATAGTGGAACATATATATTTTTATATATACATAAATATTTTAGAAGGGGGGGCTTATTTAAATTTAGAATTTTAGAGTTCGAAGGGAATCTGCCAAGAGAAAACTAGGTGCCAATAGGCTCATGCAGTTACTGTCTTATATGGCTAGAGCTTTTGTTCTTTGAACTAAGCTCTTTTCATAAGAGCAAACGTATGTAAAGCAGGTATTTGTTTTCTTTAATGACCATGCACATTTTGAACTGAAGTAAAGATTCAACGACTATATAGTTAATTCGGTGGATGCAGTAAGAAATTGTTTCCTTTGGGCATTTGGAATATTTAGTCTATCCACATTGATCTTTTAACCAGAAGACCACTACTTTATTTGATGCCATATAGACACAGCTACAAGAGCCCAGTCTTTAATAGCATGCCCTCTTTGAGCGTGAAACCAGAAGGTCAAAATTGCCCATCATAAACATGTCAGCAAAGTCTACAATTAGGATAAAGAAAATTAAATTATATAAAATTAAACAACTCTGAACCTTGACATCAGAAATATGTTAATGTGTTTGTTTTTATTCAGATGTAGTTATCTTACACTTCGGTTTGCCGGAGCTAATGTTATCTTCCTTGGTAATATCATTTAAATGACTATATAATCACAAAAATGCGTTCGGACAACCTCTTTTATTTAGAAAGTGTACTGAAAGCTCATGCTTTGTACCCAGGCAAGCTGGTTCAAATCCTGGCTCCATCACCTACCAGTATGTACCTGGCTCCAGCATGTGCCAGCTATCGCTATCTGACCTTGAGCAAGTTACTCAACCTCTGTGACACTAGACTTCCTAATTTCTACATCTAGGTAAAAATAATACTATCTCAAAGAGTGGTTATGAAAATTAAGTGTTAGTTTATGTAAGGTATTGATACCAGTCCCTGACACATAGGGACAATTAGCTATTATTGTTTTCATAGTCATGCAAGTAATATGAGCATGTTTAAAATTTGTAGGATGCAGACATGTATTTAAAAAGAAAAAAATTGTTACCCCTAAATCTAATCCTTAATCCTAACAGTTGGGGATGATTACTGTCTTTCCTAATTCCTATTCTATGTGTGTGTTTGGTTTTTAACAAAATCATAATTAGTATATATATAATTTTATTGATTGATTTTATCCTCTTTCTCTTAAGTAGCATACACACACACACACACGCACAGGCACATGTCCAGAGGACTTGATTAACTGTACTTTGTTACACACACACAAATTTAGTGAATCAAATCCTCTGGATGTTTACAAATGTATGCCATTATAAATAAAATCTCATTCCTGTTTTTTCTACCTATGCACCTTGGATGGTTAAAAATAAATATTGGACTACTCCGCAGGGAATGCCAAAACAAAAGACAATGGTCATTAAATATTTTAAAATTTGATGTCAAGGATGCAGCAAAAGTTTAATCCCTTGAGGTTTTTCAAATTTAAGATATCAATTTCAAATAGACATCCAAGGTATCTATCAATTCCTCTTTATCACTTTCTCAATAATCAATCCTCGAGATTTTTCAGTATGCACCATATAAATGATTGAAAGCCCAAGTGAGAAAGATTTGTACACATTAACAGGTAGGAGCTTAATTAAAAACCAGTATGGATGTTTTGATTTCACAACAAAAAATGAAGGAAAGAAACATTTCAGTTGAATAAACAATATTTGGGATCATTTGGAAGCTATATTGATGACGTCTAGAAGCATGAACTAAAATGAATAGATTCTGCCCCTCCAACAAACTACTTGGATGTTATGGCACTTAATGACATTTTCTACCATGTTGTACAATGACTTCTGGGATGAGATAGTTTCCAAGCTGTTTAATGTAATCAAGCATCATGGATCATAAACAAGTCTATCATCTCTACTTGAAATTAAGAATATATATGACACTTAATTTTAGTTTGAAGATTTCAACCTTTAACTTAAGAACTTCCTTTTAGTTTCCAGCCTTCAACTTGGTTTCTCAAATAGGGTAGCTCTCATTGTGGCTTCATGAAGGCTGAACAGTGAGCACTTCAGACCAATATGAATTAGTTCCAGCTCCAAACCATCTACAAAATATTCATAGCATTTATGTTAGGTCCAAGAGTCACTTCCTATTAAGTATACTTTGTATTCCCAGGCAATTTAGGTTTTTCCAACTTCAAGTAGTAGAGATTTTGTCTACAAAATAATAAAATTTTAAAAAATACTTTTTTGTTAAAAAAGGATTAGGAATAAATATCCCAAATATATTTATAGAGACAGATGAAACAGATAAACTGCAATAATAGATATAAAAACAGCACACTGGAATGCATAACAGGTCAGCACATTTGTTAAAGGCAGATCAAATTTATTTCGTAACCGTGTGCTCTTATTGAATATCAAGAAATACACCGGAAAGGAAAATTCACCAAATGCGTTCAAAAAATTAAGCACTTTTCAAACACAGTTCAAGAGGCTCTTTTCTTAAAAAAATATTGCCCACTTTTCTAAATCAATTCTTTCTTTCTTTCCTTCTTTTGTTTCTGAAAGGGTGTCGCTGTGTCTGGAGTATAGTGGGGCAATCGTAGCTCACCGCAGCCTGGAAATCCTAGGCTCAAGTGATCTTGCTGCCTTAGCCTCCTGAGTAGTTAGGATTATAGTCATGTATACCACCATGCCTGGCATATACATATACATACACACACACACACACACACACACACAAACACACACACATATACATATATACACAGATATATACATATGTGTATATATGTATATATGTACATATACATGTGTGTATATGTGTACATATACATGTGTGTATATGTGTACATATACATGTGTGTATATATATGTGTGTGTGTGTGTGTATATATATATATATATTTTTTTTTTTTTGTAGAGATGGAGCCCTCCTATGTGATGCAGACTGGTCTCAGACTCCTGGGCTCAAATGATCCTCCCGCCTTGGCCTCCTAAAGCACTGGGATTAGAGGCATGAGCCATCAAGCCTAGCCTGATGATTTTCTACTTTATTTCAAAAGTAATAATTGTTTATAGTGATATGCCAAAAATTACAGAGAAAATTTATAATTTCTCATTCCACCTCCAACATTTCATCTCTTAGAAAGTGACAAAAGTTAAATGTTTGATCATTCATTTTTTCATGATGTGACAAAGAGAAGCATGTATATCTCATTTAAATATAAGTATACAGATATGAATTATATATAGATATATAAAGATGTATAACCATAAGCTTGTAACCACAAAGAGAATCATGTCATATGTTATTTTGCAATCTGCTTTTTTGAACTATAAATATGCTAAAAACATCTTTTTTTGATATATTTAAATTTTTTGTTCTTTTTTATTTATAAATGAATGGAGACGTTAGTTTTACATCTTGCAATGATAACTGGTAGAAAAGTAAAAATTTCAATGAAGCAATTTCAGGAGTTATTTGAAGTAGGCTTGATTTCAAAGAGACACTAAATAATTGTCTATATAGGATTTACATCACTGTCTTATTTGTATTCTCTACAGGTAAGCAAGTGTTTTGTCAAAGCAACATTTCCTCAAAGGTTTGCAATGAAAGATTTTACCTGTTGGTATTGCCTGATTCCACAATTGTCTATTTTGCTTTGGCAAAACCCAATAGAATAGATTGTATTGCCATGAAGAATTTCTACAAGCAAGTACTTAAGATTGTGCAAGACAAATTCTTAGGAAATCAATTTGAACAGAATTTGAACAGAGTCTGAGAGAAAGATGGGTAGCCTCAGTTTTGTATGCCACTTCCACCTCAAACAGCCTGAACACATTTCTCAGGCTGCTGTCCAAATGATATGTGACCTGCAGTGTGGAAGAAATGACTCGAAGGTAATGGTCCTTATTCAAGTGGAAGCTGAAGGTCCTACTCTTTTCACTGGATCTCCTTATTTTTTCTCTTACCAAGGAACAGGAACATTCTCAAATTTCATTATGATCCTCATGATCTGCAACTGGAGCAAGTCTCTTGGTACACAACATATCAGGATAACGTGTCATTTTTTCCTTCAAAAGGGGTAATGCCTTTGTATCTGTTGATAAACAATCAAAATATCCCTCCTTCCCTTTTCTTCCCAAAGAGTTTCAAAGTACCACTCCATGAGAAATTGAGAAATGCACTTATTTTCTCCGAGAAAGTGAGAAGACAGAGGCCTTGATATAGAGATATGGAAGACAACAAAACTCTTTTGCCCAAAGAGAAATGGAGGTAAAGATGTAGTTTCAGAAAACGTCTAAAGACAGAATAGATTTTAATCCAGGTGAATAATCTGACTCACCTCTAACATATCTGATGCCAAAGATATTTACCCAAATTCTCATGCTCTATGTGAAGGCTTTCCAGTAAAACTCTATGGAAAAGAAATTGGCACCAAGGCTCTTCTAGCCCTCTGAGTGGCACGTTTTGAATTCTATAAACCAATTCATTCCTTTGCTTCCCTCCGTCCCTTTCCCCTTTCCCTAAATGTGTATTCTTAGCTGAAGAAGAAGTCAGAGCCAGTTATTGTACACAAATCATCTCCTGGCTGAAGTTTTTGGTGGCAGTCAAGAGAGGAGAAGGGAAAAAAAATTAGAAAAATTTCAATTTCAGGACCATTATTATTTTCATTAATCATAAGAGGTGCTGTCACCCTGTCCTGATTCTTTAGAAGGAGATCTATTATACGGTCCATTTAGTCCAAGCCATATTACCTCATATGTTTTCCTGGCTGACCAAATAAGACTTAAGAGATAAAACAATTTACTGTTCATTATGATCCGTGTCACTGGAATCAATCTATTAACCTACATTAACTGGATATGTGACGATATCTCACATACACGCTTCCTCAGTTTAAAGGAAAGCCAAGGGAATGGGGAGGGGGCAGAGAGAGTAAGGGGAAAGGAGAGGGAAGGAAATCAGGGCCCATAAAGTGCAGCAGACGTATAATTTGCCAAGCGAATACAACTTCATTTTCCAGTGCCCACTGCTGCGCCCTCCACATCTTCACGCAGCCCCTGACCTGTAAAGAAGTCTAACAAATTGGCTTCTATTGTGGAGCCAAAAGGTGCCATCAAAGAAGAGACGGTTCGCTGGTCCTAAAGTACGATAGGAAATCTCAGGCTGGAATAAAGAGCTGCCGTTTTATGAAGTTAACCCATTCAGGTTAAAAGCAAGCAGGAAGCTCCGGCTGGTGGGGCAGCAGTGCCAGGAGGACGGAATCCCTCCAACCCTCTCTCTCAAACACTCAGGGAAGACGGCCCCAGGTGAAGCAAGCACCATGTGAAGTTAAGATAAAAATAATCACCACCTTCCTATTTTAAGCAATAAAAATTCCCCTCCTGTGTCTCTGGACAGCCCCTCTGTTTCACTCTTTCTCTCCTGTTTCTCTCTCTCTCTCTCTCTCTTTCTCCATGGATTAAAGATCATAAGCATCTCCAGAAATCAATCAATCAATCAATCAAGGATGCAAACCTGTATAAAAAACTTCAGTGTAAACAGTAGAGAGATTAGGGCGGTGTGTGCCACCAAAATGTGACTCCAGTGTCCCTTCATTGTGCATTTGCACATGTGGTAAGAGCTCATCTGGGCACTGGTTTGTATGCTGTAAATTTTCCTCTGAGACTCCAGAGCTCTCTTCATTGCTGTCTCCAGACCACAGGCAGATCCCTTTGCACAGCACGTGTGTTACCAATCCACAGCATCCCTGCTGCCGAGGAGTGTGCATGGGTAACGCACAGCCATAAGAGGTTGTGCCCAGTGTTGATGAGCTGTCACGTGTTTTCATTCGTGTATGGAAGGGGGCAAATTTCAGACTGTATACATTTCCCTTTCATGGGTGATTTGGTCTACTAGTTACCATAGGACCCTGAGAGATAGAAATACAAAACTTTGTTATATATTCAACCTTTTCAGTCCTAGGAAGAGGTAAAAACACCTGTGCAATTATGGCTGTTCTTGAGCTCAGGGTATAATTGGTGTGAAAAAATGGACATTTCCTGTTCTGGATAAGAGGAAGTGGAAGGCATTATTGGTAAACCGTGTCATTCTTAACTGGTGAGAGATTAGGATCACAAATATGAGGAATGTCACAGAAGCATGGAGTTATTTTATGTGCTAGTGATGTCATTATACTTCCTCATAGATTTTCCTGGGTCTATCTTTGGGCCAAGCCAGGGAAGTTTTATTACATTTGGTCCATACCACCCTTGAACCAAAAATCTCTTCTGCTTGAAGATGCACACGTTGTCAGTTTCTCTTTTCTCCAGAAGTCATGACAGAGAAAAGGCAAACAAAGCTAACTTCACTGTTTTTGAAATGAGGAAAGGTAGCTTAAACTATATTTTTTAAAAAAAAAGGCTGGGCACAATGGCTCATGCCTGTAATCCCAGCAATTTGGGAGGACAAGGTGGGCGGATCACTTGAGGTCAGGAGTTTGAGACCAGCCTGGCCAACACGGTGAAACCCCGTATATACTGAAAATACAAATATTAGCCTGGCGTGCTGGCACATGCCTGTAATCCCATCTGCCTGGGAGGCTGAGGCAGGAGAATCGCTTGTACATGGGAGGCAGATGTTGCAGTAAGCCGAGATCATGCCATTGCACTCCAGCCTGGGCAACAAGTGTGAAACTCCATCTCAAAAACAAACAAACAACAAACAAACAATAAAACAAAAACTACTGTTTGCAAACTTTTTAATCACATTAAACATTCTATATCAAAGTTTGATTTTCAACCCAAGTGTTTTTCTCCATTCTCTTGTCTCTTCAATCTCCCTGCACTGAAGGAAGAGAAAACATCCCGTCATCTCTGTACTTGTGATGCCTGAGAAGGAGCAAGTATTTCACGAATGTTTGTGGAGTAAAGAAAAATTATCAAGTCCTTTGAGAAATGACTGCAGGAGAGGTGGGCACTTGGTCTGCTTATATATGGATTTTTTTTTTTCAACAAAAGGCAGTTTTCATGAGATGCAAAACCCACACATACAGAAAGCTAAATTATCCAATACAGGGATCGGCAGGGCCAATTGCAGGACTTGGGTATGCATGGATTTTGGTATCTGCAGGGGTCCTGGAATCAATTGTCCACACATACCAAGGGGCAACTCTAGTCAGATTCCAACTTTATCTTCAAGACAGAACCTTTAGACTTTCTCAGTGTGCTGACTGTGGTCTATGATAGAAAGAGAGGAATTAAAGATGGTGTCAGGTTGTTTCTTCCTTTTTCTTTCCCGAGCAACTTGTAGAACAGAGTTGCCATTTTTTAAGATGGGGAAGGTTACAGTTTGGATAGAGTGGGCACCAGGAGTTTGGTTTCTGTTAAGTTTGAAATTTCTATTACATATTCTGGTGGAAATGAAAAATAAATACCAATTCCAAACTAGAGATATACATTTTGGAGATATCAGTATATTGGTGAATTTCTTGAGACTACCTAGAGTTAGTGTCGGTAGAGAAAAGTTTTCAGATTTGATTCCTAGTACATGTTAAGGTTTAGAGGCTGAAGACATTGGTTAGAATGAGTAAAGGAGCATCATGTAAGAGTGGCCAAGGAGGTAGGAAGAAAACCAGGAGGGAATGAGGTTTTGAAAGCCAAGTAAAGAGAGAGTCTCAAAGTGGGAATGACCAATCTGTGAGATCTGCTAGAGTTGAGGACTGAGAACTGATGTTTGCGTTAGCAGTGTAAAAGTCATTGATGACCTTGACAAGAGCAGAAGTAGATAATGGAAATCTGATTAAAGTGTGTTTTTGAACTCTCTTGAGAGATGAGGAGGAAAAGAATTGTAGTCGGTGAGCATAGACTACTCTTTCTGGGTATTTTGTAGTCAGGGGGAGCAGAAAAACTGTTAAAACTACAAAGGGATGTGGGATCAAGAGGGGGGACAACTTTGAACCATATATAAAAATGTGCTCTAAAAGAGTTCTTAAAGTTACTGAGTCTCTTCCTTACCTGTTGCCATGCATTAGTTGAACACCTGCCTATAAGCTTTGTTATAACCAGTGGCTTTCTCCAATTCTTTGGCTATATATAGTTCCCTACCAATGCCTATGGTGTTTCTTTTTCTAAACCTGTTAATGAGCCAGTCCTGGCCATAGAAATGATACCCTTCATGACAAAGAGGCTCAGCTTGACATTCAGTCTGAGGACAGAGTAGTCTCACTATTCCTCATCCAACTCGAAGCTGCTAGTCTAGGTCATAGAAAAGTGAGACGGCAGAAGTTGTTGCTCCTTGTTGAAGCAATGTAGACTATCTATCCAAGGTACCAGTGGGTTGATTCTGCAGAACTGATGGCATGGGCAAAGATGGAGGGAATAGGAAAGCTCCCCTTTGGCATTCTATGCCACTGCTTTAAATGAGGATCATACAGATAACATTTCAGAAGCTGAGTATCCCAGTTTTCAGCATATCAAAATTAGCAACAGCCAGACAATCTACATCCATCTCACTTACTGGCCACATGTCTTTGACCATGAACGTCTCTTTGAACCTCTGTTATTTCATCAGTAAGATGGTGGAAGTAATTCTACCTTCTCATATTGTTGTAGTAAAGAACAAATTAGATAGTGCATGCCAGACACTTAACATAGTAAATGCAAATGGAAAGTTTTCCATAGAGTATACGATTTAGTGTATATAAGGAAAGTATTAACATTTTATAAATAGGTGAAAGTGTGTGATGAGACTTACAGGGTTCCGAAAGTTTGTCTGTAGCTCAAGGCAAATTTTTCAGTCAAAAATTTTGACATTGGCCAGGCGCATTTGCTCAAGCCTGTAATCCCAGCACTTTGGGAGGCTGAGGTAGGTGGATCGCTTGAGGCCAGGAGTTTGAGACCAGCCTAGGCAACATGGTGAAACTCCGTCTCTACTAAAAATATAAAAAGTAGCCAGGTATGGTGGTGCGTGCCTGTCGTCCCAGCTACTCTGGAGGCTGAGGCATGAGAATCACTTGAATCCAGGAGGTGGAGGTTGCAGTGAGTCAAGATCATGCCACTGCACTCCAGCCTGGGTTACAGAGTGACACTCTATCTCAAAAAAAAATAAAAACAAATAAAAAATTTGACATTTATCCCAAGTTACAGGAACAGTCACCTACAAATTTTCCTCTAATCCTAAAGCTTAAAGACTCTATGGCAACCTATCTTATGCGGTAAAGAAAGAAAAGAAAGTCAGCACTATGTAGCTAGTTGATTTTGGGTGATCTTGTCAAGAATTTTCCAGTTTCATAGCTACGATTTTGGGTGATCTTGTCAAGAGCTTCCAGTTTCATAGCTAAGGAACTGTTTATTCGTGAGAGCTTCTAACTGAGGACTTGAACAACCTCTATTAAAAGCATTGTAGGGCAACCAAAAGAAGGTAGAATGGGTAGCTGAAAGGCCTGAGCCTTAGTTTTAGGCTTGTCAAAAACTTACTTTCTAAAAGTGGATTTACCTCTCTTAGCCTTAGAGTCCTCATGTGTGATATGAGGGCTGGGCCAGATCAATGATTTAAACAGAGCCCAACAGACTGTCCTGGGGAGAGTGAGTAGGGGGAGGGCTTCACCCACCTTCCTTGTTTCAACCTCTTACTACTGTAGAGAGGAACAAATGAGATCATGCATGCAAAACACCTAACAGAGTACACGGCGTTTATTACACAGACAAGCATTGTTTTATTCTGCTTTATATGTTGGGCGTCTGTGTAAAGTTTTGTCTGAAGGGAGATTTTTGCCACTAAAGCACATTTGAAAATCCACTGAGCTAGAAGAACTCTTTCTTTCAGCTTGAAACTTCTATGAGTCTGTTACTAAGCGCCCAGGAGATGGGCACATGGAACAGAAGATAACATGCATATAGAAATCGATGGAAGGGTTGACACATATTCTTCTATTCACAGGTAGGAGCAATCGTTACTTTCTCCTGGGAGCCTGGAAGCTGCCTTGCCCCCACACTTCCCCTGTGTACTCCTCTTCACTTCTCACTGTGAAAAGGCAAAATAAAATGGAGAAGGAAAAGTGGATGAGTGGAAGGTAAAAGGTAAAACGCCAGTGTAATCAAGACCAAAACTTGATTTTTGGAGGCTGGGAAACTGTACCTTGGGGGCTTTCCAGAAGTTTGTGCCTTCTAGGGGGAGACAGGAATTTGCCTTTCTGACAGACATACTGTTTATAATGGAAGGGGCTACTTTGATGAGACCTTTGAGTTAACCTTTTGATCTGTGGAGAAGCCTCAGTTCTACAAAGGAGATATTAAGCTCCCTGACTAGTAATGAAAATCAGGGGGCTTGGTAAAGCTGAGTCTCAGCAGAAGCCCAAGTGGATCACCACTTCTATAACAGCTGCGGATTCTAGATTGGTATCACCATTTCCATCCCCATCCCTCACCCCGGGGTCTTGGTAAGGGGCTTGCAAATGCCTGGTCAAGTCTCAAAGGTGATATGAGGGATTATGGAAAGCGGTATGCATGCCTTCCCAGAGTCCAGGGAAGACAGCCATTGTGCCCAAGGAACTTTGATGGTAAGGGTCATCAGCAGAGCATAGGGGTCAGAAGCAGAGAGAAGGGGCTGCCATGTTGACGGTTGCATGTTTAGCTCTCAAAGGTCTCAGAGAGCATGAACTGACTGCCTGCATGCCAGGAGTTGGAAAAGCTTTGGCAACAAAAGGAGGTGGCAGAGTGGACTTGTCACATGGCATGGTGAGTCAGTAACCCAGAAGCGTGCGGAAGGAACTGAGGGACAAGTGGAGGGGAGTTAATGCAGGTGGACTTGTGTGATACCACATTGAGCACAAAAGGAGAGCAATTGTATTTCCTAGTCACAGGTGGATATACAGTTATTATAGGAGATTAACTGAGGAAAGATTCAACCCCGGATGCAAAGCTCCAAAAGGGTCCAACAAAGAGATCTCCAAATGGACAATTTAACTAACTACTCTTGGGTTTAGTGCTCCATAGCACATTCTAGTCTTGGACAGAAGGAAAAGGTTCTAGAAGTGATATTTTGCTGGTTTAACTCCGTCCTGGTTTGACATTTTCTTTGTATTCCATCAATGGTTCTCTCACTTGAAAGCCAACCCAATGCCTCAAAATAAGTCTTTTTATTGATGGAGAAAGCAACTCTTTTTCTTGCTTCTCTTCTTTCTGCTCTTCTTTTTTGATCTTCAACCCCAACAATATCCTTCATAGACTCCAAAACAACAATTAGATAATTATTTGGACATCAGTAAGGGAAAGAGACATGTCATCTGTTGGCTTGGTTCAATATCTGACCCATACTAACCACTCCATAACTGGGAATTGTTATTTTTACTATTCTTGTTTATGTTATGGTTATTATTGTTGTTAATATCTGTCTTCCTCTAATCCAAATTCTAGATCAGTACTGTCCAGTGGAACTTTCTATGATGATGAGGATGTTCTACATCTGTATTCTCCCATGTGTAGTCACTAGCCACTCTGTATGCTCCATAGACAGCCAGTTGGCATGTGGCTATTGAGTTGTCAAAATGTGGCCAGTTCACCTAAGGAACTAAGTCTTTAATTTTATTTAATTTAAATGAATGGCTATTAAAATAGCTACAGGACATTGCAGGTCTAGGCCTATTTTTCTCAGGTGAGGGTTGGGGCATTCTTACTCCTTAAACCTGTGGTTATGGAACTGGCTTCAGGACAACCTGGAGGACTTGTCAAAACACAGATTCCTGGGCCTCAATCCTGGAGTTTCTGATTTCCTATGTCTAGGTGGTGGCCTAAGAATGTGCATTTTAACAAGGGGTACTATTATTAGTGGTCCTGGGACCAGACTTTGAGAGCCACTGCTTTAGATCTATCCATGTTTCCAAATTCCAGAGGCACATTATAATCACCTGAGGAAGTGATGCCCAAGATATTTCCCAGCAAAAAAAATTAAACCAGAATTTTTAGAGTTCCAGATTATTTCTTTGCACAGGCAAGAATTCAATAAAATTGTTAAATCAGAAGGCATGTTAAATTAGGTCAGTGCTTTTCAAACTGTAATGTGCTTATAAATCACCTGGGGATCTTGAGAAAAAACAGACAGTAATTTACTAGGTTTGCAAGGGTCCTAGGAATCAGCATTTCCAACGAGCTCCGAGGTTAGGCCAATGCTGCAGGTCTAAGGACCATGGTTTGAATAGCAAGACATTAGATGATCCCTGAGGTTGATTCTAATCTTTAAATTATATGATTCTAGAACTGGGCGGGATGTCTGCAGCCTGGCATGCTCACAATAGTCTAGTGCTGCGGGAGGAAAAAGTGCAGCGGAGTGATGAGAAATTTGGCACGTCCCAGGGAGAAGGAAAGACAAGTGGCCCACTCAGGGCAGCTGGGTCCTTGCCTGAGGCTGCCAACTGAGTTATGCAGGTGACCTCCTTTCTTGAAGGGTTGGGAGGAGCGGGGAGCAGATAGAATCAGGCACTCTGCTATCAATAACCTATAAAGCCCCATGTAGAGTTCAAAGTGTATTAACAGCTGTACTGATGGCCATCCATGGGAAGAGGGAGCTGGAGATCAGACGGCCCTACTGTTAAACAGGGCAGTTCCAGGCTCAGAACTGTGAAGCTGTCCAGTGTTAGGATCCTTTAAATTAAGAAAGAAAACCAAACATTGAAGGTTCTATTACATGATTGGATAATAACCAAGGGGCATTACAGTACTTGTAATGTCAAATATAAAGAAGGCTTAATGGTTCTTTTTCTCATTTCAGGTCAAAGGTGAGTTACAATTGAGTCTTCAGAGTTCAGCAGTTAGTGAAGTAAAGAGAAAAAGAGAATGTACCAGTCCACCACAGAAGACCCCAGGAAACCCACAGCAGCCTTTGGGTACTTCCTCAGGGGAGGGGGCAAGCATAAGAATAACAGGGAGTTTAAAATCCTGCTAAACTATTTCTTCGCAAAGCTGTATTTACTTTCTGAAGTGCCTGCTATCAGTGCCCTATAATCATAGAATCAAAAAGGAAGAAAAATGTTTATTTTCATGCAGTTGCTGCCTATTACCATGAATGGAAATATATTTAATACCGATGTTTTCCTGGTGGTCCATATAACTTTTATTTCTTCTACCGAAAGAAGAATAAAAATTAAGCCATCCAAAGCAAAGCACCTTTTCTGAATTTCAAGTAGACAGCTAGGCAGCACCAGAAGCTGTTATAAATGGGTACTCCACAGGAATTCAGATAAACCAAGATGGATTTCCTCAAACATGTTTGCTTACAAAACCCTTTAATTCTTAATTCTTTCTCTCCTTCTCTCTCCTTTACACACACACACACACACACACACACATGTACACACACACACACAGCATGTGCTCTGTTACCTATAGAGTTGATATTATAACAAACCAGGATGTCAAACACAGGGGAAAGTGCATACAAAGAGTGTTTTAAAGACAAAACTTCACCAGGGTCTTCAGCAATCTTGTTTTCTGCTGAATTTGAGATTTCAGAAGAGAACATTTCTCTCTTGTCTCCCATAAGAATGACTCTATTTGTTCTTTTTCAGGGTCCCCCTCAAGGGTCCTGTCCCAGAACAAAATGAAAAATGACGCTTTATTTTTCACAGTATCTTTTCTCAAGAAGTTCACGACGCTTTAGGAAACTGGTCTCATAAATCTTCAAGACACTCTTGAGAGGTAGAAAGCAATGGTTTCACCCCCATTATACAGGTGAGGAAACTGAGGTATAGCAGCAGAGGAAGAGTAACTTGCCAGGGCCTTTAATAACAGTCTGAAAAACAGCAGATTTTCTCTTTTCCAAGTCAGTTCCCCAAGTTTATGCCTGCATCCTATTTGCCAATAACCACAGGGATAAAGTACTAATTTCAAGAGATCCAGAAAATGCTTCCACTTTTAAAAAAATACATTAACTACAATGTGTTTATCTAAATACTAAGCTAATAATGTACATGGCCTTAAATAAATGCATGTGAAAGTCCATGTGTGCTTGCTGGCTGCATATGTATACTGAACATGATTTTAGGTTGTGGAACTTAACTTGAACACATTTTTAAATGTGTTTTGCAAAGACAAGAACCTTCTGAGATCTCCAGACTGAGCTGAATTCCCTCTTTGTCCGGGTCTCTCTTAATACCATGAGACAACAAACGGCATATGTTGGCATGTTCAGAGCCATCCAGGGATTGATTCGGGGCTTCAATGACTAATCAGTGGCTCTCTGTCCTTGCATTTGTACCCTTTACTCCAACTCAAACTCCGGCAGCATTCAAACGAACACTAGAGGGAGGGGCAAAGCTCACCGAGGAGCAGGGGCTCTCAGCAGTAATGCCATGTGCATGTTCGCCTTGATGCTGGATCTATAAATAGCAGGAAACTTAACACGGACTTGGACTCCTCATGATTAGGCTCAAAATGTGGTGGTTTTTATTTTATTTTTTTGAGAGAGTCTCACTCTGTCGCACAGGCTGGAGTGCGGGGGCACGATCTCGGCTCACTGCAACCTCCGCCTCCTTGGTTCAAGCAATTCTCCTGCCTCAGCCTCCCAAGTAGCTGGGATTACAGGTGCCTGCCCCCACGCTTGGCTAATTTTTTTGTATTTTTAGTAGAGACGGGGTTTCGCCATGTTGGCCAGGCTGGTCTGGAATTCCTGACCTCAGGTGATCCAACCGCCTTGGCTCCCAAAGTGCTGTGATTACAGGCGTGAGCCACTGCGCCCAGGTGATTATTTTAAACATTAAAGTAAATGATAAGCTTATGACATGCCACAAGTCAACCTGTTCAGGATCTTAAAGCAATGCAAACAATGACACTCTTCTTCCTGATGGGGTTGAGGGTGGCTTACTTGTCAGGAGACAGGTAGCTTAGGATGTTTTAGGCTAGGGACACTGCAGATCACTAGAAAGAATTTGAAGGCAGTCACTGGAAAAATAGAGGTGAATTTATCTGGTATAGATTTCATAGATGATTGAGCATTTAAAGACTCATCTCTTCTCTTAGATCCAGTGCTAAAACAGAAGATACCCACCTGTGATGGTTAATATTAAGTGTCAACTTGATAGGAATGAAGGATTCAAAGTATTGTTCCTGGGTGTGTCTGTGAGGGTGTTGCCTAAGAGATTAACATTTGAGTCAGTGGGCTGGGAGAGGCAGACCCACCTTCAATCTGAGTGGGCACCATCTAATCAGTTGCCAGCACTGCTAGAATAAAGCAGGCAGAAGAAGGTAGGTGAAGCCAACTTGCTGAGTCTTCTCACCTCCATCTTTCTCCCGTGCTGGATGCTTCCTGCCCTTGAACATCAGACTCCAAGTTCTTCAGCTTTTGGACTCTGGGACTTAACCAGTGGTTTGCAAGGGGCTCTCAGGCCTTCGGCCACAGACTGAAGCCTGCACTGTGGCCTACTCTACTTTTGAGGTTTTGGGACTCGGACTGGCTTCCTTGCTCCTCAGCTTGCTGATGGCCTATTGTGGGACTTCATCTTGAGATGGTGTGAGTCAATTCTCCTTAATAAACTTTCCCTAATATATACATCTATCCTGTTAGCTCTGTCCCTGTAGAGAACCCTTACTAATACACCACCCATCGACCGGTAAAATATTATTTAGTCCTTACGAATCTATTTTCCCCTTTGATCAGTTTTGGTTCTATCTAATCAATATCAACCTTACTTTTGCACAGTTCCTTATTCTTGGCCTATACAAAGCAGGAAGCTTGCCAGTCTCTTTTCCCTCTAAGTTTGGCAGTCCCTAACCAGAGGGTTAATATTGCTAGTGCTGAACTTCACTGCTTCATAAGGAATCCCACTCCAGCTTCAGCGGCTGGAATTCTTTTCTTATTTGGAGACAAAATATTCCTCCCTGCTCATTCCACTCATTTGCCCAGTTTAGTCCACTGAAGCTATAGAAATCTCTTCTAACTTCCAAGTATTTTAAAGCAGCAATAATCCCGCCCCACTTCCCATATCTCTTTTCAAATGTTTCAACTGTCATCCATTCACTTTTTCTTAAGTCAATTCTGCGGTATGTTAAGCATTAATATAAGAAAAATAAAGGGCAGCCTTTTAAAATTAAATATAGAGTTAACTCACCAACTTAGACTCACACACTATTCCTCAGGAAGATCACAGAAGAATAACATAGCTATTGGAAAAGGACATCTAAGCTCTTTATAGCTAAAGAAGATGAAAGGAGTATTTCCAGCAGGGTGGGGGCCGGAGGTGGCTCAGGCTTAAAAGGACATGAGGTAACTGAGACTGAATTTAAACAAAACTGGAGAATAAAACGACTGGGGGAAAAAAAAGATAATTATGTCTTACAACAATTACCCTGGCTATGAAGCAAAATTAGCATAGTCCTTTCTAATTTAAATGTGTTGAAAGTGGCTGAGCATGACAGCAGAAAATTACAAGGTTTAGGACATAGGCTTTGGTTAAAGTGATGGCAATTGGATTATCTTGGCATTTTCTGCTGATAGCAATGATTATAAACTTACCTATAAATATTAACTGTTTAATGCTAGGTGAGGTTTTATTTTGCCGGAAAGTACAGAGTCACTCTGTACTTGAAGTTGGTTTTGTGTATTTTTTTCTTATTTAGTTTAATTTTGGTTTGTATTATTACTCATAGGTTCGGTTACTTTTTAATACCAGATAATTGTTTCTTCCTTCTTTCCCTCCCTTCCTTCCTTTCTTCTTTCTGTCATTCCTTCCTCCCTCCCTCCTTCGTTTCTTTCCTTCCTTCCTTCCCTTTTTTTGTTTCTCTTTTCCATCATTGGATCGAAGGGGAAAATGAGGAAGTCTTATAGATGGGGTTTCTTACAAGAACTTTTTTCAGCTTCACTCACTTTCCCATAGAGGAGCTATTACTCCAATATGCCAATTTCCAATTCAACTATAGCTTCATTTCCAATCAAAAGTTTTCTAAGCTGCATAATCATCTTTAGTTCACTCTGCAACACGGTTTTCTCAACTGTTGGGTTCGTGTACCATTGATCCATTTAAATTATTTGGCGCTTTGCTGTGTTTCCTCATATCACTATTTTTATGTAAGAGAATTCATCTGCCAGTACTTTGCCTGTTATCCCCACCCCCCATCTAATCACCCAAAGTAAAATATACCTTTATTTAGTAAACATTATTTCATGATTTGAGGAGAAAAATCTACATTTTCCATGTAGACAAAGTCAACAAAGACTTACAATTAACAAAAAATTAAAAGTTAATGGTTAAATGAACTGTGTAGGCAACAAATAAGTTGCCACGAGATTTCACCCAGGGTTTCTAAATCCCGGCACTAGTAACATTTTGGTTCAGAGGATTTTTTTTGTGGTAGGGCTCTGTCCTATGCACTGTAAGACATTAGTAGCATGTCTGGTTAGAGACCCATTCGATGACAGTTGTGATAACCACACATCTCCAGACATTGCCAGGTATCCTGGGGGGCTGGGGGCATATTACTCCCAGTTGAAAACCACTGATTGAACCCAAGCAGAAAAGGTCTTTAACAGTGGGGGAAATAAATAATACACTATTACATACTATCCTTTTTTTTTTTTTTAAGTTCCAGGGTACCTGTGCAGGTTTGTTACGTAAGTAAACATGTGCCATGGTTGTTTGCTGCACCTATCAACCCATCACCTACGTATTGAGCCCAGCATGCACTAGCTATTTTTCCTGATGCTCTCCTTGCCCTGCTCCACAGGCCCTAGTGTGTGTTGTTGTGCTCCCTGTGTCCATGTGTTCTCATGGTTCAGCTCACACTTATGAGTGAGGACATATGGTATTTGGTTTTCTGTTCTTGCATTAGTTCGCTGAGAATAATGGCTTTCAACTTCATCCACGTCCCTGCAAAGGACATGATCTCATTGCTTCTTATGGCTGCATAATATTCCATGGTTATATGTATCACATTTTCTTTATCCAGTCTATCATTGATGGGCATTTGGGTTGATTCCATGTCTTTGCTATTGTGAACGGTATAACACACTATTCTTACTTGGATTAATTTATCTGCCACACATATCTAGTTATTGGCAATAGAAACTTACAGTGGTCTGAATGAACTAGAAGAATTGGTGGTGAGCTACTGGTAACAGAGACAGAAAATAGTAGTAGTTTAAATAAGAGAGAAGCTTATTTGTCTATTATTCTAGAGAAGTCTGGAAAGAGGCCCTTCCCTGTTGGTTGGGGGCTCTCTGGTACTGTCAGGGTCCTGTGACTCGTCTTTTTGTTTCATCATCCATAGAACTTGGCTTTCATATCCAGCTCCCGGGTATCTGTGGAGTGCCAGGTAGGTTGCTAAATCATCAAACTGGAAGCAAGAACCAGGACTGGCAGGGCAAAAAGGAGCAAAGGGAAGATTCCCAGAAGCTCCTCAACCAACTAGAAGCTAGAAGAAAGGCTAGGAAATGTATTTCCAGTGAACTACTGTGCAAGATTTCAATAGCAAAGAAAAAAGGGAGAACATATATTGTGTTTGCAACCAGCAGTCTCCCATTCACTTATTCTTCTTCTAATTCAGGCAACTACTTTTGAAATATTTACTATGTGCTAGACACTGCTAGGACTGGAGATAAGGATAGAATGAAGTTTGCTATCTGGGAGCATATAACCTACAGAGATGGGCAAGTATGACATGATTAATTAAGCAATTAATGCATAAATGGCAAGTTTTATGAATGGCGCAAAAACACAGAACATGCTTTAAGTCTCTTGGAGGCAAAATGAATTTTTCTATTTTTTCAATACCTATAAGTCAGGGGTCCCAAACCCCTGGGCCATTGATCAGTACCAAAGACCAATAGGAACCAGGCCGCGCAGCAGGAGGTGAGCAGCGTGCCAGCGGGCATTACCACCCGAGCTCCGCCTCCTGTCCGATCAGCAGCAGCGCATTGGATTCTCATAGAACCCTATTGTGAACTGCACATGCCAGGGATCTAGGCTGCCTGCTCCATCGACTGCCTGATGATCTAAGGTGGAAGAGTTTCATCCAGAAAACCTTTTCCCCTCCTCGTCCATGGAAAAATTGTCTTCCATGAAACCATTCCTGGTGCCAAAAAGGTTAGGGACGGCTGCTGTAAGTGGTTTGCTGTATAGTGTGTGTTCAGTAAATCTGTGGGGTTAGATGCACGGTTTGCTCTGGGACCCATCAGGCTGCTTCAAGCACTTACATAAATTAGTCTTCATATGAATTTCTGAAATCAAAATAATAGCATAGCTATGCCAGTCAAAGCCAGTCAGTTTCCACTGCCTTTTAGTTTTACAGATGATTACTTTAAGCTCAGATTGCAAACCAATACAATCTTAAGCAAAGTCTTGCAGAAATTCGACTCCCATATTAAGTGAATTCAACTCCATCGATATACAGATTAGCATTAGAAAGGCTAACTGCTTGAATACTTTTATATATTAAATTATTTCTCCAATAAATTAATGTAAATTTTACTCAACAACTTTCAGCAAAATTTGAGAGGTTCAAAAAACAAAACTGACCTCAATTCTTCCTTCAGATTCTTATTTTTGTAATCCTCTTTTTTTTTTTTTTTTCATTTATATCCGGCTTCCTCTGTAAATAAGCTCTGTAATGGGTGAACAATTTAGTCATTTTACAGGAATCTAGAAATCAATGCAACTGGGGAGTAAACAAATTCATTTCAACCATATTAACCTTAAATGTTACTCTGACTTGTGCAGTACCTACACTTACCCACACTCATACACAAACTCAGAGACACATAAATAAGACACTGTCAAAAATATCACCATTATTATCTGGCATCACCCAGTCAGTTCAGAAAACAATAACAATTGAAATATGTCTCTACTAGAAGACACCTTCCTTTTATTGCCTTAAAAGATATTTCTCTGTGGTTTTCTTTTGCTACAAAAGAGCAATGGGCAAACTCAGGAATTTTCTATTTCTTTTGTGAACCTCCTACCCAGCTCTCTTACAGACATTGTCCAAGTAAACTCCTATTCTGAGATTTTGAATTTCTACTGTTACTCAAATGCCATTAAGATAAAGGTCTTAAAGACCTCAAGTTTTGTAACATCATGGTTATATGTGCTTTAATTTCTGTATGTTAATTTGGCAAGGAACCTCATCCCCTTCCAAAAAAAATCAAAAACAGCCAAATGCATTTTTAGGTCTGAAAACTAAAGGTAACCGAAAGGACCATTATATCCACTACAATTTAGAGTTAGAAGTAAATTTGTCTTAGGGACATTAGCATTTATTCACATTTGACAACTCGTGAGAAAAAGCTACCTGAAGATATTTAGAAAATGTGGAGTCCATAGAAAATATACACTTAGTAATTAAGCAAGTATAACAATTGGAAGCACAACTCAAATTAATGAAATGAGAAATAATTTGTTGAAATTTGTCATGAAAGTTATGTATACCCATAAATGTGTAAAGCATTGAGATAGGCCAGGTGCGGTGGCTTATGCCTATAATCCCAGCACTTTGGGAGGCCAAGGCAGGCAGATCACCTGAGGACAGAAGTTCGAGACCAGACTGACCAACGTGGTGAAACCCCATCTCTACTAAGAATACAAATATTAGCCAGGCATGGTGGCAGGTGCCCGTAATCCCAGCTACTCAGGAGGTTGAGTCAGAAGAATCCCTTGAGCCTAGGAGGTGGAGGTTGCAGTGAGCTGAGATCGTGCCATTGCACTCCAACCTGGGCAACAAGAGCAAGATTTCATCTCAAAAAATAAATAAAATAAAATAAAATAAAATAAAGCATTGAGATATTAATGTCCTCTAAATCTAAAGTGCTTTTACCTGTACTACTTTGATAATTGAGATCCCTTCTTATGTTTATTGGCATGTTTCTGCATTATCTATATGGTCTCCTGGCATTATGTATTTTGTACTATTAGTGCCAACGTTTAAAAGGCCGCATTTAACGGGAATGTTTGTGCAATATTAACTCCTTCTGCATTTCCTAGGTCTAGCCTTTTGGACTGAAGCCCCATGGAGGTAAAACTTCAGGTTCAAACCCAGAGTGGAGTGGAGGAGGGAAACTCAATTCATGGGAGCCCGGTGAGAGTGGATTGTATTAGCTGGAATCAACATTTCTGAGGAAACACATTGTTTGGAGCTTGAGTCCGTTTATCGATGAAGAGATTTATGATTTGATATTTTTAAAAGCTTTGCTTTATTTCCTCCTTTGAAATCTCAGGATAGCTCTTCAACCCTCCATTTTTATTTCAAGGAACCTAATAATTTGTTTCCTTCCAATGCAATGTGAATATTTATGTATTTTGAAAGTACTGGAAATATAAGCATGTGATGTGATTTGAATTCATTTTTCAGGATATTAAACTAGATTTCACTTAATAATTGTTTGATTTCCTAACAGTTTTAGACTTACAGAATTAAGAACTACTGCATAAAGTTCCCATGCATTTCATTCCCAGTTTCCCTATTATTATCGTCTTATATGAATGACTATGTATATAAGTACATCTGTCATAGTCAATGAACCAACACTGAGACATTATTATTAACTAAAGTCTGTACTTTATTCAGGTTTCCCCAGTTTTTTCCTAATGTTCTTGTTGTGTTCTAGGGTTCCACTTACACTTAACCATCATTTTTCCACGGGCTCCTTTGAATTAGGCCAACTTCTCCGCTTCCCTTGCTTTTGATGACCCTGACAGTTTTTAGGAATACTGGTCAAATATTTTGTAGAATTATCCTCAGTTGGGATTTTTCTAATGTTTTGTTTTGGGTTCTTTTTCTCATCATTAAAGTGGGGTTGTGTGAATTTGGTAGGAAGAACACAGATGTAAATTGCCATCCTCATCATATTGTATCAAGGATATGTACTGTCAATATAACTTAGCACTGCTAATGTTAACCTTGTTCACAGGGCTACAGTTTGTCAAGCTTCTTCACTGTAAAGTTGCTGATTTTCCACCATGTTTATACTACACTTATGAAAGGAAGTTGCTATGCACACATACGCGTACGCTCCCCCTCCTGAGGGTGATGTATCTACATACATTCTTCTTCATGGGAGATTGGTCTATTCTCTCCTATTGGTTTATTTATATCAGTAGAGTCATGGGTATTTATCTTATGCTTTGAGTTCTAATCCAGTGTTACTTTATTTCATTTCACAAATTATTTCAGCTTTGGCTGTTGGTCTCTCTATCAGTTGGCTTCTGTGCCCCTTTCACGTGCCTCCATCAATGTGGGTTGTATTTCCTTTCTTTCTAGCACTACAGGCTGATCTTGTGTGTGCCCTAGTCCTTGAAATAGCCATTTCTCCAAGGAAACCTGATTCTTTTTATTGGAGAATGATATTAAAAACCAAGATCTGGGTGCTAGGTTCTAGAGGTTTAAAAATATTTCCTTGTTTATTACCACAGAATAAATGGTTAATGAAGCTTAACCATAGCACCTATTCTTAAAAGGAAATAATTATGATTAATGATTGCCCCATGTGTCTTATTCTAATATTTGTTCAAAGCAACTGTTTTATAAAACTGCAGTAAATTTTCTAGAGAAAAGACTTTGTTTTAGCTATCATTTTTATCTTAGTTTCCAAAATACCTTCACTTTCATAAAAACAGTGGGAGGAGGTGGAGCAGGAGTGAATTAAACATTGCAGGATTGAAGCAGAATAATGAAAACAGGTTCATATTAATAGCAAGACGAGGGTTTCCTCACAAGGTCCTTATTCAGCTTTTATGATAAACTCTTCAGAGGGTATGTTCTAGTGTCTCACATTGATTGCATTCTAAAATGGGAAAATAACTACATTTTAAGAGGCATATAGAAATGGTATGACATATTTATCCTAAGAACACACACATATTCATTTACAAACTGTGAATTATTATATTCAGCAAATATTGACGTACCTCCTCTGGATAATTTACAGTGTATGGGTATGTGTGTTTGTGTGTGTAAGCACACACCTATAGGCACACACACACAGTCTGAAGAATCACAAGTCCATGATTTTTGTTCCCCTTACTGTTCATTTTGTCACTGATTTTTATGCATGTGCTCATTTACGTTGCTTGGGGGGGATAGAGCTATACATAAAAACAGATTATCTTTTAGAGCACTCCAGGGTTAGTTTCATTTTCCCCTCTTCTTTTAATGAAGAAAACGATAGGAAACATAAACCGCCGCCCTTAAAGAAGAAAATGCATGAAATGAAACAAGTAAGCTTTCAAAACTACGCAAAACATGACAGGCAGACCTCCAGCCTGGTGGGAGGGCTGGGGGTAAAATATGCACGGTGCACATGCGCCCAGTATACCCTCAGCACTTAAAGAAAGATAAAAGTGGTCTTGAAAGTGAATGAAGTTGACTCTCAAAAAGTGGGTTATAGATGTTGAATATTTAATTCACTGATAAAAGAGACCTGATTTCCTGCACACGGCTGCCATAAATAAGGAAAAAAAAAAACACATCTTAAAAGAGAAGCAATGAGCAGAAACTGACCTTTCTGTGAGCAAGCAGATGAGAGAAGGTATTTGGCTAATCCCAGCTGTCTGTGATTGGCCAGACAGCACCGTGTTGAAAATGTCTCCATCTGGGCTAATCTGCTCTCAGTTGGATGAGCTGAGGCCTTCAGAGTTAACCTGACATTTAACAATAATTACCCTTTCGAATGACCCTGGCCCAATCGCCTGCTCTCTTAGAAATCTCTTTTTTTGTGCATGCTCCCAAACCCCTTGACTTTTGTGTTAGAGATAGGGGGAAAAAAAGATGAGATGATATCACTCGTGTGTGTAAACACACAGAAGTGTGTGGTTGTGTGTATGTGAGTATGTGCATACATACATGTATGTGTGTGTATATATATATATATATATATATATATATATATATATACACACACACACATATATACACATACTTGTATAACATAACATAGATAAGAACTGGGGATCTCCAACTGGTAATGAGCCTGATTTAATGGCTCCATTTTCCTGTCCCGAATTCTGCAGTTTATCAACCTCCTGTGGTGTTGGAAAAAAATATATAGAGGAATAACATCACCAATTAAAGAGGGACAGAATTTGTTTACTGGTTATTTTATGAAAGTCAAAGTTCCAGTCTGGCCTTGCTCAAGCACTTGAGTGTCCCTTATCAGACACCAGGAGAAATGGTGCATGAAAAGAGGTTCAGATAGAAAAACCAAGTTCAGAGGTCACGGAGGCTAACTGTAGATGAAATGTGGCCATTTCTTTTTACCTGAGGCTGGCTTCATCTTTTCTTAGAAAGGTCATTGTGATAAAACAAAAACACATCTTGGAAAGAAAATCCATTCTGGGGTTTTATTTACTTAAAAAAAATAATCAAAAGCTTTTCCCAGTTTAGACTGGCATTTTTCCAGAGCTGCTCTATCAAATGCCACCATAAGACATTGCAGTTTCTAACACTAATATTTAGTAAGGCACTTCCATGAGGCTGAAGTTTCGGTGTGAATAACCACCCCAAAGTTCAAGTACTTTAGCTTGGTCCAAAATATCAGGCTTAATTAGCTTAGCAAAGTGATCTGAAACTCCCACAAGCACCATTTCTCTTGAACTTTGTGGTATTTGCTAGGTTTTTGTCCACTTTAAAATGCCAAGAGAATAAATAATTTTGAATATTTCTTCCCATCTTTTCTATAACTAATACAGAAAAAATAACATAAGAATACATGTAGGCATAAAACACTTATGTAAAAGAAAGTGATGTTCTTGAAAATAAATGTGAAAATATTTTATGTTTCTCTATTTTCTCACCTGTCTTCCTAATTTACATTTTTAGAAAAATAAATTTTACATCATAGTTATATTTTCATATTTTATCATCATCTTTTTCAGTAGCCAATTAGAACCATGGATGCCAAGGAATGTGTGTGAATATGTGTACATGTACATATATATATACACATATATAGATGTAGGTACGTTTCTCCTGGGAACTAATTGCAGATTTCAAATCAATTATTGCTTCTCTTTTTGCTCTACACCAATTTGGTGTTTTCTCATGATCCAACTTTCTTGTTGGTCGATAAAAAATGTTGATGAGAAGTAATAAAATATTAAAATAAAACTTCATGAAAAAATTGTTTTTGTTATTCTAAAATTGAAATTTAGGAAAACTAACAGCACATACTTCTATTCTCTTTGCACAGACCCATTTGTTGTAGGGGTATGAATATATGCTTGTGTGTATGTCTTTAAAAATGTAATGTTTAATACACTAACATTTCCGCCGGGCGTGGTGACCCACACCTGTAATCCTAGCACTTTGGGAGGCCGAGGTGGGCAGATAGCCTGAGCTCAGCAGTTCAAGACCAGCCTGGGCAACATGGCGAAACCCCATGTCTACTAACAATTAGCCGGGCATGGTGGCAGGCACCTGTAATTCCAGCTACTCAGGAGGTGGAGACATGAGAATTGCTTGAACCCAGGAGGCAGAGGTTGCAGTGAGCCGAGATCGTGCCACTGCACTCCAGCCTCTGTCTCCAAAAATAAATAAATAATTAAATAAAAACATCAATATTTAATGTATTGTGTCGGCTTATTCTTTAATGTCCCTAACAGATTTATTTAACATTAAGCAAAAGAAAGTAACTGCTATGTGCCGGGCGCTGTAATATTTGCTAGGAATACAAAGGTAAACAGGACAAGCTTCATGAACCAACATTTTAGTGAGAATGAGAGTGTACATGCCTAAAGTTGATTATAAATGAGGGAGTAATTATTATGTAGTAAACGTATATTAGAAATATACAAAGATACTCTATAGATTAATTTAAATTGTTACCTAAGATATTCTTGTAAAAAGATATTATAATATTTCTTACATGATAACCCTCACCTTCGAGTTCTTATTTTACTAATGAGATATTTGTTTATTAAGCCCCTATCAGAAAACTATATCAGTATTCTGATTAGCCATAGTGATATGGTTAGATCTAATGAGGTCAACATCTCAATTCTGATCCCTAAGAGGCTAATTTTGAACATTCACTCCTATGTGGAATCATCCACCCTAAAAAAGTGTCACGGCATCTGTGCCTTATTGGCTATATGATCTATTCTTTTGATATTCTGAGAAAGCCACAGATGGATGTAGAGTATGTAGGGTGGAAGAATCATTTACCGGGTTTACCAGATATCTCCAGCCTTGTCTCTTGGGCACACAGCAATATTGCCCTTCCTGGCATTAGCTTAAAGGATTCATATGGTCAGTTTGAGCCAATGAGTTGTGAGTGAAACTGATTCATGGAAGTTCCATACTGGAGCTTTCAGTTGCCAATGCAAGACCCAACAGTGCCTGCTTTTCTCTCATTCACAGCAACTGACAATGTTTAAGATGGTGGGTGCTTCATCTACTGGGGTTCCTGATTGACTAAGATGAGCAGAGCCCAGCTGTAAGCCTGCTAAGTACATGCTGCTTACATAAGAAATATGCCTTCGTTATTTTAAGGTATGAGATTCTGGACTTGTTTCTTATGCAACATAACATGAAGCTGTTTTCTTCCTCAAACAGCAGTTTATACATTTGATTGACAGGAGTGAGATTGGAGGCAGCAGATCACTTAGGAGATTACTATGGATGCACAAGAGAAGAGTATAGAAGATAAAAAGCAGAAAAAAATACAGAGAAGAAGGCAGACTTGATAAATAATTATGGAAAGAACAAACACTACTTCTTTGTGGAGACTGAAAAAGAGAACAGGCTGGGTGCGGTGGCTCATGCCTGTAATTCCCCAGCACGTTGGGAGGCCGAGGCAGGCGAATCACGAGGTCAGGAGTTCGAGACCAACCTGGCCAACATAGTGAAACCCCTTCTCTACTAAAAATACAAAGATTAGCCAGGTATGGTGGTGAGTGCCTGTAATCCCAGCTGCTGGGGAGGCTGAGGCAAGAGAATCACTTCAACCCGTGAGGTGGAGGTTGCAGTGAGTCCAGATGGTGCCGCTCCAGCCTGGGCAACAGAGAGAGACTCTGTCTCAAAAAAATAAAAATAAAAAAAAGAGAGAGAGAGAGAAGACCTAGAGATGTTTTAGAAAAACCATAGCACAGAGAATTAGAGAATGATGGTTAGCAGGTATTGGCAAGTAAAGGAAAGTATGGCCTTAAAGAGTAAAATCCCTAGGTACAAATTAGAAATATGGAACAACCAGGACTATAGATATAGATTGGGTGTCTCATCATATAAATCAAATGTTACATAAATTGCCAAGACACAACAATAAAAGTTATAGAAAGTCAAAATGACACAATCAAGAATTTCCACCAAAGGACATAGAGAGGTAATTCTACCAGGTAATTGAACAATAGAACGGTGGTCTACTATGAAATTCTGATGAAAAATATAATGAGGCAGGGTATAGGCAATAGTGTGGTATATTACTGAGAAATCAGAGGGGGTGAGGACTGAGGAAAGGCCACTGGCTTTGGCAATCTTCCTTTTGATTTTTATCTGGTAAGAGTTTAAATCTATGCTAAGGAAGAGGAAGCCTTTGGTACATGTGGCGAATCTGAGGATAAAATTAAGATGGCAGCTTCAAAAGCAGACTGAGTGAATGATTAGAAGGCTTGATTTTTTTTCCCTCAATATAGTTGTTACTTAGAAATATTTGCAAACATAGGGGATAAAATAATGAAAAAAAGATACATAGAAGGTATGCACAATTTTGTAGGAATTGAGGAGAAAGAGAAGAGAGAGAGAGGAGAGTCTGGTCTAGTGCACACTTGCTTATTTCTTATACCTGCCAAACAAGCCCATGGGTTTATATTTGAGTCATTCTTTCCTTGAGATAATTCTCAGACCTTTCTGTCACTCTGCCTACCTGTTTTCCAGGGCTTGCACTGACTTATCAGAGGTGTTATTTCATAGCCCAAATCCTAGGCACAGCTGCTTCCCAATGACCTCATGGAGCTTCAGCAACAGCACAGCAACTGGGCAAGTGGAGGTTGCTGAGGGCCGAATGGGCCCCCTGAATTCATGTGTTGAAACTTAATTGGCATTGTGATCATATTAAGAGATGAGGCCTTTGAGAGGTGATTAAGTCATGAGGCTCTGGGATTAGTGACCTTATAAAACAGGTTAAAGGGAGCTCCCTAGGCCATTTTCACTCTTTCACCTGTCAGCATTTAAGGTTCTAGCTTGGAAGTAGAGAGTGACCCCTCACCAGACATGGAACCTCCTAGCACATAGATTTTGGACATCCCAGCCTTCAGAACTGTGAGAATTCAGTTTCTATTACTTACAAATTGCCCAGTGTGTGGTAATGTATTATAGGAGCAGAAATGGACTATGACAGCGGCTGCTATGGTTTGGCTGTGTCCCCACCCAAATCTCATCTTGAATTCCCACGTGTTGTGGAAGGGACCTGGTGGGAGGTAATTGAATAATGGGGCAGGTCTTTCCCATGCTATTCTCCTAATAGTGAATAAGTCTCACAAGATCTGATGGTTTTAAAAATGGGAGTGTTCCTGCACAAGCCCTCTCTCTCTTTGCTTCTTGCCATCCATGAAACATGTGACTTACTCCTCCTTGCCTTCTACCATGATTGTGAGGCCTCCCCAGCCATGTAGAACTGTAAGTCCACTAAACCTCTTTCTTTTGTAAATTGTGCCATCTTTCGTATGTCTTTATAAGCAGCATGAACATAGACTAATACAGTAAATTGGTACCAGTTGAGTGGGGTGTTGCTGAAAAAATACCTGAAAATGTGGAAGCAACTTTGGAACAGGGTAAAAGGCAGAGGTTGGAACTGTTTGGAGGGCTCAGAAGAAGACAGGAAAATGTAGGAACATTTGGAACTTCCTGAAGAGTTATTAAGTGGCTTTCATAAAAATACTGATAGTGATATGAACAATAAGGTCCAGGCTGAGGTGGTCTCAGATGAGATGAGGAGCTTATTGGAAACTGGAGCAAAGATGACTCTTGTTATGTTTTAGCAAAGACTGGCAGCATTTTGCCCCTGCCCTAGAGATTTGTGGAACTTTGAACTTGAGAGAGATGATTTAGGGTATCTGGCAGAAGAAATTTCTAAGCAGCAAAGCATTCAAGAGGTGACTTGGGTGCTGTTAAAGGCACTCAGTTTTAAAAGAGAGACAGAGCATAAAAGTTCAGAAAATGTACAGCCTGACAATGCAATAGAAAAAAGAAAATTCCATTTTCTGAGGAGAAATTCAAGCTGGTTGTAGGAATTTGCATAAGTCAAAAAGACCCCAATGTTAATCCCAATGACAATGGGGAAAATGTCTCCAGGGCATGTCAGAGGTCTTCATGGCAGTCCCTCCCATCACAGGCCTGGAGGCCCAAGAGGAAAAACTGGTTAAGTGGGTTGGGTCCAAGGTCCCTGTTCAATGTGCAGCCTAGAGACTTGGTATCTTGCATCCAAGCCACTCCAGCCATGACTAAAAGGGGGAAGGTACAGCTCAGACTGTGGCTTCAGTGGATGGAAGCCCTAAGCCTTGGCAGCTTCCATCTGTTAAGCCTATGAGTGCACAGAAGTCAAAAATTGGAGGTTTGGGAACCTCCGCCTAGATTTCAGAAGATGTACAGAAACACCTGATGTCCAGGCAGAAGTTTGTTGCAGGGGCAGGGCTCTCATGGAGAACCTCCTCTAGGGCAGTGGAGAAGGGAAATGTGGGGTCAGAGTCCCCACACAGTGTCCCTACTGGAGCACAGCCTAATGGAGCTGTGAGAAGAGGGCCACCGTTCTCCAGACACCAGAATGGTAGATCCACTGACAGCTTGCACCATGTGCCTGTAAAAGCCACAGGCACTCAATGTCAGCCCATGAAAGCACCTGGGAGGGAGGCTGTACCCTGCAAAGCCACAGGGTAGAGCTGCTCAAGACCATGAGAACCCCCCTCTTACATCAGCATGACCTGGATATGAGACATGGTGTCAAAGGAAATTATTCTGGAGCTTTAAGATTTGACTGCCCTGCTGGATTTCAGCCTTGTGTGGGGCCGGAAGTCCTTTTTTTGGCCAGTTTCTCCCATTTGGAATGCCTGTATTTATCCAATGCCTGTACCCCCATTGCGTCTAGGAAGTAACTAATTGCTTTTGATTTTTAGGCTTATAGGTGGAAGCAACTTGCCTTGTCTCCAATGAGACTTTGGACTGTGGACTTCTGAGTTAATGCTGAAATGAGTTAAGACTTTGGGGGACTGTTGAGAATGCATGATTGGTTTTGAAATGTGAGGACATGAGATTTGAAAGGGGCCAGAGGCATAATGACATGGTTTGGCTCTGTCCCCACCCAAATCTCATCTTGAATTTCCATATGTTGTGGGAGGGACCCAGTGGAAGGTAATTGAATCTTGGGGCAGGCCTTTCCTATGCTGTTCATGATAGTGAATAAGTCTCACAAGATCTGATGGTTTTTAAAATGGGAGTTTTCCTGCACAAGCTCTCTCTCTCTTTGCCTGCTGCCATCCATGAAACATATGACTTACTCCTCCTTGCCTTCCACCATGATTGTGAGGCCTCCCCAGCCATGTAGAACTGTAAGTCCATTAAACATCTTTCTTTTGTAAATTGCACAGTCTTGGGTATGCCTTTATCAGCAGTGTGAAAACGGACTAATACAGAGGCTTATGTTTATATTTCATTTTTTTTTTAGATGGAGTTTCACTCTTGTTGGTCAGGCTGGAGTGCAATGGCATGATCTCTGCTCACTGCAACCTCTGCCTCCCAGGTTCAAGCGATTCTCCTGCCTCAGCCTCCCGAGTAGCAAGGATTACAGGATGTTCCACCACCCCCAGCTAATTTTTTGTTTTTAGTAGAGACAGGGTTTCTCCACGTTGGTTAAGATGGCCTCGAACTCCTGACCTCAGGTGATCCGCCCACCTCAGCCTCCCAAAATGCTGGGATTGAAGGCATGAGCCACCATGCCCAACCTATATTGCATTCTTAGTAACAATTAGACTCTGTGGCATCGAAGTTAATCCTTCAAAGATTTTTTTTTTCCTTTCTGTTGAGAAGAAGAACAAAACAAGAAGTAGAAGCAGAAGCAGAAGCAGAAGCAGAAGAAGAAGAAGAAGAAGAAGAAGAAGAAGAAGAAGGCAAAAAGGAGGAGGAGGAGAAGGAGGAGGAGGAAGAGGAGGAAAACGTAAAGAAGCAGCAGCCGCAGCCCTATTTTACTTTCGCTTCAGGACAGGCCCCTAGGCCATTGTAAGCCCTCAATGAAATGACCATTACTTTTTTTGGAACTATTAACCAATTGCTATTCTCAGAATAAGGATAATCTTTCATAAAACGGTGCCTCAAAGTAGCTGTTTGTCATGCCCAGACCCTTCATTCTCTCAAAGTTTAACTCAAAAATCAATAATTTTAGTTGGGTTTGGGGTGCTAGCAGTCTTCACTGGGTATGTTGTGACATCTGAATAATTTCCAAATGAAAATAAAAACCACTAAGTTTGCCTTATTTTATGACACCTCAAATATACCACCCTGTTAGTAAAAAGAAAAATTAAATTGTATTTATTAACTTCAAAACAGTGTTTTTAAAAAAATAACATTTTAAATATTTTTCCTTTATACAATTCATCATGTTCATTGGAGAAATTTGGGAAAGCATTAAAAAATTGAAAGAAGGCTAAAAGTAACTTAGCTGCTGCCATTCGTTTTCCTATTTCTAAAAATGGTAATAAGTACTAATAGATAAATGATATTAACCAACGATCGGGCACAGTGGCTCACGCCTGTAATCCCAGCACTTTCGGAGGCTGAAACGGGTGAATCACCTGAGTTCAGGAGTTTGAGACCAGCCTGGGCAACATGGTGAAACCCCGTCTCTACTAAAAATACAAAAAATTAGCCGGGTGTGGTGGTGGGTGCTTGTAATCCCAGCTACTCAGGAGGCTGAGGCAGGAGAATTGCTTGAACCTGGGAGGCAGAGGTTGCAGTGAGCCGAGATCACGCCATTGCACTTAAGCCTGGGTGACAGAGTGAGACTTCATCTCAAAAAAAAAAAAAAAAAAAAAATTAAATAACTTAGGGAATTGACTAAAAGCCAAACTAGGTTTCCTATATGAATGATGCCACTGAGTTCCTCATCAATTGTATTCTGTAGGTTTTGCTATTTTCGATGTTTAGATTAGAAAAAAAATCCTTTATTTAGAGGAGTTACAGAATTTGTTTAAGGCTCAGCACTGCTGCTATTTTGGCTAAGTAATTCCGTGTTGTGGGGAGTGTCCTGTGCATTGTAAGAAATTTAGCAAGACCTCTAGCCCATTAAATGCCAGTGGCACTCCCACCTTAGTTGTGACCATCAAGAATGTCTTTAGACATTTTCAACTGTCCCCTGTGCAGCAAAATCAAGCCCCAGTTGTGAACCATTGGTTCTAAGTCACACTCCTGGTTAGTGATAGGGGCAGGAATCCAAGCCTATTCCATCTTTCTTGATAGTTGTGATCTTATTCCAAATACATTTTACATCTTGTCTTCTCCATTTCACTCGTGGTATAATTGGCTTAAACATTCTTCTTCTTCCTCTTTTTTTTTTTTTTTTGAGACAGGGTCTTGATCTGTCATTCAGGCTGGAGTGCAGTGGCACAATCACAGCTCACTGCAGTCTTGACCTCTAGGCTCAAGTGATCCTCCCATCTCAGCCTCCTGAGTAGCTGTGACCACGGGTGTGCAACACCACACCAGGCTAATTATTATTATTATTATTATTATTATTATTATTATTATTTGTAGAGATGGAGTCTCCATATGTTGTCCAGGCTGGTTTCAAACTCCTGGGCTCAAGTGATCAAGATGGTTAAAAATGTCCCTTGAGAAATAAAAGCACATGTGTTACCACTAATGTCATTAGTGTAATAAGTTTTAAGTACAATACAACAATTAACCCCAGCTATATTTAGCCTACTAATAATTACTGGGGATCCATGACCTTTGGATTCCCGTGGCCACTCTCAGTTTTCCAGGGAAAGCTCTGGCCAAGGAAATAATTTTTATTAATACTTGTGAAATGAGTCATCATCTTCTGAATTGTGTACCAATCCACTAGTATTGGTTCTTTTCACAGAACTTTGTTTCTTCCCCAAGACCTAGACACCGGCAGTTCCATCAAGGAGGTGATCATAATGGACGCTTAGTGTATTATGCACTTACTAGGATTAGAGTGCCAGGCTTTATGTAAGTTATCTCATTTAATCTACATGGAAAGCATTACTTGCATTTTGCAGGTGAGTACACTGAGATTTGCTAAGTATAAATTATTTATTCAAGTTCAGAAGTGAGAAAATGACAACACTGACATTTTTTACCAAACCTATACAGTTTCAACTTGCATCACATTAATGGACCTCAAAGATATTTCCTCTGACAAGAGCCTTAAAATTTGCAGATCCTGCAAAGATTGTTCTACTACCATCAGCTTTGATCACACCTGAGAAGTTGCTACAAATACAGATGCAAGACTCTGAGAGTAGGTTATAGCAATTCCCTTTACAAATCCTTCAGTGATTCTGAGGTATGCTTAAGACTGAGAACCACTGGTCTCCCAAAAAACTTCCTCCACTTCACCTCCCTCGACCTCAGTCAGTAATGTGCGCACTTGTGTTCATTTTGAGTAACGGCAGTGTTTTTGTCATTTTTTTCATGTGTGTGTCAAATGTAAGGTTTTCTTGCTTCTAACCTGACTTTAGAGAATATCTATTTTTAAGAATTTCTCCAATTTCCCCTTATTTCTTCTTTTTTAAAATAATGTTTTTATTTGAGATGTAACTTACATGACATATAATTTACCCACTTAAGGTGTACAACACCATGGTTTTTAAGATATTCACACAATTGTAAAATAATCAGTTTTAGTACATTTCTGTCACCTGCGAAGAAACCCTATAATTATTGGCACTCACTCCCTTGTTCATTGACTTCTGACGTCTTATACCTCTTTCTATATTTCTTCATATTGTTAGGCTTGATTTGTACAAGACTCTTACCTGACAGAGGCTGAAGAGAATGGTGTATTATGGTGTGCATAATACACTAAGCTTCCTTTATGATCACCTCCTTGATGGAACTGCAGGTGTCTAGGTCTTGGGGAAGAAACAAAGTTCTATGGAAAGGCTAATTCCATCTTTATCATACATTTCAAAACAGCTTTCCTAACCATTCATCACATTTGTTCAAACAGTACAGGTTTCGTCAAAAATGTCAGTGTTGCCATTTTCTCACTTCTGAATTTGAATAAATAATTTATACTTAGCAAACCTCAGAATTAATCCTAATTCTGATTCGTTTTTGATTCATTCGATGCTTACGTTGAAATTATAGTCATCGATTGTGGTGACTAGTTGTTTCCTTTACAAGTTTTCTTACATTGTTTCAGATACATCATATGAATAACACTGTCGAGCTTGTTTCACTCTAGTTGACTACCTTCCCCAAACTGCACTGAAGTTTCCAAAAAGAGATCTCTTCACACTATTTTGTTTTCCCCTTTCACAGTCAATTAGTAATGGCTGCCAATGTGGGGCAAGGCAGAAGAGTTGGAGCACTGCCCTTGAGAAAATGCCATGATGAGATATTGCCATAGAAGCATGTGTCATCAAAGGTCATAAGACAACTGAGGCGTCCGTATTTAGGCAAAAGCACAGGCTCAAAGATAAGAAAATTGCTTAGGCATACATATCTTTACCATGGCCTTTTAGCAACTGGGCTAATGAAAAGGAAATAAACAATAAAACCTGGAAATATTTGAGATTAGAAAATTAATCCGGCACAGTCCACAAAGTCAGTATTCATAGGTTAATTCCATCTTTATCATACATTTCAAAACGGCTTTCCTAATCATTCATCACAAACCATCTAGAAAGTTCTTTGACAGGTCAGAAGTGTGGCCTTCCTTTCAGAATAATTTAAGGTCTTACCTCACTCATGGGGGCTACTTGGAAAGCCCCAGTAGACCAATAAACACGTCTTTCTGCACAATGCCCTGCCACTGTCTATACCACAAAAACATGTGCATTAGTGACTCATCTCCACCATGCTATTTTCTCCATGGCATAATAAAAGTAGTTAATTAGATCACACTAGAATGCCTATCAGTAAACTGCAGAAGTACAAATGGCCCCTTTTAAAGCTATGGAGCAAATAAAAGGCTCCTTGTGAAATTCTTCTGAAATGAACATGAAAGTACTGGGAAGAAACTTACCTGCATTCTTTCTTTTTACCTGCACACCCCTCCCTGCTGCTTTGTTTTTTAAGTCACCCAGACTTTGTCTTTTCAGTAATGTCATAATCAGCAGGCTGAAAGCAAGGTTGCTGATACTTGTTCTTTATGTTGCTCTTTGTTTAGTATCTGATTCAATACATCTGTATAGACACCATTTCATCACCTTCTTAGTAACAGAGGTGAAAAAAATCGATGGCAATCAGATTACCTTGTTAACAGAAAGGCTAGAGGGTCAGTGTGTTAAGTTCACAGTGCATCACCTTTCATTTAAAACATTTCACTTTTTTTATTATTTATCTTTATTATTATTTATAGCACCGAGCCCAGAGCGTTTCCTAACACAGAGTGCGGCCTTGCATTTGTCTTCGGCAGAGCCAAGCGTTTCTGCCACATCACGGATAGGTCGGAGACCTCCGGTGCAGGCCGGATTAAAAGCCTGCAGACAGCCCACCGCTGCCATTTCTCACAAAGTGGTTTGGACCAGTCCCGAAGGACTCTGGTTGCAAGACCAATTTTGTGATCTGAGTTGTCACATGATATTGTATCTATTGTTGTGTTTGTTATTTACTGTTGGTCCTTATTAAGATCACTGTTATTGTCCACAGAAGCAATGTGCCCCAAGCTATGTAAGAGGTATTATAATGTGTCCAAACAACAAAAGCTCTCAATGGGGAACTTCCGGATGAAAGACATAGGACTGCACAGACCAAAACAATGGGGACGGATGCAGGGCAGTCATACACAGAGGGTTAGGCGATTACTGCAAGAGGAAGTGCTTTGAAGAACAGGTGGGTATGAGGAGGTTTTTGAAAGTGGAGAAGGATGTTATGTTATTGCAAACATGTTATTGTTTGAGCTTAGTGGATAATTCAACAACATTTAAAAAAATAGAAAGGCACGATTGGACCTAAAACTCTAAGACGAGCTGGAAGACACGGAAAGCACGTAGGAGAGACACCGGTTTCATTGCAGTTGGTTTCAATATCAAACGGTAAGGAAAGACTTGGCCAGTGCTTATCTTTGATTGTAATGCGTGGGTCAAATGTCAGTTCGCCTCTGCTCAATTAGTGGCCCTGCCAGTGTCCATGTGGGATCCTTGAGCTTCAGCTCAGGCCTCTGCATCATTGGAGTATTCTAGGACCCTCGAGAGGCCCCTAGAAACAGAAATATTAGCTGAGTTTCTGGAGATAAGGCCCTGGAATGAGCTGAGGTGGCCCTGTAGCTTGGTATAAGTGAGTTAATTTTTCTGGACTATTTCTGGGCTATGTTTTGGAAACAGGAATCGAACTTAGATGATGACCTGAGATCATGCCAAATATTCAGATTTCATACCAAATTCAGCAGGCCATGCCCACCACAGCCCCAGGTTGGCTGCCAGGTAGACGCACCAGTTGCTTTCAGAGAGCCATGAGATTTAGAAACTTCATTCCATTGACGCTTCATAATATTCTCAACAAAGTATGTACTAGGATCTCCTCTTCACACACAGAAATTGGAAAGCCAAATTATGTAAGTTGTAAGAGGCAGAATAAGGATTTGAGCTCAGGCTCATTTGATTTAGAGGCTCTGTTTGTTCCTCTCCATTGTTGTTTCTTAGACTGTGATCCCCAGACCACAGCACTGGCATTTCCTGGGATCTTGTTAGAAATGCCAATTCTTGCATGGAAGGCTTTGCACAAGTGAGTACAAACGGCTGGACCATCACTTCAGGGATCTATACTCTCCCCAGCAAGCTTTCTAGGTCATCACAGATCTACTGAATCAGAATCCTTGGGCATGGGATCCAACAATTTGTGTTTTCATAAGACCCTTGGCTTATTCTGGTACATACTAATTTACACACATTATCAGAGGCCAGCGCTGCATGTCCTATAGTCCTCAGAATCACTCTGGAATCCCGGTGTTTCGGCTAGCAGCACAGCACAGAGTGGGACACCTGGAACGATCTCAACACCAGGACTACTGTCCCTGTCTCCAATGCCACTAGGACAAGGTCAGAGCAATTTGGGTTCCTTAGGAGATGACATTTTGATGTCATGCATTTAGGCATAATTATTCATTATAAGATGCAACATCATAAAGCCATATGCAGATTAGGTTAAATGGCAGAGCAGTCTAAATAGACAACCAATGATGTTTATCTCAGAGCAATAAAAAACTCTTGTTTTACCAAAGAGCTATTGCCTGGACCTGCATTTTCAAATTTCTAAAGTGACTTTTGTACACTAAATTCTAAATTCCCTAGAGAATTCTTAATCAACATTTTTTAAATTTTAAAAATAAGTCATGCAACCATCGATTAGGACTCTTCAAAATTATCAGAGGTTACAAGGATACGTGAGTGGTCCTGGATTAGATCTTGGTCCAGGGAAGGACAGAACAACCACTTTGTACTTCTTTTATTAATTTGCAAATTGTCTTTGGCCTCTTCAGGACAAATCCTTGAGTTCTTTTGATAGAATCACTACTGTGATTCTATTATCTTTGATAATTTCCTTGCTTTTCACTGTATCTTTTTTTGTTTGTTTTATTGTGTCTTCTTGCACCTATAACTCTTTCCTTTTCTTCTCTATCTTTGCTACTTATTGTGATTTAGCTTTTAATAATGGTTTGAATTTTAATTTGAAGGAGATTATGCTGTAAAACATCTGTACTATAAGTAAATAAACACATACATATGTATACATTATAAACCAACAACTCTTTTTAGGTATCATTTTGGCAGCACATATTTAAAACATTTGTAGAATATTTATACCCTTTGGCAAAGCAGATACATTTCTGAGGGTCTATCCTGAAGAAATACCCATGAATTTGGATAGAAACTGTAAAACAAGACATTATGATTTTCAAAACCAAAAAAGTGATAAAAACAAAAACTATAGCCTACAATCCTAAACTTAGCAAAATGAAAAGAATTAACTGAGCACCATACAGCTGTTTAAATATGTAATTATGAAAACACTTTAGTATCTTGTAAAAGTACTTTCATATAATTAAATGTGAAAAAAGCATAATATGAAATTGTCGATACAGTATGATTACAATTATAAAATACATATGCCTATGATAAGAAAATATGAGGTAATAAACACAAATGAATAATAAGTGTGTTGGTAGGTTAATTGTATAATGAACAATTTTTCTTGATTTCTCTTAAAGTTTCTGTAACACTGTTATATTAACTTATAATTTTAATAAAATTATTTAAACCATTCCAATTGTTGCTAGTATCAGAATGGATGGGTGAAATATATTGATCATCTTCTTTTCATTATATTTATTCACTTTATTATGTATAATCCATGAAGATTATTTGGATTAAAGGAGAAATTAAAAAAAAAAACCCACTCAGAACTTTTAGAGGCATCTGGCTGCTCTTCCAGGTTTTCCAGGTATCTTGTTGCCAGTTCCCTTCCACAGTGTCGCTCCTTCTGAGCAGCTCAGACACTGAATGGTACTAACACTGCCTGCAACGTGTACCTTGCTTTGACTCCATTTGTGCAGGAGGACTTTGGGGAAAGCTGCCACTACTAAAGGCTTTAGCTTCTGTTCAGTTGTCTAATAAAACTGCATAGTAGAGACTGAATAAAATGGGACACAGCTGTACTGTCCACTGAGCATTATGAAATACATACAGGTAGATGTATACACATAGATAAGATCCAAAACTCAGTGATACAATCAATGTTTATATCCAGATTATCATTCTAGGCAACCAAATCTATGTCTCAAATCAAGATCATACTAATTATCTATATTCAATCAATGATATAAATCTTAATACTTAAATCCAGCATATCTTTTATTTTGCATCTCAAATGTGGATTGAACTAAACGTTAATAAAAGTATAACCACTAAATCTTGGAAATCTACAGCTGCCACTGTCCAATCAAGTGTCTCCAATTGCATCTACTGGTATGATGGAAAAATAATGCGTTCGTAGCAGGAAGATTTGAGTGTGAAGCCTATTTAGCTATACGTGTACAAAACCGGGTAGCCTTGGTCAAACCTCAACTACTCTATTTCTTCATGTTAAGAAAAAGATCATTAAGCCTCACCTATTTTGCATGTTCACTGGAGATCATAGTGGAAAATGTAAGAAGTCACTTTTCTTATTGAATTCAAGAATATAGAACTTTGTTTTGTCTACACTGCTCTTTTCCCCATTACTGTCATTCCCCATTACATTATTAAGGGTTTACATCCATCTTCATGTACTTGTTATAACTGCTTTCATTGATTGAGCAAAATGACAAAATCTCACCAGAGATTTTATTTGTGCTGCCACTGCCAAATCTTACTTATTTGTCCTATCTATAACTGCAGGCTTCATATATACCTCAGTCACAGAACTAACCTATCATCTTGTGCTGAAACAATCTGCTGATTTACCTCTCCATTACTTTACTTTTTAAGTTCCTTGAAGTTGAGGACATTTTTCCCACCTAGAGTATACAATTCCAGGACTCAGCATGGTTTCTAGATGATTTTAGGCACTTGTGGAATATTTGTGTGAAGTCTTTTGAGGAGACAGTTAATCAAATTGATTGGAATGAGAAGTGTTGGGTATAAATTAAAGATTGAAAAAGATGAGAGAAAACCTTAAATGATGGTTAAATTCACCAGACTTTATCCCAAAGCACTAAATGTTTATTGAGGATGAAGTGAGCGAAGTTTTAGGAAGATTAATCAGGGGGAAAGCAGTGGAAGTCCTGAAGGAGAAGGAAGCCAGGAGACTAGCATAAGTTAACAGGTGCCTCAACCACAGCTATGGATGAGGGAATAAAAATTCAAGAGGCGATGGATGAGAACTTACCAAAGATATATCAAAATACTACTGTGGTATTGCCTCCATCTTTAAATACTAGTCACTTCTTTTCAGATGCTGTGGTAGATTTCAAAGGCTAAAGCTACCTCGTTAACTTTTGTTGCACTAGATCTTGTCTAAGTTCTAGAGGTGCTGATGATCTAGATCATCAGGAGCTAGATACAAATGGGTTTATTCTTTAGTGAACTGCACTACTTAAGCAAGAATCTCGTATCAGTGATATGGTTGCTCCTCTCAATAGCCACATTTATCAGACTAGCGTGATATTGTTCTAAATGATGTCATTTTGATGAAATAAACTGGAAGGGCACTTTAGAATTTTTTAACTGAAAAATTATCTCAGCCGGGAGTGGTGGCTCATGCCTGTAATACCAGCACTTTGGGAGATCGAGGTGGGCAGATCACAAGGTCAAGAGATTGAGACGATCCTGGTCAACATGGTGAAACCCTGTCTCTACGAAAAGTACAAAAATTAGCTGGGTGTGGTGGTGGGTGCCTGTAGTACCAGCTACTCAGGAGGCTGAGGCAGGGGGATTGCTTGAACCTGGGAGGCGGAGGTTACAGTGAGCCGAGATCACGCCACTGCCCTCCAGCCTGGTGACAGAGCAAGACTCCGTCTCAAAAAAAAAAAAAAAGAATTATCTTAGGACAAAAATTCATCAACATTTGACACCTTCTTTAAATGTACTTAACAAATGTATTTTTAAAGTTTTATTTAGGAGAGAAAATTGTCAAATCCCAAAGGAAGAAACGAGATACAGGAGACAAAGGGGCCAATGACTGAGTGAATTCAACAAGGTTTTCATTTTTTATTCATTGATGTGTGTTTAAGCATCTTTCAGATTTAACTGAATTTCAGGTTGAATACATGTAACTATGAGGAACCTCTTCACCACAGAATCCCACGGCTGGAGTCATTTTAATTAATTAAGGGTTACAGACGTTAGTAACGAGTTTAGGCTGCAGAATGAAATTGTCTCATGAAGTGGCAAGTTCCTCCTGTGTTCTCACTTCCTTCATCTGGATTAGGGCAGGCGGAAGTGGAATCTTGTCAATAGATTTTTAAAAGCCTTGTCCCTAGGATGACTTCACACCTAAGTCTAATGACTCGTATAGAAAAGTAAGGAAAAATAAGTATTTATAACTAATATTATAAGTAAAAAAATATTCACATAGAAGCAAAAGTAATTCACTCCCATTTGGGAGGTTCTTGCAAGTTTCTGAAATGTGGCAAGTTTCCGAAAAGTTTAGAAAAGGAATCAGTAGAAATTTTTCCATCTCTACAAAGCTTACAGAATATGGAAGAAAATCCTGTTTCTTGTTGGATTTTTCTTAATACCTAATGTAAAATAATTTAAGGACAAAATAAGAAAAAGTTCTCCAAATAATTTCTCTCTCTCTCTCTCTCTCTCTCTCTCTCTCTCTCTACATATATATAGATATAGATATAGATACACATATACATATAGATAGATAGATAGATAGATATAGAGATAGATATAGTGTGTGTGTGTAGATATATTTAATCTCTTTGTGAAGTTCAGTACTACACTAATTAAAATCAAGAATAGTAAGAATACTATGACCCTGTCCTCCAGTAGTTTATAATCTTGCTAGTTACTTAAGATGTATACATAAGAAACACTTAAAAATAAAGGCATCATGTAATAAAGCAACAATATATAGAGTAGAAGGAAAGAGATATAAAAGAGATGAAAATGACCAAAATTAAATGATGCTTACTTAGTGGCAGATTCTGTGCTAGGCAATTTTAACTTAAAAATATTTTTAATTACAAAATAAAAAATAATTTTCTCACATTTCTTAAAATTGAGAAAACACATGAGAATAAAGGAAATGCAATCTGTGAATTCGCTATCGAGAGTTAAACATCAGCCAACATTAACATTGAACATGTGGCATTTCTTTCAGAATTTCTTGTGCTAGTGGCATATCACTACATATTAATTACATCATATAAACAATTCGATTGAATTTTTGCTTCACACATCATGAATACTTCTCCATGTCATGAAATTTTTTTCTGTAATATCATTTTTAATCTCAGAAATATCCCCCTTTATGGATGTGCCATTATTTATTTGATTAATCTACTAGGTACTCTTCTTATCTCCTTTAATTCCAGCAATTTTCCACTTTAAAAGTAACTTTCCCACTTCATGCATCTAAGTAGTTACTATAGTAGTGACAAAAAAATTATATTTTATCATAGCTATTATGTTTGATTCTAAGCTCCTTGTTTGATTCTAAGTTCCTAGAAAATGGTATCTATATGCTAGCCATCCTCTGGACTAATGTAATGTACAGAGTAGAATCAGTAGTATTGATGGCTGATCACCTAACTTCGAATTGAGTACAAACATATTTATCTTAGTTTGTGTATACACACAGGGAATAAAGGAGAAGGGGATTGCCTTAACTGATGTATTAACTTGCCAGTTGGGTAAGTAATAAGAAAAGTGGAGAATTAGAGTTAGACAAGTAAAAAATAATTTTAAATTAAATAAAATTTAAATTTAAATAAATGTATTAAAAATAAATTAAAATTATTAAAAAATAATTTTATTCTATAAGTTAAAGAGACAAATGGAGGAGAAAAAAGTAAATCGGTTCAAACACATGGAAATTAAAGACAGACTATTGTATTTGATGGGATTTTATAAAAGAAGGTTATGACATAATTAAAGCCAAGGAAAGAAAATAAATTGGGTAATAATATTTAAATAGAAATATTGTTATGAGTTATGTTAGAAGGAAGGTAAGAGAGAGTAACAGGAAACAGATTTACCTTCTTGCTTGGAAAAGAAATTCAGAAAAATTAGATAAAATAAGCAAAAACAATGTTTTTTACGCTATCGGATGTGAGACAATGAAGCACCGTAATTAGTAAGAGACAAGCAACAAAGAGGGTAAGTCCTGTGACTGCCTCACTTTACTTTCTTGAGAGAATTTCTTGGCTGTGGCACAGTGGGCATAAGCCAGGCCGACCATGGCCAACTTCCTGAGCTGAGACAGAGATGAACGTCCAGAGAGAGTAATTTGGCAAGAGCCGTAGAGAGCTGAAGCAAGAGGGAATGCCAGAGATCTACAGAGGACTCTTCTTCAGTGCATGTGTGTGAGGAAGCCACTCAAATCCAGGACAGGAACTACCAAAAAGGACCAGAAGAAACAGTACCCGGTGTTTGAATAGGATTGAGAAGAGTGTCTGTCCCTTATTGCCAGGTTGGAAAATTTCATAATTTAGAAATTGTTGGCCAGACGTGGTAGCTCACACCTGTAATCCCAGCACTTTGGGAGGCCCAGGAGGACGGATCATGAGGTCAGGAGATCGAGACCATCCTGGCTAACACAATGAAACCCCATCTCTACTAAAAATACAAAAAATTAGCCAGGCATGGTGGCAGGCGCCTGTAGTCCCAGCTACTCAGGAGGCTGAGGCAGGAGAATGGTGTGAACCCAGGAGGCGGAGCTTGCAGTGAGCTGAGATCAAGCCACTGCACTCCAGCCTGGGTGACAGAGCGAGACTCCGTCTCAAAAAAAAAAAAAAAAAGAAATTGTTGAATAGAGTATTTAAAGGGGGCATTAGTGGGGGATAATTGGCTCTAGACACTGCTCTAGCCTTGCCTGACTAATATTAAAAGCAAGACACCCACACACACACACACACACACACACACACACACAAAACAAAAAAAACTATTTCTGAGTAACTTAACTGCATCCCAAAATGGAGCTCAAGAATATTTATAGTGACACAAAATGACTCAACACCCAACAAGGTAAAATTCACAATGTCTGGCATCTAATCAAAAATTACCAGGAATGCAAAGAAGCAGAAAAACATAAACTATCATCATGAGAAAAAGCAATCAATTAAAACCAGCCAAAAACTAACACAGATTTTAGAATTGGCAGACATAGACATTAAAACAATTATACTGTATTCCATATGTTCAGATGGTAAGTAGAAACATGGAGATATAAAAATGAATCAAATCTAAATTCTAAGGAACAATTTTACAATGTCTAAGATAAAATATACACTGGGTGGGTATATTAGTCAGTGCAGTCTACTATAACAAATTACCATAGACTGGGAGACTTAAACAACAAACATTTGTTTCTCACAGTTCTAGAGACTGAGAATCTAGAGACTGAGAAGCCAAAAGATTTGGTATCTAGTGAAGGATCTCCCTGGTTTGCAGACATCTATCATCTTGCTGTATCCTCACATGGAAGAGAGAAGGAGCTAACCCTCTGGTCTTTTCTTATAAGGCCACTAATCCCATCCTGAGGACTCTACCTTTGTGACTTGAAACCTAATTACCTCCCAAAGGCCCTACCTTTAAATACCATCTTATTGGATTAGAAAGAACACATTAAAGGTTATGGTTTCAACATACAATTTTGAGGGGAAAGAAAAATATTCAGCCCATAGCAGTGGGATTGACAGCAGAATAGATATCGTAGAGAAAACAATTAATGGATTTTAAGATATAGCAATAGAAACACTCCAGAATTAACTCACAGGGGTAAGCACTAGTGTTTGTCAGGAGGCAGAAAAGCCATAGGCCACAGTCTTACGGTATATTCTGCAGGAAAGGCAGGGCATGGCAGAGTAAACAGTTTAAGATTGGCCAGCTTGAATAATTCTAGTAGGCTTTGGGAACTACGGGTTGCCCCAGGTTGTCTGGTACCTGACCCTGGGTTGATATAGGGTAGGAGAACTATTGGCCTGATGTGCGAGAGTTAGAGGAAGAAGGTGACTGTGGTATTGATTCTGGATTCTGTAGTTTGTATATAAAAGGCAGGCTCACTGACAGGTTGTTTCCCTTCTCTAGGAATCTGCTAGCCCTGGGTGGTACATTCTCTCCCCAGCCAGCAAGGACCCCTGAGGATGTCAAAACAACATAAAATATAGAAAATAAAAAACATGAATAATACAGTTGGTCCTCTGAAATTCTGACAACAGATTAAAGGAATACAAGTAGAAGTACAAAGAGTCCTTGTCGTTCAGCCCATAGCTAAGTTTCCCATTTTTACAGCATTATCCAGGAAAATAGAGCTGAAATTTTGGGGAGTCTCTAAAAATATTTTGATGGAGCTGTAAAACGTGTTAGAAATATGCTAAGATCAAGGTGACAGGCCCATCAGTTATGTTGTTGGAGGGTATGAACTCCTAATTTAATAAAGATTAGCGACATTTGTGTGCAATCCAAGGGAATGAATGGTAAATGGCTGGCGACGCAAGGCGGGAGTTCACAATGGAGGAGTGTAGTCGGAGAAGGCACTACTCCTCTCCTTAAGGGTCAAGAAATTGACTGATATAAGGCAAGTAACTTCTGGGGAAAGCAATAATCTATGTTATTTTTTAGAATGGCACAGATAGTAGTAACCTCTACCAGATTTCTCTTTAGGCATGGGAGTGTAGTGTGTATGCTTGGCAGAGAGCAAGCAGTATGCCAGGATCATAGACTGAGCAGACAGCAAGTTCAGAAACATAATAGAATGTCTAAGTTAAAGGAAGAAAAGCAGAACTCTCCTATGTCCAGTTGGTGCCTTTCAAGAGGCAGTTGACTGGTATCACAGAGGTGGAGATTTTACCGTTGAGGTGAAGTCATCTCTGGTGCAGGAAGTGAAGCCATCTCCATTGGTAGGGTTGTTGGTTGGGGCCGTGTAATCTGACATTACGGCATCTCTAGCAGTGAGCTTCTGGATCAGGGTGACGCCATCTGGAATGTAGAGCTTGAGATACCCTTTCTCAAGTGGATACCCACTCAGGTTGAGGTGAGTCTCAGCATTTTCTGTGCTTGGTTGAAACAATGGCTTATTTGGAGGATTTGGGCCTCCCAGTTGTAAACAAATTAAGGCACTCAGAACAGTTGTAATAAGACAAACAGTCAACAGAATGGGGTGCAGCTGCACTTCATATGGCTTTGGTTTTTGTTTATTGGTGGAAGTTTAATTTGAAATTGGTCTCATATCAGATGAGTGGCTATCTGGCCTATGGGACAATCTATAATTAATGGGTCCCAAGACAGCATGTACCTCAATGTGGCCTCTAGCCCTTATGGGATGGTGGTAAGAGTGAACACTTACAAAGCCAAGTTAAGGCTTGGGGCAGCATAGAGGTTCATTTGGTAATTGATCTATCAGACAGTAATTTGAAAAGGAGGTTGTGAGGAGACCATGATATCTCTCAGATAAATGGGCTGTGTGGGAAATATTAGGGACATGAAAGTTCTATTGAATGCTTCCTCCAAGAACCCAGCTTAAGTATTTTGAAAAATAAAATGTGTCTTGTTTATTATGAGTAATGTTTTTAACTCCAAAAAGGATAAAGTGTGCTGATAAGAACTTTTACTATGACCATAGTATATACGCAGACATGCTTTTGAGTTATATTTTGGGTATCCGTGAGGCAAGAAATTTCCAGATTTTTTACCTGAATGGGACTATTTCTACATAATGGCCCAATAGTTTCTAATCAATGTGAAGATGAGATCATTTGTTGGCCAGGGCATCCAGGGCTAAGATGACTGCCTGAAGCTTGGCCAAGTCTGTTCCTTGGGCCCTGTCCTTTACCAGGGATATCCTGGCTAAGGGATGAAAAACAGCAACGTGTCACTGAGCTCTACCATGTAGGATGGTCAGCAGTGCCATCCACACAGTCTACGAACTCCCATTACTGTTCACTTGGGGAATCCCAAGGGCTTCCAGGTAGCCAAGGGCTCTGTAAGAGCGGTGACCTGGACACTCTGGCATGTACCACAAGTCTGAGGATAGACAAAGCTACCCATTCCTGCAGGCAGAATATGCCAGGGGTCCTGAGTTTGGCTCCATCCTGTCTTAGGGAAGACTGTAGCTGTGCTGAGCTTGTGGAGTGCAGTTTTCATGACTAAAAGCATGGTGGGAAACTTGGAATACAGTCACAGGCTTGGAGACTGTGAGAGCCTCTGTTTTCAGGAAAGCCCAATAAGTAGGCAGCAACTGTTGTTTTAATGGAATACTGCATGAGGTCAAGAGGGGAAATTTTTTGTATCAGAAACTCTGGGGCAAGTAATGTTCCTAAGTAGGCCAGAGATGCCAGGAGGCATTAGAAAAGAGAGGAGAGGGGAGGAGGAGGGGGAAGAGGCAGAGGAGAGGAGAAGAAGGAGAGGAGAGGAGAGGACAGATCTGTAGCCAGTGTATTTTGAAGAACACATGTTTTAAGTTAAAATTTTTTTTCATTTAAAGATCATGATTTTTTTTTTATTATTCCTTAGAAATCTTCAAGGCCACAAAGATTTCTCTCTCTTTCTCTCTCCCTTTCTCAGATTGGAAAAAGAATACTGGCAAAACAAAGGACTTGCATCTAGACTGTATGAAGGGTTTTCAATCTTCATAAGAATGTAACTCATTAAAAATGTGCAAAAGAGTTTAACAAATACTTCAAAAAAGTATACAGATAGCAAATAAACGGATAAGTATATTTGATTAGTCATTAGGGAAATGACATTTAAATCACAATAAAATACCATTTAATACCTATTCAAATGTCTGAAATGAGGTGAGACAGGGAGAAGGTGGGGAAACTGACCATACAATATGTCTGTGAGTATGTAGAGGAACTGGAATTCTCATATATTCCTGGTGGGAATATAAAATGGTGCAATTACTTTGAAAAACAGTTTGGCATTCTCTTAAAAATTTAAATATTTACGTACCATGTGATACACCCATCCCACTTCTAGGTATTTACCCAAAAGAAATAAAGGAATATACTCATAAAAAGACTTGCACAAAAATGTTCATAGCAGCTTTATTTGTAACAGCCCAAACCTGGAAACAACCCAAATGCCTATTAATATGGGATTGCATTAATACATTTCTCTGTATCCATAAAATGGATTAGTACTGAGCAACAAAAAAATAAACTATTGACACATGCAAAAACATGGCTAAATCTCAAATTGTACCGGGTGAACAGAAAAAGAGCATACACGTCGAATGATTTTATTTATATACATTTCTGAAAAATTCAAATTAACTGATAGTGACAGAAAGCAAATCAGTGATTGCTTAAGGATTGGGGATAGGCAGGGGGTGAGGAGTGGGGAGAAAGTTCAAAGGAGTGCAAGTAAACCTTGGCGGTAATGGATAGATCTACTATCCTGATTGTGGTGATGATTTCATGGGTGTATATATGTGTCAAGATGTATCAAAATGTGCACTTTAAACTTCAGAAAAGCAGTTTTTCAAATGGCAATTTAGGAGAGATACATGGAACAATTATTATATTGAAGACATAATAAAATCCAAAGCCTGAAAATCAGACCTCCTCAATCAAAAGAGTGGACAGAGTATCACTTACGTTTTTGTTTTTGTTTCTTTTGAGATGGAGTCTTGCTCTGTCGCCCAGGCTGGAGTGCAGTGGCATGATCTCGGCTCACTGCAAGCTCCGCCTCCCGGGTTCTCCCCATTCTCCTGCCTCAGTCTCCCGAGTAGCTGGGACTACAGGCGCCCTCCACCACGCCTGGTTAATTTTTTTTTTTTTTTGTATTTTTAGTAGAGACGGGGTTTCACCATGTTAGCCAGGATGGTCTCCATCTCCTGACCTCGTGATCCGCCCGCCTAGGCCTCCCAAAGTGCTGGGATTACAGGCGTGAGCCATCCTCCCGGCCCACTTAAATATTTTTAAAGTCAGGAAGAAAATGTGTTGCTTTTGATAGATAGTAGGAAGATGGATTGACAGATGATAAATGATAGATGAATAGATGATAGATGATAGAGATAGATGGATAGTTGATAGGTAGGTAGATAGATTAATTGATAGGGATAGAGAGATTGATTGAAATATTGATAGACAGAAGATAGCTGATAGATGAATAGATGATAGATAAATGTTAGATAGATATAGACAGATATAGATAGATAGATGGATAGATAGATAGGGATAGACAGATTGATAGATTGATTGATAGATTGATGGGATAGATAGATAGATAGACAGGAAACTGCATAGTTAAAACAAATGAGATGTCCTTCTTCTCAGCTATTTAGTTGTCACAATAAACTCCATAATATAGGAGGATCCTCATTTTACAGCGTAGGAAAAGCCAGGTAGAGGGGGTCAATGCCTGGGGCCGCAAAGATCCAGGAAGTCAATGTCTGAGCCCCTTTGCATTATGTCTCCTGTCTGTGATACAGCTGGAAAGGGCTGGAAGGCTGAGAAGAAATCCCTCCTCTCCCATCCCTTATGGCCAGAGCTTTGTCACTCTCAGAAGACACTTAACAGCAGGCTCATATTTCTCATTTAACCCCTGTACAGATTTAACCATGGCTACCCAGGATCGTAACATGAATTTGTTGAAAGTTCCGAATGTTCTCAGCATATGATACAGCAACTCTGCAGGGAGATTTTAGTTCATTTTGTGGCACTTCGGCTGCTCTAACAAGATATACAATAGCACTGAACTACTCATCGGATGATTTCCAGGAACAAAGCACTTTGCGGATCTATTAGGAAGCCACAGGGTCAATGCCTAATGCTTCTTCTGCACTCCAGGATTTGAACCTTGCAGTTTTCCATTTTGGCCAGGCTCTAAGTGAAAGAGTAAGGCTTTTAGTTTGGGAAATAAGTACAAAGAAACAGTTATAAAATTTCATAATGGGAGATAGTGTTTCTCTTATTAAGCCCCCACAACTTTTACCACTGAACATCACTCTTGGCTTCGAAGAGCAAGACTAAAAAAAATTTGGTGTTTCTTTTTTAAAGTTAAAGATTAAACGAAGAAAAAAAAAGTTGCAGAACGGAAGGAAAGCCTCCAATTGCACTGTGTAATACTAATGTCTCCCTAGGAAAAGAAAGAGCAAAAGTTTGAGTTAATTGCATTAGTTTGGTGTGTCGGAATAGTTAGCTAACTCTAAAAAATTGTCAGGCTGCTCAAGAATTTTTGTTCCTTAGTTTTTCTACCTGTGCCTGCCCCACCCCAGTGAGACCCTGGGACCTTATGCATGCCTAAAGTAATAGAGAAAGGGGGAGTCTAATATGGAATTCTGGAGGATTTGTGTGTGCAACAATGAAAAATTAGTATTATATTTATATATATATATTTTTTTTGAGATGGAATCTTGCTCTGTTGCCCAGGCTGGAGTGCAGTGGCACGACCTTGGCTCACTGCAACCTCTGCCTCCTGAGTTCAAGCAATTCTCCTGCCTCAGCCTCCTGAGTAGCTGGGATTACAGACACATGCCACCACACCTGGCAAATTTTTGTATATTTTAGTAGAGAGGCTGTTTCACCATGTTGGTTAGGCTGGTCTCAAACTCCTGACCTTGTGATCTGCCCACCTTGGCCTCCCAAAGTGTTGGGATTACAGGTGTGAGCCACTGCACCTGGCCTGTATTTGATATTTTACAAGTAGGATAGCACTTACATTATCAAAAAGCTGAAAATACCACAAATTTGACTCTGACACTCCTACTATTCTTAAATTATCAAGTTAAACATCAGACAGAGAAAAATATTACCATCCATTTATAAGAGAGTTTTGAAGACATCTAACATTCTACGAGTTGTACAGAGGTGGGGACCAGGAGGATGTTTTCACTTATAAATGGATTATGTACCCATCCAATTCACATTTTGATTAGTAAATCTTTCTACAGTAACTGAGGTACTTTTGTCTTATCAATCAGGCTTCAAATTCATTGTCCACTTCAGGTTGTACCATCATGAGGAACTTTCTCAGGGACTCTAGTAAGTTCTGTGATTATATCATGAAAATCTATAAATATAGCCCATATATCCTTGACTCCAGTTAAAAAAAAAAAAGAGGAGGAGCTACCATTATCTATGATTTTATCTAAATCCTCTGGAATATTTATGTGTTCATTATCTTGTACCATTACTATAGTCCCTAGGGTTCAAAAACATGCACTTGGTTATAAATGATTAAACTAATATGGTATGTTCTATAATTCAGGATTTCATTTAATTCTCACAATAACTGTGTGTGGTAAGTACTATTATTGCTTTTTTTTTAACAGCTAAATCTGAGGCATTGACAAGATAAGTAAATTTAATCAAAGCTAGTTGAAGCTAGAATTATGGTATGAATTCAGAAATTATTATTTTAATAGCCTCCATGCTTAATCACTGCACTGTGTTTCAGAGATAGTCATTCTCTCCTGGTTTATAAGATTTACAAAAAGGTTGTACATTGATCTTATATATCATCATGAAAAAAACTTTACTGTAAATAATTAAAACTGATTCCAGACTTGGTTCCACCCTAAATGTATTAATTTTTAGGCATGAATCTATCTTGTTTTTTAAAAAATCCATATACATAATATAATAAATTATTATTACCATGTGATTTTATTTAGAACTGTCATAAATGTTAATTATAATAATTTATTTAAAAAATAAAATAAATTTTAATTGATTTCTGATGAACACTGTAGGAGAGACTTTATGCTACTTTGACCTTCCTTGGGCTTTAAATTCCAAACTTTAAACAGAGCAAATTTAAATATAACTCTGTAGTTGAAACTAACAGACGCAGAAAAAAAAAAGAAAATGTCATTGGATATAGTAACTTTGTTGACAAAGATGTTGCTATATCAATAAAAAAGACTGTCTTTGTCTCCAGGCCTCACCTTTGCTTGTTACACAATGATATCCTACCACTGGCGGGAAGACTAAAAACCAGCAATGATGTGTGTGGTTCAACAGCTCCTAAAGCTGTTTACTTGAAGTAACAATACTTTCCACTGTGCATTGTAAGTGAAGAACTGAAATGAATGTACTACCAGTGCACTTAATTGGAAGATTTAGTCAGGCAGGCAAGAAAATCCCCTAACCAGAAATAGCGACATGTGGGCTAGTAGTGTTCTAGCCACTAGTAATTGCTTAATGGTACAGAGAATCCTGGTGAAAAGCCCATGAGATATTCTTACTATTAGTGTAAACTGAATTCAAAGCTTTGGTTTGCTTGCTTAGGTATTATGTGCACTTATGAGATTAGATTAATAATAACCCAAACGGGTTCTGTTATGGCAAGTACAATCTTAATGTCTCATGGCTTTAACCATATTATTTCAGCAAGTCCTAGGTCTTAAATGAACCTCATTATTACAATCTAAGTGAGTTTGAACGAATTCAATCTCATACCAGAAAAATGTCTAAACCTCCCCTTCCAAGTCCCCCATTTTTCTATGGTTCTATAACCTTAACCCCATATTTAGAACTTTGAGGGATCTTGTAATCTATACTTCACTGTAAAGACCTTGACTCACTCAATTTTCAGTACATTCACAGCTCTCTTCATTCATATAGACTCTTTTCTATCTTTGTCCACAGGTATTGACTTGTGGTAAGCCCAGTCATCTTTCTCTGGACGGAGATTAGAAGTCTGCTGCCAGGCATCTGGGGTGCCAGACCTGGGCTCCCTCTAGTTTCTTCAATTGCAATGGTCATATTTATTTTCCTTGGATGCTGAAAATGTTTAAGAGACTCACCTGCCTCTTACACCAAATTGTAACTCAACTTATCTGAATAATTGGTGACTTCACATTTGTCATTAAATGCTTTCTTAACTTCTCTTACCCTTCTCATTTATCCCTATTTGTTAAGATCATCTTGCAGCACTAACACTTAGGAGTCCCATTAGTTCTTTTCCTTCATGCCCTGTGCTTTAGGACCAATCCAGCCAATCACAGATCCCACCTCCTGTTATTTTAATTTGCAATTTAAAAAATTCTGAGTAAAACTGAGAATCTAAATATATTTATTGGCCATTTGTATCTACTTCTTTGTAAATTGCTAGTTTTCTTTTTTATTGATTTGTTTGAGCTTTTATTAGTTAAAATAATAGAACTTTGTGAAAAGATGAATTATTTTTTCCCTGGATTGACTCTCCTTAGACTTCTAAACATTACAGTGTGTACTTGTTATCCAGAATATTTTTAGTCACATATATCTAACATTTTCTAGTATGTGAATTTTGTGTTTATTAGGAAGATCTACTCACAGCTCTCACTGTCTTTTTATGCCTACGGTGTTCACTTCACTTCAAGCCCATGCCACTGTATGCCTATATAACTACTCATTTCTGGAATGGCCCTGCAAACTCGTATCTCTTCTCCTCTTTGCGCATGGTTGCCAGTCCAAACTGCCTTAAGACAAACAAACAAACAAACAAAAATCCAACTAATGATTTAATGCATTCAGGTTTCAAAGCATGTTCTTCCATTATTTTTATAATGCAGCTTTTCCTACCTGAATGTATACTCAAGAGATTCAGAATGTCCCAAGTGGAGGAGGTTTCTTTGGGAAGCCAAAGGTAGTGTATGGACTGTAACTGGGGGCCTGTGATTGAATTGCCTCTTTCAGTTCCACCATATGGCCACCACCATCTCATAATTTCCCTTCTCAGAAAAGGTACAGCTTCATTAGGATGGCAATATATACATAAGGTGTCATTAAAGAGCCTATACAAGTCACAGCTAAAAATATGTATGAGAAAAAATAAAGTTCAAAATGATTGCCCAACAAGCATGAACTGTTCAAATAAGTTATATTGCATCACTGAATCATATGTGTTATGCTTTCAAAGATAATGTATTGCCATAAAGAAATGCTCATGACACAATGTCTCAAAAATGATATAATTGTAGTAGTCATATTAGTTCTGAGCCTTCATTGAATGCTATTTACCTAATTTCCTTTTTTAAATGTTCACTGCAAAAGCAAGATATAAAACTGTTCAAACTGGGAATTTTTTGACTTGTCTGCATTTTTTCTAAGTTTAGTAAATGAGCCCTATATTAGTTTATTAGTCAGAAAATATTATTTCAAGAAGCTAAATATTAATTCAAGTCCAAACACAATGAGGCATTTCATTTATATCTTGTCATAGAAATCTCTTAAGTGCCCTTAAAGGATCATTAAACACACCTTTTATTATTGTTTGTACACTTCACTGGAATATACATACCCCTTACTGAAATGTAAGTTTCTTGGGGGAAGAGCCATGTTTATGTTTTAATACGCTGCTCGACACAATAGGCCTTCACAGAACATCCATCGACACAAATTATCTCTGTTCATCCGGATAGGAAAAGCCTGTTTTCCAAATTTTCTACAATCACATAGGGAGCAAGAAAAAAACATTTTAAAAGTAATTTTGCTTGTTTCTAGTGAAAAATATCAAGAGGAAAACAGTCAAATAAGCAAAATGTGCCCAGAAACTGAGTCCTCTTATTAACAATGTGGATATTAATTTATAGTATAAAATAATACATATGCATAACTTAAAAACTCAGAATATCCAAAGTAAAAAGTAACATCCTTTTTTTATAACAACCCCCACCAAACTCTAAATGCAACTAGCATACATAATTTCTTATGATTTATTCCAGAGGCCCTAAACATTCATGAATGTATTAGATTATGCAAAACACATGGAGATATAGATATATTTGTTTATATTATTTATAATAGTGGAAATAAATATATATGAAAAATTTGTGTATATATGAAAAAATGTGTGTATATATCTAAATATATACATAATGAAAAATATTACATACACATCAGAAAACAATCCTGTTGCACTTGATTTTTTTTAATTTAACATATCTAGCAAACTTTCTTTTCAGAAAAGCACATCATTGTGCACTTTATTTTTTTATTTAATGTATCTAGCAATCTTTCTATTCAGTGGACTTTATTATAACACCCCTTTATCGACAGATACTTTGGTTATTGCCAAAATTATGTTTAATGCTTTTGTAAAATATATATATATATATAATTTATGTGTGTCTTATATATATAAAGTTGATATGAATATAATATATATAACACATATATAAATTATATATGAAAGTTAAATATATGTATATGTATATATATGCATAGCTGTGTGTTTCTGTTTGTGTAACTTACAGCACTCCTAGTAAAGTACTCTTTTTAAATATGGGGATGCATCAGTAAATTGCTACCCAGAAAGTTTATAGGAAGTGGCAGCCTGGCTCCACCCACTTCAGCACTGGGGAGAAACCAACCTTAGCATTCGTTTCATCAGAGAGATAAAAAATGGTAACCTGCTGTTATTTTAATTTGCAATTTAAAAAATTCTGAGTAAAACTGAGAATCTAAATAGATTTATTGGCCATTTGTATCTACTTCTTTGTAAGTTGCTAGTTTTCTATCTTTTTTATTGATTTGTTTGAGCTTTTATTAGTTAAAATAATAGACCTTTGTGAAAAGATGAATTATTTTTTCCCTGGATTGACTCTCCTTAGACTTCTAAACATTACAGTGTGTACTTGTTATCCAGAATATTTTTAGTCACATATATCTAACATTTTCTAGTATGTGAATTTTGTGTTTATTAGGAAGATCTACTCACCCCTGATGATTAAAACAACCCATGATTTGTTTTCTAAACTGTTTATAGATTGACTGATTGATCTGGATTTTTGTTTTGTTTTGTTTTTCCATGTAATCAGTTACTTTCCTTTCTCCCCTCCTATGTCCCCTTCTAGGAGCCACACTTGAGAAATGAATTTTCTGTAGCCTGAGGATTTGATGCAACCTCAGTGACTGAAACTAGTATCTGCCCTTTCCTCTTGTTAAATGTCTAATGTCAAGATTGGCTTCTCAGGAACCTACTTGACTCTAGTAGGAGGTATAGTGTGGGCCCCTGGAAACTTTGTACCATCGATAGCATTGATTGTTTACTTTCCTCTTCATTTTCACTTCTATTAACTCAAGTGGCAAAAGACTTTTGGCTTCTCCCCTGATTGTGCAAAAGGCTGGGAGGAACTGCATGTGGGTCTGTCTACACTACACGCCTCTCTGCCCACCTCAGCTGACCCTAAGGCTTTGCAGCATCTCCTGGCTCGGCGCTTCCTACAATATCTCCTGCCATCTTTGCTTGGTGATGTGGATGATTGGAAGCTTCTGGCCACCAGCCCTTTCCACAGTTTGAGTACTGCTGATGTAGTTTTGTTATTGCTTGTTTGTTTTCATTATTCTCTTGTAGGGATGTCAGGGGGTGGGAGTGGGAAGCATTTGAGATCTGGCTTTACTCCTCTATCTTCAATAACAGGAAGTTCAAACTATTGTAATCATTTTTAAATCATCCACTGCCATGGGAAAATGGCTAAAATAAATAGCCCACAGCAATCACTTCTATAAAGAAAATTGTGTCTCTTGAGAAAAGATATTAAAATCCAAGGAAAATTTCAAAAGGAAATTTCAATGTTATTAATTGGTCCATATTAATATAGATCTATTTCTTATTCAAATCTTCTTTGGAAGTAACAATCCTTATCAAATTCTTCAAAGAATATCTAAACCTGAAAGTATATAATATTAATTCTTTTTGTTCCTGCTTTCCATCATCACAGAATCTGGCAGAAACAACATAAAAAAGTTATGAACCAAGAATACTAACATAGCAATGGAATACATGAATTTTTTTCCCATGGCAATTCCACAGCTGTTCTGTGGGGATCAAATACCTCTACCATTAAACAATACAGGAAATTAATAATTTCAAGCACAACTTAGATCACTGCTTTACTTATGAGTTTTCAGGCCCAAATCAGATTTTAAGTGTATGTGAGCAGGTTTTAAATAAATGTTAAACAATTGTATTGCTCTAGGAATAATTTGACAACATTGAATATGTAAGCATTAACATTTTTGTATTAAAGTCAGATTCAAATGATCATCATTGGAAGTCTATTCTTTACCTATTTTTCAAAATTCTTGATTTCTCTTCCCATTTAGAACAGTTGCATTTTCACAAAGCTGTTTGATGTGGTTTTTTTTTTTTTTTTTTTTTTTACAGATAGATAAATCTGAGTTCAGTGTTTAGTTTCTGACTCTATATAAGCTTCATGTTTCTCACTTATACAAGGCTGTGGAAGATGCCCTCCGGGACAAATTTTCTTCTGTACCTTCAAAGATGAAAGACTTCTACCAAAGGGATAAAATTTGCCTCAAGCTTTCAAAAATGTGATATCCAAGTTCATTACTTGTGCTCCATTCCAGTCAACTGGAGTCAAATCCACATAGCAGAATCACCACCCGAGACCTTGTCTGCCATTTAGAAAATAACTTCCCAAACCACAGGGGGTTAATTTGGAGCCCACCTCTCTATACATGGATTTGTTTTTCTCTCTGAAGAGTCCAAGCCAGTGAAAACCAGGGCAATATCTTGTCGGACACTGATATTTCTGCTGTCAAAAAAACAAGAACAAAACTAAAAATGGATAACTTTTTTGTTGTTGTTGTTCCTAAACCTCCCATACAAGGTCCCAAACTACTGCCCTGGGCCTATGGGTTCCTCGCAAGCTACCAGATTGTGCAATGTACTATCACAGAATGTCGTATTAGAGCCCTGTTCCAGTCGCGTCCAATAAGTAATCTGGCATGAAGAAAAGTTAACTGAATTAGTGGCCAGTTGGGACACTTTGTGACCTACTCTTTAGGAACCAAGTCCTCTGAACTTTTCCATTCCACTTTGCCTTCATACTTCAATAGGGACCGAATCTCCATTAACAATTGAACGGCGACAATAAGTGCCATCAGGAAAAGGAAATTCAATTTTCGTGGGGGATGACAGCCTTACCTTTTCGCGCTTAATTGGCCGTATTGTCTCCAAAAGTTAATTGGTTACTTAGTCCAGGTAGTTAGTAAAATGTTTAGCTGCGTCAAAAAGCCCAGGCTCCCACTGTTAATGGGGCATGAAATGGAATGTTTGATACTGCAAATAAAATCAGTGATATTCAAGGATGTTATGGTAGGTAATGCGTTGAAACTACCATTTAATGGGTCCTGGAAGATTAGGGTAGTGTCAGCCGGAACCGCCCGGTCTCTTTTCTGACATTGTTAGTTGCCTCTTCATTTACTTAACGGCTGTCTGCACTGATTACATAGGCATAAAACTCCCTACAAAAAAACAACAGAGACACGCTCTATTAGCAGTCCAATTAGAACTATTTGCATATTACAGTTCATTTCTGCTTAAGTGAATCCCTAATACAACTTTAGGAAAAAAAAATTCTATTGTGTCATTTGAAAGAAAGAGAAAAGAAAAGCCTTAAAGGTGATCTCTCCTTCTTTCTTTTTCTCACTTCATTTCTCTCTCTCACTCTCCCTCATTTCAAATATTATCTACTTTGAGTTGAAAGAGAGAAAATAACAACTTTGAACTTGAGACGATGTTGTTGAGATGTGTGAAGACTAGAGCATTCTTAGGATAACAGTCCTTCTGCAAACATCCAGACCAGTGTCACACGCTACTGCTATGCTTCACTTAGAGAAAGTGTCTACTTCTGAGATATGTTTATAGTTTGTTTTAGATCCACATTGCTCTGAATTTTCCAGCAAAGATGCTAATCTCTGTAACAATGTCCCAGGCAGGGCAGAGTCCTTTTTGTGGTGTCCCTTACCTGCACAATTGCAGACAGCAGAAAATGCGGTTCTGCATCTGTCTCTGTGCCACTAAAGGTTCTGACTATGTACACGTGGGGCATTGTCAACTGTGCATAGTATCAACACACATGAAATCAATTCCTTTTCACATAGGTAAGGACAGTGACAAGTAGGGTTAAAAGCAAAACTGGAGACTTCACTTTACCAGACATTTCTCTGATTTTCCAAATCTTAGTCCTTAGAAATGTCATCATTTGATGGCTACTTATAAAGGCATTAGGGACACTTTATTTGCATTATTATTAATATTAATAATGATGATCATATAGAAATCAGAGGGCTTTTTATTGAGGTTGGAAAGGAATCTTTCCCTAGCATAGGCCCTGATAAATACTACTGAATTCAAAGCAGCACACTTTCTTAAACTGATGCTTGAAGTGTGTAGAGAGTGTTTTAAGATAGCAAGCACAGTTTGCCATGAATGTTTTCAAGATGCTCCATGGACATTGACATTATTCCCCAATCTCACTGAGTCCTGTGAGTTTATGGGAGACTGGGAGATTACTGGAATAATTATTAAATGGAAAAGGAGAGTGTTGGAAAGGAGAAATGGATCAACTGCACTGAGTCTCTGGTAGATCCTGCAGGTGACAGGAAGAGGACGATGATGGCGCACTGGATACCACTGAGAGTTTCAGTGGATGGTCGGGCAGGAGGGTAGCCTGGACTGTAGGAGAATGAGGATGCCAGTATAGGATGTTTCAAAGCACCTGGCATCTCATGGCAGTCACTACTGCTGACTGCAGTGGTTATAATGATGGTTTTTCAATCTAATGTTGAACATTTTATTTGGGATGCACACATAACTCCTTCAATTAAAAACAGTACAGAAAGCACGAGATGGGAAATCACCCTCCAACACATCTGGACTGGACAGCAGAAGAGTAAGAAGCGTGAGAGGGAAAGGAGTTTGTTATTTTGGGGATTATCGTGATATCAGCAACTCATGTTGCTGGCAAGTTTCCCTTTAGACAAAGCCCTGGCTCCCACCGCGAGCTTACAGCCATGCCCTTGAATTTTCTCAGGCCTGGGACCAGTGAAAACCCTCATGTCTGATGAATGATCCTCTTGCCCTGAACGGACTCTAAGATGAGATATGCCAATGGGGATGCATTAGAGCCATTTGATTGGTCCTCGGAGTAGTTACCTAGAAGAGCCATACGACACCTTTGATGTTCACACACTTACACTGATACCCACAGAGTTTTTCCAACACTCACGTCACCCACTTTTCTTTTGTCCTGCAAACCTAGTTTCACAGGTCAGCCCACCCTCTACGATTCTCTGAATTTGCCAGTCACTGGAGGAGTTCAGGTGCTGACCATGACAAATGGGAGAGGAAAGATGGGGATTATTAAAAGTGACAAATAAACTATTCAAGAAACATGAGCAATTCCTAACTGGCCCTTTTTCTTGTTCATCTCTAAGCCACCATTTTAAGTGTAACAAGTACACAATTGTAAGGAAAAAGCAGAGAGGAAAGACAGCAACAACAATAGCAGCCACCCAACCCCAAAGCGGTGTAAACAAACCAAACAAAAAAGCCTATCAGAGGGGAAGGCAAAATCCTCGATCTGTCATTTTCAATTCTGTTCACCACGGGAGCAGAGGCGCAGTGTGAAACGCGCTGGCTCTGCCTGCCATAGGTATTGTTTGGACGCCCCGGTGGGTCCTCTATGCCCTGCCTCCTGCTTTCCTCCAGCTCTCATTAACACTACCTCCAGATGAGCACCGTCAGAGGCAGAGGCGGACACGCCGGCCCATTGCCTGGGTGCAGCGGCCCTGCCAGGGGTGGCAAGCCAGTGAGTGCCAGGGAGAGTGAGCCAGACAGCTTCGAGACACATACTTTTGCCCCTGAAAGCAGTCGTTGCACCCCGCCAGGAAAACAGCTCTCTGGAAAAGCACTGCCTGCTAGTAAAATGGACTAAATCAGTAAACAGTGATTAAGGCGCTGGCTCCGCGACTGCTGTTGCCACCTCAGACACATGGCTTCTCCTCCCTGCACACACGCACACACAGGAAAGAAAAAAAAAAAAAAGAAGGAAAGAAAAACCAAGCAATAGAGCCAAAGTTGAGATCCAGAGGGAGCTGGCTGAAGAGTTAAGGAGAGAGAACAATTCATGTTCCTTGAAGGGGAGATGCTGTTTTCCCGAGAAAATGAAATGAATATTTTTGGATATTCATTTCTCTCACTTTTTTTTTGGACTTTCAGTGAGAATTGCCTTTCTAAATAAAACATCAAGCAATGAATGTAAGCAGTAAGTTGTTCAATTCAACATCTACTCCTTATTTGTCTGATTCAGTAATGTGCAGAATATAATCTAAATCCTTCCAGTAGGTGGGATAAACAGAAGCAGCATAACGTGTCTTGATGTGTGCTGTTTAGCAGAAACATGTCACTTCATCAAATTGCTTTCCTGAGTCAGAAGAATAAATCCCACATGCACAAGTATACATACATATGTACCCTTGGATCTTCCTATGTATAGATATAGACAGATTTCATATGTAAATACAATTACATAATTTCATGCTTTTAATGTTTTTATAATGCTATAACCATAATAATTTAAAATATGTTGTAGCTTTCACCATGAAAATGTGTTTACATGGAGAGTACTCATTGTGGACTCATTGTGGCTGTGCTTTGAACCCAGCAGAGAAGGCTGACCGGAACTCTAGAATACAGGAGTATAATTCAAAAAGACTCAGACAAACTTGGAGAAATGGTCAGAAACAAGAGAATGAGGTCTTCTGAGTGCAGGGTCACACATCAGGGAAGGAAAAAAACCAATGAACTCCACAGATGGGGATCTAGGGCTGGCAGCAACTCCCAGGCTGACTGTGAATCAGAAGTATGGACTGTGTGGGCTAGCGGACTCCTGAGCAGCACCCTGTCAGGCCCCGGGACAAAACTACATGTAGCCTTAGCCCACCCAGCTCGGTCCTGGTTCAAAATGGAATGATTCAAAGTGAATGAAGAGGAGTCCAAGCAGGACATTTTAATCAAAAGGAAAAAACACCAACCCTCAAAGACTTAATGTCCACACATACATAGATGGTAGTCCTCAGAGGAACTCCCCAAATATTGTATGGATTATTTCCCAAACATCTCTAAAAACAGCAGCTAGTAAAAAACAACTCAATTTATCCTTGGAGAAACTCAAAATCCGTGCCCCTGCCAAATCTCCTGTTGAAATGTAATCCCCTCTGTTGGAGGTGGGGCCTGAGGGAAGTGTTTGGATCATGGGGGCAGGTCTCTCATGAATGGCTTAAGGAGCCAGCCTCTTGATGAGGAGTGAGTTCACGGGAGATCTGGTTGTTTAAAAGTGTGTGACATATGCCCCCTTCACTCATGCTCCTGGTCTGGCCATGTGGGATGTCTGTTCCTCGCTTCCCTCCTGCCATGGCTGTTAAGTTTCCTGAGGCTTCACCAGAAACCAAGAGGATTCCAGCACCATGCTTCCTGTATAGCCTGGAGAACTGTGAGCCAATTAAATATCTTTCCTTTATAAATTACACAGCTTCAGGTATTTCTTTATAGCAATGAAGAATGGCCTAACACAGGGGCACAGGGCATCTTCACCAAGTGTGGTCCCTGCAGCAATGCTACAGAGTGTTCATAGATGACACTGGGTGCTGGAAACTAGACATGGCAAAGGGAAGAGGAAATAAAGACTTGGGGGAAAAGCCCAAGATGAAGAAGAAAGAGAAAAGGAAGAGTGTAAGTGTAGTTATGGATATACAACCATACTCAGGGGTCACGTGGGCAGTGGGGACAGAAATTAATCCATGGACCCTCATTTTTTTTCAAATGCAGAATGTAATAATAGTAGTAGAAATGACAGTAATAAATAATATTCACAGAGGTATCAAAAACTCTGATGGCCATTAAGAATCTCCGCTTTGGTCACCTCCCACACAGGGGATTACATTTCAACAGGAGATTTCGTGGGGGCACAGATTTTGACAGTTTCTCCAACGATAAATTGAGTTGTTTTTCACTAGCTGCTGTTTTTAGGAAACTGAGCCCTGGAAAGGTGTTTAACTTATTTGCCAGCTCACTATCTCCAGGGATTTTGACTAGCATTTAATTGTTTCCCTCTTAACAACGAATGTATTAAGAAAATTCTGTAAACGTAGGCAAATCACTAACCCATTATAAGGTTTATTATTTCTCAGTCTAAATTGTGTTTGCATTTGTTATGGGAGTGGTGGTAAGAGCATTCAAAATTATTGAAGTGTCTTGAGGTGGTGATTCTGGTTAATGTTTGACAGTGGTCATCGTGATGAGCCTTTGTGTGAGTGTGTCTGGGCAGGACTGGCTACTTAATTTGCAGGGCCCAGTGAAAAATTAAAATGTGGGACTTCGACAAGGACCCAGACACCCCCTACCCAAGGGCTGAACTCTAACACAGGGAGAGCAGCCCACTCCCTACAGATTGCAACCTCCCTTTCAGGATGTGCTAGGTATCTGAATTGGCACCTGCCAATTTGCATTCTGAGTGCACCCTAATGCTGCAGGAATGAGGCAGGGCTGGTATCCACCTTGCCCTGCCCCAAGACAGCACAGCACACATACCTATCCTGACCGTCCCCAAGCCTGCACCTAGGACTTGCAGGTGGCCAAGAACTATACTGAACAGAAACTTGCTCTGGTTGTGCCTCATATAGAACAGTAACCTTTCTAGGGAATTTTAAAAAGTATTTTCAAATTCAATTAAGATAAACCTTGCAAGATTGTCCCAAACAAATGCTATTTTGAAAATTATCCCCCTTATGAGGCCATGAACAATTTCCAACAACACAGAATAATTCATGGCTGCCCTTTTAATTTTTATTTGTTTATTTATTGTTTTTTAGAAATGTGGTCTCACTATGTTGACCAACCTGGAATGCTGTGGCTATTTACAGACACAATCATAGAACTTACAGCCTCAAAAATCTTGTGCTCAGTGGATCATCCTGCCTCAGCCTCCCTAGTAGCTGGTGCTACTGTGCCAAGCTAATTCATGGCTCTCTTTTTTATCCAAATCTGGGAACCAGTTTATAGTCTCATCACTGAGAGTCGTCACTTTCCCTTACATCCAATTATAGTATGTAGCTAGCTATCTGTTATTTTATATATTATATAGTATTAGATATATATAAATAAGCATGTATATGTGTATTTTTTTTCAGTTAGAGAAGTGAGTTTATGTCAATGCTAAGTTCTAATTTCCAACAAACTCCCTTTCAAGGAAGTGGCATTTTCATTAGCCTTTATATTCACAGACAAACCCAATACACAGCTATTATTAGGGAAAATGTGTCCCATTATGAATCTGTTTGAGAAATGACAAATAATATTGAAACTATCCTAATGTGGTAATTTGATGGAATAAAATAGTTTCAAACACCTCTTTACTCCCATTTAATTTCACCTTTACTCATGGGTAATCACTGATGTAACTCATTGTTCATAAGCTTTTCTAAAAATTGAGGAATCATTTTGCTATGAGACGTTCATTTGGAGATCTAGAAAGTCATCTCAAATTTAGAGGAGACTTCTTTCATACATATCTTTACACTAATTTTGTTTACAGCCAAGAAGGATCGTGTCAGTCCTGCAACTTGTCAGTGGAATTAAATTTCAGGTAACTCTTGCTTTTTTGCCAGCCTTCTTCCTCTCTCATCAGATGGGTATGATCAGAAGTGGGGGTTGGGGCAGTACTTTAAACTCTGCCATATAATCTGCACGGGTCCCCAACCCTAGTAAAAGTGTGGTGTTGGCTATATAGACATAGTTTTAAACAAGGTTTCTTCCAATGATTGCTACCTTAATCCCCTTCTATATAAGCATTGGAGCTGCCGCTGCTCTTCAACCCCAGGAAAGTACTTGCGGTGTTAAGAGAGTCAAAGTCACCTATACAGAATTTAAAGGACACCAAGTCACTTACTAAGCTTTCTAATTCCCCTTTCACCATCTCCCTCAAGTATCAGACATCAGTCAGGAGAACTGTGATTATCCCTTCCCTAAACTCCTCCTTACCCTAAAAATCAATCTTACACATCTGCCAAGGTGATGGCCATTTAAATTAGCCTATCTGATCACCAAAATTAAACCAATCTAGGCTCCTCCTTTACATTAAGAAGTCAGCTTCAAAAAAAAAATGCCTGATCACTGTCAATGTCATTAAGTAGGCAGCATGTTATAGTGGGAAGGGCATGGACATTAAAATGATTCAAATTTTGATTCTGCTTTTATTAGCTTTGTGAACTCAGAGAGGTAGCTTGATCTCCCGGAGCCTGAGTCTTTAACCAAATGTAGACCTCAGAGTCTTTAACCAAATGTAGTCTTTAACCAAACGTCACCATAAATGGGACAACCTATGGGTCCCTGCCTTGTGGATAGCAAGGTTACCTATAAGTTTTATTATTACTTATTGATATATATGTAACATAAAATGAAATAATCTTTTCATTTTTTTGTGTGCAATCAAGGTCTTAAGGAACTGCGGAAGAAGGCATATATATATATATATATACACACAAACACACACACACGTGTATATACATATATAAACATACGTACACATAATATATATGTGTATATATAAGCTTTCTATATATATATATCTATATACATATAAGTTTTCTCTCTCTCTCTCTCTGTCTCTCTCTCTCTATATATATATATATATCTCCAGGCTGGCATTTAGTAGTGTGATCTCGGCTCACTGCAACCTGCACCTCCAGGGTTCAAGTGATTCTCCTGCCTTAGCCTCCCTAGTAACTGGGATTACAGGTGCCCACCACCACACCTGGCTAATTTTTGTATTTTTAATAGAGATGGAGTTTCACCATGTTGGCCAGGCTGGTCTCGAACTCCTGACCTCAAGTGATCCTCCCACTTTGGCCTCCAAAGTGCTGGGATTACAGGCATGAGCCACCAAGCCCGGCCAAACATATTATATTTTCATAACTTTAATGTAGAAAAGGCGATTCACAGAAAGAGAAAGGTAAGTTCCAAGTGTGCCTCCCTGTTTAAGTTGTGGATACTTGGGATGTAATCCAAAGGGCTCTTACAGCCTGGGGAAGACAGACAGTAAATGAACATGGAAATAGGAAAGAAAAATTGGCTTACCTTTCAATTGGTCTAACGCTAGTTTCATTCACACTCCCACGTTCTCCCACTACACAGGTTGCTATAGGGGGATACATTGTTCCTGAATGTGCAAAGTTAGTGCTTCTTTGCACATACTGAATTAGCTCCAAAAGGGAAAAGTGACCAGAAATGATTTCATTTTCTCTATGCATCTCTGTTAATAAGAAGGTGTAATTCCTTAGAGAAAACACTGGGGAAAGAGAGCTCTGCTGGTGTGTTTGTGGCCCCCAATCAGGATAACAATTGGAAACCGAAGCAGATAGTCTTAGAGTGAAATGCAAATCAAACACATGAATATACCCACATATATTCCCATACTATTTTCATCATTGATTAACCAGCCACATGACCTTTTCAGTAAGAGAAATAATTGGCAGTTTTAACAGACGAAAAATTGATCCCATTACTCAGGATAGAATTTTCCACCTTTTTCAAAAGAGATGCTTATTAAAGAGGTCAGGTTTTTTTCCCCCTCAGGATCATGCATATGTAAGTAAGCATAGCTATTATGTGCCATCTATGAGAATGGACGGGTGAGCCATAAACACAAACATTCACATACAGCCAGGTCTCCAGCGTTCCTGTTCACCAATTACAGTAATGCTGATGACATATCTAGTTTAATGCATATGGCATTAAAGTAGTCCCCCCTCTTCTAGGAAAATCTAATTACACCAAACCCAAGCACTCAATCAAACCTGTTATTCTGTGGCTAAACAGCCTGGCGTTAATGCAATTTGAGGAGATACAGGCCGTGACTAGAGACGTCATGTATTAACAATATCTAATGGGAGCTCCTGTAGGTAAATGAATATGCTAACAAGCAAGATCACTGCTAAATCTAATATCTTTAAGCTGTTTAATTCCAAACAGTCCCTTAATAAATCAATTGACCGGGAGAGCTGATGCCCCTATCAATTATTCAAGAGGGCAAATAAATATTTCAGACGATTTGATAGGCAGGCTGGTGCTGGTCTTATAGAAAGCTTTGCATTTCATTAGCCTCTTGCTAAAAGTTTTATAATGAGCAGAACACAGGTGGCATCCCCACTGCAGAAATGGAAAAGGGGGAAATAAGCGATTGGAGATCAAGACTTCCTTCATCTCTGCATTATTCCATTATCCAAACTTTTCTTTTGTAATGTGAAAATTGGAGTCAAGTCCCCCAAAGAATTATCATTCTCTGCAATCACAAAGGAAATTAAAATGATCAAAAGTATGTCATATTGCAAGAGTCTTAATTGTAATTCCTATTGGAAATGCAATTATCAGATACCAATATCATGAATATAATTTATGCGGTTCCACATCCAAATAGCCCTTCACCAAATATTTAATATTATCAATTCCATTTTCCAGAAGAAAAAACTGAGTTCCCCTAGTCATTTAGAAAGTGCTCACTAGGTCACCTGTGTTTGAAAGCAGGCACTTTTTTTATTCTTTAGAGACCATTATTCATATTGAAAGCATACATTCCTGTTTAACATGATATCTGTCTTATGAATAATCCACATTTAGGTTGTGATCCTTTGTACCAAGAAATAAAAGAAACGGAAAAGCATGAAAGTGATTGACATCATTTTTCTTAATGTGCATGTGAATGTTTGTGTGTTTCACATGGACTTAGTAGAGAAAGATTCAAGAGGCAAAAATGAACGCAACTAAGTCACTTATCCCGGGAATCGTGGACACAAACAGTAACACTATTGCTTCTTGTTTCATACTGTGGAGGTGGTGACCCACAGGCTATTGGAAATGCTTGAAAACTACTGATGCCTTCAATAAGCATTTCCATATTATCTGTGAAAGAAAAGTATTTGTCTATTTTTTTCTTAAGCTCAGGTATTGATCAAACAACCACTTTATCAAATTTTGAGATTGCAGGCTGTGAAACAAAAACAGCGTGTCATCTCTTAACAGCATTTTACAGTTTACAAATGTAAAATCTCTCTTAAATTACTGTAAGCATTATTGTTATGAGAAGTACCGTAGAAGATAAAAATAATTTAGATTATCTGAAAAATAAAACTTAATTTTCAGAATGTTTGAATGTAAAAGCAGTTGACAACTATTTTTCTAAATAAAAAGATCCATATAAAAATCAGTGAATGAGTATTTTCTGTGCAGGCAGTTATACTCTACAAAATACTCAATGAGCTATGAAAAAGAGGTCTCAGCTACAGAAAATCATAATTTAAATGTTAGGTTTGTTCATTTTCAGCTTCATGAATCAATAGAGTAAATCCTTTATATTATTCTGTATGTAAAATCTGGTCATGTTTAAAATCAGATTTTGGGACTTCTACTCATCAGAAGTACCTTTTCATGGAGCCATTTAATTAAGTGTTTATTTCTTTAATAGTCTCAACCCCACAGAAACCATCAAGAATTTAAACAAGATGACAGATGTAACATATCTGGCAATGTCCTCCTCGTCCCCTGCCTCAAATACCTAGTGATTACAGCAATTTATTGTTAAACTTATTTTACCTGAGAAAAAAGAAATTCATATTGAATCAGAAATTTAAAATATATACCTTAAAGATGGAAGGCATGTTAAATTGGACTTAAGAAGGGGACAAGAGCCAGAAATCTATCAGGAGAGAACTTTTATGGAAGGTAGAATTATGTCCTGGGGTGCTCCAAAGAGAGATAGCAGAAAGGGTACTCTATGGGATGACACTTCGGATGCCATATCTGGAGGGTCTAGGCCACCAAGCCCTTTACAACTCTAAACTTTCTGAAGGGATCAGGAAACAGTACGGTAACACCCAGGCTGGAAATAAAGCTTTCATACTTAAAAGGTATTTTCTCTTCATCACTGAGGAAGGCCTCTGTAATTAGATGCATAAACTAGTGCATATGAACAAGAAACACACACAATTGGACAAAGACAAGAAAGATACCTATCTCCACAACTTTGGGAAACAGAGCAAACAGATCAATATATTAAAATAAGCACAGTTGGCCAGGTGCAGTGGCTCACGCCTGTAATCCCAGCACTTTGGGAGGCTGAGGCCAGTTGATCACCTGAGGTCAGGCATGTGAGACCAGCCGGGGCAACATGGTGAAACCCTGTCTCTACTAAAATGCAAAAATAACCCGGGGCGTGGTGGCGCACGCCTGTAGTCCCAGCTACTCAGGAGGCTGAGGCAGGAGAATTGCTTGAACTGAGGAGGCGGAGGTTTCAGTGACCCGAGATCACACCACTGCACTCCAGCCTGGGCGACTGAGAGAGACTCTGTCTCATAAATAAATACATAAATAAATACCACAGTTAAAACCCTAAAAGAGATGTAAGAAGCTAGGCAGTCCACTACAAAGGCAATTAAAGAGTTCAGAAATAAAATTATGATTATAAAAATAGTATTGATTATAATACTGATAAAAATAGTAATAAAATTTCAATCCCGTGAATGAATAGTGCAGGAAGCACAACTGAAGAATGCATTTAGTGAGCTGGAAGACTATCTAACATTTGTAGACTCCTGTCTGAATATTCAACGAGAAATTTATCTTACATTCATTCCTGCCAAAGACCGGCTAAAGACAGAAAATATTTCAGCGTGGTGGATGGAGGCACAAATTAGTCATCTCTCCTCCCCTCTAAGAACCCAAAGTTTTATCTTCAGATTAAAGTAAATCATCAAACCACAACTACCAGGGCAATAAAATCTTAATTTTTCAAAGCAATGTCTTCTTTGAGTTGAGATTTAACATTATATTCTCAGCCTTCATAGGAAGGTATTACAAGACCTTTCGAAGAATGTTCTGTATTTTCAGAAGGTCAGAGTTGAAGACATTGCCCATCATATCACTTAATGTCCCATAGATGAAGATCTATATGACACTGTTTGTGCTAGAAGTTTAGTACCAGAAAAATTATTTTTTCCCAGGAGATTTCCTTTATATGATATAAAATCTATATTTCAATGTGTATCCCTTTTGCTTTGTTTGCCAGGAAGCCCCTAGCTAAATATATTAATTAATTAAATGATTCCAGATATGTGAAACATATATTTGTATATTCTTTATGCTGTTTTAAACCTGTCTTATTTTTTACATTTGACCTTAGGCTTTTATAGAAATAGGCAATTAAAATAAATAAAATTGACAGTTTAAACTGCCTAAAGTGTTTTATAAGCATCTGAGTTTATGTAATAAATAAATAATAAAACATAAATTGAGTAGGGTCCCACAGTTCATCTAGGAGAATGGCCTCTAAATAATGTTTGGAAACCTAAAGCACATTAGATTGAGTTCTGGCTTACTAAAATCAAAACAACAGCTTCTAAACTCCAATTACCATCAAAACTAGCCAAATCTTACCTTCAAACTTAACAACTCTTGAAGACTTTTCCCTCTTTCCTCTAACACATACAACACTTTAACTTCCTTCTCATCTAAAGTAGATGACATCATATCCTCCTTCTCAGAACAGTAAGCTTCACAAATAAATGTTATCTTTGCCCCACTGCCAATCCTGCAAATCCACATACATCTTCCATCCCTAGTCTTTCAAGAATTGAGTTTGAAAGAATGGGGATCTGGCAGGGGATGTGGAATTAAATTGAATTTTTATTTTATTGTATTTTATACTAGTGATGCATAACAGAAAAGAGAACTTGAACAACACTATAAACAAATTAGATTTAACAGACAAATATAGAACACTCTACCCAACAAGAGCAGAATACATATTTTTCTCAAGTACATATGGAATAGTCCCCAGTGTAGAGCATATCTTAGGCTACAAAACAAGTGTTAATCAATTTTAAAAGACTGAAATTATACAACATTTTTTTAATCACTATGGAATGAAGCTAAAAATAACAGAAGGAGAACTGGAAAATTCACACATATGTGATGAGAGAGAGCATTTCCCCATGATAACGGGAAGAACAAGGGATGGATAAGGATGAAAACGTAGGTAGATTTACATGATCGGCAGTAGGGAAGAGGACAGTTATTGAAAGTGAAGTATAGAAGTCTCCAGCTATTGTTGTAGAACTATTTCTCCTTACAGTTCTACCAATGTTTGCCTGATAGATGTTGGGGCTCTGTTATTTGGTGCATATATATTTACAATTGGTGTCTTCATATTACCTTATCATTTTATCAGTATATGATTTTCTTCTTTGTCTCTTAGAATAGTTTCTGACTTAAAATCTATTTTATCTGATAGTATCGCCCCCTCGGCTCTCCTCTGGTTACTATTTATGTGAAGTGTGTTTTTTCATTCTTCCAATTTTATCCTATTTATCCCTTTAGGTCTAAAGTGAGTATTTTGTAGGCAGCATAGAGTTGGATAACGGTTTGTTTAATTGTGTTGTTATCCATTTTACCTATCTCTGCCTTTTGATTGGATAGTTTAACCCATTTATATTTAAGGTAATTCCTAATAATGGAAGATTTTTGCCTTTTCGTTATTTGCCATAATTTCCTCCATTACTGGCTTATTTTGTGTTCCGTTGAAATTTTGTGTGTGTAATGACATGTTTTGCTTCTCTTCTCATTTTCTTTTGCATATAGACTATAGATATTTCATTTGCAGTTACCCTGGGGATTATATATAACATCTTAAAATTATTACACTCTCATTTCAACTAATGCCAAATTAACTATTATTGCAAGTAGTAACTCTACAACTTTACTCTTTCTGCTCTCTTTTATGTTTCTGATGTCACAAAGTATATCTTTATGCATTATGTGACCAATAACATTGATTTATAATAATTAACATATTTGTCTTTTAAATCTTATAGTAAATACAAAGTACAATTACAAATGAAAATTACTATAACAGTGGCTCCTTTTTCTGTTTCTCCACACGTTATATTTACATTTATTGGAGATCACTCTATGTTCATGAAGCTTTGAGTTACTGTGTAGCTTTTTAAAATTTCAACCTTAAAGACTCCCTTTGGCATTTCTTGTAGGGCAGGTCTAGTAGCAGTAAACTCTCACAGATTTAGCATATTATGGAATATCTTGATTTCTCCCCAAATCTTGAAGGACAGATTTTCTGGATCTGGTATGTGGAGGAGTCACATCTCTCTTGCTGCTTTCAAGATTCTTTGTCTTTTACAAGTTTGATTATAATGTATCTCTATGTGGGCTTATGAAGTTTAGCTACTTGGAGTTTATTGAAATCCTTAGATTTGTAGATTCATTAATTTTATAAAGTTTGAGAAATATTCAGCCATTATTTCTTCAAATAATCTTTTTTTTTGTTCTTTTATTTCTCTCTTCCCCTTCTCAGAATCCCAAAATGCACATGTTGATCAGCTTGTGGGTGTCTTACAAGTCCATTAAGTTCTGTTTACTTTTCTTGATTTCTTTGTCTTTCTGCTCCTAAGACACAATAATTTTAGTTTTTCTCTTTTCAGACTCACAAGTTCTTTCTCTTCCTGTTCAAATCTGCTATTGTACTTCTGTAGTAAATTTTTAAATTTCAACTATTGAAATGTTCAGCTCCAGATTTTTTGTTTCTTTAAAACAATATGTTCTATCTTTTTGTTGACATTCTCATTTTGTTCATATTCCCTTTTTTAAATTTATTTTATTACCCTTGCCCATGCCTTCCTTTAACTCTTTGAACATATTGTAGACAATTGTTTTAAACATTTGTCTAGTAATTTCAGTGTCTGGACTTCCTAGAAGATGATTTCTGTCAGTTAATTTTGCTTCTTGGAATGGGCCAAGTTTTTGTATTTCTTTGTATATCTTATGAATTTTGTTGTTGAAAATTAGAAATTTGATTATTATACTGTGGTAACTCTATGACAAAATCTCCTTCTCCTCAGGATTTTCCCTGCTTTGTTTATTTGTTTTTAATGGTTGAAAGCTATAATGGTCTATTTGTTTTGAGAATTTTCCAAATTATTTTTGCAAAGGGTATTCCTTGTGGCATGTGATGATGGAAGTCTCTGCTCTTTTGGCTTGTGTTCAGCTTATATTTTGATAAAATTTTCTTCAATTTCAGGAGCTTTCCCAGTCTTTGCAAACTGGTTCTGTTCTGGAAGAGCCAACACTTTAACAAAGGCCTATTCTGAGCCTAGACATCAGCCTGAGGTGAAAGAGTAAGGTTTTCACAGGATTTTTTTGAGCATGCATCTACCTGAACAGGTCCTTGGCCTTCTAAACGTCCCTGTAAATGTGGCTGCTTCTGAATGTCCTAATTTTCCAAAGAGCCTCAGCCTGGTTTCTTCTCCAGAGTTTAGTTGGTCTATTGTATGTTCTACCTATAAACTCTTGGCCCAGGTGGCTGCAGGTCTGTAGTCACCTTGCACATTTTATGAGCAGTATCTGCCACTTTTCCACCTGAGTTGTGAATTAGACAAAACAAAGATGAGCACTTTGTGTCAATCCTTCGTGCATTTACCAGGCAGGTTAAAAGAGATGGGCACAGTAATTTTCAGATAAGGTCTGCTCTGCTTCCTCTAATTGAAGGGAAGGAACTGGAAACCAGGCTGCTGCTATCTCAAACTGAAGACCACTGTCATGCCCGGGAGAGGCAGGAGGAGGGTGATTTCGAATGCCACAAAATTTTTCTATTCTTTTAAGATGGGTTTTTCTTGATTGAGTGTTCACTTATTTGCTATAAACATTTTATTGTTTTCCAGAGCTCTGAAAATGTTGGTTTAGTTTCCGCATTTTTTAAAAATAATTCTTTTTGAAGAATAAAAGTTTGGCAAGCCTTAGTCTACCATTTTGTTCTTTATATGCATTTTCAGATTGCCAGATTGCTGAAAATCTTAGAAATATTGGTGGAATAGCCAACACATTAAATCAAATAAAACAAAAACAAGTTATAATAGTTTGAAAGGGTGTTCAGATTTGAAAATGAAATCAATAGATTTTACTCAGGCTCAGTCTAAGCAATTTGAGACTGACAGGCTTTCCTGTTGATGTGCCTCCACGTTTTTATTAAAGGGAATGTCTATATTTCTGTAATAAAAGATATTAGGGATAAAACAGACATGAGCAACTAAGGGTACATGAAGTTGATGGGAAGGTAAAGGCTTACTCATTTTTGTTTTTTAAATGATTTCTAAGACTGTATGCAGCAACTTTTGCTTAGAGATTGTTTTCAGTAGATATTAGAGGCAGATTATGTGAAAGATAGCTGAAAGTTATCCATTTCAGGAAGTTAGATTTATCTTCAGAAAAGACAAGGTGAACTTAATGCCAGCTGATGTCACAGCAGAAGTTAGAGGTAATATCAGTATCCACTAATGGTGCTGGTTATCAACATGTCATGGCAATAAGAGAAAGTTCCTAGTACATCTAAATACACTACAATAAACAGACAGCTGTTTGATGCCATAGCCCAATCTGAGAGTCTTTAAATTATGCTGCAGATCCAGTGCTCAATCTCTCCCCACTTCCTCCTGGAATATTTCTGTCTCTTTTTTCTCTCTCTCTGACCTATGACTGGCTAGTTTATATTTAATAGAAGCCCACCTGCAGCTTTATCCCATTGACCTTTACAGGCCTTCATGTTTAGGATGGTGTTCATCTGCCTTTCCCTTGAGTCTTCTCCAAGGCTGAGGGTAAATATGATATATTCCATGGTGGGCAGATGTAAAGGAGGAATAAAATAATCTGTAACAAATGCTTAACACAGATCTGATACATAATTAATAGTGATTGTTACTAATGTTCTCCTTCCTCTTTTCTAATGTTCTAGTTTATCTCTCTTCCTACCAAAAACTGGTACTCAGAGCTGTACAAGATATTTCCAGTTTTGCCTAATCACTTTGTAGTCCAGTGGGAGTATTTCAGATATAATCCTTTGTTGAGTCCTGAAAAAATGGTACCATTTGTATAATTTCATCTGTCTGAAGACTTAAATTTTTACTTTTAATTTAACTCATAAGGCATTTTTCTCTTTTACCTATAGAAAAAATGATAGATAGACATATAGATATACTTACTATTGCTAAACCATATTTTTCCCAACCTATTTTTCAGAATTTGGATTTCAAAAATCCAACTACAAGGCCTTACACTTTGAAATTTCCTCTTCTTAGACTTCATTCATTTTGGATATCAATTCAGCTATTGAATTTTTAATATCATTTAACTTCATGCATCGGCAAACTCAATGTGTTCTTTATCTTCCTATGTTATCGATAAAAATATTAACAGAGATAACTGTGTCTAGAGAGTCCTGTGGCATGCCAAAAATACTCCCCCAGCTAGAATCTGCCATTTAACATGTATTTACACAACATCGTGACATGGGAACAAAAGCTACATTTGAGACATTGTATAGTTCAGTTTACAAACATTAACTCTTTCAAGCATTACAGAGATCTTGAAAATTGAATATCATCATCCCTATTTGTCTCCTAAGGAAACTGAGTCACAGAGAGGTCCACAAATGTTCCCATGATCACTCAGATATCTCCCTTTTCTCTAACCCAGTGGGATTTGTTGCTAGGACCAAAATATCACTAAGCATCACATGATAAATAAAACAACCAAATGAGGATGCCCTTAAGAGAATCACTTTCCATTTCTTACTCTCCACATGTTCAGTCTGGCATCATATTTTGAAAATTATAAAAAATTCAAAGCAGTTTAATAGAATATTCTAACATCAAAGTATAAATAATATCCTCATCTAATTAGAAGTACCTATTGCCATGTGTTCAGTTTTTCACCATTTACCAAGATGACTTTCTGAGATTGTGTGATTTGCACAGTGGGTTTTGGAAACACCATCAAAGTTATTGGGTTTCCTCATTGATACATCAATGTAGGTGCATCGGAAGCATACCACACTCCATTCAACTTAAAACCCAATGACAATTTTACACATAATAGGGTGAGAGGTCTCATACAGATATTATTTTTATCAATATTTAGTATTTTAGAAATAATTTCTAAATGATATTTGAGGGAGTCCGGGAAGGAGATGTGAGAAATTTAATATATTTTAACTCATGTCTTAGTTCAGACATTGAGCCTCTTAGGAGATGAGTTAGTTATTTATCTACACATGCTTTTCTTCTCTTTTCATTAATTTAATTTAATTCCATTTATATGTAACCTGAGAGTACCATTCCCCTGCAGTATGCCCACTCCATTTGTACACTGAATTGAAGTCATCATGCCTGCTTTAATGGCTGTGAAGGACTTAGAAATTAATAGCTCTCTCTTGAATTAGTAAATTATATTTTTCCAAAGAGAGAAAAGTGCCTCATAAAAATAAGTGACTAGAGTCACTTTTATTTTATTTTTATAACAAGTCTTTTTATGCTGTCGTTTTAAACCCCCTTTAACAATAACATCTTACATTTATATCATACTTTATACTTTTCAAAGCACTAGCATGCACATTATCCTATTTTTATTTCCACAACAACCTTCAGACTGAAGTAGAGAAGACGTCAGAGAAGGCCCTTGCTATAAACTGAAGAAGCAACACATTAAATGACTATTCATAAGTGAGTTCATGGGCCAACGCTAGGCCTCCTGGCTGCTAGTACCGGAATACTCAGTGTTACTCTAGGCAGATAGAAAAAGGGCTAATGGAGAAAGAGTTTCTTTTGCTTTTTACCAGATAATTTATTTTTTATTCATGCCAGAATCTACAAGTCTACAAAGTCTAAGTTTCCCCAAATATATGATTATTCAATTCACCCACAAGTCTTTTTTCCATTTTTTCAAAAATACAATAATATTATTATTAGCTATAGTCACCATGTTGCACAATAGCTCTCTTGAACTTATTCCTTCTGTGTAATGAAAAAGTTGTATCTTTTGATTAATATCTCTTTAACAAGAAAGACTTTCTTGCTGGGATGTTTATACACTGATTAAAAATAACAATAATATGCTGCCAAATGTAGAGGGTTCAGAATAATAAAATAAGAATTGGAGGTAAATTTGTAAAAACATTTTTGGCTGAACTGAAGAAAATAATGTATACTTCACATTTTAAAATCTTTGTATGCATGCACACATACAAATATATATATATTTCTTAATAGTATGAATAATGAAACAATCTTCCAATTTGAATAAGTAAGTCTAATTCAAAAAGTTAATTTTTTCAGACTCTATGTTTTTAATTTTTTAGTTTTATTAGAAAAAGAGCAGAAAACCCTAATCTGTCTTATTGTTATCAGAAAACTTTTTAAAAATGTATCCCTCCATTTTCAATAAATACTATATTTGCTGATTATGTTGAACACCATATGCCATATATAGTTCTTAACATATATATGCTACTTCAAAATAGCATACTTCATTTATATAGAGAGTTCACAAAATCTCACATACACATAAATGAACTCCCAGTGATACTGCTGAGTTCTGTCATACAGAAACATATTTTGATGTTTTTGAGCACTTATTATGTCCCAGACACCAACCTAAGTAATCGGGTTAAAAGGACAAATAGTACACAGACTGCCCAGTCTCTGACCTTGGGAGGGAAACAATTTAACCACTAACAAAAACATAATATAGTATAAGGCAATATATAAAATGCAGTGTGAGTACAAATAAGAAAATTATCAATTCCTCCTGAATGATTTGGAAGACGTTGCAGAGGAGGGACTATTGAGTTTGAACTTGAGTAGGAGACTAACTGGAAGCTCTGGGAGCAGGCAATGTAGGTGTTTGAAAGAGCTGAGCAAAGGCAGAGATGCTGGAGCCCAAAAAGGAGGGTGAGAGAGGACTTGGGGTTGGTGTGTTCTTGAGCTGGGGAATAATGGATCTGAAAGAAGAGTCGAGAAAATGCTAGGGTTTTGCAATGTTTGTTAGAAAGTTATCAAACAAGAAAAAAAAAAGCACCAAAGTTAAATTAAAATAGCAAAGTATTACCAATATGTTTTAAGACATTTCATTTGTATAAAGAATAGAAACTAACTTAAATTGACATAAATCTCATGACCTTTCTTCAAACACACACACGCATACACACATATATCCAGGTCACAAATTTTTCCTATGGACCAAGAGCGTAAAGCTGTCAGGAAAACTCACAAACATCGAGGGAGAAAGCCTGGGAGGCTCTCAGGAACTGGGAGATTCCTGTTCCTTTCTCTCTTAGCAGCCTTTCGGATCTCTGTTTTTGAATTTATCTCCATCTGCCTTGTTCACTTTCTTCACAGATTGTCTCTTTGACCACAGCAGATGATGAGTGCTCCACATTCCTGAGTTTGAACGTCCTCTCCATTTGAGTTCTGTGCAATCCAATTTTGTGATGAGACAATGTGACAGAACCAGGCTGGAACTGCCGAATAAAATAGTGACACAAGGCAGGGCCATCGTACCAGGTTGTCTTCTGAAAGCTCTTTAAGGGGCCTTAATGGGCCCAGCATGTGCTAGATTCTGTTGGTTAAGGGCACAGATGTTAAATCTAAATTGTCTATGTTCAAATCCCAGCTTCAAGTTGTTTGTTACGTGGTCTTGGGCCATTTACTTAACCAGACATTAAATACCACATCACCACCACTTTGCTTGGATAAGACCACCGAGGCACAGAGAAACTCAACCAGTTCAGTGCATACATGAGTCAGAGCATGGGTTTGCAGTCTGACCCTTGAACACAGGCTCTTAATTGCTAAGCTATTTTAATTGTAAGGAAACACATTTAGATACTTTATTTTCTTTGCTAAGACATTTAAAAATATTTCTTTGCTATGCAACAGGGACTTCTGCTCAGGCCAGAAATTATTAATGATAGAGCAGTGAAGAGAGAAAAAAAAGAGTTGGAAAAGAAAGTACTTTGTGTTTATTTACCTACGAAAATATAATTTCTTTGAAAGGAAATGGTATAATAAAATTTTAGTGCATCACTTTACATTTATTTAAAACATTTTTTCCAATATATATATTTGTTGTTCCAGATGGATCTTTCTGTGAAAAATAACCTTTAATATATTTTGGTAAACAATTTGGATAGCAAATTCTTCCTAATTCTTTTACTCTCCTCAACTCCAGAAGACTAGCTCATTGTCAAATTCTGGATCACTCTGAAAATATCTAGGCTGGTTTTATAATATTATTTATCTTTATTGCTGAAAACACAGCAGGTGAAGAAAAATGAAGACAATTTTGTAAATAATGGATGCAGAGATGACTTATTGTTTTTCTGCAATGAGAAATAAGCACAGTTTATTATGTGACCTTTTTTCAAGTGCCTGTCAAGAACTCAGAAATAATAAAGCCTTACTTGCAAAGAGTGACTGATTAAAAAGAGATACACACTTAAAATGTTGTATCTTTTTATTAAGAGCTAATCTTTTATTTGTGTGTTCATAGAATTAATGATATTTATAATCCTCCCCTCAGAAAACCCGTGGCTGCCCCCCATATAATGCACACACTCACCTGCACTTGCTGATTACATTTTTAGATATATTTCAGTTTAAAATGTATTAAAAAAAGATGTTTTATAACATATGCATGTGTTTTCTCCTTTATAGAAGGTCGTTTTGGATTTTGATCATTCTTCCTCTTGCTGGCTTTGAAGGGAGAAAGATCTTTTGACTTGTAAGGATCTGCAGTGTGCAGCTCCAGGCTTTTATTTCTATGAATAAGTGAGATGTTACCAGCTTCTTTTCTAATATTGATTCTAGAATTTCACCTAATTGGAACATTTTGGAACTATAGGTATATAACTCAACACCTTAGAATGTCCATGAATATCATACGATATCACTGGAGTGCAGCTTCAGTAGTGCAGCATTAAACAAATTGGCATATTGAAAAGATTTTGTTTCTTTTGCCTTCACGGTGTTCTAAATTTTTAAGATTATTCACAAAGAAGACAAGATGATTTTTGTTTGAAAGGCATAAACATTTAACACGTTTCCTTTGTGAAGCCAAGTTTTTATTAAGAATTTAAATGAAAGCTCTTTTTACATGAGTTCTTATTTAAGAGCAGAAATGCCCTCTGAAATAAAAACAAAATTAATAAAATTAATGAAAACACAAAAAATGTAACTCAAGTCACAATAGAAAAGTTTGCTTATTATAGCACATGGAAGGGGACTAGATAAAAAATTTAGAACTGACTTTATAGAATACACTATTTAAAGAGTGTCTTTTCTGGTCTGTACTCTGCCCTGTAATTAGCAAGATGTTGAATTATCATCCCACACAAGAAAGAATGTATTTGGGTTCAGTGAATCAAATGATTGCTTGGTCAAACATACACACACACTCACACACACACACACTCTCTCTCACAAGTAACACACTTAAGTAATAGTACATTTTTTAGTTTCTCGAAACATCAGAAAGGAAAGAATGATTTCCTTTAAATTTCACAAACAATAATGTTATAAATTTTTAATTTTACTAGTAAAGCTCACAATATTAAAGAAGAAAAATTAGGAAAATATGAGTTATACTTTAATAAACTATATTCTATCCCAAGTGTAGTTCTGTTTTGCTTTCATATTTTGATGCAATTGTTTGTCTTTAGGTTTTGAAAAGTTTTCTTAGAAATTGCATTTTTTAAAATTTGCTTAATACTAGGGCTATAGCTCTGAGTGAACAGAAAAAAAAAAAAGAAAAAAGAAAAAAATCCAACTAATGAAACCATCTGGGTATAAGCTGTTAAATTATTTTTTTAAACAATGTATGTTCCATAGCTCTTTTCCCTCCTTAAAGTTAGCAGGGTTTGAAAACCTTACTCGGTTTCTTCGATAAGAGGTAAATTGCCTTATATTCACTCAGAAGAAAGCTTACCTTGCACTTTATTCATAAACTGACTTGAAATGTGAAAGAAATAATTCTTCTAGGACATCCTGGCAGCAACTAAAAAACAAGACGAAATCTTCTTGTGTGCTCATGTATATTCCCAATTTTATGCACAGTGCTGAGTTGTTTTTTATTGCTTCCAGAGGAAATAAGCAAAACGTGTGTGTGTGTGTGTGCCTGCACACACGTGAGAGAGAGAAACAGAAAACGTGTATAAATGTGCATATACATGTCTTGTGTTCACTTGGCATACTGGTAACTTACTTGGTTAGTCTGATGACTGACATGGTAGGAAAGTCATCTCGAACACAACCAGAGAACAAAGGAATTTACCCAAGCAACCTGATGATCAGGGACACAAAGGCTTATCTCTTCTCCAGTCATCTAGTCACAGAGTAGATGGCTTTGTGATACATTTTTAGACCTGATATTTTAGGATATTACAGGTTCAAAGATTGAAAAAAATGTCGAGTTTGCTTTTGTAAGTCTCCTACGGCAAAACAACAATGGAGTCTATCAACAACATTCCTCTTGAGCATTTTCCCCGGCACTGTTGGAGTGAGGTAAAATCAGAATTCACTAAAAATTTGTTGTCAATACGTACTGTTCCTTTCTCTATTTCCTTCACTCATTTGTTTCTCTACACCAGTCTTGAGATACACATACATACACACAAACACAATGTGACACCATAGAAATATGGGTAATTCATAGCCGTACAAGTTGTTTCTAAGTCTTTGCTTAATTTGCCCTTTAAAATTAAACTATGATGGGTGAAATAGATGTACAATTGCATTTATATCATTACTCTTCTGTGCATTCAGCCCACAATAAGAACTGATTTTTAAAATAAAGAACTTATAATTTAGAAACTTACAAGTTTGATGTTAGTGCTAACGAAATGTGTCCTGTGCCTTTAATATGTAAATCTATTGAAATCCAGTCCTTGACATTGTGAGGGTCTCCATGCTTATTACTTTATGACATTTCCAGAATGAAGGTGCAGGAGGGGGCTCACATTAATTTGCTTTATGTTTGACTAGAGAGGCTTCCCATAACTATTAGAACCCACTTCGGGCTCACTTCATTTTAGAGTTGTTGTCAGTCATTTGAGAGTGATATGCCCTGTGGCTGGGAAGAATAAACACATCATATATTAGGTAAAGCTTTGATGTATGGGGGTTGCTGAATGCCAACACCTCGTTCTGTGGATAGGAAAAATCAGAATGTGGGAATGAGATTAGGATAGAAAGGAATATGACAGACAGGGGCCCAGCCAGCCTTCCTGGAACTTTCCAGCTCAGAATAAACTGAATGGGCAAAACCAGTATTTGTTTTGTTTTTGCTTTGGTGTGTTTTATGGTGGTTGTTCTGAAGAGCAGAATGAGATTCCAGAACATAATATTTGTTGTTTTTTTTTTGCCATTATCAAACTTTGAAATTAAACAAAACATTTAAGAGCTGATATTATACACTGGTCCAGAACATTTCAATCTCAACCACTTGTAACAACCGGCCAGAAACTAAGGGTCAGCATGTGAATCCCCATATTTTGTCTTCTTATACTCCCAAATGCTCCATTTTTACACATGTTAAAAAGTAGACTTTTAAAACTCAATAAAAATTTGGTTTTAGAGCATGGGAAAATAATAGTCTGTCCCAGAATCTACAAATATTTTTTTCACTTCTTTGGGTTACAGAATGAATTTATGACTGACTAGTATATTTTCAAGTTGGGAAGTCAATGAATTAAAGCATTATTTAGTGGAAAGCTTGAAATTTCCAAAAAATCCAGTTTTACCCAGAGGAATGTGTTTTATTTTTGCACGTGCTCAGCATCAATTTGCTCTACCTTATCTGAACTTCATCTTGAAGCAACTGCATGTTAGTCTGATTTGAACACAGGCGTTTCCACTCATGATGCAGCTGGTTTTCATGCTAGGCTACATGGTTCTTACTGAGAACTAATTATTTCGTATAGCTTTTATACTGTTCAGAGTCTTGAGAATCTCACTGAATGATGATTGGCATATATTACTACCTCACAGATTATATTAAACAGGCATATCTCACATTCTAATTGTATTGCCACTCTTTAGCCCTTGCACTGGGTCCTGCACATTCAGGAATGGTCTCCTCTCCTATTCTGTCATCTTGGTTAAAGAAAAAAAACATGTTGCCCTCTTTTTTACTGAGGGAATAAACCAAGAAAGTTCTATTTGTTAAAAGGAAGAATCTTATTTAGAAAAATTATACATTACAGATAAAAATACCAGTTTTCTCTCCCCAAGGCCACACATTTGAGCATTTGGAAGCAAACTGGCCACCCCGGAGGTCCATCCCTCTTCTCTGTTGTTTGCCTTAAACAATCTAACAGCATGAGGACAATAGAGCAAGTTAAATGTAATGAAAGTGGCTTTACTATATGTATGTATATAAGAAAAGAAATATACATGTATATATTTCAAGCAAGGGGATACATATTTCTATTCATTTTAAGTAACCCCAAAATCACAGTGAGCCACAATGATGAATGTATTTTGGCAGTTACAATAAATAAAGAGTAAAACAGTTTCTGTCCTAGAAAAAAGAAAAAAAATGATAGTAGAGAACCCATATTTGCATTTAATTTCTAATTTTCTTGCAAGTGGACCAAGTCTAATGATTTCTTATCAGAAGCCTCGAATCTTGATGCATCATGATTAATAAACAAATAAATATTACTCTTAATTTCCTTCTATGGATCTCTCCAAGTTGGTTAGTTAGGGTTATCTTGAACTACCTGAAAGGGATAAGATTAGACTACATACCTTAAAATATATAATATGTATATACTTATTTTTATAGCATTTATAACAATGGTCAACATTTGCCTATTGTTTAGGTTACATAATATGCACTTACGTATTGATAGCATTTATAACAATGGTTAACATTTACCTGTTGTTTAGATTATGCCAATCATGCTGCTTTGCTAAGGACTTTTGCTGCATTTCATAGCCTTAAGAACCTAGATGTAGTCACTTTTGGCAATATCCAGCTAGTCATTTAGTTTTGGAAAATTAGAAAAATAAAATAAAGATGTCCATGAATCGCTCTCCATACTGACATATTCTTATCAACATTGCCAATAAGGTTTTATCAGCCTCAGGCATGAGGCAGATCTATCTTATTAGTGTGAAAACTAATGAAAGATCATCCTGACAATGATAATTAATTGCAGTTGTTGACAAGGACTCAGTTCCTTTACACTCCTCTGCTGTTGCTCTTTCTCGGTCTTTCAGCTCTCTTCTCTCAATTAGACATATGAAAAGTGCGGCCCTCCCCTTGGAGAAAGAAGCTTTTAGATTAATCATATTATCTTAAGGTTCCAAATCTCCATGCCTGCGTGACCTTTCTTCCGTTAGAATCCATTATCTTAAACTATCACAATAATCCTGGCTTTAGGGAGGGAGAGAGGGAAAAGGAATCAAACCTAATAGATGGCAAATAAGATTAATCTATGATCTAAGTGCCGATTACACTTGGCCCTGCCCTTGAACACCCAGGTGTAACCTTGAAATTCACATCCGCTAAGACACAGCAATTGGATTGAGTGTCCCTCAAGGCCTTAAGGGCAGCTGGCCAAACTTTACCCATTACTCCCCAGCGAGATCGTGGGCTGTCTCAACCTCCAACTCTTTTTACTTGTGGAATTTGGCAGCTGTGCTTTTTCATGTTTGTTTTGGGATAGTTCACATTTTTTAGATAAAATACTTATTTTGGGTCCTTGATTTTTGTTTGTCAGAAGCACCAGGCCATGGAGGGAATGAACTTTTACCTGGACCTCACAAGAGGAAAACAAATGGTCCAGCTCCTCAGAATCTGATAGCTCCACCAAAATAAATTCAGTCTTTGCTTCTTTCAAAACACTGACATACTGATCCTTAAAGCTACATATGTTTAAGAACAACCAAGGGGAGAAAAAAAATTCCCCCTTGTAACATTTGTCTTCTGAACTTTGAGCTGATTATTTTTCTTCCACATGGCCTGAGGTCTTAGAAAGGACACCCTTTTGGTAAGATGGAACATGACATCGGGAAGTCCCAGCTACTGGTGACACAGACAGGAAAAAGGATTATGTAGAGAAAACAATTTCAGCCAAAGAGAAGTATCACTGGGTCAGATAGAGAGAAGGGAAGTAAAATAAAAATGTATTCTCATTAAAAGTTGGCCCTGTCTGCAGAAATTCAAAGTTGACCAGATAGAATGTTCTCTCATTATGCTTCTGTGTTGTTCAGACCTCTAAATGTATTGTAACCCTGGAAGATGGAATAAAATTAAGTCCAAAATAAGAGTAAGAAAGAAAGTTAGGTCTAAACAAGAAAAAAAATTAGTAGACTTTAAAAATATTAGAGGTAAAACTTGGTGGGTAGAAAATATGACCATGTATCCCAAAAAAGATAGCTAAATAAAAAATGCCAGGGACACAATTTAGGGAACTCACTCATGCCATTCTTATCAGTGTTACACGTATCTTGGGAGTGTCTCTCTGGCATACTCCCAGGCACAAGTTCTATCTAAAAACAGAACGACTCTTGCAGTGTTCACTTTGTGAAGGTTTTCTCAACTGTTCTCTTAACAAAAATTAGCACATATTTGTTTTTAGTTCATACTGAGATTTGTAGGACGAGGACCTCAGACCCACAGTTCCTGAGCAATTATTCTGTAATTTTTCTTGTCACTTTATAATTTAATTCCTAAAGTATTAGAAATAAATTCAATCTTACAGTAATCTCTATTTCCTTTTTTTTCTTTTAAAAGTAAGTCATTAGCTTTTTTTCTTAATAAGTGTAATGAAGGGGGTATAGAAACACCATTTTTCAGAGACCATCCTTTGGAAACTTAATTTCGAAGCTCATTTGTCAAGAAGACATGGCTGGTGACAAGTTCCTGGGTGGCACAAACTGCATGATCTAGAACTTGTCGTTTAACATGTCCGAATCTTGATTTGCACAAATGTAAAAAGGAATATGGAAATAAGTCTATGTCAATCCAGGGCTGAAGATTCAATAATTATATGTATAAAAGTGTCTGACAATAGCTGGCTGATTGGGTTGAATCCTAGCTCTGTTGCTTTTTAACTATGTGACCTTGGGTAAATTGCTCAACCATGTTGTACTTTAATTTCCTTATTTTGAGAGTAGGAATTAACAGTATTTACCTTATAGTGTTTTGTTGGGGTTTAAATGAGTTAAAAGAGCTAAATTGCTTAGAAGATATTTAAGAAGTACTGTATAACTGTTTGCCGTTATTGTTATCCTTGTTGTCACTATTAGAGTCTCAGTGAAAGATACTCTTTCTTTTTTTTTTTTTTTTTTTTTTGGCGGTGAACTCAAGAACACTGGAAAACAACAATACCACTGGTTTCTTAGATTTTTGCAAGGATCACAGCTGAAAAAACATCAAAGAAATGAAGGATTCCGGAAGCTCTGGTAAAAACACAAAGGATTCTTCCAGGCTTCTTTTCTCTTGTGAGTTAGGACAGTGCCATTTTGACGGAGTGTGGGAGCCGTTGTCAGCTGTCCTGGGAGGGTTAACTCACACCTAGGCGGGAGCCTAATGCCATTAAGTCAGGGAGAGTAATGAAATTTCATTTAATTTGTCAGGAAGAAAGTGCTAATGTTAAAAGGCATTTAATAAAAAAAGGGAGCGATTGTTTGAAAGGGAGTCCTTAAGTAATTACTTCAAGCGTCTTATGCCTACTCACCAGAATATTTACATTAGTGTCTTACAGTGCCAGTGTGTAATCAAATTAGTGCAGCATTGACAGTCCCTGTTTTTTTTTTCTTTTAAGGAAGTGTGATTTTATTAATAATCTTCCTTTTAAAAAGAGAGAAAAAATAACTTGATGTAATCAAATCAAACGTTAGCATATTTTTGTTTTTGAAAATTTCTTACTAAGAGAATCGCTGGGTTAATGTTGCAGGTGAGTGCACGTGTTGGTAAGAAGCGCTGACTCCAGGGCAGAGTGGCCGTGCTCCTTCCTCATCCCCACTTACAAAAATGCCACCTTTTATCTACTCAGACCTGACATGGAGATTCAGGTCAGCAGCCAGACCGTCAGCATATTGCAGTGGATACCCCTGCCTAGTCCGGGTTCTCTTTTCAACTTGTCTGCGAGGCAAGGAGGGATACAGATGTGGGAGTGAGGGGAAGTCCGCAGGAACCCGGGTGAGGCAGGCTCATCCCTCATCACTCTGTGCGCACGGAGCAGCTCAGGCTCTCGCCGGCAACAGCAAGAGGAGTTAACTAATGTGCTGGGAGTGGGGGACGGCCCATGGGACCACGACTGAATGCATTTGTACTTTTACAGTCAGGTCACACTGAGGAAAATGATTCTTAAACATTTCTTTGGAAGTAACTGCTGCTGTTTTCCAGATTAATTTATGAACATCGGAATGAATGAGTCTGCGCACTGATATCATGCAAATGTTTTCCTTTTATCAGGTCTGTCTTCTAAGGGATATGGGCAAGAGCATAGGCTGCTGATTGGAGACACAATGAATAAGATATAGAAAAGGAAGTATAGACTTACCTCATACAGGGGATTTGAATATTAAGAGAGGTCAGGTTATCCAAAAAGTGTGTAAACTATAAAGTGTTACTAATTCTAGCTACTATTATAACTATGGCTGGAGAGATCTTACTAAATTTCAAAACTGATTGTATCACTCTCCTTCTTATTATCATTCAGTGGTTTTCCATAGCTTCAGTGAATGCGTGAACTTTGCAGTAAACCATGCATCGCCTCTGCTGATTTCCAGAAGTCACATCCTTCAAGAATCTACTGTTTTTCAAAATATCAGGTCTTCAGAATAGAAGAATTCTCTTATCTCTAGACCTTTGCATGTGTTTTTCCCTCTGTCTAGAGCTGAGTTGCCCAGTGCTTTAGCCACTAGGCTCGTGTGGCTATTTAAATTTAAATTTGAAAAAAAAATTAAAATGAACGAACATAATTTAGTTCCTCTCATGCATTAGGTACGTTTCAAGCCCTCCATAGCTGTATGTGGCTGTGGCCACCATATCGGGAAGTGCAGCTGTAGGCCATTCATTTATAGCAGGGGGTTTCATTAAACACCTCAGGTTTATAGCCACCTTTTCTACCTTCTGACTTCATCTTTAATTTTTCAGCTTAGCTATCACTTCCACAAGGAAGTCTTTTCTACCTCCATCTCATTCCTTCAATGAGAGTTGGGATGTCATTTTTTAATATCCCACCCTATAAAAATTGCCTATATGTTTATCTGAATTTTCTGATCTAAGATGAGGCCGATTTTCTGATCAGCTCATGAGGTCAGGGTCTTGTCTTCTGAATTGATCAGCATTATATTGTGCACTTGGAAAGCAAATAATAGTGAAACCATAATGGAGTGTTTATTAGGTGCTATTGTAAGCACTTTATATGTATGATCTTACTTAATACATAAGTAGGTACTATTTATCTCCTTTAGTACATAACTGGCTGCTATTGTTATCGCAATATTGCAAACAAAGAATCTGAAGCACAGAGAGGTTAAACCACTTACAGACACCCAGAGGGAGAGGGAAGGGTGGGGCTAGGCAGCTGGGGCCAACTTAGGCTCTGAACCTCCATGTCTTTGGCGTTCAAACAACTTTTGTTGAACAAATGTAGGCGTACGTATGAATAGGCAATAAAGCAGACAGTAGTCACTCTTTCCTAACATCACTGTTTTATTAATTGTACTGATTTTCCCACCAGTCTGACTGTAAAAAGTATCGTTTTCTTTTAATAAGTGTTTTACGCTTTCTCCTTCAGTCCTCAACTGTAGGGTGAATAAAGAAGGCGTATTATACTGCCTCTACAAGTAAGAAACCTGATGTGTAGAGAGGGTAAGCAAGATAAAAGGCTAGTGGGCTGATACTATAAAGTCAAAGTAAGACACAGGCTTGGCAACTATTCAAGTGACATGATGCATATGGGCAATGAATCCAAGTCATCAACTTTGATTTTCTTTGGCATTAATGTCTTAGTTTTCTCACTGCTCAAGTCGTATTAATTAGCAATATCATTTCTTTCTTCATAACTGCGTGTGTTGCTAATGTTATTTGTTAGAACGAAATAGCTAGACATTGTTTTCAACAAATTAAGATGTCTATAAATAGGTCCCCAATCAGACATTAAGCCTCATGACTATTGTATCAGTACAGCTATTAATAAATCAATAATGTGGTTTTTGCCTATAGACTATTTTTAGTGTTTCAGATTGAATGTTGATCCCAAAAAAAGAGACTTTTTTAAGGCAAATTCATTTAATACAAAATTTTGGTTTAAGTGAGATTCTCATTACAGCTGAAGCTTAAGACTGTATCTTTCTGCAGGGTCCAAATACATTAGTAAATATGAAAATGGAGGGTTAATTGAATCTCTGTGGGACTATATTCCATTTTCTTGGAAAATCAAAGCATCAGCATGGATGAGTTGGTGTTCTGGATTTTGTATACTCAAAGTAATAGCTACCTAATGCTTTGAGGACTTAACATCGAGCAAGTGATAGTCTATGAACTTTACCTATACTGACCCCTGTATTCTTGGCAAGAAATCTATAAGGTTATTGTCTTTTTTATGCAGATGAGAAAGCTGAGGCATAGTGCTATAATAATTTCCCCAAATCATACTGCCAGGGAGTGACAGACTGTGATTTGAACTTATGTAATCTAATTTCAGAGCCCATTTTCTTAACCACTATTCTCTATTGCCTCCTGATCAACAGGTCCAAACACACATGCAAAATTTATACAGGGTTTTAGAATAGTTTTTCTTAAAAAGTGAGAATTATAAAGAACTTTCTGTGTTTTATTGGAGGGCGCCATCCTAAAGGAAAGTTCCCTTTGGATTGTCAATGCAGTTTTAAAAAGCGAAAAACTGCTAAATAGAAAACTACAAGAAGGGATTCCTGGTATAATTGAGCTCTTCAATATGTTTGAGGAATTTAGTTAGTTAGATAAAGAAGACTATTAAGGAACAACTATTTTATAATCTATCTTTTACTTTTATTTTCTTACTTTTCAATATAATAGCACTTTTGTCCAATGGTAGCAAAAAGCTTTCAGTTGGTTTTTAGATAATTTTTCTAAGTCGGTGACACTTAATAGTGCATATTGGCCAGATGCGGTGGCTCACGCCTATAATCCCAGTACTTTGGGAGGCTGAGGCAGGCAGATCACGAGGTCAGGAGATCGAGACTATCCTGGCTAACACAGTGAAACTCCGTCTGTACTAAAAATGCAAAAAATTAGCTGGGCGTGGTGGCGGGCGCCTGTAGTCCCAGCTACTCGGGAGGCTGAGGCAGGAGAATCGCTTGAACCCAGGAGGCAGAGGTTGCAGTGAGCTGAGATCACACCACTGCACTCCAGCCTGGGCAAAGGAGCGAGACTCTGTCTCAAAAAAAAAAAAAAGAAAAGAAATGCATAAATGTATATTGGTCTTTAAATAACCTTGTCTGGCTACTATCTAATATTGATCCATATAAACCTAAATGTATCTTCTCTTTTCCCAAACCCAAAGGATAGAAAAAGTAAAAATAAGGTAGCTTAAAAATACATTCACATTTCTTTATTGGCAACCGCTTCAGTCAAAACCCAGGTATAATTTTTCTCCTAATCACAAAGTGTCACTAATGACATTTTACAAATATATTGACTGTATTTTCTTGAGAGCTGTTTATAAAGTGGATACAATGGTTCATCCTGGTATTTGGCCACCTTTGTTACTTAGCAGGATTGACTGGAGATTGGATCTGCCCAGGTCTCCTGTAATCTGTCCTTTAGATGAGAGGGAATCGGAAAACCCGGACGCTACCAAAAATGTGAATTCAAGTGAAAAGAAAACATGTCCTAGCTTTTGAAGACCCTGAAGTAGTTGAAAAAAGATGATGGGTGTTTTTGACTCTAAAGCTCATTCTAAGGCAGGGAAGAAAAAAAAAACAGCAGATCTCTTTGCTTTTTCCAAAGAACGCTTTTGAGAAATGTGGCATTCCACAGAAGAACACAAAACAGCTAAAGCTTTTAGATGGAATTAAAATAATTGCTGACATTATTTAGAGCTAAACTACAGGCAAAGAAAACATTGAATGACCCAAAATCATGTATGTGGCATTAAAAATATATATATATTGAAATGGGGAAAACAGATTCAGAAGAAATGATTTGTAAGGATGTGGTTAAAACTATTTATATCCTGGGTTCTATTTGTTTTACAGCTAGTGCTGCACGGACAGCATGAAAGGTTATCTTTGACAAGGTTTTAGCTATTATTTTCTTCCAGTGAAATGGTATTTCTTGAGAAAAAAAGGTCTTTGGAACAAAATAACAATAAATCCTGATTTAGATACATAAACCTGCCATTGATATCACATAATATCAGTGTTCTTTCTCACTCGATACAGGCGTTTTAAAGATAAATGGTAAAACTGAACTGGAAATCCATCTGGCCGGCTGCCTGCTCTAATGAATAACCCCACTTTGGCTCGTGCAATGTAAGCAGAAAGTTCTCTCCCGGCCTCTTTCGTCTGTCATGAATCTACAAGACAGCCGACATAATATCTGGGCGACAACAGTGCGCTAACAGTGCAGTGACTTCCATTTTCTTTGCTTTCTATTGATTTTCACTTAATAACTGGCGAAATACTAAACGTCCGCCCTGAGTACCTAATAAATCCTGCCTGAGCTTTTTATTGAGGAGAATTTAATAAAAACAACCATTGCGGCTGAGGGATTTTTCTTTTGGACAGAACATAGGGGTAGGGGACAGCGAGGTTGGGGCAAGAGGTAGCCATTTGATTTTTTTTTTTTTTTTCTTTTCCAAACAGGACTTCTTCCCTTTGGAATGCAAGTGCGGTGGCAGTGTCAAGGATGCCTGTGTGTTTGCAGCAGGTTCCTTCCAGAAGCAGCTGCAAGTGCCACCTCCAGGCCATCTGGCCAATGTGAGGAAAGGAGGCTGCAAGGGCTTGGCAAAAACAACTTTCTGTTCCTCTGGTATCCCCTGATAACTGATTTCAAGTTATGGCCAAGGACTGCCTTATCGCCGTCAGTGGCTGTCAAAAATTTATAAGTATATTCATTTCCCTATTCAACTTAATTGGTATTTTGGGTATGACACTAGAAAAGCAAGTTAGACTTGCCTGTTGGAGTCCAAGGATACCTCCAACAAAATTCTAGACAATAAAAGAAAGGGTAAGTGTCTGAGGGGAGGGGGCACTTACAAATTATTCCATTTAATGCTAATTCGAGGCTTCCAGATTCATTTTGGGAAAATCAAAGAGCAAGAGCTGTATGCATGGCTTTTTAAAACACAAAGAAAATTGGGAAGCATGGGCTTCCCAATTTTCCTGCGCATAAACTTCTAGAACAATTTCTATTGTTGATACTTTAAAAAAAATCTTTTTCTTTTCTGTGATGTGGTCTTTTAAACTCATACCACAACTTATGGCTCCCTCTACTTCCTATATTTTAATTGATCTTGAGGTTATTTTCAAGTCACTGGGCTTAATGAACAAATATTTTAGAATTTCTTCCTTTATATACACTCATTTCTGTCTCAATAAAATGTCTAATCAGGAATTCACTTGTGTAGAAAATAAAAAATAGAAGTACATACCCTTCAAGTGAAGTTAGTTGTTTCTGTGATTTTATAAAATCCATGGACCTCAAGTTTGAGTATCATTGTTATAAAAAACACAGCCATTCAAGCCATGCATGGCACAATTACTCATTAACTGGGCAGCTTTTCCTTCAGAACACGGGAATATGGGGACAGAGGCCATGTGATAATGTTGCAGGCTCCATGTCATGGACCAGTATGGAAATCCTAGCTTTTCCTCCTCTGAAATTGGGTTACTTTGTCCATGAAATGGGGATATTCTTGCCGAACTAGCATGATTGACATCATCTCACCAAAATCTCAACAAACGTATGGGTACCCAACAAATGCTGTTGATTTATTTCATTGGGGTACTTCAGTAATGAGAAGTAGTTAATCAACCGGGTTAGGGTTTGAAATTGGCCAAATCTCAGAAATCACCCTGATGCGACTTAACTCTTCTCTGCCTCAGTTCCCTTATCTCTAAAATGGAACTAATATCAATGTTTTTGAAACTATGAAAAGAATTAATGCACATTAAGTCCTTAAGAGATTTCCTGATGTAAACTGTGGACCTGGGGTGACAATGGTGTGTCAGTGTAGGCTTATCAATTATAACAAGGGGGAGGGGGCTGGGTGGAGCAGGGGTGGTGGGGCAGCTGTGGGGGGGCAGGAGCTGTATGAGAAATCTCTGTCCCTTCTACTCAATTTTGTTGTGAACCTAAAACTGTTCTAAAAGAAATTAAGTCTATTTTGAAAAGTTTCCCTGCACATACAAATACTCCAAAAATATTGGCTCTTATGATTTACAAATAGTGCTCGAAAATAACTGAAAGCAGTCTGTGAATCTTTACAAAGAAGAACTTGACTGTTACGTCATTCTGATGATGGAGCTTTCATGTAATTTAGATAGCAATGCCTTTTTGTTAACCTCAATTTTTCTTTTTGAGTATTATATCCTTTCTGTCCCCAATTCTTGCTGAAGGGGGAAATGGAAGTAAAAACCTTTAATGTTTTCCATTTTTTCGATCATTTGGTTTCTTCTCTTTTTCAGAGCAGTTTCTTGTGAAACCTTATCTGTTCTTCCCTGGACAAAACGTGTTGTTTTCATTGTGTTAGATAGCCTAACACTGGAGAAAATTCAGCAGATCACAGTGCACATCCCCAAGTTGCAATGTGGGGACGGACAGTTCAGACGTGGAACTCCCAGGTATTTGCCGGACTGGTCCGTGTAAGACCTCTCACCGGTTCGCATAAAGGTGTATTGCTATTCAGATAATGTCTTCCCCTGCTCAACAAAAGGTTGTTGTACCGAGCTGTGATTGTGACAAATGATTTACTATTAGGAACATTCTGTAATTATTGTTCGGTGGGACCGCAGACCGATACATCATTAACATGATAGACGGCCTTTGATACCAGCAAAAATAACTAAATTAATAAAAATGGCTTCATTCCAATCCCTGTCAGAAAGCCAATACTCAGAACAATCAAGCAGCAGTGATACCTGAGAAGGCCATAGTTTATATCCCCCAACAAATCAGGTTTCATACAGAAGCAATAAAATATTTGTATATATAATCTCTGTAATATGGATCTGTATAATATAAGAGATTTTATGGAGATCAGCTCTAAACAAAAATATAGGATATGTAAATATTTTCTTCCAAATGATTTAGATGTAAATTTATGCTTTTATGCAATTGGATTGCAGTTTTAGAATATTAGAATTTGCCTTTGACATCTTTTCTTTCAAGATGTCTTAAGCACTGAGAAACATTTTAATGTAGATTCTACAGGCTAAAGTTTCGTTTTTCCTTTCTCTTATTTTCTTCTCTTTTTCCTTTCTCCCTTCCTTCCATCCTTTCTTTCCTTCTTTCTTCTTTCTTTCAATCCTTTCCTCCTTTCTTTCTTTTCATCAACAAATCCCTAATTTATGCTTTAAATCCTTAGCCTCACATTTCTGACATTTCTACACAGAATGAGAGGAAAGAAAGATCTATTTCTGAGTACTCTGTTGAAATAGACTTATAGAAACAAAATGCAGACTACGGGCATCGATACAAAACCTTTGAGGTCCACCTAAGTAGAAATCACAATTACATTTCTAGGTTTTTTTTGCACTTTAGTACTGAAAACAAATTTCAATTAAAAAATGGACAATTATAATAAGGGGGACCTGCATAGAAATCTAAGACTAGGAGCTCTCAAGAAATCAGAGAAAGTATAACAGAAAGCAACTGTTTTCTATTATTTTCTTCCTTACTTATTTTCTCTCTTTCAGTGTATTTTTGTCTGCAATCTCATATCCAAAACTCTTGGGATGAGATGTGTCCTGTAATTCAGAACCGTTATGATTTTGGAAGACATCTTGGCCACAAAGCCAAATACTATCTGCCATCATCAGGGAACCTAGGGTGGCATCCATTAATATGTATGCAACAACACATATGAATACACACCAACTGGGATAAATAAAGACTGCATCGTCCACATAGGTGTGGGTCACATTTTGCTACAAATGAAATCAACTTAGGTCAAAAATAAATGTTGTGTAGAGACTTTTAGATTAAGGAATTGCAACTGAACTGTTCAAACCAACTCTAAGAATCCTGTTAATTTAAATATAATCTAAATTCATCTTGTGTGATTCCATTCACTTTGAATACTTTTTTAAAGACTTTATTCTTTTAGAGCAGTTTTAGTCTTACAGTAGAATTGAGAGGAAGGAACAAAGATTCCCCATATACCCCCTTTTTTTTTTTTTGAGACAGGGTCTCACTCTGTCACCCAGTCTGGAGTGCACTGGCATGATCTCAGCTTACTCTAACCTCCACATCCCAGGTTCAAGTGATTCTCCTGCCTCAGCCGCCTGAGTAGCTGGGATTACAGGTGTGAACCACCACACCCAGCTAATTTTTGTATTTTTAGTAGAGACAGGGTTTCACCATGTTGGCCAGGCTGGTCTCAAACTCCTGACTTCAGGTGATCTATCCTTCTCGGCCTCCCAAAGTGCTGGGATGACAGGCATGAGCCACCATGCCGGGCCTCATATACCCTCACATTCTCACATGCAGTGACTTCCTTCCATCTTCCACCAGACAGGTGCCTTTGTTACAACTGACGAACCTACAGTGACACATCATCACCACCCAAAGTCCACAGTTTACGTTAGTGTTCATTCTTGGCGTACTTTCTGTGGATATTCCATTTCATTATACATTTGTCCTTTTGCACATTGTGACGGGGTTGTTCCACTCTTTTTTCTTTTTTTTTTTTTAATAAGAGACAGGGGTCTTGCCATGTTGCTCAAGCTAGTCTGGAACCCCTGGGTTCAAGCCATCCTCCTGCCTCAGCCTCCCAAAGTGTGGGGATTACAGGTGTGAGCCACCATGCCTGGCTTTTTCCACTCTTTGTAGGAGCTTGAAAATAATAGAAATCACCACTTAATGGATACTCAATAAATACAAGTTATTGGTTGAGTAACTGGTATTGTAACATAGCAGCCTTTTAGAAATGTGCTCCTGTGACTTCATACTTCTACAGAAGTTGCAAGGATCTAAACGCTTCAAACTCTGATAAACTTTATTCACTGACAAATTTATTCTCAGAAATGTTCATACCTTTGTGGAAAAGGTATAAAAATAGTCTGTAATTGTCTACATAGTAGATATTTTATTAAGTAAAGACATTGTTTTCAAAGCCAGATTTCTATCTAAGATGATTTTGAAAAATATCGCTGCTCAGTTCTTCCAATGCCATTGGCATAAGTGAAATCACTGTCAGCGGCTGGCTATAAAGGGAAGAGTTGTACAGAATTGTAGCTCAGAGATGCTGAGATGATATCAAATGTCATTTTGATTCTGAAACTAAAGAAGGGAAGAGTATTGTGCAAGGTGAGGGGAGGCATGCAGGTAAGGGATCCAGTGCAACCTTTCCTGGGTAGTCAGCGAGAGAATCATGCAATTGTTGTTATGGCTAAAGCTTGATTGAGACCTATTTTAAAACTCGTCTTTTCTGCTTTGGCCTTCTCTTAAAGGAAGACAAATGCCCTTGAAAAGGAGTCTTAAAAGTATGATTCACGGACTTGGGAAGAATTACAGGATGCAGACAGCCTAGAGTGGTGCCTCCTGCCCCCAAAGGAGTTCACATTTCCTTCCTCTTAATCTGAGTGAACCATTAAAAAGTTAGTCAGTTCCCTGGAGGCTCTTTCTGAGGAATCTCCTAAAAGGAAATACCCTGCACTGGAAAGGTAATTTACCTAGACAGGATTTAAAAAACTAAGTTCCAGTTCAGAGATAACCAGCGACTTTATATGGGCTGGTGTATTCCTCCTTTTAAGGATTCTCCCCTGAAGTTAGTTAACAAATCAAAAAGGTAGGCAGAACAACATCAAGAAAGAACACACTACCCTTGCACATTTTATTTATTTATTTTTATATGCAATTAAGTCCTCAAACGGATAGTTTCACTGCTGTTGTAATATCAAACTGTAAATATGCAATACATTGATTTTTTTTTTCCTGAAAATAGGCTCGTATTCAAACCAGAAACATTTTGTGTTCTATTCTGAGAATGTTTTTAATTATTTTAGCTAGTGGGAAAACTCTTTTCTTTGGGATAGGGATGTGGGAGGGGAACAAAAATCTGTGTTCTGGACCTTAGGGAGTGCTGTGGTAATTCAGTTTCTGAGGTCTTCAGGAAGCCGGGCTTAGGAGTTGATTCCCTTTTATGGCTAAATAACTCTTATGAATTTGTCTTTTCAAAGTCCACTGGAAACTGGAAAGAGGAGCATGATTACAGAAAGCTGCAGCTGTGAATATTTGCAGAGCAGCTTAGTTTCCCATCTCTATCAATTCTCTCTCCCCTGCCCCCACCTCCAGCAACTAATATCTTAGCATCTTATGGAGTAATATGATAGAACTGTCAAGAATGAATGAGGACTTTGGGCCGTATTAATTCCCATCAACAAACTAATGTCTAATGTTTTGTAGGCTACAGATAAGAAGTTGACCACTGCATTACATTTGTCAATAATTTTTGCATTTTCTAGGGTTAGGTTCATGGAAGGAATTTTTTCCTGATGGTGGTGAGAACGCTGTCAAGATTTTGTTGCTCAAATAAGATCAGAACATGCATTTGTTGTTTGCACACTTTTTCCTGGAAGAAAATGGAGGGGAACTATAAACAAGCAGAAAGGTGGAAAAATGCAAATGCTGGAGTTGGAGGTGGCTTATATAGGGAAGTCTCTGTATATTGAAACAAATCAGGGAGACTGGGCCAGGCCAGGCAAGAGAGGACAGCACATTCTCATCTTTTACTTCTTCTGAAATTGGAAGTACAAGATTCTGAAATTCTGGTAGATTAAACGAGAACGACAAGCATCTTTTTGCCTCAAGAAATTTAATGTTTTGTAGCCATAGGGCAGGATTCCGATACCATACTGTATTATCACAAGCTAAAGTCAAAAAAGAAAGAAGTTTTGAGAATGCCTGGATTTGTATGTTTTCAATACATAATACAACTCTTTCTGTGTGAAATGAAAGGCAGATCGTGGGAAAATGTATGATTCTATTTATAGTCAAATTTAAATTATCTGATTATAAGGCAAAATTAGGACAGACTTTAAACCTGCCCTTTTAGTGTCTAATTTGCCACAAAAAATAGTAAAACTACTCACATTTGATAAGCAATCTGTCTTGTTATTTCTTATCCTATGAACTATGAAAAAGAACTAAGAAAAATTCCCCTCTTTTTTTTTTCTTTTCATAAAACTCAATCCAGGGCCTGCATATTATATTCACATTTTTTCTTGTGTGCTTCCTTTTGTATGTTTTGGCCACACTGGCGGAATTTTCTATGATAAGAGGACCACCAATCCAGTATGCATGGTGTGGGGTTGGCCCGTTGAGTGGGCCCCACTGGGCCTCCGGGGAAGAGGGCCAGGAATTCACAGGGCTTGATTACCACCGGGGCTTTTTCTGCTTTTAAGTTAACTATGTTCTTCCTGGTAAATCAACGCCTCGACTTCGGAGATTGAACATCAGCTCTGTGATTGAGCAGAAACTCTGAAAAGAAGACTTGCCAGCAATGCCTACCTGACCTTTCTCCAAACTTGTTATAAGGAAAATAAGAAGGTGTCCAGGAGAAAGGGAGTCGTTGGATGTGGAACTACTAGGGGGACTTAAATGTTTTTAAACCAGCTTCCACGGTGACATATGTAAACAGAAGTCAAAGTATCTTCATGCATACAAGATAAACATTTATCATTTAGCTTTTCATTTTGTGTCCATAACACTTGCATGTGCCTGCCATGAGTATTTTCTTTCTAAAAAGCATAAAATTAAATTTACCAGGATGCGTCCAATTGTGATTTCTCTATTTACTTCCTATGATCTAACACAATCTGGTAAATATTTATGGGACACATGTGCCATTAAAGTGGCTGGGTTATATGTTGGTGACATGAAGATAGAGTCGTTAATACTTGAGATTGGTCAAATGGCTCTGTTAGTATTCAAATTTTCTGTTCTTAACATGGTTGTTAGCATTTTCTTTTTGATAGGTTTGGTTTTATTATTGTGACCAATTTTTTATCTCTCCTTGTATCTATGGCCTATGATGTGTGATTTTCACATGTGACTTAAGGAGATAAGTATATGAGCTTATCCCCTGACTTAGGGTTACCCATATGACTTGCTGTGGCCAAAAGAATAAGGTAGAAATGAGAGCATGCCCTAAGAGGCATTGCATGGTATTGCTTTCTTTCTTATGCTTATGCTTAGCCATGAGAACATACCTGGGCAGCACTGTTTGTCCCAAGGGGAAGATGAAGAACATAGAGAACAGAATCAGCTGAGCCATCCCAGCCAAGCTTAGCTATGATCAACTATGTCCTAACTGATCTCCGGATGCATGAGTGATCATAAACCCTAGCTGTCTAAAGCCACTACCTTTTGGAATGGTTTGTTATATAGCAGTCACAATAAGATTTATTCTTTCATTCATTTATTAATTTTCAAACATCAGTTGGACACTTCCTAAGCCCCAAGTTCCGTGGCAGAGGCCTGAGATACAAAGTGCAAATTTCCAGGGAAAACAGAAAAATGGAGCAGTCAATAAAATAGATGCGCAAAGTGCTGAGATAAAAGTGTGCCTTGGGTGCTATGGTGAATCCTTAATAGGATGGTATAAGAGGCATTCTGGAAGAGGGATAATGCCACGTGAAATTTTAAAGAGTGAATAGGGATTAGGAAGGCACTAACATTGGATTTTGAAGAGAAAAAGAGTAGAAGGGCATTCTTCGCAGAGAAAGCACAATCACATTTGCAAATATCCTCGTGCTGAGAAGCAGCCTGGTGCTTTGAGGCCGCAGCAAGGCGCCTGACACAAGCAGGAACCATGCTTTGCATTTTTTTTTAACTCAACATGGTACTTAACATAGCCAAGTCAAGTATGGTCAAGGGATGGCTTGGCAGTACTATTGGGCACTGTCTTAAGTAGAAACTAGAGACAATGTCTAAGAAAAGTCACCTTAGGGATACCCAGCATCCTATGTGAATTCAGACCTAACTGCTTGAGAATGTCAAACTAAGGCAGGAAGTCTTTTGATTATTTGTGGTGTTTTTCTCTTCACTTCCTGCTTTGATCCTATAGCACAGGAACTAAAGTATTCTAAGGGAAACTACTTCCTTGGTATTTTTGGCGTGCCTCTTACCAGGAAATTGGTGGGAGTGTCAGGGGTACCCTTTTCAAGAGATTTCCATTTAAACTATGGGTGGGGGTGGGGGTGCATCCACTTCCTAACCATTTAAGGCTTTAGTCATTTGTGGTTTGCACATTTTCACCATCATAAAACTTCGTTGAGAAACAGTTAGGAAGTCCTTAAAGGTCCTATCATCACTTTATCTTAGCTGCCAAGTTATAACTCTGCCATCTATATGAAACTATGCTTTAAATAGAGAGATCTGAAACATAAGCATGTTCCAGTTGGAAAGAGGCTCTGAGGTAGATCACCTGGCAGTTTTCCCCTCATTTACCAAGTTGGAAGGAAATGCTCTGAGGAAAAAAATATATATATTGGTTCAAGGTCCCATTAATTAAGGACAAAAATGGAACCATACCCCTGGTTCCCAAGCTGGGGGTGCTTAGCACTACCCAGCTCATGGATTCTTGACTTTTTATGCAGCACACATTAAACCTGAATCATGGACAAAACTTAAACAGAGAAAAAAACAAAGTGTTTCAAATGTCTTAGAGCAAGAAACAACAAATCAAAAGAGAAAATGGCAATTGGAATCTTTAAGAACTGAAGGAATTTGCTTTTCAGGTATCAGGCTAATTTAGAATGATAAAACAATTAGTAAATTTGACATGTAGGTGTATCAAGTAGGGAAAGATACGGAAGGGGAAGAAGAGGAAAGAAGACACTACATCTTTAAATTGAATTGAATGTTCTGTGACTTTAAGTGAAAGCTCTTCTGTTGTTGGGCAAATAAATTTAAACCACTTAACATGGCAGAGAAGGTCAGGCAAGCTTATTATAGTGATCATAGCGTTACAGCTATTGCGATTGACCGCTGCTCTCTGGAATCACCAATAATCAGAGACCGCAAGCTGTGTTTGCAGAGAAAGGTCATCATTCATTTTTTTCAAAGCATTAATATCTTTTGTTTGTTTGGCTCAACATGAAACAGGAATCGATAGAGGTAATTCACAGAGCAATTAGCCCCTCATCTGTCAAACGGCATCTGGGTGTATTTAACAAAAAGACCTTTGGAAAGGTTTAAAAAGGAAGAAAGTGCCTGTACGGTCAACAATTTATATTTTTCTACATGACATGTTGTGTATGTATCTGTAAAAAGGGGGGCTTTGGGAGTAAGAAAATATACATAAAGCAGCTATAAATCTACACTTCAGTGTTATGATGTTGCAATGTAGAGATAGACCCTAAAAAGCTCAGATTACATCCTCATCCTGTTCCCAGGAAGACAGCAAGCAAGTGGCATTTGGGGTCTCTGTATCATGTTTGAACACAGCCGTGGTACATAGATTTCTCTGAAAAAAAGACTTCCAGGAAAAAACTTCTTGTGGACACTGTAACAAATTGGAGAGGGTCAAGCATCAGAAACAAATATTCCCTTTTGGCTTCAAAGCCTGTGATTTTTGTGCTGGGCTAGACTGCTTCCGAGACAGGTCACAGCCTTCCTGTGCTACCCATCAGCCGGCTTGGGAAGAAGTCATTGACGGAGACATCTTTCTCACTGCTCACCAGTGGCCACAACAGTCTTGTGTCAGCCCTCTGTCTACATCTAATTTGCCAATATTGGAATGAAAAGCAAAATGCAAAATTAAGTTAAAAGACTTGTTGTACTCTCAAAAATGAATTGTGATCTCGATCTGTTTTTCTTTACTGAATTTCAAGTGTGTGTACTATGGAATGAATGCAATACATATCAAAGACGTGGACTTTAAAAAAAAATCAGCTTAGGGACTTGTCTACACGTTTACACGAATGCTGTTACTCTCAGCAGGACCAGATGTATTTTTGAAATGTATTTTCTTTTCAATTCTGGCTTTTTTTTTCCTTGGGTTTTTTTTTTTTTTAACTTTTCTTTCCTTCCCCCCAACCCCCAACCCAGCCTTCTGCCTTCCCTTTTATTTGGGTCTTCTCCCAGGCCATAAAATGATGGCTAAAAAAGAAGTCATGAGATATAAAAGAAAGTGACAAAAGTTTTCCTTACCTTGTGACTTGTTTTTGGTTTTGAATTTAATTTTTTTTTTCTTAATATCAGAGCATTCCAACAGGTTCCTTATCCATCTCTAGGGCTCTTTCTGGATAACTGTGTCTTACCTGAAAATTATGTAATATAGTTAATTTAAAAAGCAAGCAGGCCAGGCACAGTGGCTCATAGCCTGTAATCCCAGCACTTTGGGAGGCTGAGGTCACCTGAGGTAGATCACCTGAGGTCAGGAGTTCAAAACCAGCCTGGCCAACATGGCGAAACCCCGTCTCCACTAAAAATACAAAAATTAGCCAGGCATGGTGGCACATGCCTGTAGTCACAGCTTCTTGGGAGGCTGAGGCAGGAGAATCACTTGAACCTAGGAGGCAGAGGCTGCAGTGAGCAGAGATCATGCTACTGCACTCCAGCCTGGGCAACAGAGAGAGACTCTGTCTCAAAAACAAGAACAAAAACAAAAACAGAAAAACAACAACCACAAAAAACCAAGCAGCTACAATTAACTTTGAGTAGAGTCACACTGTGAAGAAAATATCAAAGCGAAAGACTGAAAGAAAAATCCTCAAGTAATGTTGTGTTAGAGTGGAGGGATTATGGAGGTTACTTTCGTTTCATTCAATTTCCCTATTTTCAAAATTTTCTTTTTTTTTTTTTTTTTTTTTTTTGAGACGGACTTTCGCTGTTGTTGCCCAGGCTGGAGTGTAATGGCATGATCTCGGCTCATCACAACCTCCACTTCCCTGGTTCAAGGGATCCTCCTGCCTCAGCCTCCCTAGTAGCTGGGATTATAGGCATGCGCCACCACGCCTGGCTAATTTTGTATTTTTACTAGAGATGGGGTTTCTCCATGTTGGTCAGGCTGGTCTGGAACTCCTGACCTCAGGTGATCCGCCCACCTTGGCCTACCAAAGTGCTGGGATTAGAGGCATGAGCCACCGTGCCCGGCCTTAAAATTTTCTTTAATAAACATATTGCTTTTTAATTGGAAAAAATAAAACATTACTTAAAATTAATGCATTAACACAAATAAGACAATCATGTTTTTGTACATGCATTATATTTTATACTGACCCCAGATGACCACATTTTTACTTTTTATAAACACTGACAAACACTCTACAGAATTCTGTAGACATAGAATTTTTCTGAGCAAAATTAAAATCAGTTCTTAGAGTCTCACGAAATTGTACAGAGGATGTAAAACTGAAGTTGAGTAGAATAGCAAGAAGTATTATAGCTCATGGTAAATCTAATTTTCTGAAATTATGACATTCTGTTATAAGAGAATTTCATTGTCAAATATATGGGTTCATCTTATTTTTCTGAAGTTGGAATTTAATCCTGGAGACATTTTGACACAGTATTTTCTTCCTTCCAACTTTTTTTTTCTGTTTATGTTAGCTGTGTTAGAAGTTTCCATACATTCACTACACGGCTTCCTTTAATTAGATGGATTCTCTGTAACCCACAAAAACTGGCTAATAATTGTTTTCCAGACTTCCAGTTACTAAAGCAGTCAGCAGTTGCCTGGGCTCTATTTTGCTTTCATGAAAATGTTACAATGTACTTCAACAACAGTCCAAATCATCCCACCTTCCAAGTGGTTATTCATAAGCAGGGGTCATTATTTCCTTGTTAGACTGTCTTAGGGGTGGGTCTGGTTTCCATGGGCTCTGCACATTCTTCTGATTTGTAAATCAAACCTGAGTTACAAAGATGGACTGCCACCTCCTCCGGGCTCTGCTTAGTGTCACAGGGGTACAGTTCATCAGACAAACACCTCATAAGCATCAGTTCTGGCTGCCTTCCAGGGAAAACCATGTCATGCCATTGAATAACACTTAGGACCCAATCTTTCATCCTCCTCCTCCATAACTAAATAAATTGGGTAAAGGTCTTGCCCTGTCTCAAGATAACAAGAAGTTTAAAGAACTTACTAGTGTTTCATGTTGCAGACACTGTGCTTTAGAGGAGTGAACTAAAACAAGATGGCGGCTTCCCTGAAGTTCAAAGGCAGTTCTGATAGCAAATGAATACTGACAATCCTTCGTGTTTCCCTCATGGGCACAAATAATCCTGCTGAAAACAGGAAGGGGATTTGGATTGAGAGCTGAAAGAAAATGAGCATAGACTTTTCTATTGCTATCCTACTCAGAACCTCATTACATAGAGCAGGGGTCAGCAAACTTTTTCTGTAAAAGACCAGAGGGTAAATATTCTATCCTTTGTGGGCTATACCACTTTCTTCACATCCACTCAACTCCGCTGTTCTAGTGTGACAAAGGAGCCATTGACAATCTGTAAACAAAAATAAGTGTTGATCGGGCTCTAAGAAAACTTTGAAATATGAATTTCATATAATTTTCATGTGTCACAAAATAATATTCTTAGGATTTTTTTTCTTTAACCAAACATTTCCAAGTGTAAAATTCATTCATGTCTCACAGGTGATACCAAAGCAACCATGGGCTGAATTTGCTTCTCCGGTCCCAGTTTGCTCACTCTTGCTCTAGAATTCAGAAGTTCCAGTCCACACATGTGAATCAGATTTTACAGAACCAAGGGCCCTTCTTGGCTCTCTCTGTGTAGTGACAGCTGCTGTTACCATGTAACTATCATCTCACGTGAATAAAGGTGTTTTTCTTTCATTTGAATCTTATCTTTTGTTATTGGAGAAAAGGCTCATTAAACTTTTTAAACTCATTGAATTTAGCAGAGAGTCTTAATTATGTGTGACTCAGGCATTAGGGGAGAATGTGCATAACCGGACCAAATTAAACTGCACAAAATCATGTCTTTCTATTTTAAAAATAGATATTTTGTTTTCAGGTAAAATCCAAGATAGTCTAAAAAGGCAATAGAACTTTAAATGACTGTTTATTCAGTCAATGACTATACAAATAATTGGTAAATGATTTTGAAAACTATTTGGTGACAAAAGAAAACGTTCCCTTTCTAATGCAAGTTGGAATAAATCAGAGTACAAACTGTACATTTATGTGTGTATATATTTTATATAATAGAAAGATATGAATTAAAATGTTAACAACATTTATGGAGATGGTGGAATTAATTCTTTGTGCTTTTTTCCTACTTTTCAAATATTTTGCAATATGGTTACTGCTTGTATTTAGGAAAAAAGAACAACTAATGTTAAAAGAATATCTTTTGCTCCCAATTTTTAAAAGTGTTTTCATGAAGAGACCTATGCCTCTGTAGCAATCTTGGACAAGGGATCATGAAATAATCTGCATGATTCATTGACCACTGGAAGGCTTTGTGATAGCATTGAAGATAACCTTCTGTGAGCTCATAAAAATAATTACCTGAAAGTTGTACAAATTCAGCATTTTTATGACATGCAAATAAAGAAAAGGAAGGAAGAACGTGAGATGACACAAAGTAAGATCTCATAAAAGGGATAGCAATAACTATATGTAAAAAAGAAATAATGGATGTTACTAAGTTCTGTAAAATTTTGGCAGGTCAATAGAATTAAATGAGAAAGAGCTAACAAACCTCCCTCCTTTGCTATTCAAATGATGAACAAAGCACCAATTACTCTCTGGCATGAAAATCTTATTTATATTTATGACCAAAGGTGTTTTTTAAAAGCTTGCCTTCATCATCATTTGTAAGTTTCTTAAAAAATTGGCTGAAGCCAAACAATGAAACTTTCATTCATGAGAACAATGTAACAACAAAAAAAATTCTTCCATGCATTGTTTAGTGGATTTCTTATTTCAAAATTTTTTAAAAAGCAGATCTCAACCCACAGCCTAACCCATAATTCCTACCTATGTATTTATTCCTAGTATATTCTAGACACCACCAGGAAGGGATACATAGGATAGTTTATGTTTTTCTTAATTTAAAGAAAAAGATCTTGAAAGAAGCTATGAGAAAAAAATGCTATATTAAAGATATATTGCTAAGTGTCTAGTTTTAAAAGATCAAATATCAAAATATATTTATTTATGTGGTTCACCACTTCAAGATAAGCAAGTGTATGAGAATAAAAGAGCTAGTGGCTTCTCAGAAGTAAAATAATGACATTTTAGGCATTTGATACCTTTTGGCCTGAAAGCTTCAGACTTGGTCATTAGATGTGGCATGTCAATAATTTTAGAATGAGGATACTAATAGAAATACAACTGAGAGAGGTGTGATTGGGTATATCTTCCCTTCTCTCTCTTTCCCTGCTTCTATTCCATAGAAACCTAGTTTCCTAGTAATCTACTTGACTGACGGACTTGCAAGGGAGAAGAAATTATAGCTGCAGGACCCGTCCACTTTGCTTCACCTTATCAAATGTACTCACCAATTTATGTTCTTAGCACTTTTGCACAGTTTGACAAGAATCAGGACCATTCCATGGCTTTTTGAGCACTCCTGTCTCTTGGGATGGTGACCTTCTATCTTGACAATTCAGATCTAGTCACCAGTACCACCCACAGGCCACTGACAGATTTTCAGCCTGCTCCAGGTGAATGAAGAGGGAATGTGATTGCAGACTTTGGTTTTTACTCCTCTACATTCTGATTCAAAAATGTACTTTAACATTCAAAACTCATCTGCAAAAGATTCAACTCCCCATCATTAGCTGCTGATTAAAAGCTTATAATAAATGAAGGAGATGGATGCCATGTGTGGATGATATGCCCCTGTCCCTTCTAGTTGGGGACATACCAATGGACTCACTAAATTTATGAAGCTATGTATGAGCGCTAAGTGAGTTCTACAGAAAGCATTCTTAAAAATTGAAGACTTCATAATTTGGCAGAGAGAGTAATGGGAGACTTTGTAGAGGAACTAAAATGTGAGTCAGACCTTAAGGATGAGTAAATTTGGATGGGTACACAGAAGGAGAGGCAAGAGAACCTAATGACCTGTGTTGATGACTACTATTACATTGTATCTGAGGGCCTCTGTGGCTTCTGCCAATGCTGTCCCATTCTGTTCTCATTAGATGAGGAAGCTGAAACTCAAAGAATATACAGTTTTCCAAAGATTGCACAGCTAAGAAATATGGAAAGATGGACTCAAGCTCAGATTTGCCTGATTCTGAAGCTTACATTCTTTTCGGTGCACTGAACTGTATCAGAATGTTTTTTAGAATGCAGACTGACATGAGCAAGAGTGAGGCAGTGTGAATAAACATAAGCTTCAGGATAACAGAGCTTCCTTCCTGGAAACAATGGTTGGGATGAAGCAGCAAAAAAAAATTTTTTTTCTAGGAAGAATTTCAAGATGAGATTCCACCTGCTTAACAAGCATTTGTCAAACCTGAAATTATTTTCTGATTGCAAAAGTATTCCATGTTAATTGTAGAAAATTAGAAAACTATAGAATCACCAGCTAAAATCAACCAGAACTAGCCATTGTTAATGTTCTAGTGTATCATCTTCCAATCTTTTCATAATTTTTCTCCAAATATATACACATTTATGTATATATTAGCTTTATAAAATTAAAATTTTGCTTTCTTTGTATTTTGATGTCTGAATTAGTAATATATCACAACCATACTCCATTTCTTCTATATTCTTTGGAAACATTTTAAATAAATATAGAATATTGCATCCTATAAGTTACCATAGTTTATTAAACTTCTATTATTGAATGTTGACGTTATTTCTAGTTTTTCTTAATTATAAATAATGTCTATTTTATCTTATAAATCATTTATCTCTGATTTTTCCTGAAAAAACAATTTTTTAAACAAAATTTCAGCTTGGCTTATTTCCCATTATATAGGAAATTTAAATCAAAATTTAAATTGTATGTTATCCTACGAACTGAAGCTCAGGTCAGACTCCTGAGGGGATAAACCAACATCCTAGCAGAGGTTTGACTCAATTATCGTCATGACTTTAGGAAGTTAAACTCTTCCATATCAGAGAGAGGAGTGGAGGCAGAGAGGTTGAAGGAGAGATTGAGGAAGAGGGGACAGAATAAGAAAGAGAGAAACACTGGTTTTCTTCCCTCAGGAATCGATTACCCGTTCTCCAGGTAGGCAAATTTTATTTTATTTTATTTTATTAAAAAGATCAGACTCCATGGTGGTCCTGAGGGGAGGTAGAAAAGACTCTTTAGACTGTGTCCAAGTGGCTGTTTTCTTTTTTACAGCCTAGTAACATCATAATGATGGATTTCTCCATTTGGGAGCATCACGCAGTGAAGGAAACCACCTGGGCTTAAATCCCAGTTACTCAGTTTCACAGCTCTGTGGCTTTAGACAAGGCCTTTAATTTCTCTCAATCTCAGCATCCACAGGGTAAAAGGAGATAGGAATGCCAACTAAAAATCTTTGGATCCTGACAATTAAATCAGATTACACAGCATCAGCCAATCGCAAACAACTAGCTCTTTCCCCCTCCCTTTCTTCCACGCTTCTGCTCACTGAGAGCAATAATTTTTTTTCTTTTCTTTAGATTTCTTCATTGTAAAAAGCAGAGTTCATTCACTCCAAAAAATTTTAAATCTCTTGGCACTGAGAATTCAAAGCATTGTCCACGCCCTTACAGAAATCACAGTCCAGTGAAAACTACAGAAAAGCTAACATGAATTACAAGATCAAGAGAGAGAGACGTTGGTACAAAGTCATGTGTTCCCAAATAAAGGAGGGCCGAATTTATTGGAGAAAGGGGATCAGGGAAGTAACCCTTGATGAGGTCTTACAAGATGAGCACTTGCTCACCAAGCAGGGGAAGGAAAGTGAGCATTCTTGGCATGGGGTAACTCTTACCCTGTGGTAATGAGGAGAGGGTTAGTGGTCAGCAGAAGGGCCTTTAACAGAAGCTAGAAGTTGTCAAGAAATGCCACTTCCTCTGCAGAACCCTTTCTGGTTCCTTATACAGGAAACCCTCTACCGCCTTAGCACTTTAATTGTACCACATCTGTGGATGTCTTTGACATTTACTACTTCCTGCTTTGCATTGGAGATATTTTTGTACATATTTTACTTTCATTATACCACTAGAGAAACAAGAGACTGTTTTATCCTTTAATCCTGGTATTACCTGTAGTACCTTCAACTTTATATATATATATATATATATATATATATATATTTATTTATTTATTTATAATACGATTTATTCATTTTAAAGGTTCCCAAAGTGTCCCCATTTAGGGGGTCACATTAGACACTTTGTCCCTCAGCCTTTGGGTTTAACACCCTTCAATCAGTGGACTGTAGTTGATTTCAAGTCAAATCTGCCAAGAAGACTGTTAATATTCACCTCATGATCTTGGTTATTATGGGTAGTAATATAAGCGATACTATATTACAATAATATCATTTACAACGGCTTACATTTATTGAACATTTACCATGGCCAGGCACTTTGTAAACACTTTGTCAATACTAACTGAATTAACACTCAAAGTAATTCAATGACATGGTTACTATTAGCATTCTCATTTAATAGATGATAAATTGGAGGAGAGAGAAGTTAAATATTTGTTACTTGCCCGCAGATCACACCTGGTAAGTGAGGGACCCTGAATTCAGACCAAAAACGATGTTGCTGTGGAATCTAGGCATGTATTCTTTATTCCATTTCATTAATCCTTGAAACGACCCAATCAGGAAGACATTATTGCTCCCATTTTATAAACAAAGTGCAGAGAGTTTAAGTGACTTGCCCAAGTCCACACATTGAAAATTGGAAGAACTAGGCCGGGTGCGGTGGCTCACGCCTGTAATTCCAGCACTTTGGGAAGCCGAGGCAGGTAGATCACCTGAGGTCAGGAGTTCAAGACCAGCCTGGCCAACATGGCAAAACCCCATCTCTACTAAAAAAATACCAAAAATTAGCCAGGCATAGTGGTGGGTGCCTGTAATCCCAGCTACTCAGGAGGCTGAGACAGGAGAATCACTTGAACCTGGGAGGCGGAGGTTGCAGTAAGCCGAGATCACGCCATTACACTGCAGCCTGGGCAACAAGAGAGAAACTCCATCTCAAAAATAATAATAATAATAAAATAAGAAAAGAAAAGAAAATTGGTAGAACTAGGATTTAGAGCTCAATCTGTCCAACTCTAAAGCCCAAGTATAGGACTCTAGGCTCCCTATTCCTGTTTAAGTTTTAAAAACCTGCTGGTTATAAGTGTATGGTATCTTCTATGTACCTATGGGCATTATCAGGCGATAGTTTTCTAGGATGAGGGAGAAGTAAATAAGGTGGTATCCAAACACTAGTATTTTATTCATTGAGACCAACTGAAGCAGGATTTGATGACTGTATGAGTGAATTAATTTCAGGTTATTTGAGATATTAGGAACATTTCTTACTGATCCACTGCTCTGCCGTGAAAACCATAGCAATTTACCATATTTAGTTATGGTCCATTCTTGAGGCTATGGTTTAGGGACAGAAGGGGTCAAGAATACAGGTAAAATAATGAGAAGGAAATGTTCTAAAGGACTACAGATCTAGCGTGCCGTAGGTAAGAGCAGGATCTTCTTTTGGAATACTGAATTGATATAAGTCAAAGACTAGGAAAACCAAATATGCCTTCATGTTCAGAATCAAGGTTGGTGTGGGTGCCAGAGACCACAGGCCAAGGCAATTAGACCCCTCCTTGGGTTTGGTAGGAAGTGGAGATGTAAGTAGCTCCTGGTTATGACCTCAGGGTTTGTGTTCAATAGGAAATATGTGATAAATGAGTGTCAACAAATTGACACCAGTGAATTCATTGCTTAGAGACACCTAAGTGGACAGCTTCTTGTTTGGTTATGATGGTGATCATGTTTATACTCCACCAAATATCTTGGAGTTTTGAAAATGGCCTGGTGAATTTGCTGACCACAGCAAACTTCTGCTAATTACCCTGAAGTATCTATCTCATGTTTATCTTTCCTTCAATTAAATCATCATACATCACTTAACGTCAGGGATATATTCTGAGAAGCATATCGTTGGCTATTTTGTCGATGTGTGAACATCATAGAACGTCCTTACACAAATGTAGATGGCATAGCTGACTACACACCTAGGCTGTATGGTATGGCCTTTTCTCCTAGGCTATAAACATGTACAGCACCGTATGCAATTGTAACACAATGGTAAGTATTTGTGTATCTAAACATATCTAAACACAGAAAAGGTACAGTAAAAATCTAATCTTATAATCTTATATGACCACTGTTGTTTATGCAATCCATTGTTGACTGAAATGATGTTATGCAGCCCATGACTGTATATGATAAAATTGTCAAGTTATCATTTTATTCCCTGAGGTACCAAAAAAGACTTAGCAGAATGCATAATGCAAGGTATGATTCCTTATCTATTTTGAGGATGAAACCAGTGATGTGTGTTTATTTATAGGTTGTTCTTACAATTGTCCCTCTTAAATGAAACCTGACAATTGGAAGGACCTGCAAGAAATGACAATGAGTGCTCCTAAATAAATAAGGTTGTATGGAAGCAAGGGACTTTCTTCCCAAGTACATAACTGAAATTGACAAAGCAGTCACACTTTGCTTTGTAACCATCAACAACTAGTTATACAGCAAATAATCCCTTAACAACCTAATTATATATTCCTGTTGCTTATATTAAATTATTGAACAGTTCAGAAGGCAGTTATTTTGGTTAGATTGGCAGGTAGGGTAGTTAAACTCTTAAACCTGTAACTGGTTTATTGAGTAAGTTAAAATTGGATATGAAACAAAACAGGTTCGATTTTGTTGATTGTGATTTTATTTCATTTTCCATTCCTGACCTTCAACCATGTTATGTCGGAATCCCGTTTCACATTAAAAAAAAAAATACCTTGGCACTATCCTACAGCTTTCCAGTCCCTCACAGATATAAAACTAAATTTAGCCTATTTTTAAATTAACGTCTCGTATTGGTTTTAAATTTCTTCTACTCCTTTCCACCAATGGCTTCTAGAAAAGACTAGACCCTAGCTGCTTGGGTTAGAAAAGGGAGAAAAGAGTTTTCCTCTACCATCTCATTCTTCTCCCTGTTCTTGGTCAAGCTCTTCTGGCGCTCCTGGTCTGACTGAGACCAGGAAGAATTGAAAGCACATTTGGCTTCCCCTGTCCTTGAATGACCTTCTAGTGTTGAAGGGAGGATGTCAAGCACAAGGGAGAAAGAAGAAGGATTTATCTAAATTGCTGGGTCAGGTTGGGGCAGAGTCTTTGGCTTCACTGATTCTCTTCAGCAACTATCACTCATGATGTAGGCTTTCTCCCTGAGTTGGTGGAGCTTAACCACCTACACCTTTTTCTGAAGATCTGCACATTCCTTTGACATCTCCAGAAGTTTTTATCCCCCTCCGGATTAGCCTAGCAGCCTTCTGACCCATTTAATCTCCCTACTTTCTCAGGTGGAAACATAAGAACCACCGAGTCCTCTTTGCACACTCTGAGGGCCAAGGAAACCACTGGAGGGTAAAGAGAAAAGATTCCTCCATCATCTTCCCAGGTACATTTCACACCACAGCCCCAGCAGCCCCACCCTCATAGGGCAATCTGACTGGCTTCCCAGTAGACTTCTTATGTCTGATGTCCTCTTTTGACCAATCTTGGGCACAGTCTTAATGGACACTTCACTTAGAAACTCAAATAAGCACATGTCAAGTCTTGCAAAACTCCCCCTCATCACGATCCTCTTCTCTGTCATGGCAACACTGAAATGTGCTGCAGCTTCTTGGCTCCAGCATGCATCTAGAGGGAGAGCAAGAAGTCAGTTTCCCTTTGTCAAAGGGGCCCCCAAGCTCTACATGTTATTTTCTTGAAGTCCTCATTCTGGCCCTCCGTTAACTTTGGAATGAACAGGAATTAGTCTCTTCCCATGAACATGCATTCCTCAAAGAGCTGAGAGAGTTTCTTCACCATGATACCCTCTGTTGGTAGACAAGAAATAAGATATGAAGCTGAGAATGGGTGATCAATGGCCACCGATCTCCATTCACATCACTTGGGGAAGATGACTGGGCCCGCCTGTAGGTGCCTCATTGGTGTCTTGAGACAGACTATAAGGTTCCAGTGATTCTTCCTTTTTGTAGGTTCTCATTGTTGATTTCAGGGAAATCTGAAAAGTTAAGACCCACTATGTATATACAGGAGCTAACCAGGATGTGTTTTGTTTGCAGGGGCCAAATGGATACTATATGACTCCCACTTCTCCTTTCCACTGCATCATCTGTCATCTGAAAAGGGAATACGTTTAGAATCAACAGAATGTTGGTGCCAGAAGGGAGTTGCCAACAATCCTCTATCAATTAGTAGTAGAAGTGGAACACTTTTCCTCCTTGTTTTAGCCTGAGTTCTTTCCAGTTGCAGTCATGCCTTTAACCACAATATCCATTTGTGATCTTGGATTTGTCTTGTTTCTAATATTTGAGGGACAGAGGCGGGGAAAGAAGCAAATGAGGTTACCAGAGCTGGTTTTGTTTTCAAGGGTCAAATGGGTACCGTGTCACTTCTACTTCTTCTGCCCACTCCATCCCTACTTCCGGAAGACCAAGTGTATTTTCTCCTTCTTCCCCTCAAGTGTCCTCTAGAGTTTTCCACACTGCTTCTTAATACACATAGCTCTGCTTCTTGCTCCTTACTGGAAATAGGCTCAGTGCTGACGGGATCTGACCTATTGGTGGGTGGAGGGGAATGAAAGGTCAAAACTGCATTTGACCCTTTGTTCCACAGACTTACTTCATAGCCGAGCAGTCACATTTTGATTTAAACTTCTTTTTTTCTAGGCTCTAGATCGGTTCCTTACCTTGGAGCATGCCCCCTTTACTGATCTCATACATTTTTATTTTATTTGATGCTTCATGTTATGCTTGGATTATAGAACTTCCATTCGGTAAAGGTTCTGTAACAAATTGTTCTTTTGTACAACTGCCAGATATCTCAGACTAAAAACATATTGGGGGGAGAAAGCCAGATAAAAAATTAAATGAAGGCAAAATTAGAGGCCTGCTAATAAAATCAGATTTTCTTGACACTTTTAGTCAATGCAAAAATAATTGTGGGAATATAAAAGGTTTTTTATGGTCAATTATTCTTGTCTTAGTAAGTATCTATAATCATAATCCCTCAGAATAGGTAATAATCCTCTGCAGAGGGAAGTGAGACTTCCCCACAGAACCATAAGGAAAGTAAAACGTTATCATATGCATGCATAAAATATATTAATATTGAAATGTGCTGGCTGTAAGGTCAGGTGGGGAAATAGCTTTTTTTTCCGCCCTGAAAAAAAAATATATATATATATATATATATATAAACTATCTGACTTTATTGGGCTGCTGACATCCAATTGATCTGCATTATTCTTAGCTGGCAAGAGCCTATATACCTAAATGCCTCAGATAATAGGTATTACAGTATTAGGTAAAAAGCCTCCATGCAGTCTATAGCAAATATCAAAAAGGTAGAAAGTGTAAAATAAGGGAGATTAAGATGACACCAGAAAGCGTTGAATGAGGTGTCATTTTGCATTTAGAAAGACAACCAGGAAAGTTAAGACAGAAGAAAAAAAATGCCCCTTTCTCACTAGCTGCCCTTAAAGGTTTACAAATGATCTGTTAACAGAAATGAGTTTCTCTTGGGCTTCAGACACCATTTATTACTCTGGGAGAGAGACAAAAAAGGAGATGGAAAAGACTGGCAAATTATGCTTATTTGAAGGCAAAATGCTTCCCATCAGCAACATGATGAAAATGTACCAAAGGTGTCAGCCAGATGTTGACATGTTAATATTTTTCATGAGGTCTTTCACTGAGGAATGAGTACAAAGAACTTTTTGGGTGTTCTTTAGAATATGAATTGAAATGCATTGCTATGCTAGCTGCCTTGCCTGGGAAATCACGATCGTATTTGATGATGAAGAGGAAGAGGAAGTGTGTCCTAAATAGGGGGCTTGAACCTCGATTCCCTGGCTGCCTCCCAGATGTCTTGTGCTACGAATGGGCTCATCTGATCTCTCCTAGTCAATTTCATTCTGGAAAGTAGCCAGTGGGCCTAGTTCACGACCCAGTGATGTCATTATAATTCATTCTCCCTCACCACAAAGACTTCGGAACTTTCCAATTTACAATGGGTCTTTTTAATAAAGAAGAGAGTCATGTACAGAATTTTTAAGTGTTTCTAATGATTTATCTTTTTTTTTCTTGTTATAGCCTCAAAAAGGCCTATCTTCTTTGTATGAATGGACTATCAAAATCATTTAAAGAATTTTATATCTTTGTTAAAGTACACGATGTGTTTTATGGGCTGAAAGGGGATAACTGAAGCTTATTATAAGAGAACATTGTGTCCGAACAGAGAAACTTTACATTTTATGCATAAAGAATAGAGGATCTAAAATTTCATATGACTTAGGCCATGCTTCATCATGAACACTTACAAAGTAATTCTAAGTAGGAAATATGCCATTTTTAGGGATGTATTCTGTGTTTTGAGACTGGATTTATAAGATGAGGGAGGGGCTGGAGGCTGAGAGAGACATATGTAAGTCATTTCAGAGCACAGGCTGTATCATCCATGTGTTCTCTCAACACCTCTCATGGGCTGTAAGGAAATATTCACTGATGAAGATTACATATGAATTGAACTCAGCATTGGAGAGTTAGGGCCGTCTCCCAGAACCTCACCTCCTTGCACTTGGCTTACCCTCCTTGCTAAAATAAACTTTGCTGGATGACGTCACTTATCCTTGGCATGGATCTTTAAAATCCTGGGTAGTACAAGCCTAGTGGATGATCAATGCATTTGTGGCCTGCACTGTAATTTAACTTGCTCTGTCTGACAGGAGATGTGGAATAGCTAAAGAGAGGCTTTACTTGTAATCTTCTTATCGCCTTATCCTGGAGTGTTTGTGAAGAGCAAGGCCTTCCCTACACTAACTCCCAGCTGAGGGTTAAGGCTAAGAAAGAGAAATTGCCCTGTTATGTGTCTGATGGTGTGACCTGACAAAGCCCTCTCTGGATACCTTGTGAACCCTGGCCTTTCATGGCCAAACGCACCTTGCCTCTCCTGAACCACTTGTTTGTGTTCTGTGAGCTGATTAACAGAAATAACTTGCTATAATTATGATGTGCTGGGAGAGAAAAAAAATTGTACTCTTTTCTTACCGTTTCTTTTTTTTTTTTAATTTTCTTTCTCGTTTTTTTTTTTTTTTTTTTGAGACAGAATCTTGCTCTGTCACCCAGGCTGGAGTGCAGCAGTGTGATCTTGGCTCACTGCAGCCTCTGCTTCCCAGGTTCAAGTGATTCTCATGCCTCAGCTTCCTGAGTAGCTGGGACTGCAGGTGTGCACCACCACACCCAGCGATCCTGTTTCTTTTCTAAAGCATAGAATTCTAAATTAGATCATCATCCTTAGACCACTACTAGCAAGAGACCGTGAGTGAGCAGAGGGAGGTGGCCAGACCAGCGCAGGCTGGACAGGAGACAGGGAACACCTTACCATGGAAATGGTATAGAAACGGACAAGACTGACAGAAAGAGTGGGGGGGTGGAGGAATATAAAAAAGGAAAAAAAAAAAAGAAAAGGAGGCAGAGTGAGAGAAGGAGAGAGAGGGAGAGAGAGGGAGAGAGAGGGAGAGAGAGGGAGAGAGAGGGTCTTAATGAGAAATACACACAAGTGGAGGAGCTCAGGAGAAAAGCAGCTCAGGGTGTGGCAAAATGAAGGAGGGTGGCATGCAGACAGAGGGCTTCCTGGAGAGGGGGACACTCACCTTTCCACAAGGCAGTTTTCCTGTTTTTACAGAAAGCTGAGCAAGAGTAGACAGCTTGTCTGTCTCAGGTGCTCCAGGGCCAGCTAATTCACACTTTTCCTGATGACTTTGAGGAACGTAAAACTCTTTAGTGTAAGCACTCTGCGAATCTGATCGAGGGAAACACTCTTGCCACTTTCCTTCCGGGGATCAGATTCTGGCTATGTTAGTGGGACAGTTAGTTACATAAGCTAGCAGTCACAACCAAGGAGAAAATGCCTTATCACGGCCATAAATAGGAAGAGCTGGGAAGATCCAGAGGGGACATGTGACAAGCTTTATGGAGGAGATATACAGTGATGAGTATTGTGACGCACTAATTACAAGAAAGGAAATGATTTCTGTGACAAAATTAATAAGAGTTGCTGCTATTTTTTATAGGTCCCTTAATGGGCATATGCCTTCTGTAAATATGTTTGGATGCATATGGATAGTAAATATATGTGTATGTGTGTAGGTATGAAAATATGTATGGTCCAATAAATGTCGAATGCTCACAGAATCCCTCAAGGTAAATAATATTATTATTATTCCAATTTTATAGCGGAGAATATTTCTAAAGCTTAGAGAGCTTGCAAAACGTATCCAAGAATACATGCCCACATATTTATAAAGTTTGATAATGATAGATTGGATTAAAAACTTGCAACTATTATCTACAGGTTACGTGATATATATGACCAGAATGAGAAAGAAGGAAAAAAAAGGTGTTAAGTGAAGGGAGATATGAATGGAAGATTTGTTGGAAACTAGCTCAGTAAACACTTCATATGCTGTTTATAGAAAACTATATTGTATCTTATAACAGCTAGAGAAATAGGGGAGGTTTCTGGCCGGGAAGTAATATGATTAGATCTATATTTGTGAAAAGTAAGAGGTAATTGATTAGTGAAGGGATGATAATTCAGATAGGACGTTGATGGTAACAGGCCAAGCAAAGCATGGTATGCACTGAATAACCCATAGCAACAAATGTGGTGGCTATGAAAAACAAATATGGGGATAGTATTTTTTATAAAAATACAATTAACCAACTACTTTCTATGTATAAGGGTATTTAAGTTTTCCTTTTTATTTCTACACTATGCCTTATTTTTCAGGAAAACAAAGATTAGATTGGGCATTTTTAAGATGATTATTCTGTATCTTCTTCCAAGTTTCAAGGACAGCAAATCTTTTTCTCACCACTTATCTACAGAAATTTACAGGCACAACAGAGAATGTTTGAACATAAAGTTATACTGAGGCTTAGACACAATTTATTTCATGCTCCATATAAATTTATTTCACCAAATTGAGAGCCTTAGAAAGGAAAAGGCCATGTACTTTTGTCCCTCCCATTACCAGGAGCTTTCCAAGAGCTAACGTCTGCTATATCCATCTTTTGGCTTTGACGGTAGATGTTTTAAGCTGGCAGGAGGATTAAGAACAAACTTAATAAAAAAGCACTTAAGAATATGCCTTTAGAGTTAAGCAAATATTGGGCTGAGGCCTGATTTTGCCACTAATTACGTAACTTCGGACAATTTACCTGACTTTCTAAATCTGGGGGTTCCTATTCGGAAAATGTGGATAAATGTGGTTCCTACCATATCAGGTTGTAGTGGAGTTAAATTAGATTCATACAAGCCTCTTTCTGCAGTACCTGACAAGCAATACGTGTTGAATACTTGCATCCAGTAACATGTACACACTGAACACTGAATGTACACAAAACACACCAATGAGAGAATGGAAGGTAAAAAAGTGGAGACGATAGAAATGAAAAATTATTTCAAGATTGACCATGAGGACGTGCAGAGAGAAGCAGTAACTAAAAGGGAGACATCAATGCAAGGCTTTATTTTTTAAGATGGGGAAAATGAAGAAACTTTTTATGCTGATGGAAATGATTAAATAAAGAGGGAGAAATTGTAGAGGTAGGACAGAAGAGTGATAATCAGAAGAGAAGCTCTTGCTACTAGGAGAATAATTTGTCTTTCGTAGGCATAGACACAGCCCCCACACTCACCCACACTTCATAATAGGAGAGGAGAAGAAAAGCATGAGTGAAGACAGGCATAAATTGCACTCGCTTGTTGGTAGGTGAGAGAATGCCCAGAAAACGAGAATGTTTCCTCAATGAAGTGTGAGGTGAGGCCATCAACTAAGAGTCAGGATGAACAGAGGTAGGAAGTTGTTTGTTTTTTTTTTTTTGAGACTAAGTCTTCCTCTGTCTCCCAGAGTGGAGTGCAGTGGAGCGATTTCAGCTTACTGTAAGCTCTGCCTCCCTGGTTCAAGCCATTCTCCTGCCTCAGCCTCACGAGTAGCTGGGATTACAGGCGCCCACCAAAACTAAGCCACATCCAGCTTAGTTTTTGTATTTTTAGTAAAGAGGGAGTTTCATCATTTTGGCCATGCTGGTCTTGAACTCCTGACCTCAAGTGATCCGCCTGCCTCAGCCTCCCAAAGTACTGGGATTACAGGCACGAGCCACCACACCCAGCAAGGTAGGAGTTTTAAGGAGAAAGGAAAGAAATGAAGTAATCATTCAGAGAAGAGGAAGAGCCAGATACATGCAGAGAAGGCCTGAGCAGTGCCCAGTGCCTGGCTGAATTTCGTGATTGTGTACTTAACTGGCAGCCATTCAAGCTATGTGTGAAATTTCCTCCAGGAAAATCTCCTTAAAGGGGTTGAAAGAAAGAAAAAGGGGCTTCCTGGTTGGTTTACCTAGAACGGAGATTCTACTACCTGACTGAGAGAATAGGAGACAGGAGAGAGGGAAACAGTGATATTTGCAAGGAGACGATCACACTTGAAGGCCATGGAATGCAAGATAAAATAAAACAAGAAGAGTTGATAGATCAATAGTGCAAGATCACTGAAACAGAGGTCTTAGGGATATGGGAAAATTATAGTGCTGGAGGTTGCTGAGCAAAGTCAACTGGAAAAACACAATTTGTGTTTGGAGAGCAAGATTTTTGAATTTGAGATTTAGGAGGTGGAACAGGACCTGCTGATACTGAGGCTTAGGGTGTGACCCTGGGATTAGCCAACCGTGACAAATTAGAGGAAAAGGTGAACTGGCGATTAAGAGATCAAGAAACTAAGAACCTTTGGAGCTAGATGGGTTCATTCTCATGGATATAAAAATTGCCAGGAATACTAAGTAGCACATATAAGGTGTTTACTATGCATCAGTGTTCTAAGAGTTTTATCTGTACTCTTTGATTCCTAGCATTTAAGGCTGCTACTCCTAGTATCATCTCTACTTTATAGCAAAGAGAGCTTAAATAATTTTCCCATGGCAACACAATTAGCAATGATAGAGGTGGGCTGAAACAGAGGTTCCAGAACCTGGTCTTGTATTGACCACACTGAATTTTCTAGAATTATAATGATAGTAGGGATGTGGAAAGTGAAATTATAATCCAGGTTCCAAAATTTTTAGTGAATTAGGGTGCAAGGTCAGGATATCTGTAGGAAAAAAAAAAAAAAAAAAAAGGAGAGGGTGAAGAGTCAGTTCCGGAAATTTTAGAAGAGCCTGGAGGGATGATGGTAAAAAGAAGAGTGACCACAATTCTGCCACTGAAGAATTTGAAAATGAGAAAAAAAAAAATCTTTTTTTTTTTTAAGAGAATGCAGAGGGGACAGTGTCCTCAAGATCCGTTCTGTTTCTACAAAACCTGACTTAATTGGGTGGATGGAAACTGCAGGACATTAGCATTTTTTTCAATCTCTCCCCATGAGCTTAATGTGCATGCTCATTTGGGAATAACTGAAGAAAGTGAAGGAAAGAAGAGAATTTTCTGAAAAACAGAAGATAAAGAATTTTCTGGTCATAAAATGAGAATTCCAGTATGCTAAGTGGAGATGTTTGAGAAAGAAGGAAAGGCAGTCATTAATGTTATTGGTGCCATTGGTATGTGTATCTTTGAATAACTTCCTTTTCCATTCCTTGATTTTATTTTTACTTGACAACAATGGTTCAGTCTGATTGCATTATTCTTTTATTGTGAGCATCTAAAACTATATTTGGTAGGAAAGGAATGGGATGTAAATATTTTAAAAAGTAATAAGAAGATTAGGAAATATAGCTTATTGTTAACTGGTGTCAAGAGGGTGAGTTTTAATCTATTTAGGCAGTGGCTTGGGCCGAGTTTACAATGTCATATGCCGGCACCTTTCTTTGAGTTTTCCTCTCTCAGATGCTTATTGTCCCATATAACTATAAAAACTGACTTTACTTAAACAAAGATTTAGAGAAAAAAATGAAGGAAGAAGAAAAAGAAGGAAGGAAAGGAAGGATGGATGGAAGGAAGGGGGGAGGGAAGGAGGGAAGGAGGAAGGAAGGAAGGAAGGAAGGAAGGAAGGAAGGAAGGGGGAAAAGTGAAAAGATAGTAATCAAAAGAAGAAATTGAGCAAATCCTTACATGGCAATACCAAATGGAATGAATTGAATGGCAAGCACAGGCATAGGAAGAAGGATAGTCCAAGATTACTCATTGGCCTAATAGGAAGAAATAAGAAGTAAAATCAAGCTGTTTTCTGAAACTTGAGTGTGTAGATATAATCAAATGATGATATCTTTTTATATGTAGTATCTGAACATTGATGATCCTTAAAGAAATAGTTGGAATTAAAATCCTTTTCAAAAAGCTATTAAGAAATACTTTTATTGTCTCAATTATGAAATGCCAGTTCATAAACTTATTTCTGATTATTTTTGAGGAATTAATTGTATTGTAAGAATAGGGAAATTATAACATCTTGGAAATAGTCACTTACTACAGATGCCTGAGTTTGTTGGCCAAATATAAATTCTACATCTGGGTTCAAAACCTCAGTTGCACAAAAATAGCATGATTTGACTTCTAAGTAGTGTATGTGTCAGCTGGATAACTATATAAGTAAGCAAAAGGGACTTGGCCAAATAAAGATGACCCAGAGGAAGGAGGAGTATAATCCTGCCTATCTGTGGGCTCTTCCAGTCTCACTTGTAGAAGAGGGTTCTATTCAGAACTTTGGGGGTCATTGATGAGCTTGGGCACACAGAAGATAACCATTGTAAATTTTTTTCTTGGTTAGAAGACAACTTAAATAAATATAATAATAATCTTCAAAATGTTGGTTGTCTGTTGTATGCCATCCTAAAAAGGATTGTTAACAATTATTTTGAGAAGGGCAACTTTTAGCTGTCTGTTTGGAAGAAGGTTCAAATAACTGGAACTTTCCAAAGATAAAATGGACCATTATAGCAGACAATGCATTCCCTTTAACAGGAAATACTTATCTTAACTGTAGGTAATCACTTAGACCCACAGACAAAGAGATCTGGGTATCAGCTGGGAAGAAAAAAATAACAGCTGGTAATTGCTGAGTACTTACTAAATGCCAGGCACTGCTATCTGTACCATCTCATCTATCCCAATAATCAGTCATCCTTTGAGGTTGATTATATTCTTTGTATCTTATGGATATAAACTATAAAGCCAAGAAAATCGCTAATAAATGACACAGACAGGATTGAACTCCAAACTTTTAATAACCATCCTATACTGCTTCTTAAGGAAGTAACAGTGGAAGACTTCCAAGGTCAGATTAAACTCTAATGATCATTGATTTTGGAAGTCACACTTCAAGGGTTTAGAGTAGTGGTCTGGAATTAGACCAGGGTTCAAATCTGGACTGAGTTTACAATGTCATGTGCCAACACTTTTCTTTTGACTTTTCCTCTCTCAGATGCTAACTACAAAAACTGACTTTATTTAAACCAAGATTTATAGAAAAAAAAATGAAGGAGGAAGAAAGGAAGGGGAAAAAGAAACACAGTAATCAGTAGAAGAAACTGAACAAATCCTTACATGGCAAGAACAAATGGAATGAACTGAATGGCAAGTACAGGCATAGGAAGAAGGATAGTTCAAGATTATTCATGATTATTCATTATTCCTAGTTATTAATGACTAACCTTGAGTGATATACTTGAACTCTCTGAAGTTTATTGTCTTCATCTGTAAACTTGAGGTCACAATGTTTCATTCACAGGACTGTAAGAATTAAATAAGATAATGCATACAGCTTTTAAGCACAATGCCTGGCACTAGTTATAACCTTGACAAATCGTAGCTATTTTTAAGTGTTCCAAGACATAAGATATTATTAGAATGGTATTTTGCACTACATGTTGCAATCCTAAATTTTAGCATTAGAATATTTTTAAAAATTTTATTGGGTTTAGACGAGGTTTAAATCCTCTGTGAGAATAACCATTTGATTTCATCCTTCAACTTTTTCTTCAGAAAAATACCAACTAAAAACAAGTGACAATTTTGGAAAAAAATGATAATATGTATAAAAAATATTTAGTATCAAGAGTGAATGAAGACAACTAACTAAAATAGGCAAAGAACAGGTAGTTCACAGAAAAAGAGACACTAATAGTGAATAGATAGGAAATCATGCTCAAACACGTTTTTATTTCTTTCCCAACCCACTGGAAAAATTATTATCATTATCATCATAATTGTAATATCTAACTCCCTCTTTTATTTCTCCTTGGCCTCATATCTTCCTGCAATTACCACTGGGTTTCTCTTTTCCCATTACAGCAAACTCCTCAAAAGATTTACTCATACTCTTTCACTTCTTAACCTCTCTCTTGCTTTTGAATCAATTCAAATGCAGTATTCTCTCTGCCTTTTTCTCAGGGTAAAAGAAAAAGTATGTTTCTTCCAGAGTTGCTGACTGCCATTTTGAAATCATGGATAGAGCTGATTCTACAGAAATCTGAGCAGAAAGGTAAGAGGAAAACTAAGTGCTTAATAACATCATTGGAGAATTCAGTCTGGCTAACTTTGAAGCCTACCCACTTCTAGACATTTCTGTGATCATTTAACCAGTTTGAATTGGGCTTTGTGTTTCCGAGAACACACATGGATGACTAAGTTACCCCCTCTGACAGGGTCTATGGATGAAAATAAATTCCTGTAGAGGAAGAAAACATCTGGCAGCCCCTAAGGAGAAAATTTCTAGAGACAAATGTATTTTGGCATCCCAGAATACCAGTTAGTATTCAGTCCACATAATTCCTGCAGATTTGTATTTAAAGAGCACAGGATAATTCCCATATGAGCCAAGACAACTCACTGAGAGATTCAACCAAGATCGGAAAAGGTTTGTGAAAAGTTGAGTGATAGGCTTCCAAAACCATCAGGAAATGTTTTGAATTAAAATACATGATTTATTTGCTCTAGAATTCAGACTAAAGCAATTTTAAGTCCAAGTTGTTAATTTATAATTGATTTATCAAAAAGTTCTTGCCTTCTCCTTTTTCTCCTGGTTAATTTAGCCAGTATTTAGCCATGACTTGTGTGAGGTGCTGGAGACACAATTATGAATAATTGTCCTTATGCATTATTGCACAATATAATCGGAAGACAAACACAACAAATATGACTTTTATTTATTTTAAGTGAGGTGAATTAATTTTGGGAGATTGATTTGCAAAACCCTAATTAAAGTTCTTTAACCTTCTTCAGAAGAAGACACTGTAAGCCAAATTAATTAAGACAGTTGGCTTCTTTAAGTTACTTATGAATTATTTTTCTCTTGGCTCTTGTTGACCTGGAGATCCAAAGGGAGAGAGATAGAGGTGAGGGAATGGTGACATAAGGCAGCCTCTATGGGGACCAAACAGAGCTGGGGAAACGGGACTACAGGAGGGGATGAGCAGAAACAGAGTCTGGTGAATCTGCAGGGTCAGAGCCGAGATCTGAGACCACTCCACCTTAAGGTGGTTTAAAAAGACTTGTATTCAGGACATGAAAAGTAATCAGCAGAAGCCTGGATAATAAATTCTGTCAGAAACCTTGCCACAGTGCCCATCCTAGGCCGTAACCTCGCCTGTGGGTTGACTGAAGCCATTTTCTCTGCATGCTGCCCCCTGTGTTGTGATAAATAATTTTTACTCAGCATTTCTATATAATTTTTCTTTAGGTACTCTTTCTACACAAATGATGCTTTACATTTCTCAAATAATGCTTATATAATTGTACATTTTAGAAATATAAGTTATTGTTCTAGTTTGTAGTCATCACTCATGAACATCCATTCTCACAAAAAAATATGTTCATGGTAGTTCTGAAGTGGAAGAACAATCATGACAATTTAACAGATACTAAAAGGAGGGACATCTGAGAAGCAGAGATTTGCTTTCAGAGGAAGACATATTGAACTCTGTTTTAAATATTTTCTTGAATTTCTCATCACCGAAAATTTTCTTAGTGTGTCTTACAATGATGATTAAGTTACTTGAATTTAATTCGGTTCTTTCATGATAACTGAATGCTCTTATTTACCATAATCTGTAAATTCTTAAAGCCTATACTAAACCTTTGGGCCCAACACAGAATAAAACAAATGGTCATAGCACATAAGGTTATCAATACATTTGAGTATATTTATGTTTGGCAGAGTCTGACATCCTGACTTTATGTTTATAGATACTGATGTTTATGTTAACATACTGTATACACAGTAAGTGTATGTGTATTTGGAGAGAGCTTCATTACATTTATTGTACCAAAGAAGATTGATTATGTGGAAAAGACAACTTCCTATCTCTTATTTTCTACCATTTCAAAGAAGAAAATTGTTGTCATCATTATGTTCACTATTATCTTCCAATAAACTCACTGGTGGCCACTCTACTGGTTTTTGAGCTGTGATGAAATTTTAAAAATAAAACAACACCAACAAGCAAAAGTTATAGTCCTTACATTCAAGGAAGGACTCTTGTTAGACAGAAGCTCTTAATATGCATGTATTGCATACAGAAAAGAACAACTAACCACACAGTCTTTGAAATGCCACAGGAGTGAATGAGACCATGTCAGAAGAGGAAGAAGGTCATCTGAGCTGGGCATGTGCGTGTATTTGTGAGAAACAATCTGACAGAGGGAAGAATCTTAAAGTTGTCTTTAGAGGATTGGTAGACTTTGGACTATGGAAAGATGGGGTGTGGGAAATAAATATATAGGAAGGAAGAAAGGAAGGAAAGGAAGGAAGGAAGGAAGGAAGGAAAGGAAGGACCAAGGAAAGAAGGAAGGAAGGAAGGAAAGAAGGAAAATAAAGAAAGGAAGGAAGGACCAAGGAAAGAAGCAAGGATGGAAGGAAGGAAGGAAGGGAGGAAGGAGGGAAGGAAGGAAGGAAGGAAGGAAGGAAGGAGAATACTAGAGCCTTTCTCTTGGGATATAGAAGGAAATGAACACTTTAATTTCCAATGAAATATCTCACCAGTTGAACAACAACACAAAAATCTTACTTTTCTTTAATGCCATCAGAATCTGTGGACACAAAGAAATTCAAAAGAACTATACTTCAGAAAGACAAGCCTTTTCTAAGTAAGTAAAAAATACAGGACACATTCAAAGCCAGTGGTCAGTTGCGAAAAGTTGGGGACAGGTGGGCTGATGAGCAAAGCTGTCAGAAAAGAACAGTCTGTGCTTAGACTAGAAGAAACAAGCCAGACATTCTGATGAATTCATGGGATGCCTTGGCAGTGGATCTGCGGGAGCCCCAAAGGCAAAGAGAATCCTCTCAGCGAAGCCACTTAAAGGGGAATTTAGATGATTACGCAGAGGCTGGGAGTAGAGGGAGGAAGATTTCACAGCCTCACAGTCCCAGGGTTGTCAGAATCTCTGTGTCCTGATATCTCACTGGGATCACACCATCACACAGCTTCACTGTCTGTGGTTTCATAGGCCTCTGGGCCTCAAGGAAATGGTAAACATAGACTGCTTTCTTTGTTTTCTTAAACTTTTAAAAGTCAAAAGTTATTCAAAAGATTGGTTAAAGAAAAAAATCATAAAGTATTATGGGGCTTATAATATGCATAAGTAAATGGTGTAATAAAATAGCACAAAAGGTGGGAGAAAATGTAAATGAAATTATACTATTATAAGGTTATTTCATTGGATACAGAATAGTATTAAGCTAAGTCAAGAAAGACTGTGATAAATTGAAATGTACACTACACTGTAATCTCTAGAGCAACCACCAAAGTAATAATGCAAAGAGATATAGTTAAAAAGGCAGTAGATGAGATAGAATGGAATATTGAAAATTACTCTATCGACCTCAAAAGGAAACAAGAGGAAAAAAGAAAACACAACAGAAAAATAGAACAAAGAAGAAACCAGTAGCAAAATATTATACTTACATATGTATAGGTAAGTAAATTAAATGTAAATGGGTGAAACAGATTCCATGTAAAAATTTGAGGATTTTCAGAATGAATGTTTTTTAAAGACTCAGAGATATATCCTTTGTAAGAGAGACGCACTTTCAATATAAAACAACATGTAGATTGAAAAAAAATTTTAATGGGAAAAAATATACCATGGAGCCTGTAATCCAAGCATTTTTGGGAGGCCAAGGCAGACAGATCACTTGATGTCAGGAGTTTGAGACCAACTTGGCCAACACGGTGAAACCCTGTCTCTACTAAAAACATAAAAATTAGCCAGGTGTGTTGGTGGGTGCCTGTAATCTCAGCTACTCAGGAGGCTGAGGCAGGAGAATCATTTGAACCCGGGAGGCAGAGATTGCAGTGAGCCAAGATTGTGCCACTACACTCCAGCCTGGGTGACAGAGCATGTTGGCCAGGCTGATCTCGAACTCCTGACATCAGGTGATCTGGCTGCCTTGGCTTCCCAAAGTGCTGGGATTACAGGCGTAAGCCACTGCATCTGGCCTCTTAACAAATTTTAACTACACAATACGTTATGATTATCTATTATGGATAGTCACATGCTGTACATTAGTTTCCCAGAACTTATTTATCTTTATACTAATGTTTGTACCCTTTTACTAACATCTCGCTTTTCCCTATTCCCCAGCTCCAACCACCTTTCTACTCTCTGTTATTATAAATTTAACTTTTTTTAGATTCCTCACATAAAAAAGGTCATGCAGTATTTGTTTTCTGTGTCTGGCGTATATCACTTAGCATAACGTTCTCCAGATTCATCTGAGTTGTCATAATGGAAGATTTTTTTTCCTTTTTAAGGCTGAATAATATTTTACTGTGTGTGTGTGTGTGTGTGTGTGTGTGTGTGTGTGTATCATATTATTTATGTGGCATGTGTTTGTGTTTGTCTGCTGATACCAAGTTATTCCTTGGTATCAGCAGAAGATTGGTTCTAGAACTCCCTGAAGATACCAAAATCCACAAATGCACAAGTCCTTTACATAAAATGATGTAGGTATTTGGATATAAACCTATGCACATTCTCATATATACTATATCATCTTTACATTACTCATAATACCTAATACAATGTAAATGCTATGCAAATAATAGTCCTACTGCATTTTTATTTGTATTATTTTTATTGCCATATTATTTTATTATTTTGATCTGTTGTTGATTGAATTTGTAGATGCAGAACCTGAGGATACCATGAGCTAATTGTGTATACTTATTATGTATTCTTATCTATTCATCTGTTCATGGGCACTTACGTTGTTTCCATATCTTACCTATTGTAAATAATGCGACTATAGGAATGTGGATACCTCTTTGAAGTAGTAGTTTTATTTCCATTAGATATACACCCAGAAGTAGAATTGCTGGATTATATGGTCATTCCATTTTTAATATTTTGAGGTACCAATTTTGTTTATGGTGAGGGCTCTCTTCTTCGTTCTTAGATGACTAGTTTCTTGCTGTGTCCTCACATGGACTTTTCTCCAGCATGTGTGTGTGTATATGGGGGATAGATGGGAGGTTAAAGAGCTCTCTAGTTTCTCTTCTTATAATCCTATGGGGTCAGGGCCCACCTTTCTGACCTCATTTAACTTAGGGGGTGCCATCTCTAAAGATAGTCACCCTAGGGATTAGGGCTTCAATGTGTAAACTTTGGGGAGGATACAAATATTCAGTTAATATAATAACACCTCTCTACATTAAAATGTTAAATATAAAATTAAAATCTCTCTCTCTCTCTCTCTCTCTCTCTCTCTATATATATATATATATATATATATATATATATATATCTCGTTCCTCCTATCCTGAAAACCAACCAACCAACCAACTAAACAAAAATCCTCTCAGCAGGCCCATATGACTTTAATGGTGAGCACTTTGAAATATTTAAAAGAGAGTAAATACCAATATCACATAATATCTTTCATACAATAGGAAAGAAAAAAAACACACTAATTTGATATGTGAGTTTAACATAACCCTAACTCCAGAATATTAGGAAATAAAATAAACCAATATATAAAAATGATAATATATTATGTCCACACATGATTTGTCCCAGGAATGCAAGGTTGGTTCAACATTCATAAATTAAATTCACCACATTAATGAAATAAAAGTGAAAACAACATGATTATCATAAGAGAGACAGAAAACATTATTTGACAAAAACCAAATTTTTGCCCATTTATGATAAAAACTCTCAGAAAAATAGGAGTATTCTCAATCAAGATACTACAAAATAATCAAGATAGCTACAAAAAAATTTCACTTAGTGTTTAGTGTTTCCATCTAAGATCAGAAACAAGATAAGAAAATTTTTATTTCATCACTTTTATTTTATTTTTTCTAAAAATTCACCTGTAACAAAAAAATAAATGGCATATAGATTTTTTTAAAAAGTAAAGCTATCATTATTCACAAAAAACAAGCGTTTTCCATAAGGAATCCTAAGGAAACTATCCTCTCCCCCAACAAACAATATGTATAATTAATTAGAGAAAGAATATACAAGGTCAGTATATAAAATTATAATATACAAGGTCAGTATATAAAAATTAATTATTTTTCTATATAACAGTAACAAATAATTGGGAAGTAAAATGTTAAGATGCTGCTACGTATAATAGTTTCAAAAGAAACCAAAATATTTAGGAGTAAATTTGACAAAAGATGCACAATATCTGTATAAGTGAAAACTATAAAATATTGCAGAGAATTAAAAAAGATGTAAATAAACTTAATGATAAATCTACTGATATAACTAAATAAAGATAGAGACATATCTCATGTCAACAGATAGGATGATGCAATATTTTTAACATGACAGATTTCTTCCAACTTAAAGTATACATGCAATGCAATGTGAATTAATGTCCCACAGAATTCAAAAATAACTGTTATCAAGCTAATTCTAAAATTTCTATTAAAATGCAAAGCCAAAATATTTTAAAAATGAAGAAAATTTTGTCCAATTTTATAACTTAATCTCAAGACTTAGTATACTGATATAACAAAAATTAAAACAACCCGGCATTGTGACCCACATCTGTAATCCCAGTACTCTGGGAGGCCAAGGCTGGTGGATCAATTGAGCCCGAGAATTTGAGACCAGCCTGGGCAACATGACAAACCCTCATCTCTATAAAAAATACAAAACTTAGCCAGGAGTGGTGGCATGTGCCTGTACTTGGCAGGTTGAGGAGGGAGGATCATCTGAGCCAATATGGTTGAGGTTGCAGTGAGTCCTGATCATGACATTGCACTCCAGCCTGGGCAACAGAGTGAGATCCTGTCTCAGCAAAAAAAAAAAAAAAAAAAACAAAAAAAAAAAAACATGTAGGTCAATGGAACAGATTAGACAATCCAGAACAGAGAATATAGATCCACATTTATACAATCAGCTAATTTACTACCAACTTGCGAAGATCATTTAAAGTAGAAAAGGATACTCTATACAACAAAATGTGCTAGAGCAATTGCACATACACTGAAAAATAAATAAATCTTGTTCAAAACCTCACATGAAACATAAAAATTATTATAATTTAGGATGGATAACGGGCCTAAATAGAAATGTTACAACTTTAAAACGTCTAGAAAACAAAATAGGAAAGGATGTTTGTGACCTTGATGTAGGCAAGCATTTCTTAGATAAGAAACAACATTATTAACAACTAAAATGTATATATAAATTGGAGTTCATTAATTAGACTTCATTAAAACCAAAAATGTGTGTGCTTCAAAAAAAATCTTAAAAAAAACTAAATTAAAGGGCAAGCTAGAAACAGCGAGAATATATTCACTTCACACTTCACAGATGAAAGCATATATGTAGCTAATATTTATGTAAAAATATCTCAAACTCATTAACCATCAGGGAAACGGAAATTAAAATCATAATGAGATATCACTTCACCAGAATGGCTAAAATTAAAAAGCTTGACAACATCAAGAGTTGGTGAAGATGAGGAACAACTGGAGCTCTCATACATTGCTGGTAGGGGTGTAAAATGGTACATTTGGAAACCTTGAAAACTGTTTAACAAAGTGAATTAAACATATATACACTTCGTGAACAAATTTTCCTAGATAACTTAAGAAAACAAAATCATATATATATGGATGTTCATAGTAGCTTTTTTTAGAGTAGCCAAACTTGGGAGGTGGGAGACCTAATTAATGCCCATCAAAAAGAGAATTGATAAATTGTAGTTATTCATAAAATGACATACTATCCACAATAAAAAATAATGAATTACTATTATAGGAACATATAAAAATCATATGCATTATGCTCAGTGAAGGATACTAAACAAAGGAATATATAGAGTATGATATGTTCATTAGAAACTCAAGAAGTAAAATTAAGCTATGGTGACAAATATCTACTGATTATCTCTGAGTGGTGGAGGAAATTGACTAGGATGGGTCCCAGGGAACTTCTGTGGGGATGAATATATTCTGTGTCGTGACTGGAGTGGTGGATACACAGATAGAAACACTTGTTAAAAATTATGTAAGTCTACATTTAAAGAATGTACATTTTATTGCATGTAAATCATTCCTCAAGTTGGTTTTTTTTTTAATTAGAGGCAAAGTTACTTTTTGTTTTTTTTCCAGATCTTTCTTCTCTTTTTCACCTCCCACTTGCCCTTCCATACATACAACCTCCCCTGCTACCTCCATCCTGCATTTTGCAGGTGTGATGGTTAATACTGAGTGTCAATTTGATTGGATTAAAAGATGCAAATTATTGATCCTAGGTGTGTCTGTAAGAGTGTTGCCAAAGGAGATTAACATTTGAGTCAATGGGCTGAGAAAGGCAGACCCACTCTTCATCTGTGTGGGTACAATCTAATCAGCTGCCAGCTCAGCCTGAATAAAAAGGAGGCAGAAGAATGTTAAAAGACTAGACTGGTTTAGCCTCCCAGCCTACATCTTTCTCCTGTGCTGGGTGCTTCCTGCCCTCGAACATCAGACTCAAAGTTCTTCAGCTTTGGGACTCAGACTGGCTTCCTTGCTCCTCAACTTTCAGATGGCCTATTGTGGGATCTTATGCTCGTGTGAGTTAACACTACTTAATAAACTCCCACACACACACACACACACACACACACACACATATATATGTATATGGGAGTTTAAAGTAGAAAAGGATACTCTATACATAAATACGTACATAAGGATACTCTATACACATATATACACACATACATATATGGGAGTTTATTATATATGTATGTGTATATACACACACATATATGTATGTATATGTGTATATATGGGAGGTTATTTAGTATGTGTGTGTATATATGTATATATCTATATCTATCTATCTATCCTATTAGTTCTGTCCCTCTAGAGAACCCTAACACTGGTGGTATATTTGTTTCAATTCATGAACCTACATTAACACATCACTATTACCCAAAGTCCACAGTTGAAATTAGGGCTCACTCTTGGTTAGGTACATTCTATGGGTTTTGACAAATGTACAATGACATGCATCCACCACTTTAGTATCATACTGACTAATTTTATCACTCTAAAAATCCACTGTGCTAGGCTTATTCATCTAGCCCTCCTCCCAGCCTCTAGCAACCACTGATCCTTCTACTGTCTCCATAGTTTCGCCTTTTCCACAATGTCGTGAACTTGGAATTGTACAGTCTGTACCCCTTTCACATTGACTTTTTTCACTTAGTAATATGCACTTAAGCTTCCTCCATGTCTTTCCATCCCTTGATAGTTCATTTCTTTTAGCACTGAATAGTATTCCATTGTTTAGATGTGCCAAGATTTATTTATCCATCCACCTCTTGAAGGACATTTTCAAGTTCTGGTAATTATGAATAAAGCTGTTATAAACATCTCTGTGCAAGTTTTTTTCTTTGACATAAGTTTTCCATTCATTTGAGTAAATATGAAGGATTACAATTGCTGAATCATATGGTAACAGTATGTTTAGTTTTGTAGGAAACCGTAAAAGTGTCTTCCAAAGGAGCTGTACAATTTTGCATTTCCACCAGAAATAAAGGCAGGTTTTTGTTGCTCTACATCCTCACTAGCGTTTGGTGTTATCAGTGTTTTAGATTTTGGTCCTTCTAATAGGTGTGTTGACCAGATGTTTTTAACTTTCATTTCCTTTCATTTTTACATCATCAAAATGTACTTTAAATTAGAAAACATTTTCTAGTTATTGTAACAACTCATGAAATCACTAAATAGTACCAATATGGTTTGGCTGTGTCCCCACCCAAGTCTCATCTTGAATTCCCACCTGCTGTGGGAGGGACCAGGTGGGAGGTAATTGAATCATGGGGGCAAGTCTTTCCCTTGCTGTTCTCATGATTGTGAGTAAGTCTCATGAGATCTGATGGTTTGAAAAAGAGGAATTCCCCTGCACAAGCTCTCTCTTTGCCTGCTGCCATCCATGTAAGATGTGACTTGCTCTTCCTTGCCTTCTGACACGATTTTGAGGCTTCCCCAGCCACACAGAACTGTAAGTCCAATTAAACCGTTTTCTTTTGTAAATTGCCCAGTCTCAGGTAAGTTTTTATCAGCAGCATGAGAAGTAACTAATACAGTAAATTGGTACCAGTAGAGTGGGACGTTACTGAAAAGATATCCGAAAATGTGAAAGCGACTTTGGAACTGGGTAAAAAGCAGAGGTTGGAACAGTTTGCAGGGCTCAGAAGAAGAGAGGAAAATGTGGGAAAGTTTGGAACTTCCTAGAGATTTGTTGAATGGCTTTGACATTCCATGGGTTTTGACAAAACATTTTGACAGAAATGCTGATAGTGATATGAACAATAAGGTCCAGGCTGAGGTGGTCTCAGATGAGATGAGGAACTTGTTGGAAACTGGAGGAAAGGTGACTCTTGTTACATTTTAGCAAAGAGACTGGTGGCATTTTGCCTCTGCCCTAGAGACTTGTGGAACTCTGAACTAGAGAGAGATGATTTAGGGTATCTGATGGAAGACATTTCTAAGCAGCAAAGCATTCAAGAGCAGACTTGGGTGCTGTTAAAAGCATTCAGTTTTAAAAGGGAAACAGAACATAAAAGTTCAGAAAAGTTGCAGCCCGACAAGGCAATAGAAAAGAAAATCCCATTTTCTGAGAAGAAATACAAGCCGGCTGCAGAAATCTGCAAAAGTAATGAGGATCCCAATGCTAATCCCAAAGACAATGGGGAAAATGTCTTCAGGTCATATCAGAGGTCTTCATGGCAGCTTCTCTCATACAGGCGCAAAGATCTAGGAGGAAAAAGTGGTTTCATGGGCCGGGCCCAGTGTCCCTGTACTGTGTGCAGCCTAGGGACTTGGTGCCCTGCATCCCAGCTGCTCCAGCCATGGCTGAAAGGGCCAAAATAGAGCTCGGGCCATGGCTTGAGGGTTCAAGCCTCAAGCCTTAGCAGCTTCCATGTTGTGTTGAGCCAGTGAGTGCACAGAAGTGAAGACTTGAGGTTTGGGAACCTCTGCCTAGATTTCAGAAGATGTATGGAAATTCCTGGATGTCCAGACAGAAGTTTGCTGCAGGGCAGGACTTTCATGGAGAACATCTGCTAGGGCAGTGTGGAAGGGAAATGTGGGGTTGGAGCCCCCACGCAGAGTTCCTACTGGGGCACTGCCTAGTGGAGCCATGGGAAGAGGGCCACTGTCCTCCAGACCCCAGAATGCTAGATCCACTGACAGCTTGCATTGTGTGCCTGGAAAAGCTGCAGACACTGTGAAAGCAGCTGGAAGGGAGGCTGTGCCCTCAAAGCCACAGGGACCGAGCTGTCTAAGACAATGGGAACCCATCTCTTGCATCAGCATGACCTGGATGTGAGACGTGGAGTCAAAGGAGATAATTTGGGAGCTTTAAGATTTGACTGCCCCGCTGGATTTCAGACTTGTGTGGGGCCAGTAGTGCCTTTGTTTTGGCCAATTTATCCCATTGGGAATGGCTGTATTTACCCAATGCCTGTACCCCCACTGTATCCATAAAACAACTAACCTCCTTTTAATTTTACAGGTCATAGGGGGAAGCGACTTGCCTTGTCTCCATTGAGACTTTGCCCTGTGGACTTCTGAGTTAATGCTAAAATGAGTTAAGACTTTGGGGGACTGTTTGCTGGGAAGGCATGATTGGTTTTGAAATGTGAGGATGTGAGATTTGGGAGGCAACAGGGGAGGAATGATATGGTTTGGCTCTGTCCCCACCCAAATCTCATCTTGCATTCCCACCTGTTGTAGGAGGGACCAGGTGTGAGGTAACTGAATCATGGGGGCAAGTCTTTCCCTTGCTGTTCTCATGATAGTGAATAAGTCTCATGAGATATGATGGTTTTAAAAAGAGGAATTCCCCTGCACAAGGTCTCTCTCATTCCCTGCTGCCATCCATGTAAGACATGACTTGCTCTTCCTGGCCTTCCACCATGATTGTGAGGCTTCCTCAGCCACATGGAACTGTAAGTCCAATTAAACCTCTTTTTTTTTTTTTTTTTTTTTTTTTTTTTTTTTTTTTTTGTAAATTGCCCAGTCTTGGGTTTGCCTTTGTCAGCAGCATGCAAATGGACGAATACAAGTACCATATATAATCATTTCCAAATACATGCATCTTTGAGATTTACCTTTTCTACATTTTGAAATTAAATACAATCTCCCTTCTAATGATCTCTTCCCAAATCTTTTTTTCCTTCTTCAATCTCAAAGAACCCAGGTTTTCCTCATCTCATCTCTGTAACTCAGTTTTTCAACCTTCAGTCTTTTCTTCTCTTGATATTGCCTTCAATTTCCCAAGCAAAGCAATTTATCCTTGTTCTGTCTACTCAAAATGTGCAAATCCCCATCTCACTTGAAGTCATCAAAAGCCATGACAGTCTCGTTCTGACTCATCGTTAATTATACCCATAAGTGGACAAGTTTTGTTAAACTTGAAGCTTCAACAATTTGGGGAGTCTTCTTAAAAAATAATATAACATCAGATATGAAGTAAAATATTTATTTTTAATGAGAAAATAAGACACAACAAACTGTATACTTATAAAGTTAAATGCCACAAAAAACACAAACAAAAATTACCATAACAAATTTCAAGTTAGGAGTCTGTCATCTCTAGAACACTTTAGTGCCTCTTCATATGACAATTTTACATCTCTTTCTATGGAGAAGCTTAAAAAATAATTTAGTTTTTCTTTTCAATGTGGTGAAAAATAGTGTTTTTACATTATTGAATATTTAAAATATATTTTTAAACTCCCCAACTTGCATGATTAGCAATTTCATATTAAAGTTTAGAATTATTGTCAAACTTAGGGAAATTTTTCTCATTTCTTTTCATTTATGAGCCATGAGATTACAGGGAATTTCAGTTTTTCTGGAGGAGTGAAATATTCTTTGACATCACTCATTAGCAAGGAGTTTGCCTCCAAGGGAAGTGAAGCATCATTCATAGCTTTTCCAACATGAATGTTTTATTTCAAATCCCCAAATATAGAAATTTTTCCAATGTATTGATGTGGTTCGCAACTTTTGGTTACTTATAAGAGCATACTTGAAGCCATTCCTGCCCTGAGATTGCTAACAATAAATTAACCAGGCATAGAAGTAACAGTGAACCATATGACTTTATCCCATAAAGCCAGACTAAACCAGACTAAATGAATTCCCGAGGAATCTTCTACGATATCTTCAAAATGCTGAGGATATTCCAGTGTGTTCTTTACATAAGAAAAAATGTGAAAAGGGCACAATCACAGAGGAAAGCAACAAAAGTCTTAACTCATTACATTTAACATATCTTTCGCAAAGTTTGCAAAATCAGATGCAAACACATGCTGGGGCCCCTCTCTGGGCTTTCTAAAGCTTAAACAAGCGAGAGGTCCTAAGGCTTAAGCTTTATCAGTTTCCCATGAATCAGCCTCTGATTTTTGCCTGTATCTATGTTTTCATCTACATTGTCATCTATACACATACTAAAAAATATCTATATTTTCATCCATATTTATGTTCCGTAAATCGTCTCCTAACCAGCACAGTGCCCTTACGCCTAAAATAATTTCTGACTTATGGTAAGCACAAGATAGGAGTTTTTAGAATTAGTTGGATTGGACTGAATTTAATTGACAACGTGTAAAAAATTTAATTGGGTTGGTTCTTATCCTTTTTATGCCTTATGGCAAAATGAAAAGAATGCAGCAGGCTTTAGCATTACTTACTATATTTTTTAAAACTTAGGAAATGTTATTTTACCTCCTTGAGATTCTGTTTCCTAACCTGCAAAATGGGGAAAATAATACTTTGCAAGAGTCTGCAAATTATCTTCCAATGTTCATTCTTGCCTTCTACTATAGAAAGAGAACCCCTGGTTTTAGCCGGGCACATGGCTGCCCAGAATAAAAGCTACAATGTCCAGACTCTCTTGCCATTAAATCAGATGAATGAGATGTAAATTGTCATGTAGTGACTTCCCAAACTTTCTGGAAAGAAAGATGACAGACGTCTTGCCTTCCTCTTCATCTTTTCCTCTATCTTGATGCTTAGAATGTGCATAAGATGCTAGAGCTCTACCCACCATCTTGGACTAGGAGGCAGAGGACCACAGCCTATGGGGAGTGGAATAAACAGATTAAAGCCTTCTAATCTGGCAAGACTTGGAGGAGCAAAGCTACCATGGCAATTCGGGGCTGCCCACCTCTACATATTAAATTAATCACTATTATTTTGAGCTTCTGTTACTTGTGCTGAATTTAATGCAAATGGCTGCATTGCAGGTTTTGTGAAGGTTCTATATGCAGGGGACCTAGCACAGTGTCTGGCATAGCATTGACGTCTATTATAGCAGCTGTTCAGCATTCTCTTATCTGGATATTTTTGCTTGCCCCATGAAGCAGCTCTCAAAAGTTACTACATTCCTAGTGCTAGCTAGTAAATAGTTTCATTCCTTAAGTTTCTAAAAATAAGCCTTCTCAATGTCATCTATGTATTAAATTCTGTAGCCTTATCTCCTTTACAAACTGTTAGGAGAAGAATCTATCAGGATGGGATTAATATTTTCCTGCTGTGTAGACTTTTAAGAATGTGCTGGTGTGTAATTTTTCCCGGCATATAATTTTCATCCCGCTTTCTATTTTTTCATCTTGCTGTTGTCAACTCTAACTTGGAAAACATCTTTAAATAGATATTTGGAGCAAAAAAAAAGGATCGTGCTTAAAAAAACGGTGGTATCTGTTTACACAGTTTACAAAGTGACCGAGCATTATCCTTTTAATAGAGGCCTGTGGAGCTGGATTGGTGAAAATTTATGCCCGAATCTCCATAAAACTGAACTAGTAGGGAAAATGGCATTATTCTTGTTTCCCAAAAAGTGACCTTAATTAATACTATTATTATTTTTTAATGGAAGAAACTATACACATTTTCATTTCCACCTTCCCAAATCCCCATTTTTCATGAAAGTTTTCCTTAGCTTCCGTGCAGTAGATCATTTCCTCTTGGACATCTTGTTTGGCTTCATTATCTTGCCAACTTCTTTGGGTCTTGACTTATAGCTCTTTTCCACTAAAGATGCAAAATGCAAATAGAGTCTAAGGCAGAAGACTGATTTTCCAGGAGCAAAGGAATGCTAAGGAAACTGAGTTCCCAGCCTTTCAGGAGTTAGTTCTTTCTTCAATTACAGCCCCTCCTCTCCCCTCCTAGGGAACCCTGGGCGATAGACTTGTTAGGGGAACACAAGGTAGCATCAGCTCAGGAAGGGCCCCAAAATTAATCTCGCCTGGTACATTAGGAAACACTTCGCTGACATTTGCTGTCCCTGTCAGCCCTAATAAAGAGATTTTTACCTGTATTTGCCTATTCAACACTTCGGCCCCTCAGCCAATTTTGGAAATTATTTTTGATTTATGGCTCTCTCTCAGGCGGGTGTCACCCTGCCTGTCAATTATGCCTTAATGCAAATGCTAAGTGAATGCTGGCTAGTAAAATTAATAAGGGAAACCTTTACTCAGAAACCCAGAAAGAGGCTTGTAAAGGGGATCATTCAACCAGGCAGCAACTCGGTGGCTGCCTGTGATATTTATAAGTGAGACAGAGGTATGTGGAGAGTTCAGTCACACACAGAAAGGAACAGCATTTTTCTCCCTTCAGTATTTAAGGCTTAGCCACTCTGGAGAACACAAAGACCTAATGATGAAATTCTTTTGGTTCCAGTCTCCTCAGATGGGATCTGAAAACGTTTTCCTCCAGTTTGTAAATATACACTGCTCAATTTCACAACACATCTAAGAAATGGAAACCATATAGTTCTTATTATTTTAAAGGTTTCCAACATAAATAAGTGTTCCTTGGTTTATGTAATTTTTACATATTTGATAGTAGATAAATTACTGCTAGTAAGTACATGGATGAATGAATGAATGAATTAATGAAGCAAGTCCACATAATCTTGGAGACCCTTATTTCTGGCTACATTTACAGCAACCTGGCCCATTCACCTTGTCCCTCTGTACACTTCAGCCTCCTGGCATTCACTGGGATCCTTACTTTTCCACTCCAGGTCCTTTGCACATTCTTCACTTTCTACCAGGAATGTTCTCTCTTGGCCTCTTTCCCTGAAGAGCTCAAACTCATCCTTCAGGCCTTAGTTCTAATTGTGCACCCCCAGAGAAATCTTCTCTTCAACCTATACGAGTTATCATTTGTAATCTCCTATTCTACCCTTTCCTTTTGCTTCGAGGAACTTATCACATTGCATCATTATCATTCATTTGTGAGATTACTGGCTCAGTACTTGTTGCCTAAACTAAGTTTAAGCAAGAGGACAGGCCCTCTGGTTCTTGTTTAGTTCCATCTGCACCCCTAGAATACAGCACAGTCCTGGCACATAATAAACTCTCGAAAGACACCTGTTAAAGAAATGCATGATGAATGAAGGATGACTCTTTTAGAAATTTAGGTTATTACATTCCTCACCCTAAGCTGGGTGCACCATGCTCTCCAATACATTAATTTTTTTTTCTTTCTCTCTCCTATGAAAATGCTTGAGAATACTCTCAACAGATGATTTGAATACTCCCTTGGGGTCAACGAAAGAAAGAATAAAAAGAGAGGTTTTAGTACATGGCTTAAGCCTGAAAGACAAGAAGGAAAAATAAAACTTTATCAATTCATTCATTGGATACTCATTTTAGTTACTGACCACCTACTATGTACAAAGGGTTGTTATAGGTACTGGGGATAACAGAGAACAAAATGAAATTTGTCTCTTCCCTGGTGGAAATAATCAATGGGTGCTGCTGAGTGCAGATTCTGAATTAATTTATTTCCTCAGGACCTGTGGTTTTCTCCTGGTCCTCCCAATTGCATTTTTAATTGGAAATGCATCCCCTAAAATTGAGAAAACTGTGATCTTGGGCTGGTCAGACTGAAACTAAGACAGTGATACTCATGTAGACAACTCAAACATCAGTGCTGGAGGGGAGTCGAAAGATCATTTTATTCCACCGCCTCACAGGAGAACTGAGGACCTTGTTTCCTAATGCTATTTCATCCACATGAGCTGCAAAAGAACTTCAGCTTATTAAGAACAACTACTGATAGGAATCTTGACGTTTCTTATAATGTCCTGGAGAATATATCATGTTATAATTTATAGTTTTTCGCATTAAATCAAATCATTGTAATTATTACTTCTCAGAGTGAATAAGTAGATCTGTAATGTATATGATTATTTGCAGAATGAATTTCAAACATGTAATTCTTATACGTTCTAATCAGAAGCATTTAGGATTCAATTTGTGAGTCTTTTTTTGTGACCTCATAAGACCCAGAACTCTCTTGCTGACCTTTGTTATAGAAAGAAAAAAGTCATGGGATTTGGTCTTGGACAGTTCTGGCATCAAATCTCTATTCCACTATTTTGTATTTCGTGACTCACAGATAATTCTACCGACACAGTGATGGGAAGGACACAGTATGGATAAGAGCATAGATTTTGGAATCAGATTTCTAGATTCTAGGCTTGCTCTACCACTTTTTACCTTTGTCATCATTCAAGTTGTTCAACAGCTCTGAGTTCTAACTTCCTCATCTGACAAAGGTGGTGATAATGATGTCTTCTCACAAGGTCATTAACACATGACATTTTAAAGCACTTAGAACACAGCCTGGAAAACCGTCAATATTCAATAAATGGTAGACCTGTAACTACCAGTCAGGGTTCTCGATTTCAAGTAACAGAAATTGATGTTAGTTAACTCTAGTGGAAAGGAGCTTACTGAAAAGGCATTTATTTGTCACAGATACAAGGGGAAGGGTGTCAAACTTGAGCTCAGAAAGGAACAAAAGAAGCCAGGCACAGCCAAGACACTGTCAGGGAAAGGGCCCCCTAGGGATTACCTCTACCAGTGGTGTCCTCAGAATACAGGATTTATGCCTCGGAGCTCTGAACACCTCACTCAGCAGCAGCTTCCCCCAATCATCTCTAACCATGTCAGCCAGCTGCCTGTCCTAAGATGTTTGGCATTTCCAGGCAGGAGTGTCTTTCTGGAGGGGCTTCAGTCACATGGCACATTCCAAGTGACAGGGACCTACAGCCATCTTTTATGAGCCACTCTCCCCCTCTCCCATAGTGGTGGTATTATCATTCTTCCATTTTGAAAATGGGAAAGCTGAGGCATAGAGAGATGATGTAGCTTGCTCAGCTATCAAATGGCAGAGCAGCCCATCAATAATTCAAATGCAGGACTAAGAACTCCAATACCATATTCTTTCCACTGCACTGTGCCCCCAAAGTTGTGATCTATGCTTTACATTTGATATTTTACTTACTTTCGTATTTGTCATGAGGCTAAGTATCCTCATTCAATGTAAGCAAATTAAATTGCAGCCTATTCAGCTTTCTCCCTAGGGCCATCCCCCAACCACAGACTAATCTGGATTTATATAGTTTTGCCTGTGGCCAATGCGTTTTTGAAGGGAAAGGAGTTTGGATATAGATGCAAATAAATAGATGTACAGATAGCCATTCATTTATTATAAATTGTAAGAGGAAGTCGGTGTGATCACTTCCTTCTCATTGGATAAGTGAGGTTCTAAAAATAGGTTTTCAACATTTGGAGAAAGTTTATTTGCCTGAATATGAGTACTAACATCTCTTCCCTCCCTAGAAAACAATTTTTAAGTTGGGCCCCTGCGAGTCAGCAAATTTCCATCTGGGGTCCATCTCTGTCACAATTACATCTTTTTATTCCAGAACAATTAGGATTGAGTGTAAAAACTGCACAATTAATAAGCAAAGATTTTGAATGACACAGAGTAGTAGAATGTTCTATTTTTGTATATTCCCGGAATCACAGATTTCATTTTGTGCTGAGCCTTATTTGTCTACAAAATCCAAAGCTCTGGAAAAACATACCTAAGGAGAGCAACTTCTCAGATTCTTGGCACTGTGAGACTACAAAAGCTCGGCATGTATGTGGTTGTTAGACCCCACGGAACGTGAAAAAGTAAGAGAGAATAAAACCTCCAATTTATGTAAAGTTTTAAATTAGACATCTCCTTTAGTTGTAAGATATATAACACAGCCAAAGCCTTAGAATATCTTGTTTTGTTGTTGAGTGTTGGTTCATGTTAGCCCTTTTAAATAGATAATTTATCTGTCCCCCCAGAAGCCTGGAGAGAGTATCATTTTCACTGTTTTATTTGAAAGGAAACTGGAAATCAGAAAAATTGAGTAGTAAATTCAATTCTAATGCTTATGTGGCCCAGTCTGGATTTGAATTTGTCTCTCTGATTCCAAGGTCTACGTGTCCATGTACACCATGCACACATGTACATACGGAGAAATAACAGGGCCATCTAGAATTCAAAGATGTTATCTCTCCCTACAAATTTGTGCAGTAGGGTAAGATCGAAGGAAATGAAAAAAAGAAAAGGGGAAGGATCAGATATTAATGGCAAATTAGTAAGAGGTTGGGGAAGGGAGGAATTGGGAGAAAACGACATTCCGTTGAATAGTGTATGTGAAGCTTATCACTCAGGGAATTTTCTCAATGTGAACATTTTAAACTATTTCTACACAGCCAGTGTTGCTTGTCAGCAGAGATATGAAAGGGATAAATATAACCCTTGGGGTTTCACAGCTTTGTACTTTGAAGAAATCAGCAATCCTTCTTCAGTTATCAAAACCCAGCATTTCTCATAGTGATGGATGCAGTATCCTTTGGAATTACTCAAGTGGAGGTAGCAAATGCTGGAATAAATTGGGGGTTTTTCAAAACTGAAAGCACAATTTCATGTGGTCCAACTCTTGCCCCTTATTTATCAGAGTACCTTCATCAGCACATTCACCTTGAATCACTTACCTTATTCTTCCCTCAGGTTGGCTGTATGCCCTCATTGGGTTGTTCTCTGTTGGAAGGGGCAGTTTCTAAACACACTCTTGTTGCGACTTCTACCCATTCATACTAGACATGATGTCCAGGCTACAGTAATGTTCTTCACTGATGGCTCTTCCAACTGTTCAGAACAACTTTCAGCATGAGTTGTTTTCTTAGCTCTCTATCTCTCCAGTACCAAAACCAGTTGATCTCCCACTCTTACAGGTTCAGTAATGTTCCCACTAGTAGACCAAGCATACCCCTGCTTCCTGGGACTATAAGATGTCCTAGGTTGGTGGCTGATATTATTTCAGCATTGATGTCAGTATCTCTCTGACCTTTTGTCTTACCTCCAAACATAGGAAAGAAAGGGTGGTGGTGGGCAAGACCTATGACACAGAAGAGGATTACAGATCATGTAGATTCCTATTCTTCAGCCAAGATTATTTCTGCCTGAAGGATGTTGTGGTCATTTGCTCTTGTTCTTGCCCTACTTAGAATATTGTTCCCCTAATACTTGGATGCCTCGGTCCGTCTTATCTCTTGGGTCCTAGGTCAAATATGACTTCCATAGAGAGGCACTTCCTGATCATCAAATTGAAAGTAGCCTCTGGCTCTCCAGGTCTACTCATCAATACCACCCTTCTTTATGTTCTTAGGGGTCTCATCACAATTTAGAATCATATTGTTTATTTGCTTTGTCTCCATCTCACTATAGATAAGCTTCCTGAGAAGAATAAATGTAATAAATGTATCTGTTTTTCAATGTTGAAGTATATTCAATTTGTTGAATAAGTAATATTGAATTAGTTCCCTAAATGGTTCTTGTGACCTTTCTTGTTTTTATATCTATTTTCTCACACATGAAAAATAAACATGATTATTATGTAATCACAGAATACATGGAACCATGACTTAGGGTCACAATTTTGAATAGCTGGTGTTGTATTATTTTGCAAATGTCATGATGTTAAAATGATAGCATTGGGCGGTACCTTCCCTAACAAAAAGTCATGGGTCTTGTTCTTTTATTACATTTTCCTACAGAATTACCTCACTTCTTTCTCAGTTGATTGACATGATGATTTTATTTATTCTTGACGTTCCTTTAAGAGGTTAACCTTGAGATAAGAGGGATCCTGTTTGCTGTTGCCCCCTACTTCTGTGCTTAGTGTGGGGCCTGGAATCTCTCCATATACTTCCGCATGCATGAGTGGATGTTGAAGAGAAGAACCCTAACATTTAGCCCATACCCTACTCCCAACTGGGTTTCTATCTTCAGCCAGGGCCCTTGCCTCAGTATTCTGTATCCTCATTTCATCCAAACCAGGCATTGATTGACCTTCTACCATGAACTTTGGAGAAGCCCTGTGCGTGGATGGATCTCCAGGACCTATAGCCCAAACGCCATGCTTTCGCCTGTACCTTCAGGAACTCTCCAGCCAGACTCTGGAAGATCACAAGCTCCATTCCCTTTCTTGGACATCCACATGTTGGCTGTTGCTGTGTCTCCCTAAAGCAGACAGCATGCCTGGTGAGGAGATTACTGCTGCTCTCTGCTGGACTCCATGCCACCAGCTCTTCTGCCTGATAAGATAATTCTGGACCGCAGTAGTTATGAGTAGTACTTCTTCTAAGGAAAGGCAATGTGAAGTTCCTGGCAAGTGCCAGCCACAGTGCTGTTCTGAAGAAATTCTCATTGGAACACCTTCAGTTACAAATTAAGAGATATAACTTTGTAATAGTGATACCTATAGATTGAGATAGGAAAATAAAACCATTTGAAATTCTCATCCCATTTTTTTTTAGACAGAGTTTCACTCTTGTTGCCCAGGCTGGAATGCAATGGCACGATGTTGGCTCACTGCAACCTCCACCTTCTGAGTTCAAGTGATTCTCCTGCCTCAGCCTCCCGAGTAGCTAGGATTACAGGCGTGTGTCACCACGCCTGGCTAATTTTTGTATTTTTTTTTAGTAAAGACAGGGTTTCACCATCTTGGCCAGGCTGGTCTCGAACACTTGACCTCATGATCCACCCACCTCGGCCTCCCAAAGTGCTGGCATTACAGGCATGAGCCACTGCACCCAGCCCTCTAAACTTTTTGATTGAGCCCCATCAGTAAGTGTTTTCTAAATATTACCTACATGTCTTTACTTGTAAGTTATATATAGGGATATTATAAAACATACCTAATATACATTTTAAAACTATGAAATCAAAATAAATTTTAAAAATTCGTCTAGCAAAATATCATCTTCCATGCTTCTGCACATGCCTTCCTCCGTAGCTCCACTTCTAGAGGGACAATCACACAGGAAGTTCAAGATGCATTTGTTCTGCTGCTCTTTGAAACCACTGTTTACACTTGTGTCACACTACAGTTCCTGATGTAGTGGAGAGGTGGTGACCCCAACCTATTTGTGGTGTGAGATTACAGAAGCATTTAGAGAAGCTGACAAGTTCAGGATACACAGCTTTAACACAGCAAAATGAAGTAAGTTTTGATGTTGTTTTTATTCAACAAATAGGGGGCAAACAAAATCTGGCTGAAAAAAAAAACAGAGTGAAAATGTGTGTCTTCATGATCTGTGAGACAGTTATCTGAAAGATTGCAGAAAACCATGGGGATATATACACATATAGGGCATGGCTTCCTGGTCATGAATAAGCAAGGCACGTTTCATTGGCAGCATGTGTTCAATAAAACCTTTGTGCACAGGCCAAAATTCAGCCTGCCAGTGATTTGCATGGATTGTGTCAGCCAATGTTATTAGCTAATTGTGTAGTTAACCTAGTGCAAGAATTTTATTGCAACAGTATATTTGGTACTTATATATCAGGAAGTTTTTGATACTCAGCCCCGCAAGCCTTTTGAACAGAGGAACTGGGTTTTTAAAAGCGTGTTTACAGTTAACTGGAATTATCACTGCCCTGTAAATTCAGTGTGGGGGAGCAGTCCATCAGCTTCGTTTTTAATTAGTTGTGGCAATTAGTTGGTATTTCCTTTTTTCTCCCAGGAAGAAATCATGAACAAAGATCCAATCTTTCATTCCAGTTCAGAAATGTGTCATTTTGCTCTTTGACCAAAATGCCTCCCAGCTGCCCTCTCCTGTCCTAAGCTCAAACAGATCTCAAACGGTTATGTTCAGTGATAGGAAGACATTCCTAGTCTGACATTCTGGTATTGGTGTTAGGCTAAATGCTCAGGATGGCATGAAATAGCCACTGAGAAATGAAAATGCCCCAGTGACAACACAAAGAAATATTCTATTATCTGAGGTAGCAACTGCAAAGGAATAAAATACTAGATCCACAAAATGTGTGCTTCATCAGGCTGCATGTGTTTGCCATTGCCCTCTGTGGTATGATCACAAAGGCAGGATTTCATTTCCCCCTAAATACTGTGCATATGATAATGGCTTTCAAAATTTCACAGCACGAGCCTATGATGGTCCAAGGCCAATAAGTTACTGTTGATAATTCAAGAGAGCTTGAGTTTAGCAAAAGTGACTAAAGAATTTTGAGTTGTACATAGCTCAGATGAGGCCACAAGTTTGACTGTGGCCTTCTACTATCTATATTTGTCCCACAAGACTGCAAAACTGAACCAGCTATTTTTTTAACAATTCAACTTTAGAAGGATATTTTCTGGTCAGACTTGACGTTCAAGGTGGTTCTGAAGCAGAATATATTTATGGAAATTGGTAAGTCATAACATTTTTGGCCTTCCTGCCATCTCAGGGTAAGGTTAAATAAATGCATTTGTTTTTCCCTCCTCAAGATGTATATTTAAAATCATGTAGAATATTTGTGGTCTATTTGAGAAAAATAAGCAATACCAGAACCTTATTTTGCCTAAGAAACAAAAGAAAAAAGAAAAGAAAAAATCCTATCATCAAGTAAGCTTAGAACTTAGCCAGGACAATTAGAAACTGACTTAGAAATATGTGAATCATTTCAACATCGCTTAAACATATAGAGGCGCTGAACATCGGAGTGACTGAAATAAATATCTTTACTCCTACATTTCTGTATTAATGTATAGAACAACATAACAATATATAAATAACATTAACTTATCATTGTAAGAATGTGGATTATGTTAGCATTTAAAATGTAAGAAATAAACCTAAATAGATTTATATCAACATATTATCATTGCAGAAATGTGTAAAGATAGAAAATTATAAAGACAATGAGTTACTCTTTATCCCACTACCTGCAGATAACCCTATTAGCTTTTCTCATACAAACTATAAAGACTTGTTTCCTAATATGTTTCTCACTATTGCAACATAAGCCCCTGAACATACTTCATTTTAATTGCTGCATGATATAGCATTACATGGATACACTGTAATTTATTTAATCAATACATGTATCTTTGTTATTTGATTTCATTAATTATGTTACAAGGAAAAGAATTTTAAATAACATCTCTTCTATCTATAATTTAAATATTCCATATGATAGACACCTAAAATTGTAATTATTTGGCCAAAGTGTACGGGGATTTTTAAGGTTTTTCATTAACAATGCTAAATTGTTTTCAACAACAAAATAATTTCGAGTGTAAGAAATAATTATTTGAGGAGGAGAGACTATAAAATATTCAAAATATTTGACCAATGGTTGTACTCACTAAAACTTTGACTAATAAAAACATGGAAAGTATGAGGAGAAAAAGAAAAAAAATGAAGAAAGCTGAAAGCATTTGAATTTCTAAACATTTACATTTATCAACTCAGTTTACAGTGAGTCTCTCTGTTTAAGATCCAGCATATTTGCTGACAAGTTAAAATAGCCAATCAAGAAACAAAGTCAAATGCTTTGTTAATGTTAGTTGATCACTCATTTTTAGTAAAAATACTTGGTTCTTGATCTTTATAAAATTGTGAATATGAGACTGTGATGAAAGCTATAGATTTTCTTTGAACAAGCACAAACACAGTATTTTACATCTGTTATCAGGGATCCACAGATCCCAAAGATGCTTATTCCATAGTCCCTTTAGTTGTTAGAGAATTTGGGTTAAGAAAACCTAAAAATAATTATTAGCTCATTTTCAAAACACTGTGAAAGAGAAACAAATGATGGCAACCTTTAAATGCCATATCCGAAGAGCTTACTACTTAGCATTCACAGAATCAAATGGCATTAGTGAGAAAACAAATTACAGAGATGTTTAGTCATGTGGGTCTACACATTTTGTAGGACACAGATTCCTTTGAGAGCTTGATGAAAGCAAGGGATATTTTTCCCAGAAGAAAATGTTTGCAGACACAATCAGCCACCATTTTGACATAGCATATCTGGGTTTAGGTGGTGAATTCAAGGATATTCTTAATCTTTTTCTCAGTGTCCACAGATTCCAGGCTCAGAACCATTGAACTCCAATCCCACCACAAACTAAATTTTACAGATGAAAAAGATAATGCAAAGGGTAGTTAAAAGATGTATTTCGGGCCAGGGTTGGTAGCTCATGCCTGTAATCCCAGCGCTTTGGGACAAGGAGGGTTGCTTGAGCTCAGGAGTTCAAAACCAGTCTAGGCAACATAGTGAGATCTCATCTCTAAAAAATAAAAAATAAAAATTTTAAGAACCAAAGTTAATAGTTTTTTTAAAAAGTATATCTACTCATAATAGGAGTTGCCAGTTACATTGGCATTATAATCCATATTTTCTTATCTTCCATTTAGTACCATTTCAGACCTATTTTACAGATCAGAAACTAAAATTCAAAGAGGGCAAATTGCTTACCATAATCATGTATTATGTGATAAACAGAGAACAAGAAAATGACATTTCCAGACTCTCGATATTATAGGTGTCTCCCTTCTCCCCACAAAAAAGAAAATACTTTTGTATTCAGGAATATCAACTTCAGGACTAGATCAGTTAACTACAGGTGATCAAGTTATTTATCTCAATTAAATAATGCGTTTTCACTGAGGTACTTTGTAATCAATTATAGAAGTTTCATCTTTAAGAGTTAAACAGATGTATTTATATACCTGGGTAATTCACTATGCAGATACTAACTTCTCAGGATGCTTATCCAATTAGCATTGGCAAATGTTTTCATTGAGAGCTTTCCTTTCCTCACAGTAAATTTTGACCCTTGCAGTTATGAAGTTGATAGTAATCAGCTGGTTTAATTTTGTTTATTTATTTATTTATTTTTAATAATAGAGAGGGGATCTCACTGTGTTGCCCAGGCTGGTCTCAAAATCCTGGGCTTAAATGATCCTTGCACCTCAGCCTCCCAGACTGCTGGGATTACAGGCATGAGCTTCCGTGTCTGGCCACAGCTGGTTTAATTTTTGAGTGTACAATGTCTACAACCAAGAAAGTTCTTTAAGTAAATCAAATACTGCTCCTTGAAATCCCCTCAGACCCACTAATTTGAAAAACATATGATGAGGAAATGTAAAAATGTCCTTGTTTTGATACAATCTTTTACATAATGTTAGTTTCCAATTTGGTGACCTGGTAGTCCTATACCACCAGTAGTCAGGATGTGCACCTTGCTGAAGATAATATATCAATAGGTATGTGGACAAACAGATCCACAAGCCATCACTTCTCATCAGCTGCTGGCTGTTTGATCACATCCTTGTTATCGGAACCATTGGAGGCAAGTGAATCAAAGGGTAACTGGCCACTGGGTTGTTGTTTCCTAGGCCTATTAGAAAACTAAATGTTGGCACTTATTAAATGAGTATTCTCTTGCATGTTCACTGCTGTGCAAATTTCTTATTTATAATCCCTGATTTTATTTTTCAAGAGAAGGCTGAATTCCAGCCTAGTGAGTCAGTACACAGAGAATCCATCACAACTGAGAACTATGTCAGGGGCATCCAGGGTTGAGAAGTCGGGGCACAGAGCACGGTGATCATCCCCAGCTGAGCCTGAGTTTTGTTTTCTTTGCACACATTCTACTCTTCTGCCAGATATATTTAAGGATTTTATTTTCATAAATGGCCGCTTTCTACTACTTATACTATGAAAACTGTGACTGTCCATACACCAAAGATAGCTTTTGTGTCCATTTCAGAACTAACATGAAATAGAGTGGAGAACGGTTTCTGAGAACTGTATCAGTAGTCAGCTATAGAAGGAGCAGAAGGGAGAAAATATTTGAGAACAAGGAATAAATTCTTAATTCCTCTCAGAATCTGTTCTTCTTGATATAAATTACCTGACCTGGCCATAGGTGTGTTTCATCAACATTATGCTTCTTTCTACAGAGATTATGGGTACAAACCATCCAATCCTACCTAGAATTGACCTCAATTAGGTGGGTAGATAATCAGACCACTCAGTAAGAGGGACACCATTTTGATCTAATATCGTGCTTAACTGGATTGTGTGATCTTTGGTGAACTTTTTGTGGTATATAGAAAGGGAAGAAAGACGATAATCTTACAGCTTGTCAGACATCCAGTTATCTAAGCTTATACAGAAAATGGAATGGGCAAAATCCAGTAGTCAAACCATCCAAGCTTTGAATCCTCCTGTAAATTTTTTATCCCCATCTAGCTTAAACTAACTCAATTGTTAAATGGAGATAGTGAGATTTTTCTGTTGGATTTTTGTGAGGCTTCAATGAGAAAACACATGGGGCCTGGCGCATAGTAGGTACTAAATAAATGACAGCTATTCCCAGCAATAGAATGAATGAGATTATAATTTTTTTAAGTTCGTATAAATTTCTGATATATGGCAGCCTGAAAAATGGAAAAATTGAGATAGCATACGTAAGTTCCAACAGACTTGATTCCCAAGAGAAATTTGAAGTCTTCCAAAGATCTGAGAGTTTTTCCCATTACTATTTATACCCATCAGCCTCCACTGAATATTGCAAGTTGGGGGATTAATGTGTAATTCCAGGGAAATCTCTAAAATGATGATGTTTAAAAAATTAGTTCTAAGAAGTACTCTCCACTCTATTTCAAGTAAGTTTTGAAGTGGATACAAAAGTTACTTTTGGTGTATGGACAATCAGAATTTTCATAACATGGATGACAGAAAATGGCCATTTAAGAAAATAGACCTTCCACATATGTATATCTAACAGAAAAGTAGAAAGTATACAAAGAAAAATTTGTAACATATCATCCCATTTCACTAGTTACTGCTGGTAACAATTTATTTTGGAGTAATCAGAAGACAATGCCACCTAATTTCTCTATTACAGAAGATAAGTTAATTACTTCATTTAATTTATTTCCAAAGAAAATTTTCTCCTTATTTTTCAACTAAAAATACTAATATATATATTTTTGAGAGAATATTTTCCATTTCAATAACAGCCTAGAGTGATTTAAGCCAGAACTCAAACACAATGATTCATTTGAGCTTAGCAACTTTCCATACAATAATACTTGATATACATATTTTAGTTGTTCTGATACTACTGTGTGAACACGTATATATTTCCAAATTCTAATATAATAACTATAAAACATGATTCAGGCCATATGCTTGAATGGTTAAGCAGCTGCTTAATCCATTTCTTTAAAAAATACATACATAAAATAATTGGGGCATAGGTTTGTGGAGGCCTGTATACACTTCATTAAAAAAAATTAAAATAGCCAGGGGACCCCTGAAAGAAGGACTTTGTAATACCCCCAAGTGATCCAGGTCACCTTAGTATTTGCCCTCTCCAGCCTTGGGCTGGAAACCCTGGGCAATAAAGCTGGCTCCCAGTATGATTTTAGAGCTTGTATGCCCAATTAACTGAATTTCTCCACCTGTTGGTGAGGTTGCTGGTCTAGGCATCATGAATATGCACAGTTCTCATGAAGCAGAGAACAGAAACAATGAACTGAGTAATTCAACAAAATCGAGTGGCAACCTTGTCTCCCCTACCACCCATTCTAATTTATCAGTTCACTTATGTAAAGCCTGTCAAACAGTTGAGTCTAATCCAAACTTGGAATTGCAGAAATCACTTCTATGCAAACAAATGTTTATGCCATCACCATCATCATCATCATCCAGGTCCACAGCATCATTATATTAGGGTTCTCCAGAGAAACAGAACCAATAGGATGGATGAATGAAAGATAGATATAGATAGATAGATAGGTAGATAGATAGATAGATAGATAGATAGATAGATAGATAGATAGATAGATAGATGGATATGTCAAAATAGATTTGGTATTGGAATTGGCTAATACGGTTATGGAAGCTGAGAAGTCCCATGGCCGGCTGTCTTCAAGCTGCAGAACCGGCAAAGCCAGTGGTTTAATTCAGTCTGAATACAAAAACTTCAGAACCAGGGAAGCCAGTGCTGTAACTCTCAGTCTGAGACTGAAGGCCTAAGACCCTGGGGAGCTGCTGGTATAAGTTCTTGAGTGTGAAGGCCCAAGAACCTGGAGTCCTGATGTCCAAGGGGAGCAGAAGAAGGATGTCCCAGCTCCAGGAGAGAGAACAAATTCGCTTTATTCTTTCTATTCTATTGTGCCCCTCAATGGATAGGATAGTGCATATTCATATTGAATGAGGGTGAATCTTCCTGACTCAGTCCATTGATTCAAATGCCAATCACTTCTAGAAATTCACAGACATATCCAGAAATAATGTTTTACCAGCTATCTGAGTACCCCTTAACTAAGGCAAATTGACATCTAAAATTAACCATCACAATCATCATCCTGATTATCTGGATACCACATGCCAGGAATTGTGCTAGCTCTTCCCATACATTACACAAATTAGGTCTCCAAGCCTCAGTATAAGGTAAGGATCCCCATTACAACTAAGAAGAAACGGACATTCAGAAAGATCCTTTTTGTATTTGATAGTCTAGTACAAGATAGAGATATCATTGCCCTTTTCATGCAAATTTATTTTGTTTCATTTTGCCACTTGCTTCATGAACATGTATAGAGTGCATTCCACCTACCAGCCACAGTGAGGTCCTGTAGAAAAAGGATTCACTCTGTAATCCACTGAATGAGGTTTAAGTCCCAGATCTTGTAATTATGCACCTAGAGATTGATTTGAAGCATGCAGCTGCTTAACCATTCTGAGTTTTATATCTTCCATTTAAATATGAGGAAACTCATACCTACTTTATAATAAACACGTCATGACTTAAAAAAGGCAGGTGTTCCGTTAATCAGTCTTGTTATTATTTTACTTTCTTGTGACCGAGAATTCAGCTATCTTTTTAAAAGAAGAGAAATGGCTGTTGACTATCTTAAGAACTTTTACAAAATATAGCCAATTTTTAATTCCTTGCTTAAAAACAATAGACAGATCCCCTATGGTAACGTCGAACGAGCTTGTCTCAAAATTCATCAACCCAGTGACTTCAGGATGTCCCAGTTCAAAGGACACCAGAAGTCACCGCTCTGACTTGTCCTCTGGGTCAGAGCAGAAATTCTGCCCCCTCTGTACCCCCACACACTCCCCAGGGCCTGGTTAGAATCCCAGGGGCCAGTTCATGCCACTTCACCATAAATCTTCCCATTTCTGAAAACAAGGAAAAAAATATCATCAGAATTTGTCTCCCCAAGGGAAGAAGTAAGAAGTCCAGTTGTAGGTCTTTTGCCTTTTAAAGTGCAAAAAATGCATAGTTTTTTGAGAATATGTTTTTGCCAATTTGTACTTGGAAAGGCATAAATGTATAAAAAGGGAATTTCCTTTTCTCTGAATAATTAGGAGGAAAAAATGTAGCTTTCAGACAGGGCACATCTGCTTCAGTTTTTCAGTTGTGTATTTAAAGGAAAGGCTGCCAAAAGAAACCAATTCTTTTTGTGCACCCACTATATGCTGGAGTCCTTATTCACTGTGTTATATATAAACGTTACACACAATCTTGTATGAGAGGTATTATTATAATTTCCATGTTATAACAACAACAACAGTTTATTTATGTTTATTTGTATTGTATTGGTAATAATTTTACTTGGAAATGAATATATTTGTATTTATTTGTAACTCAGACTTACAAGAAAGCATTTGATATGGCTCGCTCCTATTTGAAGGATGAAGAAACTCAAAGAAGCTGAACGCCTTTTCTTGTCAGACAGTAAATGCCCATGTAAATGTTATAGCCACTTTTGGGGTCTGGGGTCCATCTTCCCACAGTGAAATACTTCCTTGTCAGTGGGTGTCCAGCTTGTTCAAATTTTCTATCTGTTCCCTTAATTCAGAAAGCATGTTGGATGCTAAATAAATTTGGGGTGATTTACTATACATGTTACTTGCACATTTATAGTGCGTCTTGCAAACAAGATTTGCACTGATAACTGGATTCAGTAGAATAAATGAGGAAGGGAATGCTGAATTTACTGCAGGTTAAGTAGACCACCATAGAACCTGGCATTTCAGCACTGGATGGGGTTTTCAGGCACAAGAGGTCCAATTCATTTCACCTTTGGTTATTTCTGATTTAAAAGTTATTTAACATTTCAAACATGGTTAAATATTGCTGTAAAATGCATTGTTTTACTCTTTTGTATTATAGTGAATATTATCTGATATTTCTTTGCTAATCCAGGATCTAAGAGTTACTCAGCACCAAGTACCTGGGATCCACTCAAAGATTAGTCCCAACTCCTCTCCTTACGTCTTTCTCCATAGCCATACCACTTACACTTACAGAAGCAGAATGCTCTTCCCCGACCCCTTGACTTTGGACTTGGCTGCATGACTTCCTTGAAAGTTAAGAAGTTGTTCACAAGCAAGGGATTGATATGTTTTTGTGCCACTGGGCTTGCCTGCTTGCACCTCTGCCTTTCACCATAATAATTTTCTCCAGGTTGCTTCTGCCTGAGCCCCAAAGGGATTAGACATGGAGCAGACCAGAGTGCCAGCCATAAAAAGAGGGGAAAGCCAAGCCTAGCTGGATCCAATGCATGAAGCAGAGCAGCCCAGCTGAGCCCCACCTACATCAGCTGACTCTTAGCTGAACTACAGACACTAACGAAGTAAATGTATTGTATCCTCAGAATTTATCACAGTAATAGATGATGGATGCTGCTAATGAATATTTTTTTGATAGTAAAGTAGTACAGCCATAAAATGTATAACCATGGCTGAGCCTAAAGTTTCTAAATGTAAGAATTGGCTGGGCTCAGTGGCTGACGCCTGAAATCCCAGCACTTTGGGAGGCCAAGGTGGGCAGATCACGAGGTCAGGAGATCGAGACCATCCTGGCAAACATGGTGAAACCCCATCTCTACTAAAAATACAAAAAATTAGCTGGGTGTGGTGGCCTGTGCCTGAAATCCCAGCAACTCAGCAGGCTGAGGCAGGAGAATCGCTTGAACCCAGGAGGCGGAGGTTGCAGTGAGCTGAGATTACACCACTGCACTCCAGCCTGGGCAACAGAGCAAGACTCCATCTCAATAATAATAATAATAATAATAATAATAATAATAATAATAATAATAAATAAATGTAAGAATCATTTTAAATGAACAAATTCAAGGATATCTGCAATTTTTTTCCCATAGAAATTAAACCCCATTTAAAATAAGACTTAAAGAATAAGACTTTTGGCTGAAGAGGTGAATGGAGATCACCAACAACCACCTTCCCCTGTCATTATTATATTGTCCATCCAAGTACTGACAAATGTATCTCAGTTGTTTATTAATTTATCTGACAAATGCTGTTAAGTGCTAGCAGTTACTAGGTGTTTTGGGATGAGCAGCCCAGGTACTGGAGTGAATGAATGCACAGTTTAAAAGAGAGACAGAATTTTGAGATGGCTTTTAAATAATTATAGGTAAAATGAGCTGTGTAGTTATTGCAAACCAAGTACTGATCTCTACATTTTATATGAATTGTCTCATTTAATCTTCTAAACCCTAGGAACTGAGCTAATACTATTTTCATTTTTCAGAAAAGGAAATGGAGACCCAAGAAGGTTAAATGACTTGTCCTATGTCAGGTATCCTGTAAATGATAGTGGCTGGATTTGAACGTATACAGTCTTATTCCCCAGCCTAAGCTCCTCACCAGTATACCACAGCTCTAGATTAGGTTACACCTGGCCAATTCTTAAACAATAAATGTCAAGGACTGCAGTAAATAGCCAAGTTCTTGGGGTGGCCCCAGGTGGATACAATTAGCTGGTCAAATTCAGCATCCATGGGGCTGCAGTTACCCTAGTTTGATTCACGCTAATGCTGATTTTACAGGGGCCCAAAGACCTCTCTTTTTGAGGATAATGCAGAATGGTGTCAACTACTAGCCTTCTTATGTCTCCTTGCTTGTCACAGAGAACTTTGAGTCATACACTTTCCACCACTCATTTCACTTTTATCCTAGACAACTTCGATGTCCATAAGAATGACACAGTCAGTATCCTGATTCATAGGTCTTGACCTCAACTCCAATAACATTTATCTCTATTCCATCGACACCATGTGATGACCTTAACCTTGACTTCATCGCTATCAGGAATTGCGCTCCCCATTAAAACTTAACTAGCCCATTCTCTAATCACAGACTCTGGTCCTTAGAGCTTTCCAGATTTTCCATTTCTATTACATTTAACATAATATCAAGGTTCTTCAGTATCTTAATTTCTTGAGTTTCTTCTAGTCTATCCAAACTTTCTTCACTTACTTCCATATTTAGCCTGGCTAATAAGGTGCATTTCCTCTAAATGTCTGGCCTACCCAGGACTCCTGATAGACATACCCATCTCACCGGGTCACTTCAATTTCCTGCTTCATCCCTTCTTACCAACAGACTTCCCTGTCCCACTACGAATTCATGATTCTTAAACCCACCTAGATTCTATACCACTCAAGTACCCACGTATGTGTGCTGAGTCATTTCTCCCTTCTTAACAGCAATTATTCCAAAGAGTTCTAAGTGTTATGGGCCAAATTGTGTCCTCCAAAATTAATAGGTTGATGTCCCAAACCCCAATACCTCAAAATGTGACTGTATTTTGAGATAGGGCTTTTGAAGAGGTAATTAAATTAAAATGAAGTCATTAGGGTGAGTACTAATCCAATACAACTGATATCGTTATGAGAAGGGATGAGAACACAGACACACACACAGAGGGAAGACCAAGTGAGGACACAGGGGGAAGGCAGCCATTTACAAGCCAGGAGAGGCTAACCCTACTGACAGCTTCTTCTCAGACTTGTAGCCTCCGGAATAGTGAGAAAATACATTTCTATTTTTTAAGCCATCCAATCTGGGCACCCCTAGCAAAAGGATACAATCAGTCTCTTCAAATCTTCATTTCCTTCTCGCTTTTCTTGTAGCAAGAAACCTCATCTCCTGATTTTTAAAGAAAATAGGAGATTCCAGGATTGAACTCTAACTGCTTGCTGTCATACCTACCAAAGAGGAACTTCTACCTTTGCCCAAAGCAGATGCTCCATTTCCTCTTTGGAACCTATGTCTTCTGGTCTTGTTGAAGGTACATTCTCCTTCATTCTAGACATTCCCCTCTTTGCTAGTTCTTTTCTTTCCAACCTAGAAATATGCTAAGGTTACGACTATTCGTTTTTTGTTTTTTTGTTTTGTTTTTGAGACAGAGTCTCATTCTGTTGCCCAGGCTGGAGTGCAGTGGCGCGATCTCGGCTCACTGCAACCTCTGCTACCTGGGTTCAAGCGAGTCTCCTGCTTCAGCCTACCGAGAAGCTGGGACTACAGGCGTGCACCACCACACCCAGCTAATTTTTGTATTTTTAGTAGAGATGGGGTTTCACCATGTTGGCCAGGCTGGTCTCGAACTTTTGACCTCATGATCCGCCCGCCTTGGCCTCCCAAAGGGGTGGGATTACAGCTGTGAGCCACTACCCCGTGCCACGACTATTCGTTTTAAATGATGTTAATAAAATCCTGTGGTACCATAAAAATCATTACAAATTTTCTTTCCCTTCATAGTTAAAATTCTTGAAAACTGTCAACATTTCCTCAGTCCTCTGTCAGTTCTCAACCCATTGAATTTGACCAGCTATGGCACTAATGCATGGAAACTGCTCTGACCAAGTGGCAGCCAACTTCCTGATCCAAATGCATTGGGGACTTTTCAATGCCAGTCTTATTTGACAGCTCTCTTGTTATCCAATTCTCATCCATTTGTTATTCTCCTTGGTCTTTCCCTTTGCTTTTTTCTTTCAACCTTTGACCTGTTCTTTTACCACCTATTTCTTAGATTCCTCCTCCCTATTTTTTTTAATCTGTTGATGTTCCAGTGGATTCTGTCTCTCTTCTTCATTTTTCTTTTTCTTTTTTCTACTAACCTTTATTTTATTCTTTACTAGGATTTCAACTTCTTGGAGTCATCATTATGATGACTTTTTACATTTTATTTTTATTTTTTGCAGCAAGTATAGTGTAATGGTTAAGAACACAGACTCAGGACTCAAACTATCAGGTTTATCTTGTGGCTGTATTACTTCCTAGCCAGCAATAACCATGGAAAAGTCACTTAATCTCTCTATTTGAAATTTTCTCATCTGTACAATGGGTGTAATTTGGTTGTTTTGAGTACTAAATGAGTTAAAATATGTAAAAAACTTACAAATGTCTGGTACCTTACAACCACTGTCCAGAAATCCAATTCTGTATTTAAGACCGCTTGCCATTGCGAATATCCCAATATTTTACCTAAAGCTGAACTCTTCTTAATATAAAACCTTTCCTTCTGGTTGCTTTATCTGAGAGATTTTTATCACTGTTTGCCAGGATGAAGGCAGAACGTGATTGTCTGCCAAGACTTTTTCCTCTCCTTTCTCTCCATCTTTCAACAGTTACCAAGCCATGTTCATTTTAATATTGAATTTCCCTCCTTATCTGTCTCCTACCTTGCATCCCTATAGATGCTGTAAAGCAGGTCCACATTTTTGAGACATGTGTGTTGTGTACATTGGAGAAGCGGGGTCTGGACTATTGCAACAAATCTCCCTGTGACTAGCTGCAACCTTCTAGTACACTATTCACTTGACACTCCGAGTATGTCTTTAAAAAACAAACACATTTGTGTCATACCTTCAACAGCTTGTATGTATTGACTATACTTTCAGCATGGTTTTCAAGCCCCTCCTTTAATTATACACTGTTCTCTCCTTTCCAGCTTAAACTCCTACCACTGCCCCATTGTTCAGTCAAACTCAACTACTTGCTATTGTTGATTCATGCTATCTTTCAAATCCCTTTTTTTCCTACCCGCAATGCAGGTTCCAATTAGGGGCTTTTAAATACTGAGTTTAACTAAAAAAGCTTTAAATATGTAAAATAAAAGTAAGTTCAAATAAAGGGAAGACAAATTTATTAAAACTCTCATGAAGAATTAAACAAGCTAACCATATCATGTCAAACGTCTTTCTGCTATCTTATAATCTTTTCATTAATTTTTCCCCATTTTACAAATAGCTTCTGTTGAAAACATATCTTCCTTTCCCTCTCTTCTTAGAGGTATATTCACATTTATTTTTCCATTTGGCAACCTTTCTCCCAATTATATTTTAAAACACCTTGAGTTTGGATATTGCAATAATGAATCCAATTTGGTAAAAAAAAAAATCACTAATAGATTGATTTCTTCAAAATATAACAATGGGGCCAGGCACGGTGGCTCATGCCTGTAATCCCAGCACTTTGGGAGGCCGAGGTGAATGAATCACCCGAGGTCAGGAGTTTGAGACCAGCCTGACCAACATGGTGAAACCCTACCTCTACTAAAAATACAAAAATTATCTGGGCATTGTGGTGGGCGCCTGTAATCACAGCTACTCGGGAGGCTGAGGCAGGAGAATCACTTGAACACGGGAGGCAGAAGTTGCAATGAGCCAATATCCTGCCACTGCACTCCAGCCTGGGTGACAGAGCAAGACTCCATCTCAAAAAATATAAACAAATAAAAATAAAAATAATATAACAATGGATAGTACCATTATGGTGACTTTCATATTTTTCTGTGTGAGTGTATGTATGCATTTACATTTTACAAATTTTCTGTCCTATATATTTATCACATTTTTAATAAGAAAAAATATGTCTAAAATGAAAGAAATTGCCAAGCAGTATACAATTTATAACATGTATTGGAATCTACATGCATGTTCTCTTAGCATAAAACACTTGCAGTTAAGTATTGCTCAATGCAAATGTGAAGACACCTGCCAGTTGAATGGTACCTTAATATAAACCTCCTGGGGATTTGCTGTATTCTTGCCAGATGTAACTTTCAAATTTTCCCTCCAGCCTATATAGCACAATCATTGATGAAACACAGCAGAATCAACCATACGACTTTGGAACTGTCTCAGAATCAGTGTTGATAGAAATATGTTTGACTTAACTCTTTTTAACAAGATTTGAGGAATCTTCCCACATCTCAGTGTGCGTAATTGTAAGGTTTTCATTCTTGGCTGCAAACACACAGGATTTCTCTGTCTTTTCTTTCTTAATCAGTTCCCTGGCTTTGTCTCCACATCTCCCTATTTTTCTCTATGAATACTACTGCTTTGTTTATAGTATAGGTGACAAGACACAAACCAGGGTTTGGAAAGAGTGAGTGTGAAGGGGCTGACTTCAAGTTGCCATTTCAGAAACGTGCTATAACTTCAACATTTGCATCTGGCATTTTGTAGCCTGTAGCCCCCTCATCATATGCTATGTGTGAATTCCAGTCGGATGATTCATTCTGACATGGGAGTTCTTTGCCTCTTTTACTCTACAAAAATGTGAGAGAATGAGAGAGAAGGGTCTCATTCCTTCTAATTTTTCTAAGCAATCTTTATTTTTCCCATAGCTGGGAAAGAGATTTTCCGATGAGAAATGTTGCAGTTATGACTAACAATTCCATGTTTCACAACCGAACTCACTCTTCTTGTTGCTCTTTTTTTTCCGATTTCTCACAATTCAAAGTAAAGTGTGAGATTACTAGTACAATTAAGACTCTGGAAAAAGGAAAACTGCATATTATGGCCTTGATAACCCTTCATGGAGAACAAGGTGCTCCTCTGCCACAGATGCCAATTTTAGAGTTGGATTCAACAATAATAGTGAATAGAAGAAACGCAGGAAAGCAGATACGTGTTTTAAAATCATCCACAACCAGCAATGTTTATCTAGAAACATTAGGCTCTGGCAAGATGTCTTTCATCTCCCCCTTGCATGTATTCCAGTTTGGGCAGGATAGCCTTATCTATTATCTAAGTACTTTTATAACCTTCTTTTGGAAAGGTCTCCCTGGTCACACGTACCTTAAGCTAGAGAGGAAGGCAGCTGATTGCCTATTTTTTTAACTGAAATAGTTTCTGTAGAACAATGCAAATTATATTTATACCATTGCTTGCAAAGATTAAGATAAATGAAGTTGTCACATCCACTGAGATGAACGTTGAAAGTTTCTCTGTTTAGGGAGCAATGCACATATTTCATCATACAGATAAAGCAATGTACAAGAAGTAAAAGTAAAATTGCTAACACATGATCTATCCAGAATTAATTATTTTGAGTTAACATACCAGTATTTGCTATGTAACAGTCTGATACTAAGAAAGTACATAAAAGTCATGAAAATTGTGTCATCCTTAACTTGCAGAGATGCCGTAATAGATAAATATCACTAGGAAGCTTCCACACACAACATATTACCTGTTTCTCCTAATATATTTTTTCAAATCCATAACCTATATTTCCCTTCATTTCTATTGTTGTTAGATTAGAACTTTGCTATTTATTAATAGTCCTCTATTTTGTCTTCCTGCCTCCAGACAAACTACTTCAGCTCTTTTACAATCATCTAATTTCCCTTGTACCTGACTTGATTCAACAAATTCGTATTTCTTTAAATGACTGTGATAAAAAACCCATTTAAATAATCTAAATTTAAAAACGGAATTTCTTGAGTTGTGCAAATGGGGAGTGGGAATGGCTAATACAGATATAGTTCTCAAGCTCATTTAACAGGATATAATCATGACTTTATTACTCTGTTTATTGACTTTGATTAATTATGCTTGCTTGCTTTCTCAGAAAGAACATCTTGATGTGTTGACAAGATAGCTTTAAGAAACCTGATGCAAATTCCAGTCTACCAAACAACCATACTAGAAAAAATAAAAGTCTTTTTTAATGCACTTGGGGGAAAAACAAACAAACAAACAAACAAAAATTTGGAAAAGATTCTGTTTAGTCCTAATTGCTTCATGTACCATCCTTGAATAATTAATTGTTATGTCCAAGGACAGGGGACTCTTCAAATGGCTAAATTGGGGTCAAGAACCTAGAACTTGATCAAATGTCCAATACACAATATAAAATGAACTGGCACATAATGAGACACTACAGTATGATTTTCAAAAACCACAAAATGACTGGCAATAAAAACAATCTTGTAGATGTTTTAGGTATTGGCATTATGAAGCATATAGTTTAAAAATAACTACATTTACTATGTTCAAGGAGATAAAAGAAATAGAGGAAAATTTAAATAAAGAGCTGAAAATAATTTAAGAAGACAAAAGTTAGGAGTTGCATTAGCATTCAATTGATTGGTTTAGCAGCAGATTAAACACAGTTAAAAAGAGAATTATTGCACTGGATGTTTGTTTAGAGGGACATGTACAAAATAAGAACAAAAAACCAAATATTGGAAAAATAAAGGGGAATAAGGAATTTAAGGATACTGTAAAAAAAAAAAACTTATAAAATGTGTGAGTTAAAATTCCAGAAACAGAAAAGAACAATGGGTCAGAAAAAATAGCTGAAGAAATAAGGGATTAAATTTGTTGATGCTCAAGAGAGATAAGCCACTGATTTTTAAAAAAATGAACACCTAGATTTTTAAAAATCACACACAAGTTAATACTGCTAAAAATCAACACCAAGAAGAAATCATATAGGAAGCCAATGAAAACAGACAGATAACCACTGAAGAAGCAAGAGTAAGATTGACAACTGATTTCTGAAAGGAAACAATAAAAGTCTGAAGACTATAAAAGTATATATTGAAAATGCTAAGAGAATATAAATGCAAAACTAGAATTTCATACCTAGTGAAACTATGAAGAAGATGACAGAAAGACGTTTCTTTTTTTGGGACTGAGTCTCACTTGTTGCCCAGGCTGGAGTGCAGTGGCGTGATCTCAGCTCACTGCAACCTCTGCTCCTGGGTTCAAGTGATTCTCCTGCCTCAGCCTACTGAGTAGCTCGGAGTACAGGCGTGAACTACCAAGCACAGCTAATTTTTGTATTTTTAGTAGAGATGGGGTTTCACCATGTTGACTGAGCTTGTCTCAAACTCCTGACCTCAAGTGATCCACCCACCTCGGCTTCCCGAAGTGCTGGGATTACAGGCATGAGCCATCGCACCCAGCCAATGCTTCTTAATAGAGTGAAATGAGGTCAAGGAGCAGAGAGAGAGAAAAAAACTTATAACTAGCAAAAAATAGTGTAAGATATTATTCATGTAGAAAGAAAAATATTACACATGGAATCTCAGAAACGTAGAAAGAAACAAAAAGTAGCAGCAAAATGATAAGAACATGGGCAAACATAAATGATTATAGTACACAATTAACAATATCTTATGGATTTTAAAACATAAATATTAAAGTATACAAAAACAACGATATAAAACTCTGGAAGTAGGGAAAAGAAAAAATGAAGATAAAATATTTTAAGTTTCTTGTATTGTCCTGTATGAGGATAATAAAAAATTAATATTTGATTTTAAAAAGTGATTTCTATGGCAACTACCAAAAGAAATGGTAAAAGGATATAATTTCCAAGCTAATAGACAGTCTGGACTAATAAAAAATAGCCAAAATATAGATAAGTGAGTAGCAGAAAAGGGGATATGGAATTACTGCGTTAGGTGATATTTTTAAACCCAAATTATATCAGATATTCATGTGACTTCTAGCTATCATCGTTAACACTGACCGCTTGGTTAAAGTAGTGTTCTAAAGGTTTCTCCATTCTAAAATTACTATTTTTCCCTTTTAATATTCTATTATTTGTAGGAGAATCACTAAATCCAACCCACACTCAAGGGAAAGGGGTTTAATTAAGCTTCACTTAATAGTGGAGTATGTTACATGCGTTATTTGAAATTAAGAAAAATTTGCCCTTTCTCCCTCACTTAATTATTCAATCATTTATTTATATAAACATTGACTCTTGTATCTTTATTTCACATTGGTTATAATCCCACACTGCATTACCTGTTTTGTTCAAATTCCTCCAGTTTTTGCCATTTGCAACTTTCCCAGATTGATAGCTGTGTGTCTTTGACTTGTCCCAGTCCCAGGTTTTGTTTGTCAAGCATTTCTTTATTTTCTGTCATTACAAGATGCTCCACAATTACCTTGCGGTTTTCCTGTCTCTGCTCTAGAAGGAGCAATTTCACCAAGTTGCTCTCTACTTATTTTTATTTTTCTACTTTATTTATTTATTTATTTTAATTATTATTTTTTGAGATAGGGTGTTGCTCTGTCGCCAAGGCTGGATTGCAGTGGTGTGATCAAGCTCACTGCAGCCTTGATCTCCTAGGCTCAAGTGATCCTCCAATCTCCATCTCCCAAGTAGCTGGGCCTATAGGTGTGTACCACCCTGCCCAGCTAATTCTTTTGATTTTCAGTGGAGACAAGGTCCTGCTATGTTCCCCAGACTGGTCTCGAACTCCCGAGCTCAAGCAATCGTTTTGCCTTGGCCTTCCTAAGTGCTGTCAAAGCAGGCATGCAGCACCGCACCTGGCCTACATTGATTTTTAAATGAGATAAAATTTATACTTATTAAAGCGAGGAAATCTTAATTGCACAGTTCAATGAGCTTTTGCCTCTGTATAGACTACTACTTCCTTGATCAACATATAGACCATTTTCATCAGTCTGGGAAGTTCTCTCAAACCCTTTCTCAAGTATACCAACTCCCCTTCTTTTCTTTTTTGTGCCATAAACCTATTTTTAAATTACTATTATACTTTAAGTTCTGGTATACGTATGCAGAACGTGCAAGTTTGTCACATAGGTATACACGTGCCATGGTTGTTTGCTGCACCCATCAACCCGTCATCTACATTAGGTATTTCTCCTAATGCTATCCCTCCCCTAGCCCACCCCCACCCCTTGACAGGTCCCAGTGTGTGATGTTCCCCTCCTTGTGTCCATGTGTTCTCATTGTTCAACTCCCACTTATGAGTGAGAACATGTGATCAAGGGGAAGAAAGGATATCAGAGATTGAAGATCAACTTAATGAAACAAAGGGTGCAGACAAGATTAGAGAAAAAAGAATGAAAGGGAATGAAGAAAGCCTCCAAGAAATATCAGACTATGTGAAAAGACCAAACCTACATTTGATTGGTGTACCTGAAAGTGACAAGGAGAATGGAACAAAGTTGGAAAACATTCTTCAGAATATTATCCAGGAGAACTACCATGCCAAGTCCCCTTATTCTAACTTCTGTCATGGTAGTAGAATTTTGCTGATTCCATCTAAATGAAATCATACAGCATATACTTTTTTGTTTCTGGCTTCTTTCACATAACATCACATGACATGATGTTTTTAACATTCATCTACATTATTATATATATTAGTAGTTTCGTTTCTATGTGTCTTAGTCTGTTCCTGCTGCTGTAACAAAATACCTTAGACTGAGTAATTTATAAACAATAAAAAGTATTTCTTACAGTTCTGGAAGCTGGGAAGACCAAAATCAAGGCACCAGCAGATACAGCTTGCTGTCTGATTTATAGATGGTGCCTCTTGCTGCATTCCTATATGTTAGAATGAGTGAAAGGGACAAATTCACTCCTTCACACCCATCTATAAGGGCACTAATACCATCCATGAGGTCAGAACCCTCATGACCTAATCAGCTTCCAAAGGCCTTGCCCCTTAATGCCGTCCCCTTGGGAGTTAAGTTTCAACATGAATTTTGGGGGGACACCAATATTCAGTCCTTAGCATCATGTTCCTTCAAGTGAATATAGCATAGCGATTTGTCATCTTTTCCACTGTTCATGAACATTTAGACTCCCCTCTCTTATTGTTATTATGAATTAATATGACTAGAGAGTGTGTGTCTTTTGGCAGACATATTCTCTTACTTAGTGTAATGCTTTTGAGATTCTTTTGTATTATTGAATGTATCAGGAGATCATTGCTTAATATTACTGACTAGTGTTCTGTTCTGTAGATGTACCAGAATTTGTTTATCCGTTCACCAGTAGATGGATGTTTCGTTTTTTCCAGTTTTGGCAATTATGATTAAAACTGTGATAAAAATTATGTACAGCCATTCCTGGGGATATATGCTTTAGTTTTTCATGAGTAAAACCCTACTGCAGGTGGGGAGTGTGGGGCGGGGTGCAGATTGCTGGGTCATATGTTAGGAAATTGTGTTTTCTAAAGTGGCTGATTTATTTTTCATTTCCACCAACAATGTAGGGGAGCTCCATTTGCCCATGTCCTTGGCAGCACACTTGGTGTTGTCATTTCTTTAAACCATTGTAATAGATGTAGAGCAGTGTCTCATTTTGGTTTTAGCTTGCATTTTCCTAATGACTGACATTGTTCAGTAGCTTTTCATTTGCTTATTTTCATCTTTATCTCTTCTTTTACAAAGCGTTTTCTAAAATCTTTGCTCTATTTTTGTATTAAATTGTTTTTTATTAAGTTGTGAATGTTCTTTATAAATTTCAGGTGCTAGTTATTTATCAGATATGGATTTTATGAATATTTTCTCATAGGATGTCACTGGTCTTTTCATTTTATTAAGTATCTTTTAAAAGCCAGAAGCTTTTAATTTCGAAGAAGTACAATTTATCAATATTTTCCTATTTGTTTTTTGTTTTTATGCATCTAACAATATTTTGCCTGACCCAAAGTCACAAAGATGATCTTCTATTTTTTCTTATAGAAGTCTTATAACTTTGGGTTTTATTGTTAGATCTATGATTCATTTAATTTTATTTATTTTGTTGGACATGGGTTGATGTTCATTGTTTCTCATATAAATATTCAAATTGTTAAGCTCTGTTTGTTAAAAAGTATTTTGATTTTCGGCCGGGAACAGTGGCTCATGCTTGTAATCTCAACACTTTGGTAGGCTGAGGCAGGCGGATCTCTTAAGCTCACAAGTTCACAACCAGCCTTGGCAACATGGTGAAACCCTGTCTCTACAAAAAATTAGCCAAGTACAGTGGCAGGTACCTGTAGTCCCAGCTACTCGGGGGGCTGAGGCGGGAGGATTGCTTGAGCCCAGGAAGTTGGAGGCTGCAATGAGCTGATACTGCACCACTGCATTTCAGCCGGGGTGACAAAGTGAAATCCTGTCTCAAAACAACAACAACAAACAACAATTTCCTTTTTCTATTGAATTATCTTGTCACCTTTGTCAAAAATTAACTACATATGCATGAGGTTATTTTTGGAACACCTATTTTCTATTTTATTTCATTGATCTATATGTCTTTTTTTTGCTATTACATTATAAAGATGGAAGCTTATTTTATTGATTAGAGACCTTTGTTCTTTCGTTAACATAAGTGTATAATCCTATGTATTTTGAGATGGAGTTTTGCTCTTGTTGCCCAGGTTGGAGTGCAATGGCACGATCTTGGCTCACTGCAACCTTCGCCTCCCGGGTTCAAGCGATTCTCTTGTCTCAGCCTCCCGAGTAGCTGGGATTACAGGCATGCGGCACCACCCCTGGTTAATTTTGTATTTTTAGTAGAGATGGGGTTTCTCCATGTTGGTCAGGCTGATCTCAAACTCCTGACCTCAGGTGATCCGCCCGCCTCAGCCTCCTGAAGTGCTGGGATTAAGCACTTCTTTAGGTACATCCTGAAATGTTGATATGTTGTTGCTTCATGTTTTATACAATTAAAAATATTTTCTAATTTCCATTTTGACTTCCTTATTGACCCATGCCAAATATGGAAGTGTGTTTTATTTTAAATCTTAAATATTTAGTGACTTTCTTTCTGTTATTGATTTCTAGTTTAATTACTATAGTCAGAGGACAGACTTTGTATGATTTTAATTCTTCTGAATTTGTAGAAGGTTGTTTTATAGCCCACAATATAATCTCTCTTGATCAATACTCCAAGTGTCTATAAAAGAACATGTGTTCTGCTGTTTTTAGGTGGAGTATTTGTAATTTTCAATTAGGCCAAGTTTGTTGAGAGCATTTTTGAAATATTCTGTATTTTTGTTAATCTGTCTACTTGCTCTATTGATTACTGAGATAAGAGTGCCAAAGTCTCCAAGAACAGTTATGGATTTTTCTGTTTCTTCATTCAGGACAATCAGTTTTTTCTTCATATATCTGGAGCTCCGTTAGCATCATACACAAAACGAAAATAAAATTCAACAGACCAACTGACAATAACTAATATAACGGTGTAGTAGAGAATTTGGTGTTACCCAAAGAGAAGTCTAGCCTTTGCCACTTGCTCCTGGGAGGTAACCTCTAAACTCTTGGAATTTTCCAAGTGATAAGCCCCTCAGATCATGTGATATATTAATCAATCAATCATGACCGCATAGTAAAACCCCAATAAAACTTCTGAGTTCTGAAGTTCAGAAGAGCTTCCCAGGTTGATGGTGTACGTGCATATGTCACCCATTGTTTCCAGGAAGGTAAGGTGTCCAGAGGACAACAGAAGCTCCACATCTAGGACATCCCCAGATTCTGCCCTATGTATCTTTTTCCTTGACTGATTTTAATGTATCCTTTCCATGTAATAAACTGTAACTGCAAGTATTATAGCTTTCAGAGAGTTCTGAAAGTCTTTCTAGTAAATTATCAAGATTGTGGGTGGTTTGGGGAAAGCCGTGAATTTGCACTTGGTGTGAGAAATGGTGGTGGTCTTGTGTGCATCCTTTCCTCTCACTTTGCAATTGGACGTTAACTCTCTGCAGTTGGAGCTAGAGGTCTTGTAAAAGGCTGGCAGTCTGGAGGACTGTGCCTCAACCTTACAATTTGGCTGATTCCAAGGACAGGATCTCATTATCAATCTAATGAAAAGTCAAGACTTTTTTCTGGCCCTGACTTCTATGAGACACACATCACACTACGCCATCACTAAAGGTGATTTAAGTATCTAGAAAACTCCCAACCTCATTGCACTGTTATGAAACTACAGAGGTATTCTTTGTAATTGTATTTTTAAAAGCATTTCCCTCCAAATTCAGAACATTTAAAAAAATATATTATTACATTCTTATCAGAAAGGAATTTAATTTACTAACAATTTATGAGTCTGCTGATTCTACATTTTTCATCACCTTATATTATCTCATATTCATCATTTATAGCATGATGGAAATACAGTAGTAAGGAATTTTTGATTTAATTATCATATTAAGCACTGTTCAAGTTTATTGGCTATTTGTATTTCTTCTGTAGGCAATGGGTTAAGTGCTCTTTTTATTTTTCTGTTGGGTAAACAGTATAGGTTTTGTCCCCTGATTGACTTTAAAAGGTCTTGAAATGTTACATGCATAACATTTTTATTGTCAAAATTACTATAGTTTCCAAGTTATTTATTTGTATTTTAGTTCCCTTATTGTGTAAAACATGGAGCCTTAAAATGATTTTGATAGTTAAATATATTTTATATTCTCATTTAGTACTTCTCTGATGCAGAAAGCTAACTTTCGACTTTTAACAATATAGTCCACATGAAACACTTTTATGGGACTTAAAAAATCCCATAGTTATGTGCATCACTGTGCAGGAAACAACCTAAATGGCCCCATATATGATAATGTTTAAATAAAGTATACTCCAATTTCTGAAATGCAATGTTAAGTAGCTTTAAAAAGTACATTTGAAAAAATATATTGTGGGAAATGTTTACAATACAATGTTATGTGGGAAAGCATGATTCAAAATTATGTAAGTCTAGGTCTATAAAAGAAAAATATGTAAATATATTTATATAAATACAAAAATAAATAAAAGTCTAGAAGAAAATACATCAAAAATGTTAACTGGCTTCTCTAGGTCATGGGATTACAAGCAGTTTATTTTGCTTTATATTTTTTCCCATAAAAGGTACATATTACTTTAAGTTGAAAAAGTAGGCTAGGAAATAAAAGCCCAGGGCATACTACTAAATATAATTCTGTAAAATTACTTCTGTTTGGTGACTAAAGTAATTTAAAATAAACTAAATGGTATTAAATTCTGTGGTAAGAGGAATAATAGCCTACAAATACATCCACAACCTAATCCCTGAAATCTGTGAATGTGTTCATTTACATGGCACAGATAATTTTGCAGATGGAATTCAGTTTATAGAGTTCAAGATAAGAAGATGATCCTGGAATATTTATGTGGGCTCAGTTCAGTCACATGGGTCCTTAAAACTGAACGAGAAAGGAGTAAGTGTCAGGCAGGGAGGATACTTTGGGAAAAGAGGCAGGAGAGACTCAAAGATGGAAAGGGCTGGACCTGCCTTTGCTGGCCTTAAAGACGGTTACCAGTCAACAATTGTAAAGAAGGGCCCTCAGCTTACAGCCTGCAAGGAAAGGGGAACCTCAGTCCTGCAACCATGAGGACCTGAATTCTGCTGAAAATCTCAATGACTAAGGAAAGGGAGTCTCTCTTACAGCCCATAGTAAGGAAGGAAGCCCAACAGAAATCTAGATTTAGCCTGATGAGACTCCTGTCAGGTTCTGATTCACGAAACAATAAGATAATAAATCTATGTTGTTTATATCCCCTATATTTTTGGTAATTTTTTCAGAAAGCACCAATACAAACGTTTACTAAATGTGAAGGTGAGGGTTCAGATAAAATATGCCTTGGTGCAAGGCTGCAAGAAAAACATACATAAATACCCATAGATGCTATGTTAAATTATACATCCAAAGTTTTATGAAAATACAAGTTAAAAGTAATTTTGCATAGGGGATTCAGGAAAAGCATCAGTGGATGTTTTGATGTCTGCTGGTCATAGTACAGTCACTGCCAAAACCCAAAAATTAGATCTCATATTTATTTGAAGCATATTCAATGATGTTTATTGATCTATTAGCCGATATAGAATCCTTTTACTCCTTTTTGTTTGTTTGTTTGAGTCCGGGTCTCACTCTGTCACCCAGGCTGGAGTCCAGTGGCACCATCAGGGCACACTGTAGCATTGACCCCATGGGCTCAAGCAATCCTCTCCTTCAGACCCCTGTAGCTGGAACTACAGGTATGCACCACCACACCTGTATTTTTAGTAGAGGCAGGGTTTCGCCACGTTGCCCATGCTGTTCTCGAACTCCTGGGCCCAAGTGATCCACCCATCTCTGCCTCCCAAAATGCTGGGATTACAGGCATGAGCCACTGTGCCCGGACAAATGACATATAATCTAACTTTAAGCCCAAAGAAAGTAGGCTTCATCAAAGCTACAAACAGTAGAGGTTTTCCCTGGGCCACAAGTTCCAAAGGTACTTTCAGCTGGATAGTTCTAGATTCCAAGCTCATGTTGCAGTAACACCAAATACATAAGGCTCCACCTGGCCAGATTAAGGAAAATCTCTATGCTCTATTTGGAAAAGAGCTCTTAAAAACAGCAACTAAAAATTATATTTTGTCATTTTTTAAATAAATGAACTAGTTTTTGGAGCATTTTTAGGTTTACAGAAAAATTGTTTGGACAGTACCAAGAACTCCAATGTAGCACTTCCCCCAGCCCTAGTTTCCCCTATTATTTACATCCTGTATTATTGTGGTACATTTGTTACCATTGATTAACCCATATTAACACAATATTATTAAATTAAATCCATAGCTTACATTAGTGTTTACTCTTTGAGCTCTGCACTCAGTGGGTTTTGACAAATATATAATGACATGTAGCCACCATTACGGTATCATATAAAAGAGTTTCAAGGTCCTAAAAATTCTCTATGCTCCACCTATGTTTTTCTCCCTCCCACCCCAAACCTCTTGCAATCACCGTTGTTTTTACTGTCTCCATAGTTTTGTCTTTTCCAAAATGTCATTTAGTTGGAATCATATAGTATGTAGTCTTTTCAAATTGACTTCATCCACTTAGCAAGATGCTAGCAAGTTTCCTCCATGTCTTTTTACAGCTTGATAGCTCATTTTCTTTTATCACTAAATAATATTTCATTCTAAGGATGTACCACAATTTGTCTCTCCATTCATCTATTGAAAGGCATCTTGGTTACTTCCAAGTTTTGTCAATTACGAATAAAGCTGATATAAACATTCATGTGCTGTTTTTTATGTGAATATAGGTTTCCAACTGATTTGGATAAATACCACACAGCATGATTTCTGGATCATATGGTAAAAGTACGCTTACTTTTGTAAGAAGCTGCCAAACTTTCTAACAAAATGCCTGTAGCAGTTTGCATTCTCACCAGCAATGAGAGTTCTTGTTGCTCTCCATCCTCCTCAACATTTGGTGTTGTCAGTGTTTTGGATTTTATCCATTCCAATAGGTAGGTAGTGGAATCTTACTGCTGTTTTAATTTGCAATTCCCTAATGACATGATTTTGAGCATTATTTCAGATGCTTAGTTGATATCTATATATCTTACTAGACGTGGTATCTGCTCAGCTCTTTTGCCCAGTTTGGAAATTGGGCTGTTTATTTTCTTATCAATGAGTTTTAATAATTTTTTACATCTCTTAAATACCTGTCCATTGTCAGATATGTGTTGCAAAGATTTTCTTCTAATCTATGACTTATCTTTTCATTCCCTTAACAGTATATTTTGCAGAACAGAATTTTTAGATTTTAATGAAGTCTAACTTACCAACTTTTTTCTTTCATGGATTGTGCTTTTGGTGTTGTATCTAAAAAATCATCACCAAACCCAAGGTGCCCTATGTTTTCTCCCATGTTATCTTCTAAGAGTTTGGTAGTATGGCATTTTGCATATGAATCTACTTTTGTGTGACCAAAATCTGTCTAGATTCATTTTTTTTTTTTTCGCTCATGGATGCCAGTTGTTCCAGCACCAATTAATGGAAAGTCTACTTTTTCTCCATTGTACTACCTTTGATCTTTAGTGAAAGTTCAGTTGACTCTGATAGTGCTGGTCTGTTTCTGGGCTCTCATTGTGTTCCATTAACCTATGTGTATATTCTTTTTCTGATATCACACTGTCTTGATTACTGTAGCTTTATAGTAAGCCTTGAAGTTTGGTGGTGTTAGTCCTCCAAATTTGTTCTTCTCTTTCAATATTTTGTGGGCTATTCTAGGTATTTTGCCTCTCTGTTTAAACCTTAGAACCTGTGTGTCAATTTCCAGAAAAAAAAAGCCTAACTACTGGGGTTTTGACTGAGATCGCATCAAATTATAGATTAAATTGGGAAGTGACGTCTTAACTATATTGAATCTTCCTATCCATGAACATGAAATATCTTTCTGTTTATTTAGGTATTTGATTTACTTCACCAGAATTTTATAGTTTTCATCATATAGATATTATACATAGTTTTCTAGACATATACAAAAGTATTTCATTTTTTGTTGCTAATGTATTTCATTTTTAATGTTATATTCTAATTGTTCGATACTGATATGTAGAAAAGCAATTGACTTTTATTAGAATTTGTTTTTAACCTATCTATAGTACACTTAGTGGGCTAAATGAGAAGTGGGCATTGCCAGTTGTATCTCATTATTGTACCAGTGAGGAATCTGAGACTAGAGCTCATGATTTCTGGCATTGTTTGACTTTGGCCATCAGTCTAGGTAGTATGCATTTCCTCAGCGTATTAGTATCCGATATTTTTTTTTAAGAGTCAACTCTAAATTTTGACAGCTATTATCAGAACCCATCAGGCAAATATCTGCATTACATAAGAAAACGTCATTGCTGATAAGGAGACAACTCTTCATGGCCCAGAAGATTGTTGCTGGGATAAGATGAACTCTGTGGTCTCAGGGTTCCCATTCTTTGCCACTGTAAAATCATCCTTCTCTGAGTAGTCTACCACAAGCCTTGGGATGAAAGTCGGTAAACTGACAGTGTTTGAAGGAGACAGTTTCATCATTGGCATATTTAGCCAAAATGAGATTTATTTCCCCAATCCATGGGTGTCTGCATCAAGCAGTATATTCATTCTTCTTTCACTAGCAGGAGCAGAAAAGACTCAGTCAATAGAAAGCTGAAGCTTCTCACTAATAAATGCCAATCATTAAGCCTTTGGCACATATATGCCAGCATGATCTGTAAAGTCAGCAAGCAAATTCTCCAAATACTTGGCAAAGTGAGCATTCCTAGGGTATCATATGCACACTGTGAAATGTAGTTTTAGGAGGAACAAAAAACACAGTAAAATACAATCAACTTTTCATAATGGGTATGTTGTGAAAAAAATTTTTACAACTTTCAAAACTTCTAAAAAATGCATGCTTCCTCCTCACAGCTTAATTCTCAAAAAATGGTAAAATCTATGTATTAAAAATAAGGTAATAGAGTTTTATGCTGAAGGTTTATTATAAACCTGAGCATCTTCTATTGCTCTCACTCACACTAATTCCCACTAACTAGATTTCCTTACATTTAAGAGTCTCAGAGAAACCTCCCCAATTATAAGCCTAGTATTTCTAATGATTAGGTTAAGGTTCTAAGATTCATTTTGTTTATTTATTTATTAGTGTTAACAGTGAGTATATGAATATTATGGCTTTTGTCTAAGTTATTTCTAACTTATACCAGTTCTCCTCAGTTGTTTCTGTTCACATCAATGTGTTGAGTATCTAATATGTACTTGGAATTATGGTAAGCACTTGGATGCTTACCACAGTGATGAATAAAGATGAATAAAATACTGTCCCTGCCTTGAAAGAGTTCATAGATAATATAAATATAGCTACTCAGGATCACCAGTATAATTCTTTCCTTTTCATACTCATCAGTATAATTCCAGAAGTGTGAGATTACAAAATGGCACAAAAGTTCCCTGCCTTATTCACTTATAAACTAAACTAAACTAAACTAAAAATTATACTTTTCTGTTATTGTGCACATTTAGCTCAACATAAAAATGGAATCATCAATTATTAAATTTAAAATTTTTATGTGATTTGTTTTTCAAAGATTATATATTTTCTGTTAAATTTACTTTTTTAAACTTTTTATTTATTTATTTATTTAGAGACAGGGTCTTGCTCTGTCACCCAGGCCAGAGTGCAGTGGCGTGATCATAGCTCACTATAGCCTGGAACTCCTGGGCTCAAGCGATCCTCCCCACTCAGCCTCCCCCATAGCTAGGACTGCAGGTGCGTCGGGCTAATTTTTTTTTTTTTTTATAACTTTTTTAGAGACAGAGTCTCACTATATTGCCCAGGCTGATCTTGAACTCCTGGCCTCAAGTAATTCTCCTGCAGTGCTGGGATTATAGGCATGAGCCACAGTGTCCAGCCAGATTTATTTTAAAATTTGTTGAATTGAAACTGAAAATTCTTTGTACTGGTTATTTTTAAATCACCTATAAGATAATATCAGTCACCCTACTATTTTCTATCAAGCAAAAACTTTAAAGTTTCTTTCATGATTTTATGAATAAAATTTAATTTTTACATATAGGTACTTATTTGCCTATGTGTATTTACCTACATGTAAAAATTTAATTTTATTCATAAAATCATAAATTTTTTTTACCTGTAGGCAAATTACCTTAATAAAAAAACCAGAGCTGGTCACATATGCTATGCCCTGATTCTTTTCTTTTTTTTACATTTTATTTTAAGTTCAAGTATACATGTGAAAGATGTATCCTTTCACAAACCTACACATATGTAAGCGTGCATCTTGGGGGCTGGTTGTACGGATTATTTCTTCACCCAGGTGTTAAGCCTGGTATCAATTAGTTATTTTTCCTGATCCTCTCCCTCCTCCCAACCTCCACCTCTGAGTGTGTGTTGTTCCCCTCTGTGTGTCCATGTGTTCTCACCATTCAGCTCCCACTTATAAGTGAGAACATGTGGTGTCCGGTTTTCTGTTCCTGCATTAGTTTGCTAAGGATAGTGGCCTCCAGCTTCATCCATGTCCCTGCAAAAGACATGATCTCATTCTTTGTTATGGCTGCATAGTACTTCATGGTGTGCATGTACCATATTTTCTTTATCTAGTCTATCATTGATGGGCATTTGGGTTGATTTTATGTCTTTGCTATTATGAATAGTGCTGCAATGAACATACACATGCATGTGTCTTTATAATAGAATGATTTATATTCCTTAGGTATATAATGGGATTGTAATGGGATTGCTGGGTTGAATGGTATTTTTGACTTTTGGTCTTTGAGGAATCACCTCACTGTCTTACACAACTGTTGAACTAATTTACACTCCCACCAACAGTTACAAGCATTCCTTTGTCTCCACAACCTCGCCAGCTTCTGTTTTTTTTTTATTTTTATTATATAATAGTAGCCATTCTGACTGGTGTGAGATGGTATCTCATTGTGGTTTTGATTTACATTTCTCTAATGATCAGTGATATTGAGCTTTTTTTCATATACTTGTTGGCAGCATGTATGTCTTCTTTTGAAAAGTGTCTGTCCATGTCCTTTGCCCACTTTTTAGTGGAATTATTTGCTTTTTTTTTCTTGTAAATTTATTTAAGTTGCTTATAGATGCTGGATATTAGGCCTTGGTCAGATGTATAGTTTGCAGAATTTTTCTCCCATTCTGTAGGTTGTCTGTTTACTCTGTTGATAGTTTCTTTTGCTGTGCAGAAGGTCTTTAGTTTAATTAGATCCTATTTGTCAATTGTTGCTTTTGTTGCAATTGCTTTTATATGTCCTGATTGTTGAGGGACATGCACAGCTTTATATTATATAGTAAATATATTCACACCATGGGCTGACATATGAACCCCCACATCTCTGAGTTTTGCCCAATACAGATCTCACCACACCCAGAGCTTAACTCTGTTTCCTCTTGGTTAGCTAAGAGTCTTAAGGTGCATTTTTATAGATCAGATCTAATCAAATATCCATAATGAATCCAGTCATCCACATCCTGGGTAGCATCATGCAATATAGATATGGTTGCCAGAGACCAACCTTTATCAAGAAGGAACAGAAAGGAGGAATTGTGATAAACTGAATACACAACCAGAAGAGTGTCAATTTCATTTTCCTATGTGGAAGACAATCAGATCTTCCAGTTTGCTCAGAAAATTCTGATTTTATGCCTAATGTTCTCCTGTAATTATTAACAACATCCTCTTTCACTCTTGCACTGGTTTAGACAAATAATTTTTGATATGTTTAGATTTTGCTTATGTGATGTATAATAACTTTTTAATATTAAACTTACGATTCACTTTGGCTATGATTGATTATTACCTGTTGGTGATAAAATGAGATTATTTCTAAGATTTTGGTGAATCAATTGTAGAAGGAATGCCTATAAATATGGGTAGGCAGATTAAAATTTAAATGATTAGCAAAAATGAATACCCATTTCACCTCAAAGTCTCTACATGTAAATTAAAATAAGAAACAATTTATCCAGTTCTTCCAAACATTTAGAACTTACGATTTGCACGATGAAACACAGATCCTATAGAGTATCTATCACTGATCTTTTAGAAATAACCACAATAAAGAACCTTGAAACCACATCTTAGAAAGTCAGTCAGGCCCCCTGGATGTTTTCTAGGTGTGTTTTCAAAGTTCTTTATTATGGCTATTTCTAATTTTAAAGCAACTTTCATTTGAATAAATGGAACAGTCATTGTATGCAGATAAATGAGCACTGAAGACAGAACTTTCCAGAAAAGGATGCCTCAGTTTCAGGAATAAATAGAAAATTATCCTGTTTGTTGCTATTGGAGTACAGCCTACACTGACACAACAAAGAAACATTTAGTATTAACAAATCACGTGAAACAGGCAATTAAGTTCATGTGTTGAGCAGAAGGAGAAAGGGAAGTATCTAGAAATGATGTCTTCTAAGTACCAATCTCTTAGAACATCGTTTTGCAAACTTTGAAAGAGGTGTTGGCAGCTTTTTAATGGGTGCTAAGGATGGAAGTCTCAAAGCGCACCACACTTGGACTCTGAACGTCATAATGTGCAAAGACCTGGGTTAAGAACATTATGAAACTCACAGTGAAAAATTTGTTTCCCTGACCGCAGAACTGTATACATTCTGCTATGGCTTCATTTCCTTACTGAAATGCAAAGAGGAGAGGAGAGAACCAGATATGCAAATTGGTACCAAAATATAAACAAGGATTCAATCCCATGGCATAATCCTCAGAGGAATGAAAATGCCAAGAAGAAAAGAAGTTTATGAACTCCATGTTCGGTGGAAGCAGGCTACAAAAGAGTTTAGCTGTCCTCCTAGAAAACAAAAATTAATTCGCTTTGGCCAAATTAAAATTAATTAAAATTATGCGATGTTGCCCTTGTGTTAATTTTAACAGTGAGGTTGTTGTGATTTAAGGCTACAATTAGTTCTAGTGTTTGAAAGAGAAGCTCTGTAATTGAGACAGGACATTTTAATAATCCTGGTTATAAACATTTAATACATCATCTTTAGGGACTCACAAACACATTGTAATTAACTTTTACAACTGAAATAAATCAGATTGCATTAGCATATTGCAAAGGAAAAAATCATTTGCATGATTGAAAACAAAATTATGTATAACAGGCTTCATGCAAACACCAGCACAACTTTTACCAGGTTTCTTCTATGTGGAATATTTTAACAAGTACAGTTTAGGATTCTTCAGATAATTATAACTTTTTCCATAAAAGGAAATACTCTGATTTTGAAGAGGCAGCAAAAGTCATTCTGTGGTCAATAGGACTGTGTCCAACTTTACTGTAAATTAATCGGGGAATATTCAAAAAAATTATAATGTATACTTGCTTTTAGCTACTGCTATGCTGTGCAAGTAATTTGGTCAGGAGAAAGGGCTATTTATTTATGTGTGATTCACTTTTCTAGTGCTAAAGTTATTAGCAGGAAGAGGGATACTAATACTGGACTCACAGGTGTCCCTATGGCCAGCACCCAATCTGCTTCATAGATGCCAACCCCTTCTTGAGTGTTTGAGCTGTGAGTTATAAAACAACAGTCCATATGTTCAGTTTGGAAGTGAGCAAATGAAAGAAGCTCTTACTAAATATTGGCTATTATTTTTTCCAAAGTGATTTCAGGTCACATAGGTCGGTTGGATACACTCTTGATACTCCGATCAGTCATTTGGTGATATGGTTTGGCTCTGGGTCTTCACCCAAATCTCACCTCGAATTGTAATCCCCATAATCCCCATGTGTCGAGGGCAGAACCACTCGGAGGTAACTGGATCATGGAAGCAGATTCCCCCATGCTGTTCTCATGATAGTGAATTCTCATGAGATCTGACAGTTTTATAAGTGTCTGGCGCTTCCCCTGCTTGCCCTCACTCCATTCTGCCACCCTGTGAAGAAGGTGCTTTCTTCTCCTTTACCTTCCGCCATGACTGTAAGTTTCCCGAGGCCTCCCCAGCAATGCGGAACCATGAGTCAATTAAACCTCTTTCCTTTATAAATTACCCAGTCTCGGGTATTTCTTCATAGCAGTGTCAGAACGGACTAATACATTTGGTCTACAAAGAATAATCAGTAGCACCCCAGTGTTCTGCATATAGGATTGTTGTTAAAAGCACAGATTCTATAGTTATATTTCCTGGGTTTGAATTTTAGTTCTGTCACTTAGTGACTGTGTGACATTGGGTTCTATGACTCCGTTTCTCCATCTGTAAAATGAAGATTGTAAAGTATATAACTGAAAAGTGTTATTGTATGTATTACAGTTTCAATTGTAAAGTATTAGAAAGTATTATTGTAGAGGTTAAGTGAGATAATACATGTCATTTATCTTAAGATAATTTCTGGAGCATAGTAAGTGCTCAGTAAATATTAGTGGTATCATTGCAATAATTATTACCGTAGTATTCTCTTAGGTCAGTGCCTAAGGAAAAAAACATCACTTTATTATTGTTTGGAAGCTAGTGACTTTCCTAAGTAGAACCTTTCCAAATATGTAATTTGGCTCCCACCCCTCCATTCACTTACTCAATTCATGTTGTGCATGTACTATACACAAAACATTAACAGCTTTTCAAGACAGGAAATGTGTGAGTCTTCAGCACTGAACTCAGGACAAACAAAGCAAAATCTGGAATGAATTAAATGGTCGGAAGCTTTATCGTGTTCTCAAATCAGAGTAAGGGGTGCAGCTAAGCTCAGATTCTAGGTGTCCAGGCCTAGCAACCCCCCACCTCACATTCCCCTCACCTCACCCCACTCCTCAAAATGTAAACAGAAAAACGCAATCAAATCCCAACTGGAAAAAGGGAAAAGTCAACATCTATGAATCAATCTTTGGTCAAAATTAAGGAGGCAGGGAAAGGTGTGCTAGTGGTGATGCTAAGTTGAATGGAGGCTCTGTCCCCAGGAAGATTCTGAAAATGGTCGCTTCTCTCTGCTAGATAAAGTTAGTGATGACTACCTAAGTGAAAATGAGGCCATTTGAGAAGGAGTTGAATCTCGGGTGGAGATTCTTAAAAAGCACATTACAGCTGGTCATTGTGAGGCCAAATGAGACAAGGAAGGTTGAGTGTCTCTCAGGCAGTTGTATACGAGAAGTTAGTGGTCTCTTTTATAAGAAGTATTTCTGTTCAGATTTATGTGTAATACTGATTCTAGAAATAGCTGATATGTGAACTGGAAGTACAATTCACTCATATAAGTTCTCCCTCATTTGGGTCTTGGTTTTGGAGAAAGAAAAGGTGGTCCACATTCTGTTCCTTTTGTAGGAAGCACTTGGTCTCTTCTAATGGGAAACTTCTCTTTTCTCCTGGGGCTATACCTTATTGACTTAAAAGAGCCGTAGCTTAATTAACAGATGAAATAAAGCCTATTGCATAATTAACCAGACATTTACCTAAAATCAATAATCTAATTGCCACACCTACATAGGGGATAGTGGTTATCCTATTGAAAACAATTCTTTACATGTACTTGTTAACAAGGTGATTGGTAGTTTGTTTTAGAGACTAAACCGATCTGTAAAGTGATAATTTATTGAACAATCAATTAATCTTTTCAGTAGTGCAAATACAAACAAGCCATGAAGAACCACAGATGTGTCTGCTTATGAAAGGTCAAAGTTAGCAGACTCACAGTCTGAGTTCTTTTTCAATCAGCAGTAAGATGTGTAGGCCATGAACAGGATTTTATTTTAACATTATCCCTTTGAACATGTTTCTTTTATGGGGAGCCAATAACACGCACAACCTTTGTAAATATGTAAAGCACCAATTTAGACCTGTAGCCTGTCTTTACAATGGATTTCTAATCTAAATTGTGTTTCCCTTTTCACAGAGACACATCAGCCTGTCTAAAATGGTTTGATACACCCAGCTATATATATTCTCTGGGATTTTACTCCAACAGTGTGAATTGTTTCATATCTAGGAGAATGAATTATCACATTTACCCAAGAATATGGGTCGATGTCAAAAAGCTTTAAAGTTTAGGTTGAATTAAAGATCCCAGAGTCTGCAATCTTGTCCAGAGTTTATTTGAATCTTTTCACCCTGTACAATTGGATATGATATTTCCTAAGACTTAAGGTACTTCCTGCTTTATGGCTGTTTTCAAAGCATTTCGCTTTTTAAAATATAGTCATAGCTTAGTATGAATTTTCTTGTGTCTACCTTCAAACTTGGCTATCATTTAAATTCTAACATTTATGCCAAGATACTTTTATCCAGTAGAAACATAAACGCCATAATAATTACATGAGACTGATTCTTAGGAAGGAGGAACAATTTAAGTATCTACAAAAATTTATAAGACTTGGACTTTTAATGGCTTTAGTAACTTCATAAAATAGAAGAGTATGTGCTGAAGGGTAAATAGGGAGGGTGATTACGCGGAAAAAAATGCCAGCCTGATTAAGTGAAAACAAGATTCTCAGTTTTAGATCAGGTGGTCTTAACTTGGGGTTCTAGAATACAGATTCTTGATCTGGGATTTTAGAGCAAGGGGGCCATGAAATTGGATGGCCAATACTTGCATCTTTATTTTCAGTATTTTTGAACTGCAACTTTGCATTTCTTTCATCATGAATGTGGACAATACACATCAAAACAGTACTAACTATGATTTACCACCAAGAGCTATTATAAATATGTTCATATGACCTTACACGATCACAGATATCTCAAAATATCATGTATGCTCAATACAACTTTGACATGATGGTAGTTATAAGACCTGCCACAAGATCTTGTTATTTAATGTGTTAATAAAAAACACAGATTGTAGTATCAATTTTAAATATTTTAGTAATTGTGTTTTACAGGTGTTTTATGTTATTCATCTCAAATTATTTTTCCAAGATGGGTTTACATACTTCTTCAGATTTCCAAAGAAATTCATTGATGAATTTATCCGGAAAGACTCCAGCCTTAGAGTCTACATAGTAAAGGCCTGGCACAGCACCGGCCCTCCCTGAACAGTGCACAAAGCAGACATCGCTTGTGAGCCACAGACTCTTTCTCCTAGGTGTGGGTTCAGACTCAGAAGCCTTTATATCAAAGCATTACTACCAACTAGCAAGGCAATCAATGCCAATGGATGGTTGCTCAGTCTTTCCTGCTTATGGGAACCTTCAAGGTAAAATTTTCTGCAAATAATGATCACAACAATAATTATCATTTATTGAGTGCCAGGTTCTTTATACATGTTATTTCACCCAGATTTACCACAATCCCATGAGCTGGGTGTTATCACTATTTAATAACACAGAAACTAGCTTAGAAGGTGGCAGAGCCTGTTTTCCAAAATCTCTGTTTCTTCCAATGCACTGACATCAACAATCGTGTTTTATTTGGAAGGGAAATAGTAAGGTCAGATATGTTCATGGACCCCTGTTGTAACTAACAGGTACTAACATAAAGTAAACATTTTATTACTATTGTAATATGCGGCACTTAACATTCAAGCCTCCACGTGGCTTTGCATGTAGTTACCTGATATTTTATTGCTGCTGTTCAAAATAAAAACAAGATTAAGAGAGAAAGCAGAGGCACTGTGTTGAATGTTAAAGGAGTATTCTAGTTGGGGTTATGTCATTTACTGTCATCCCTACCCAATATAGAAGATGTAGAGATGTCTTGAGTTCTTCTTTTTAGGCAAAGCTATTGAGCTAGGTTAATAAGACTATTTTTGACCTCAAGGAATTCTCAGCCGTGCATTGGAGGAGATAGCCCTATAAACTGCTATCTAAGATAAACGGCCAAATGGTCATTTGAACTGACATTTATCGAATATTGCCATATGCCAAATGCTTTTCTAAGTGATTTACATGTATATAATAATTTAATTCTCAAAATCATCCCCCAGGAGCAAGGCATTACCAATATTTTCCCCATTGTATGGAGGAGGAAAGTAAGGCAAAGAGAAATTAAGTAAGTTGCCAAAACACACACACAGTAGTGGCAGACCTGGGATTCTGACCAGAAGATGTGCTTCAAACCACTGTTGCCCATGCTGTAATGGTGGCATCGAGGATGAAAGAAGGATGGATTCTGATTGAAAACCACAGGTCACTTTCCCAAGTTGTGTGTGATATGCATTTGAAACTTATTTGACTCAACAGATGGTTGCTGAGTCACTACTCTGATGGTATTGGCTACCTCTGAGTGACACCTCATCTCTGCTCTTAAGAAGATTTTTTTAACCATTTCTCATCTGGCCCCTGGAAGCCAAGAGCTGATTGGGACGATCAAAAGATCATTTAAATTTTATATAAATACTGAAATGTCCATGAATATTTTCCACTGAAAAAGTGGTCATACTGGCTAAAGCAATTTTATTTTTTAAATAAATAGAACCTCACCCAGGAGCAAATATCCCAATGAGTTTAATGTGTTCATCATAGAATGCCCTCCCATATTCATATACATTCATTTTTGTGTAATTTTATAAAAACTTTAGGGTTACATTTAGAATAAAAAGAAGATATTGCATGATTGATGGATCAATTCAGTTTTACCTCCTTGTTTCCTGTTATGTTGCACATGGTGGAGAGAAAATACTTAAATATAAAATAATGCTCTGTCTTTTCACTGATTTCCAATAAGAGATTTTTTTTTCTTGAGAAATTGCCTTAGTATATTTAGGCTGCTGTAAGAAAAATACCAAAGACAGAAATTTATAAACAACCGAAATGTATTTTTCATAGTTCTAAGAGGCTGGAAAGTCCAAAATCAAGTCTCCAGCAGACTCAGTGTCTAGTGTGAGCTTGTTCCCGATAAATGGTGCCTTACACATGTCCTCACATAGTGGACGAAGCAAATAAGCTCCCTTGGGCCCACTTCTTTATACTATTGTATTGGGGATTAGACTGCAACATATAAATTTTTGGGGAAAACAAATATTTAGATCAGAGTAGAAATAATTACTGAGCCAAGAAAAGTTTATTTTATTTATTTTTTATTATTTTTAAACATAGTTCATGCCAATTCCTAATAGAATTTAACACATTTAAATAATTTTGGCCACTGGCATGCCTGTTTAAAATGAATGTCCTCTTTTTTTCCATTGGGTTGCTGGAGTCAACTTTTTTGACTGTATTGCTGCTATTATCCAATACGATTTTCTTTTATTGTAAGAGTACACTCAATAGAATGCTCGACTAGTGGTAAAAGGCTAAGTTTTCTAATTTAGAGTTGGTTAACAGCTCAGATGGGCCCTTGAAGATTTGTATCTACATTCAGGATATGTATCAGACTAAGAAGTATCACATTATATTTGAAGTGTTAGAGAGAGTAGAGTTTAGTTATGAGCCAAGATTGCACCACTGCACTCTAATCTGGGCAGCAGCATGACTCTGTCCAAAAAAAAAAAAAAAAAAAAAAAAAAAGAGTAGAGTTTACTTGTGATTAAATGGAAATCTGGTCCTACACAATAGGTGAATGAGAGTCCCTCCAAATTCTCAGAGATAAACTGATGGTTGAGAAGTCAGGCACAGGCCAGTGAGGGATGGGAGCCATTGGCAGGAGATACCAAGTCAAGACAGAACAAATACCAGATAAGCAGCAAATCTGAAATTAGAGTTTAGAAGGATTGATGAGGTGAAGCAAGACAATGAAACTATAATTTGCACATTGGAGTCCCAAGAAAATTTGTCTAGACAGGATTTCAGAATAATGAAGCCTCTTCAAAGTCCACAGACCAGCCCATGAGAACCGCTCCCGTGACAGATACTAAAATCTTTGCATTTGAAACCATGGCCCTGCCTCCTTTCTTTTGCACTGAATTCTCCTTAACTCATCACGGCGCACCACATCTTTGCCATAAGCAAACTCTGCAGCTTTCTTTTGACTTCATGAAAGTGGACAAAACGTGGGTTCCTGATGTCAGAGGGGCTGAAATGGGAAGGCTGAAGCCCACACAGGTGGACTTTGTTGTTTTTCCCATGATAAAGACAGTAGCTACCTCTGCTATTTCTTTTAAAACAGAATTTTCCCTTCACCCCTCAAGCTGCCCCTGATAGTTTGTTTCTCGCGGTTTGCCCACTGTCAATTATTCCGGGCCTTATCTTTTCCACGAGAGTGTTGTCTTTCTGTCTTTAACCCTTTCAAGGTTTGGCTTCCTCTTCCCCATGCCTCACTGTTATTTCACTGGACTTCCACCCGCCATACACAAACACCCCAGCTAATCTTTCCAAATTAGCACAACGCCAGCTCTGGAGGGTCTCATTAGATGTGCAGCTGAGATTTATCAGAGCTCATTTGCCTAATATGGAGCCTAACTTTGGGCACCTGGCCCTTGCAGTAGGGGGTAAGGGAGAACAGGAATGGGTCTTTTGTCACTGCTATGCAGACTCACTAATTTGCTCCACCTAATAAAATTACAAATGGATACAGCTTCATTCACATTGCCTTTATAGGTTATAATAACCTTGGTACCCCATAACCTCCTGCTAGCTGAATTAATCAGATCATATTAATATTTCTTCTTACTTTCTTTTAACTGGTTCTTCTCTTAATTAAAGAGGCCAAAGACGTAAACAGGGTAGGTGACTGGAAACATGGCGCCGGGTTATAAACAAGGCTCATTAAAAAGATGGATGTGCAGGCAGACTGCAAAAATCGCTTACTTCGCAAGTGTACATTTTGTAATTTCCTGACGACTAAAAGAACTAATGCCAGATCCCACCCCCTCCCTTTTTCCCATGTATAAAAGATGATAATTTTTGAATGCTAGGGTGGGAATGGCAAAACGGAGCAACCTATTCATCAAATAGAATAAGGTCTTTCACATTATAAGGCTCTGTCATCCTTTCCCACAAGCCTCCAAATGTGAAATCTATTCAGAAGTGGAGGGAAGGAAAAACAAAACAAAACAAGAAATGAATTAAAAAGAGAAAATGATGAGAAATTTTAAAGACAGAACATTAAATATATTAAACCAATCAAATTTGAGAGAGAAAATGAAGGACTTCTTACAAGACTAATAAATCTTCTAAACTTGCACATGTTCAACAATGCATAGAATATGCACATGTGTTTGCTTGCACACAGAGGGCAAAAGAGAGCTTAATCTTTATGCATGGAAACAAAAATGGTTAAAGGGGACAGTCCACAGCATCAAGCTTACACAAAGTTACAACTGCAACAACACAGTAGAACTGAAAACAGCTTGATTTAGGAAATTTAATTCAAGTATATCTTACACTGTTATTATAAATACTTTGTATCCATTTGTACATTGAATTGATGGTGCACCTATACACTGTTGAAAAATCATGTATCATATTATCAAAAGTGATAAATAGATCACTATTTATAAATGCAGTATGTATTTGCATTATACATGTATTATATAAAATGTGTTTTATGTTATGCATTTATAACATACAAATACACTTATTACATATATTTTAGTTCCTACACTCATGCACATATATCTATGCTAATTTAGTTCTTATCTTCATTTTTGAAACTTTTGCTCACATTCACTTAACCAGGCAAGAAAGTACTCACATTTTTATTCTCACAGCAATTACTAGGAGAGCTGGAGCCCCCGATTTCCTGTCTTTCCATCTCCCTTCTCAACAAGAGAGAAAGTCATTCTGACAGGATGACGCACAGCACGGCCAGGCAAGACCTCGCTCCTTCATGAATAAATTAGAAGTGAAAGTTTAACTGATCCCCTTGCATTTTTATGGAGGGACCTCATCCTAATTTACCTAAATGCTTTGAGTGGAAGGAAAGAAAATGTAAGAGGCTAAGGTGGAAAGGTTAAAATCCGTGTTTAAATGGAGGGTTTTTTTCCCCCCAACACACCACAACACATAAATGCCTGCAACTGAACTGATGATTTCTTATACAAACATTCTAAGGGAGAAGCCAAAAAATGGAAGACTGTGTTTTCATTTCCCTACCCCTCTGTTTCTTTTTATATGAACCACTGCTGATGTACCCAGAAATTCTTAGTCTAAGAAATTCCATATAAATATATACATATATATGTATGTATGTCTTAGTCTAAGAAATTCCGTATATATATATACACATATATATGTATATATGTCTTAGTCTAAGAAATTCCGTATATATATATACATATATATGTATATATGTCTTAGTCTAAGAAATTCCATATATATATATATATATATATATATATATATATATATATGTATGTGTGTGTGTGTCTTGGTCTAAGAAATTCCTTATATATATGTGACTCTTTCTGTATGTGTGTGTGTATATATATGTGTATGTGTGTATACGTGTGTGTGTGTGTGTATACAAACAGAGTGGAGACTGAACAATCTATGTTTAAGACATTATTTTTCTCAATGGAGCTCAAATCCTGTGGAAATGGCATTTTTCTCAAAGCACTCCTAAGCTATGCTTCAATGAGTGACCTAATACAATATGTTCTTCATCAATGCATTTTTAGTACCAGGCCAGCATGCCATGAGATGGGTTGTGTGGTCAAAATATTAGGTTTTTTCATATGCGATCAGACCAGTGGGCTAATGGTTTTGGAATCCTGCCTCTGGCAGTAGCCATTACCTGATGCTTCAGAAGCCAGAAATGAATTTGCACAACCCCAGCCCTTCAGATGTCCCCTGTGGAAAAATAGGAAATTGGCAAGTAGGATCATTTCACGGATGTGCTGAAGCTGTCATTCCTAGAAATCTTTGGCTTCAGCTCCGTGCCGGGTAAGTTCACCTGCGAATGCAGTATGAACTGTTCCCATTTGTGAATTGCTCATATTCTAGAAAGATGAAGAGCCCTGTGTTCATTCTTAGTCTTCCTAGCCTTTGGCTATTGAAAAGCCTCCTAAATACCATGTTCTGATAATGTTGGAGTTGAATGTGTAAACCCCTCTGGTGTGACTGAAACATTGAGTTGTCACAATGTTAAGGAAGGGTCAATGAAGGAAATTAAATGATTTCAGCTCAGCATTCTTTTTTGCTTTGTTTTTTCGTAGTTGTTTAATATTTAGCTGTGTAGCTGCAGAAGAAAAAATAAATGAAAAACAGAGAAACAAGTGTATTCGTTTTGTGATTCTACTATTCCCTAAAAACTTAAGCAAGATACTCATGAGGTTGTAAGTGAATGGTTTGTCTAGTATAAATTCACTCTGACATCTCATCGTACTTGGTCCTAATACAGAAAATTCACAAATCTAGTCCACGGCCCACAAACATTTTCAAAGACGTCTTTTAATTTTACTTAAAATTTTCATAATTGTCATATTGCTTTCAAAGACAAATAAACTTTAAGGATAAAATATATCTATTTTCATCCCAGTTCTGTGCCATCCTGTGTTTTAATAACCACCCTAATTTAGTATTAACTAAGAGCTTCCTGTGTGACAGAAGATTCTTACTCTATCTACATTAGGCTTTTTCTAAATGACTAAAGTTTCTGAAATATTCAACGCAATCTACCATTTAAAAATTTGATAACATCTTCATTAGCATTTGGGTGCACCCTAAACTATTTCTACCAAACAGAAGTGCAGCGTTTTAGAAGAGCCTCACGGACTAGCTACATATATTTTTTGAATGTTAAAATTCTTTCTTTCCTCCTCTTTTGATCATTTTTCTGAAGTGGATTGTCTCTCCTCTCACCATTTGTCATTAGAGGCGTGTAATTTCATGACCCCTTTCTTCTCGCTACTTCCTCTAAACAAAAGGACACAATAAATAAACACAGGAGATAAGACAGTCTCTTCCCCCCAGCCTACCCCCTTCCTTTGAGTCTTTTGAGCAGCCAGAACCACTTTAGTCCTTCAAATATTGTCCTGAATTAGTATCCACACTGATGCAGTGAGGCTAGAGTACATGATAATAATAAATACCAAATGGAAGTGTAACTGTAATATGTGTATTGATATATATTTTTTCTAGTAGTTTTGGCTAACCTATCTTGCTGACTGTACTGATGAAGGTTGCGGGTAATTGTGTACGCGTTTCTGTGAAAGATAAATGACTTTCCTTCCCAAGGACGCTTGGCCAGGCCTTAATCCTGAGTGCCTGTGTGTGTGTGTGTGTGTGTGTGAGCGTGTGTGTGTGTGTGTGTGTAACTGTTTTCTGAAGGCCTGACAAGGCATCTTGATCATTTCCTCATTTTGAGGCCTACCCACAGCCTCGCACACGGCCCCCCTCTCTGAAATGTTATTATTCTGTCGTGAGGCCTTCTTCAGCCAGGATGTTACTTCATTTCCACCTTTTGTCTCTGCCTGAATGTGAATGATGCTCTTTCAGCAATATACAGCCGCTTAAACTCCCTGCTGCTGCCTTACATAAATATACAACACCCGTCTCGCCCTATAACTCACTTCAGGCCTGGAAAAATAGTGACTTCCTTTATTGGTCAGATTCTCTAGCAATTCCCAACAGCTGTATGTTCTCACCTCAGAGGATCCTTATCTTCAAGTTTCCATTTGTCTCAGCACTATTCCAGTGGATTGCCAATAAAAATGATTCCCATTTTTATAACCCCTGAGAACGCAGGAGCCAGCTTTCTAGAGAAACTGATGTACCCCCCGCCCCCAAACACACAAATAAACAAACAAACCAAACCTCCAGACAACTTAACAAAAAGGGCTATTTTGTCTTCTGGAGAGATGACCTTAGAACTGAGTACATAGGGAATTCAGTAAAACGTGAAGTGTTGTCTCGGAACACATTAATTACATTCATGAAAATCCATGTTTATTTTCTTCCTTGAGATAATACATGGAGAGATATGGCATATAATCATTAAGAGAACACGTGTTCATAGATATCTAAAAGGAATATCACGTTCATATTAGTTGACTGTATCTTTGTTAATAAGTTTAATCACTTCTCTGTGCTTCTGAATTCTGGGCAACTTTAAAATGTGGCTGGGTTCTACTGAACTTATTTTTTAAAGAAAATGATGTAGGGAAAAAAAGAAAAGCACTTCCGAAAAATTGAAGTTGCTATGTAATTGTCAGGTGCTATAATAAATAAAGGCACTTTATTTGGGTATTGATGCCAGTTACACGTGGACATTAGTTTGCGCTCTACTGCTACTTACTGCTGCAGAATTTGGGAAAACGCGCTATGTCAAGCTCAGCCTCAGTTGTCCCATCTGCCAAATGGGAGCTAAACACCTCCCTTTTAATATGTTTTTAAATTTAAGAAAGAGAATATACACTAAAGAGTAAACGCCAAAGTGCTCTACAAATGGTATAGCTCAAGTTACTTTTTCCCCTCCATAACAAAGCTGTGGTGACTACAGGCAATTTTTAAAGAAAAATGGAAGGAGTAGGGGCATGGAATGAAGAAAATGAGTATTTTTTTTAAGCTACTGCGTACTCAACAAGAGGGCAAGAGTGTTCAATACTAATGTGTCAAGGCTACACTTTTTTTAAGGTGCAAATTCAAGGAACAGGGAAATATGTCAGGTTAAAATCAGTAATACTCATCTACTTTATGACTTTACAACTCTCCATAGGAGAAAGAAAGACGGTTACTGCCATATAGCGTGTATTAGCAGAAGGGCTTGCTGGGGAGTTTTATTGCCAGGTGGAAACTGACAATTGTTACCATCTTATGCAAAACTTTGGCTCTGGGAGTTGTTTTCCCTTTCTGCCTCCTCTGTCCAACATCCCCCCCAAAGCATGAATGATGATTTCAGAAGTCACCTGGCTGTGATCAACACATCAAATCTGCCCCCAAAGACAGTTCCCAAATAAACTAACATGATCTTTCTGGCATTTATGCTGAATATGGCCTAGAAATGAGCAGTGTTTTCATTCCTACTCTCTCTCCTTGGAGGTATGTGCAGAGGTAGCTTTTTATAAATTCTCCTCCATACTTTCAACTCGGACCAAAATGTCCAAAACTGTCCCTCTGAATGGGAAATGATTGTAATCTTATAGCCAACATCATTAAAGGCAGCCCAGAGTCTTCTATTGCCCATTACCTCAAACAGCTGTGGGTAGAACTTAACATTATGTTAGGGTCAAATGTTCCCTTGTCAGTGGGGAAATTTTTCTGCTCTAAATGAAATGTTACAAAATACATTTCCCCCCACAAAGCTCTGAACTTGGAGCTGTTTTATTTATCTGACCATTCTGAGTACTGTAAAACATGTTGTTTCATGTTGTAACATAAGATCTTTTTTAAAGTGTGCCCCGAGCATTTGCAATTGTTATCAGGCCCAGATGTATCCGAGTGTCAGCGTGAAGCTCTCTGAGTTGGCTCAGATATACAGAATGTAATTAGCTCAAAGGCCTCCACGCTAAATTTGTAGAAGAAGCACCAGGACTGTCTGAGAATAACCATTAGCTCGCTCTTCTCCTCTCCTCCTTTTCACCCCAGCCCACTAACCAAAAAAAAAAAAAAAGGTGGCAAAAGTTAACATGTATTGTTCACGATGCTAAAGCTGTTTTGCGTAGAGCAAATGCAGGTTGTGATTGAGATTTTTGAATGAGAGAGAGCCAGTGGCAAAAGTTAGCTCGGAAAAAGAGATAAGATTAATAAAACTTATGACCTGAAGTAGATGAATTTAGAGACCTCAAAGAGAAAACATGATACTCAGTGCGTTTTTAAGATCACAGGCTTGAAATTCAAAATCATAACATTTTGCTTTCTTCTCTCTTCTAGACTTTCAACTTGTAATAATTAATCCAAGAACAAACATTTACATTATAGTCAACACTTTTTCAACCAGGGCTTCATTTTGTGTCATGTTCCATTGAAAAGTTTCTGGATATCAGAAAGAAAGTCAACCTGATATGATGCAACCAAGGAGTGACATGGGCTAAAATGACCTGCACTCTTAATAAAACTGAGTACTACATTAGGTTCAGAAAAAAGGGCAAAACCAAACAAAAATAGGTGGGTCATTTACCCAATGCAGTACACATTGGTGAAAGCAGCATAATTTCCTTCTGACACTTGCAGGAAATCAGTTTATGCCCTGAAGCATGAAATTTGATTGTAATTATTTTAGCTTGCTCAGCTACATATGTTATTGATGATCTTTCCTAAAAATCACCGGCCTTTTAGAAATCTTGCCACAGTACTTGACTCAACGACCTGTAAGTTATACATAATAGAAAATAAACCATGCAGGGCTTCTCTATTGATTGTTCCATAGAACTCACTCTTCCTAAAGAGTGAAGCACCAACATTATATAACATTGGTATAGAAAATGAGATTATATTTATAAATGTCTTGTAAAAGGTGCAAAGTCCACATGAATTAACCAACTGGCTGGAGACCTCACGTATCTTAGAGTGCTCAGAGTTCACATCGACATTTTACTCTTAGTTTATAAATCCAAAAGCCAGTTTTTGTAAGTACAGTGAAATGACGGGTTAAAGTAATTATCCAGGTGATACAAGCTTCTAAGGGTATCGTTGAAAATGTTACTAAAATGCCTGGGGTTTGGTCTAAGTCCTGTTGCTCGCAGCACAGAAAGCCAATCACTGAGACAGCAGGTATTGCCAGGGAAGAAGGCTTTAATTGGGTGCTGCAGCTGAGCAGATACATCAGTCTCAAACTCATCCACCTGGTGGACTGAAATTAAAGGTTTGTATAGCAGGGAAGAAGTGTAACTGGGAAAACAGGAATCAGGGAGCAGGAAGGAAGAGGAGTTGGTAAACAGGAAACAGATGGTTGGGTAGGCAGTCATGATAGGTGAGGGGTCTGGTGTCACATTGTCCAGATGTGGTGATCTGGTAAGTTTCCCTTCCTTGATACTATCTGGGAGTCCTGATGGTTTATTTCCTGAGAAGGGACCTCAGATAAGACAATTGTAACTTTCTCAAGTTTTAATACTGGGAAGGTCCATTTCTATGTTTATTCAAAGAAACCATAAATGTCACTTCTATGGGACAACTGGTCTAGTTTCAAAAATACACACTGAGATGAACACCCAAACTGGTCATCCACATTTATTAAAGTTTTTGAATAACTTTCCAATTCCTCACGTTGCTCTTTTGCTGAAAAAATGAGTAAAAATTCCAGATATGTACATAAAACATAAATTAATCAAATAAGCCAGATAATACAAGATTATAACATTCTAGGGGCTCTGGCTACCTGAGCTGAAAGTTGGAGGCTCCCATGGTTTTGAATTTGGTAGCAGAACAAGTGACCTTCCCCAGCAGTGTCTTAAGAAAATCAAGGATTTTCCTGGCAGAAAAAGTTCCTGTTCATAACATGGGAAATACATAGTGACATAACAATGCTTTATGTCATTTTGCTCTTTGCATATTCTTCCCTTCTATTCTGAGTAAGAATTAAATTGTACTAATTGAAATAGAATAGAATCTTGACTATACTTAGGATTTCCACCTAAACTGCCTGCTAGAAAAAGTTTTACTCCAAAGTTTGAGTGGCTTTGAATACATTTCTTTGTTTCTCTTTATGCTCTGCCTCTGAATACTTAATACGGTGTGCACCTGCCCACAGACAGCAGTGTGCACGTACATGGACATCTACCCCCAAGGAACTTCATCTTACCAAGTGAGACCAATATTTTAAAAACTAATGATGCAATAAATTCTTGATGATCCCGGTAATAAGCATGAAGAGAGATCAGTGACAGGGATGTGCTAAGGGAATGGCCAGAGAAACTGGGCCCCAGATAGTGGCTGGGGGGAGAGGAGGCTTCATGTCTGAAATGAGATTTGGAGCTTGATGTGGTTTAGCTTTGTCCTCACCCAAATCTCATCTTGAATTGTAGCTCCCATAATCCCACACGTTGTGGGAGGGACCCGTTGGGACATAATTGAATCACAAGGGTGGTTTCTCCCATACTGTTCTCGTGGTAGTGAATAAGTTTCACAAGAACTGATGGTTTTATAAGGGGAAACCTTTTTCACTTGTTTCTCATTTTCTCTTGTCTGCCACCCTGTAAGACATGCTTTTTCCATCTGCCATGATTGGGAGGCCTCTCCAGCCACGTGGAACTGTGAGATCATTAAACCTCTTTTTCTTTATTACTTACCCAGTCTCGGGTATGTCTTTATTAGCAGCGTGAGAACAGACTAATACAGAGCTCCAATAGGAACTAAGCAGTTGAATAGGAAGTAAAATACATTTTACACAGAAGAAACCTCTCTTTTTCAGCAAAATACATTTTTAAGTTGGCTTGGTGGTCTGAAGTCTTCATTCAGAAGGAAATCAGCTTCAGCACCATTCAGTGGCAAGAAACCTGTTCCCTGAGTTACCACAAAGACACTTCTGATCTCAGGGTATTTCTGTGACTCTTTCTCACTCCACTGTGATTTTTCTCCAGATTTCACTCCCGTGGATTGTGCGGCTCTGGTGAGGCATTAGAAAGCCTACTGGGTATGAGATATGGAACTCCAAAAGTACAACTCAAACCAAGCTCATTGCAGGGGGAGAGGTTAAGTTACGAAGAGGTAGAAGAAATATTTTACATGATACCACAATATTCAGAGAAGAGGATGAAAGAAAAGCGGTAGTTAATCTAGGAAGAAGGAGAAGCTCTTCTTTTCTAAAGATGCTTCCCATATTGTTAATAGAAGACAGAGGCACCAAATGCTTAAATGACATTAGGTAAATAATAGAGAGAAAACTGGAGAAAGCAGACACATCTTTACATGTGAAAATGCTCTACTTCCTTCCCTCTCCCATCGTTCCCACCTGGTTAGATTTTGCGAGCTCTCACCCCTCCTCTTATGAAATAATTTTCCCCTGCAGCCTTAGTTCTGCAAAGTCAACGTGGCTTATGAAAATCAAGTTGTATTCTGTATATTTAATACATCATCTCTAAGGATAATCATTCCAGAATCTGAACTTGTTTCTGTTATCTAGCTCCGCTTGACAATGATTTATGAACCAGAAAACAAGACAGCTTCATTTTCATAAAGCAAACGGAACCTTCTGGAGCAGGAGGAGCTGTGAAACTTGTTTTGACGAGTAAACTGAAACAAATATGACATAAAAGTCAATACAACTGCACCACTGGGCTCTCATTTTACAAAATAACTTTTTCTCCCACTGCAGCAGGATGACAGTTGAAATGTTGCATTAACCAATAGCAATTGTTATTTTCACTAATTACTAGCCTGTTGTGATGATGAAGGATGCTGAAAAATGAAAATAAGCACATGACAATCACCTCCTAGAACAGTCAGCCTCACCCAGAAAGCAGGAGCTTAGAAAATGTTTTAAAGGAAGTATCTATTAAAAACACTGCTGTCTTAATTTAATTATTTACTTGGTGTGGGAATTATTTACCCATAGTAAATGTTACTTATGATGAGAATTTGCAAAATAATTTAATAGTGTAAATGAACTGCACTAGACATTGTGAAATCACTCTTTTGCTCATAAAAGTACATAACCTATGCATAGTTATAGTAATAAACTTTTTGCCCAATCATATGGTCTGGGAGAGGGGGCAATACATCAGAGCAGAATAGAAAACAAACCACCAGACTTCATACCCCACCACAGCCACTTACTTTGGTTGTCTCTTCATCTTCTCTTTGTATATTTTCTCCTCTGTAAAAGGGCAGAATAATAATAATGATATGAGCCTTACAGCACAGTTGAAAAAGAGGATTTAATGAGATATTGTGCTTTGTGTGTTTTTCATTGTTTCCGATGAGTTGCTTAGTTCAGCAAACTTCATGGAGTGCCAGTCATCTACTCCTGTTTTCTTTTGGAAAATAAGACAAAGGTAAAAAGTATTCAAATGGTATCAACTATTCTAAAAGGCAAAAATGAGAAGATTTATCTAAATCTCCTAAAATTTTACAACAGTGGTGGCCTTACAGTTACATCATAAACACACCTGGGAGAAATGAGATGGTGTGATTGTGTCCAGAGTTGGTTCCTGCCGGTGGGTTCGTGGTCTCGCTGACTTCAAGAATGGAGAGGCGGACCTTCGTGGTGAGTGTTAATAGCTCTTAAAGATGGCACAGACCCAAAGAGTGAGTGGTAGCAAGGTTTATTGTGAAGAAGGAAAAGACTAAGCTTCCACAGCTTGGAAAGGAATGGGAGCAGGTTGCTGCTGCTGGCTGGAGTGGCCAGATTTTATTCCCTTATTGTCCCCTCCCACGTTCTGTTTCTGTCTATCAGAGTGCCCTTTTTTCAATCCTCCCCACGACTGGCTACTTTCAGAATCCTGCTGATTGATGCGTTTTACAGAGCACTGATTGGTGCATTTTACAGAGCACTGATTGGTGCGTTTTTCAATCCTCTTACAAGACAGGAAAGTTCCCCAAGTCCCCACTTGACCCAGGAAGTCCAGCTGGTCTCACCTCTCATGATGATGAAGGACTTATGTACACTGACTTGTGTCTGATTTCACGTTTGAAAATTGTCTTAAAAGGAGACAGGAATATAAAACAATGGGCATTTTAATGGACTGCATTTGACTAACTTAAACATCTGAATAATTGATTTAAAATCTTAGTCTTCATACAGTTAACTATTAAGCATATATTAGAAGTATAGAATAAAGGAGATCTCATATAATTGTCACATGTATTAAATAATCTCCATTTAGCTTTGATTTAAATCTAATATTCTACAAAAGTATATTTCTATATTTCTATTTGTGAAATAATTTTGCACAGTGTAGAAGGCTACCCATTTTTGTCTACATTGAAGAATACTAGATGGTCACTGTCAGTTTTATTCATTTATTTATTTTTAAATGAAAACGAGATGTGGGTTTGGAGTCATCTCCACCTCCTTCCTACATTTAATTATCTATTGTTTTTGAATTTTGAAATTTATACTAAAAAGATGCATGAATTGTACATGTGCATTTTAAATAATTAGCTTTTTAATTTTATTTTACTTACTTTTTTGAGACAGGGTGTCACTCTGTCACCAAGGCTGGAGTGCAGTGGTGCAGAGGGCTCGCTGCAGCCTCGACTTCCGGGGCTCAAGGGATTCTCTCACCCCAGCCCTCCAAGTAGCTGGAACTACAGGCGCACACCACCATACCCTACTAATTTTTTGTGTTTTTTTTAGAGACGGGGTTTTTCCACGTTGCCTAAACTGGTCTTGAACTCCTGGGCTCCAGTGATGCACTTGTGGCCTCCCAAAGTGCTGGGATTACAGACACGAGCCACCACAACAGACCCATAACGAACTTTTTAAAACATTCTTACTCTTACCCACCAAAGTTAAGAAATAGGACATTACCAGTGCCTTATGAAATCTATTTACCCTCACCATCACTTTCCCATTCCTCAGCCCCACCCACGCCTGGGATCACTATCCTTCCTGCATTTCCTGTTAACAATTCTCTTCCTTCTCTTTGAAGTTTTTTATCTTCATATAGATCTCTCATCAGACCAGAATTTAGATTTGCTAGCTTTTAAGTCTGATTTAAATGGAATCATATTAATACCTCTTTCTATGTCTTCTGCTTTTGCTCAACAGCAGTAAGTTTTTGAGATTCACTTATTTCATACACATAGTTATCAGTTCTTTTTCTCCAATGCATACTCCCCATTGAATGAGCATTCCACAGTTTATTTTTTTATTCTTCCATTGATAATCATTTGGGCAGTTTTCAGTTGTGGACTATTTTTATTTTTATTTATTTAAGAGATGAGCTCTCACTATGTTGCCCAGATTGGATTCAGACTCCTGGACTCATGTGATTCTTCCACCTCTGCCTCTCAAGTAGCTGGGAATACAGGCGTGCACCACCACATCTGGCTCAGTGGACTATTTTTAATAGTCCTGGGCACCTGTATAAGAATTTCTGCAAGTATACATCTACAGCTCAAATTACTATGTCGGAAGATGCATACATTTCCAAACTGTTAGATAATCTCAAACTGTTGTCCAACATGGTTATATCAGTTCATTCTCCATTTTGCAGCAGAATGAGCTCCCATTGTCCTGCAACCTCACCAAGTCAAAATAATGGGCATATTCATTGAAAAAACAAGTCAACCTAAAAACATCATCGAGGTGTTTAAATCATCAAGGTGACATTTTGATTTTAAAATCAGTTGTCTTCAAGTCTTATAAATAAGGCATTTAATTAAAATGTCCTCAGTTAATTAACTCAATATTCATATTTTTGGTGGAGCACTAAACACAGAGTCAAGATGCTTGGCCAGGAGTTTGTCTGGAAAAATCTCAGCAATTGAAAATGTCCTGCAGTTTCTTGAATCTCAAAAGTGGAAGTGGAGAAGTAAATTAGATCATGAGACCTACAGAGGCCTGATTGAGAGCCCATCTTTTCTCCCCATGTGTCTCATTTGGGTTTGGGGAAGAAGAACTGTAACAACCCTTGCCCAGGAGGTAAGTCAAGGAAGGAAGGCCCAAACAGTGAAGTTTTGATTTGCTGTTTCCTGTTGGAGTGATTAAGGAAGACCAACTACATGATGTTGAATTTTCCTTCTAACTCTGAATGTTGTAATACTGTCTTTGAATGTTGTTTTGTGGTTTTTTTTTAATGTGATGGTCAGTCAGATCTGCCACGAGAAAAGACAGAGGAGAGGTTCAGAAAAACAAAGTGTGTTAAACTCTCAGGTCCTAGCGACAGGAGGCACAGCATGTCACACAGGGCTATAAGGGGAAGACGTGGAGGTCAGGAGGCAGAAGACAGGAACCAGTGGAAGGCTTGGGCCAGAGGCTTTGTTGGGGTTTCTGTGGGAGAGGCAGTGGAAGGCAGGGTGAATGATTTAGGATGGGTTAGTTTGAATAACTTAGGAAACTCTAAACTATAGGGGTGGTCTGTAGCTGTTTGGTACCTGTCCCTGGAATGGTTAAGGCAGAGGAATGTTGCCTCCTGGAGTATAAGGGCCAGAAGAGGAGATATGGCTCTGGATTGGCTAGTGTGCATATCAAAGACATGCTCTTGTCAGAGTTCTAAGAATTGGCTAGCCCCTGGAGGGGCAGTCTCTCCCCAGACACAAAGGTTTTTGTTTTTGGTTTTGGTTTTATTAGAGACAGGGTCTTCGTTCTGTCACTCAGGCTGGAGTGCAGTGGTGCAGTCAAGGCTCACTGCAATATCAAACTTTTGGGCTCAAGCGATCCTCCCATCTCAGCCTCCCAAGCAGCTCAAACTACAGGTACATGCCACCTCATGAGCCTGGCTAATTTTTGTATTTTTTGTAGAGACAGGGTCTCACTCTGTTGCCCAAACTGGTCTAGAACTCATGGCCTCAAGTGAGCCTCCTGCCTCAGTTTCCAAAAGTGCTGGGATTACAGGCATGAGCCACCATGCCTGGCCTCAAAAAGGTTTTTAAAGTTGTCAAAACATCAAAATATACAGAAAATTATATCTATATATAGATACACACACATATAACTTGTGTGTGTACATGTAGGTATATACACACACATATATAATGTGTGTATATGTAGATATGTATATATCGATGTATATGTACACATCTATATATACACATACATAACTTATGTGTGTGTATATAGCTATGGAAATATATCTACATATACACACACAAGTTATATATGTGTGTATATATAGATATGTACATATACATCTATATATGTATGTATAGATATTTATACATACACACACACACAAGTTATATGTGTGTGTATACACAGATATATAAAATAAACATGTCAATACAACAATATAGAGAAAGTACGGGCCTGTTTAGAAAAATAATTGTGCAGAAACTCTCAAAAATTTTTACTAATCTGATTTTACACATAAAGACTTAATCAAAATAGATCTTCTCAGTACCAAATGTGATAAACTTGATAAATTTACAGGCTTAAGTAAGTCTAATTCTTAGTGATTTCTAGCAATAAATAGACTAACTGATTTTATGAGCAGCCATGGGACTGATGGGCAACAGTTCCAAATCGGCAGATATTAAAAACCTATTCATGTTAAGTAGACTGTGTGAACAGGAACACGTTCACAGGACAGTTTCTCAGCACATCAAATTAATGGTTTTCCTTCAGATGAAGAGGCATAAAATAGTCAAAAAAGGTTAAGTTAGGTCCTCATGTGACGACCAGACCCCACTGAAAAAGACACAATTTAATCATTTCTATTCTAAGAAAAGTCAGCCTTAGTTACTAGATAATTAACCCATCCCAGGCGATTATTGTATTGACTATAAAAATAGACAAATATAGGTTTGACCCTGCCCTGTCTTCTTATTCAGGTAGGTAGAGAGTGAGTCCAATGTTCTTTTCACTTAAATTAGGCAAATGCAATAGGAATATAGAATTTACATGTCTGTTTAAACAAACTGCAACAAAACTATTACACTGACAATATTTAGCCTAATATTTCCACTTTGTGAAATATATTTTGAATATTTCCATAACCAAAGAATTTAAAGATTATATGCAGAAGTAGAGATAAAGATTTAAATTCTTCTTGGGTTGTTTTTCCCTTCCTATTCCCAAAATGATATTTTTAAATGGTTAATGATAAGTATTTTAAGTTCATTAGAATAATTTGCTAACAAACATTTTGGATTGCCTAGCGGTATCTATTTGCCAATATGTAGTGCCTTGAGATTATCTGCATGTGGTCTTGCTCTCAATGCAGAAGCATATATGTAAGTTAATAAAGAAAGGCAGAGACTGGATTAATCTGAGATCAAGATGGCATAGCTCCTCCCATCTGGTGCATGTTTATTTCTCAGCAAGTAACCTATTTTGATGGCCATGGGCCAATGGAAACATAAATCTCCATGTAAGTTGGGAGAAATAATGAATTCATCTGTTCAACCTTCCAAGCAATATTTATTGATTACCTACTATGTGCTAGGTCCTGAGCTAGATGCAGTGATTTTGACCAAAAGGAAATCACTCCATAGACCTCTTGATTTCTCATTTGAGATAAAGGGTGCAGGAGATAGGGCATACATTCAGTAACTAGTTGAGCACACATTTGGGGCAATGTACAGTAATATTGATACCACTGCCTAGTAAGATTGGTGTTTTGGTCTGAGCTCAATGAACTAAATTTTGCAGACTCTAATGTTTTCAATTATAAAACTATTTGAGGTTTTACTGATAATAAATTTCCCTTTGATTGTCTCTGTGTGTGTGTGTGTGTGTGTGTGTGCCCATTCTTATTTTTGGTATAGATAATGCTATTGTTGACAATAGTTAAATGTTTATGATCAAGGTCACATATGAGAATATTACAATGTTATTAAGATGGATGTCCTGCTTAGAATGAGATATAAATCAAGTTTATCATTTTATTACCCTCACAAAGCAATACATGTTTATTTTTGAAATTTAAAACACTTATACAACTCAAACTATTGAGTCAACTCACAGGATTTCTGTCTCTGGGTTTACATTAGCAATGTAGATAGACATTCTTAAGTCAATATGCTCATCACTGAAAGCAAGAAAAAGCCTTTCAGGATTTACCCAAAATAAATGTGGGTCCTTTTGAAATGCACCATGAACTACAGAACAGATTGTAATTTAGGCTAGTTTACAAAAAAGGGAGACATGTATGTGCAGAAATTTCAAAGGCGTCTGATTTAGGCCTTGCCTGTCTGGAAAGTTCTTGCAGAGTTTTGGTTCTGACTGGGCTCCTCTCTCCTGCAGGTGGCCTCCACAGATCTTTGGGGAAGGAGGGCAGAATGGAAAAACTCTTGGTACATAACAAATAACTGAAGTAAGCAGGCAGTGAAATTACCCACAGAAAGCCATTCATTATGTGTTTCCAATATCCTCTAAAAGGGTAGCCCACCCCTAACTACGTATTTATACATATTTACTTGATAATCAATAAAGGAAAATGGCTGCATTATTTTGATTAAAACATCAACTCTACGTGTTACTATAAAGTCACATTTAAGAAACCAGAAACAAGGAGATAGCAGTTCATGCTACCCTCCAGCCTATGATATATGATATTTTCAAGCTTCGAGGAGAGCAGACACATTAAGAAAATAGTGCTAATGATATTAAAGTACTTTACAAGGCTTGTTACTAAGAGCTGACAAACCTGTCAAGTGTATAATGTAGGAGACTATCGTAACGTTCTCAGAAAACCATACCTCTACCCCATTTCACTGCAATCTCCTAATAATGGAGCTGCTATAAATTCTAGCCAGCAATGGGACCGAGCCATGGCTTCTCACCCCAGTGTGAGGACATGATAAATATAAAAGAAAATGGCTGTCAGTTTTGGCGCCCGGACCTTATTACAAAGTCTTAATCTTACTGGCCTCAGCACCTTTTATCACCGCCTTGTTATGAGCTGATGGCTTTTTTATTTGCTGGGAGATGGAGGATGTGTCATTTGATGTCCTTTTATGTAGCCACTGCTCTGTCCTCTCATGAAAAAAAACATTTTATATGTTTATTACAGTAACCGATTAAATGCGAGACTCATGCTGTTGGCTCAGGTACTGTGGGCTTAGGATTTAACAGAGTCTGGATTTAAATACATCATTATGAGTATTTATGTGAATGGGATTCAAATAGGAAATTAATTTTTCTCAGCACCGGAGAGACAGCATTTGCAATATTCATGATTGTTTATTCTTGCTATTATATTATTGCTATTGGGATTGGTCATTCCGGGTTCCAAGGTCAGCCGGAAATCCCAGCTCTGGCTTTTCCACTTTCTTCAGACTGCTAGCTTTGAGGAAGGAGACCTTATAAACACAGTTTAGCTCCAACTCGGCTCGGGTTCAATGAGCTTGATCCTTAAGAAGAGATAAATTGCAATTATCTAAATATTAGTCTGACAATCTCCCAGCTCACTTCCCATCCTCTTCATTTATGGCAAATGAGAGTCTGAACCTCACTTGAAACACTGACCCTGACAGAACCTTTATCCACCAGAACTGCCGCAAAGTGGCGGCATCAGGTATTTAACGGAACCTGACATTGATGGGCTGGTTTCAAGCTGTAGCTGGAGACTCCATCACTAGATCTTATCTTCAATTTGTGTCCATAAAACACGATGGCCCAGAGTGTGGATACACAGAAAGCCTTATCCTGTCTGTTGTGCCTGCCAGCTGAGAGTCAGAGTCCAGAGTGGGGAAGTCACCATTTTCATTCAGAGGTGGGACTAGCTCCGAATCTGTATGCACAGGAGCCGGTGCTCAACATACCTTTCTCTTCATCCAAGGCTCTTGTATTCCAAAGTCAAAGGCCAAGGAAGCCCTAGAGATTTATTTCTCTATATGCTGGAGGAAATTGCCAAGTTGGTGGCTTTAGCTATTGGCTCTATGTATTGCCCATCTCTGAGGTGGTGTGTATGTGAAGCTGGCAGAATTCGTTTCAAAATAAAAATTCATTTATACCACTGAAGCTTCCTTTAATTGCATCTTACCAACTCACTGAAGTGATTGTGTTTTTGACACAATGGGTTATTATTATTATCATTATTATTATTATTTGAGGCAGGGTCTCCCTCTGTCACCCAGGCTGGAGTGCAGTGGCACAATCTCGGCTCACTGCAACCTCTGCCTCCCATGTTCAAGTGATTCTCCAGCTTCAGCCTCCTGAGTAGCTGGGATTACAGGCACACGCCACGATGTCTGGCTAATTTTTGTATTTTTAGTAGAGACGGGGTTTCACCATATTGGTCAGGCTGGTCTGGAACTCCCAACTTCAGGTGATCTGCCCGCCTCGGCCTCCCAAAGTGCTGGGATTACAGGTGTGACCCCGGCCTGGGTTATGTATGTTAAGAAAAGGACAGAATAATAAATTGGGCATTGGAGAGGCACAAGTCACATTTTCTTCTTATTTATTATATCCTGAGAAATTGAGTTATGCAGGAACCCATTTGTTGTGGGATCTAGTTCTGAGCTATGAGAAGATATAGAAATATCTTATGTTATTTTCTTTGAAAATGAAAGAATTTGGGTGTTTCTCTTTCCTGAATGCACCTGAAGTGTGAGAGTTAAAAATCCCCTTGGGTCTTTTTTTAGCACCTTGACTTTTCACTTGCAATTCTCTGTTGAAGGTGTATTTATGCTTAAAATGCAGGCTTGGTATGAGTGGGCCCCGAAGTGGTCCCTCCTATGATTGTTCCTGTAATGAGCCATTCGTGATTTGCCACTATATGAGAAAAAAACTGATGAAAAACCTAATATATCGGAAAAGGCAAATTGCATGTCTAGAAATTTAATTAAAAAGGAAATAACCCTCCCTGTATAAGGGTTGGCAGTCCCCTTCACAATCTTCCTCATACTCCTCCTCTTTCCTCCTCTCTCCAAGTACAAAAAGTACTTTCCAGTGAAATCTACACATGCATATTAATGAGAATAAGCAGTCAGTTGCAAGTAACCCAGAGGTGCCTGGCTCCTCAGAAGAGGTGAACAGGTTAACTGGTCTATAACTTACAATATCTCCTCTCATTGAATTTCACTGTACATTCCTCAACCTATTTGTGAACTCATGATGACCATAATATCTACACTAATAATTTGAGCATTCCCTCATGTCTGAATCACATGTTACATTTTACAAAGCTTTTACATATTATGACGATGACATAAAAATATATATATATTTTATATTTTAATGTCATCCTCATAATCACCTCTTAAGTTAACTAGGGTAAGCATGAATATACTCATTTATTAGACAAGAGAATTAATACATGGGTTCACAGATAAAATCCAGGAAGACCATTTAAATTTGAATTTCAAATAAATGACAAATACTTTTTGGAGTACAGTATATTCCAATTTACATGAGACATTTTTCATACCAAAAATTGTTTGTTGTTTTAGCTGGACATGTGGGATTTTTATTTGCTAAATCTGGCAACCCTAACTGAGGCTCAAAGAAGCATTTGCCAGTTCATGCAAGTAATAAATGGCAGAGTTACTATTGGGCTCTATAAGATTTATATATGAACTCACTTAATCGTGATAGTGTGAGGTTTCCCTCCTCATTTTCCAGATGAGGTCACTGAGTTGCTTAGGGCATAAGGAACTTCCTCAAAGTTATGGAAGTGGCAGGTAGCAGAGTAGAGGCCCAGTCCCACATCCATGTTCTAGGGACTCCGGTATTTTCATCACTCTGCCATGTTTGGGGTTGGGATTCTGTCTCTGTCTTGCAGAATCCTACTCCATTGCACACTTCAAACAACTGCTTGGTGGATCTCAGCCCAAATGTTGCAGACCTCATAAAGGAACTGGAGGAATAGCATCCACGGATGCCCAGTGTACACTGGAGTGTCAGCTCGCCTTAGTAGAATTGATTATATGAGATTTTGCTGCAAAGGGCATCTTCAGTAACTGCCATTGCCCTTTGCTGAGAAAGTCAACATCATCAAGTGAAGTGCGACTTTCACCAAATGAGAACTAAGTTGCAGATTAAGGGCACTTAAAGTATACAGTTAGGACAGGTGGGGGAAAGCTGTGGCAGCAGACTTACTCTGCAGAAGGGTTACAGAAGCCCAGGAGGACTTCAGTAAAACATATTCAGATGTAAAAATACAAACAAAACAAACAACACCCCTCCCCCAACACATACATACAAGAAAATCTATAGATAGAAATGTTGTGTCAGAAACCAAATTGCTGTTACATATATTATCCCAAAAAATTTAGAAAAAGGTGAGAAGGGAAATCAACTTTAGAAGCAAGAAAATCTGTTGCAATTTTTACGCCTGTTCAACGTTTGCATGCAAAGGTAGACCATAGAGCTTTTACTTTTCTCCTAAGTTTTTGTTCTTGTTCCTATAAACTGCCAACAACACATGTGTAGGATCTCTGGATTTTTACACACTATAGATACATGAATCAGACAGTCACTTAGCAATCATTTTGCTTGTTTATCCGCCAATATGTCATTGAGTGTTTGATGCATCAATTTCCAAGCCTTAGTTCTGTACGCTCTAGTATACTTCCCAACACACTTAAACCATCAATGCATTTTCTTTCTCTCCTCCCTGTGTAGTCCACCTTAAAAAATGTCACTGTCTTGATTAATTTTCTGTTCCCCTTCATGTTCCGATGACATTTGGGAAACAGTTTTCCCTGGAGAACCAACTTCTCATATTCCTGACCACTCTATGGGACTATAAGTCAAGATAAAAATTAGCATACCCCTTGAAATATCCACACTAGTAAAGCGTAAGATGTGTTAACTACCCTGTTGTGACTACCTTGTAATCACATGACTAGCACTATGGTCATGCATTAGCAAAGTGGGAGAGCATTGACAACAATGCTAAGTGGTATGTTTTATGGATATTTACAAGAAGGGTCACTATCTTCTCCCAATCTTGTGTACAGTATAATTGAATCCAATTTCCTCTGTGAATTTAAAATAAAAAATGTCCTGTAAATATGCATAATCAGTGAAAAATTGTTGAAAGTTACACTAGTCTCAATCTACTCCCCTCCCCACACGTCCCAAGGTGACAATTTAGCCTGAGACAACAATCAAGTTACAGGAGGAAACAGCGTGAAGGAATTTAAGGAAGTGTCTGACCTTTTAAGGGAAGAAAGAGAAGGTAAGAGACAGGTCAGAGGGAAAGAAGATCACAAGTATCCTAATCTTCCTTTTGTCAGGTTTTGGTCAAAAGAAATAAGCTTATTTGATAAATTGAGGGGAATATCAAGATCAGAGTTCCTTACATTCAGCCCAGTGTTTGGGACCTCAGGGCCTGCACACACACCATCTCAGGGGCTACCACATCACAGTGAACTTGTGGAGGTAGAAGAGTGAGAAGGAGGGCATGGTTTACATTTCTCATGATGTCTTCAGTTACACCTGGAGTGGACCCAATGTAGAGAAATGTCCGTGTATGCCTGGAAATCTGCACAAAGGTAACTTAGTGAGGCACAGCCAAGCTGCCTTGGGGCCCATTGGGACCAGGAGCCAGTGTGACTTCAAAGTAGAAGCCACCAGGTGCACAGACCAGCCCTGGGGTCAGATGAATAACATGATGACTTAGAGGATCTGGTTGTACTGAGAGAGATGACTTGAAGCTGCCTAGGGACCACCAGAAGTTTCAGACGAGGATGACTAAGGCAAACTGTAAGTTAGCCCAAATGCAGACTGCAGCTAGGGGGTGTGGCCTTTATGCTGAATGTCACCTATGCAGGAAGCAGCCCAGGGCAGCAACATGGTAGGAGAGGCCAGAGATTCTATGATGACTCAGGGACCTCATCTCTCCTTGAGCCTTTAGGATAAAACAAGTGTCCCTAATATGCCAGATGCTAACATAGAAAAGGGAAAGGAGAATGAGGGTGTATCTGAAAGACTGAACATTTTACTTAAAAAAATATCACACTTTCTAAGGAAATGGTTCAAACTATGCTGTTAAACAGAAGTTACCAGATTATTCTCAAGTTTATGTCCCTTGCTCCTCCATGAAACAGAGGGAGCAAAAGCCCATGAGAAACATCAAATAAATTAATACAAACATAAATAATGTATATCAAGTCCGCATAGTTTTTGAGTAACTACGTGATTCTGCTACACTATGAAATATGAATTAAAACCTTTCACAAATTAAATTTAACAGTTTATTTGAGAAAAAAAAAGTTCATGAATCAAATAGCACTCAGAACCAGAGATTCAAAGAACTCAGGTCTGCAAAACTGGACAGTGAGTATTTATAGGCAGAACAGGGAAATAAAGTACCGAAATAGCTTGATTGGTTATACCTAGGGGTTTGCCCTATTTGGGACACAGTCTGAACAGTTGGCAGCCTGTGATTGGCTGAAACATGGCTGCTTGTGATTGGCTGAGACCCTGCTTTGTATTACAGAAATTAGACTCCTAAGTTCGGTTTTGGCTCGTTTACATACTGTGAGGTTGCAGTTCCTTACATAGAAACTCAAAGTACAAAGACAGCCTCAGGCTGATGGCCTCCTGCTTATTTAATTTAACAAATGTAAATGTGAGTTTCAAAGATGGTGAATTATTTATAAGCCAAGAGTTGACTTACTCAAGAAAAATGCAGAGAAGTGGGCTTGGAGATCATGCATATTTCTAATTTTTTAAAAAATGTGACCATGTATAGGAGATGTTTGGCTTGGAAGTGCTCTGGGCTGTGTTATCGCCCCATCCCCTCTGTGCCTGTGTTTGATGGGAATCTCTCATACATAGCCACTTAGCACCTGGGTTCCTCAAGACCTCTCATTGCAAGTGATGAAATATCCCAGCTCAAAGCAGCAAATGGGAAAGGGGAGTATATTGTCCCGCATACCCCAGCCATGAAGAAGGGAGGGCTGACTGGAGGATTTTCTCATTTTTCATTTCAGCTCTTCTCAGCTTTTTCTTGCAAACCAGCTTTCTCAGAGGTTCCCCTGGCAATTCCAAGCTTGCCTCATACTTTATCTATCAGCTATGCCTCCAAAATTCCTGGGGAAACATATCTCTTTGGTCTAGGTCGGTTTTCCTTGAATACTCTTTGATGTGTGTCTTACTGCTGCTATATCAGAATATGACAAACTTAGTGGTTTTAACAATACAAATTTATTACCTTATGGTTCTGCAGTTTGGAAGTCTGAAATCGATCTCTGAGCCAAAATCAAGATGCCAGTAGAACTTTATTCCTTTCTGGAGGCTCTAAGGGAAAATGCATCTCCTTGGTTTTCTAGCTTCTAGAGGTCACCTGCATTCCTGTGTCCATGGCCCCCTTCCTCCAAGTTCAAAGCCAACAACAGCAGATTGAGTTTTCATATCATATTGATCCAAACTTCTCTTCTGTGTACCTCTTCCATTTTTAAGTATGCTTGTGATTACATTGGGTCCACCTGGGTAATCCAAGGTACTCTCTCTATTTTAAAGTGAGTTGATTAACAACTTCAATTCTATCTGCCACTTGAATTCCCTTTTGCCATGTAACATAACACATTCAGAGCTTCTTGGGATCAGGATGCGACTGTCCTTGGGAGGTCATAGTTCTGCCTAACACAACTCTTTAAGCCAAATCATTTTGGCAAGAAAAGTGAAGCAGTCTGATTGGCCCATTCAGATCAGAGTTTTACTCATGTGGCTAGGGCAGCAGTTTATCTGAGTGACAGCACCTATTGAAACCACATGGCAGCGGGTAGAGGAAAGTCTGCCTTTACAAATAAGTGGTTCTTTTGCAAAAGGAGAAAGTAAAGAGTGGGCGTACAGACACTAGAACCTGTCCTGTACTTTCTGGTAAATCAGTATGAGAACAATTGCAGATCACACTGAGAAACTAATGTCTCCAAAATATGTTGAGGTACAAAGCGCCAAATTCTCCTAGGTCACAGGAAATAAGATTGCAGGTGAAAACAAATTTGCTTTAACACTTTAGAGAGCTCAGTTGATAGGTTCCCTGAACATGTGATCTGAAGTCTATGCTATACTACGTCTTTATGGCAGCATCCCCCAAATATCAAATATCAGATAATACATAATAATATGGGGAAGAGACTTGGGAAAAGATGTGTGAAAAGAAGTGAATATCCTTTAATGAACATGTGTCAAAGTAGAATAATGGTTTTCCGGTTACAAACCATACATCCCTCAAGTACTGAAACTGTGTTTCAAAGAGGTCACGTACCGTTGAGTGAGAGTTACGGTCACATGGGCTGGTGTTACTGATGAGATCATGGAGTATTCTTTAGGAGTATCTTCAGGAAAAAAAGACTCAGCATAAGCTAGCGGGTGTTGGCTTGAACAGAGATACCTGAAGAAATAGATAACTAAGCAGTTGTACCACGAACAGAAATATCGACATATTATTGCAAAGAAAAATATTTTAAAACCTAGCATTGGATAGAGGAAGGGCAATGCAAATGAAATACCAGGTAGAAATTAAGTAGGAACTTCCTGGATGGCATTTTTTAAAGTATGTGGCCCAGTTAGAAATGGAGCTGGCATTGAGAATGGCAGCCTCCTTGATTGCATGTGGAAATTGAAGATTTGTCCCACTGATCTGACCTATTGTACTTAATATTTCTGTTCAGTTTTTCAAAATCCTTTCTTATACATTAATTCATTCATTGCTTATCACAATCCATTTTGGTGGGCAGAGCAATTATTATTGTCCCTCAGTTACAAATTTGTCATTTCGTAGAGCCTTGTGCATGTCATTAGAGTCTATCTCTATTTTACTCTACTATATATTTTTTTCCTTTTTCTTTTTTTCTTTCTCCCTCCCTCCCTCCATCCCTCCTTCCCTCCCTTCCTTCCCTACTTGTTTGCTTTCTTACCTACATACATTTTTCCTCTCTAAAGTTGGCTTTCTCAACACATTGTGAGTTACTGGAAGCTAGGAGTTTGTATCTCCATGCTTGGCATCATTCTTGGGAAACAATTTTAATACACATTCAGTGGACACACAATTCATGCTAGTTGCATGGATGTTCGAAAATCACTCACGCATGAACTGGAGAAATGAAGAAATGTGGCAGCATGGGACACTTTAAACATATATGATCTCAGCACACTATTCAATAACTATGAACAACGATCTCAAATGAATCCCCCCAAAAGTAGAAGGAATGAATGAATAATAATAGAAATAGATTATATTGCACTAAAATGTAAGATAGATGACAATACGTCTAAACACTAGTCTCTGCTGAGACCAAGAAAATAGACAAACATGTGGCATACCCAAGCAAGACTTTTTTTAAAAGGCTTACAAAATAAAACATCAAAACAGCATTAAAAGTAAGATAAAGATATACCATCAATTTGGAGGAAATTTAAAAAATAATTATATGAGAATACTGTTTACTCCTTATTGCCAAAAATAGAAATCAGAGAAAAAAACTGTTTTCTAGAAAGACATAAAATATCAAGGTTCTATCAAGACCAGGAAAATCTGAATACACCAATAATCATTGAAGAAACCTAAAAGCTTGTTAAAAAAATGACTCCGTGCTTTTGAGACTGAATTATAGAAACTTTATATAATAATCTATGTTATGGAAAGTGCCCAAAGACACAAAAAGCAGTGGATGGCTTTCCAACTAATTAGATGGTGCTAGTATAATCTTGACACCAAAATTGTCAAACACACACATGCAGACACACACACATATAAACACACAAGCAAACTCACTCATTTACAAAGAGAGAAAACTGTAAACCAAAATATCAGTTATAAACAGATAGAAATATTAGCTAACACAATCCAGCAGTGGGTTAAATGAATCATGATCACAAAGTTTGTTCCAGAGATGTAAAAATGGTGCAATACCAAGAAATGTGTTAATATGAATCACTATATTACACAAAGGTGAAAATTAAATGAAAATTTCTTTAATAGTTATAGTAGTACTATTAATTCTTAGTGAATAGTATGTACTCAGCCCTGTTTACAGTTCTTTAGCACCCATGATCTTATTTAATTTGAATTTTAATTAATTAATTTTTTTATTTTTGAGACGGAGTTTCAACTCTTGTTGCCCAGGCTGGAATGCAATGGCATGATCTCCGCTCATTGCAGCCTCTGCCCCCCGGGTTCAAGCCATTCTCCTGCCTTAACTTCCCAAGTAGCTGGGATTACAGGCACCTGCCACCATGCCCGGCTAATTTTTTATATTTTTGGTAGAGACGGGGCTTCACCATGTTGGCCAGGCTGGTCTCGAACTCCTGGCCTCAAGTGATCCACCCACCTTGGCCTCCCAAAGTGCTGTGATTACAGGTGTGAGCCACTGCGCCCCACCTTATTTAATTTTTAAAATAACTCAGTGGAGTAGGTCCTATGATTTTATTCACTTTTGGATGAATACATTGAGGTACAAAAATGTAAGTGGTGGAGACATGCAAGTTATGTAAGATTCTGACTCCAAAATGTGCCCTCTGCACCTTATGTTACCTTTGTTATAAATGACATTCCTGATTTAAATGGGAAGGAAGTAAACTACGACAATAGCACAACATAAAAACTGAGACAGGAAAGCCATGTCTCAACCATATCTACCAGAAATATACAGTTTTTATATCACACTTAATACTGGAATATTAGAATCATTCTCATCAAAACTCACAAAAAAGGGGCAGGGAGCCTGACTATCATGCTGGTATTTATCACTAGGTTAGAGATTCCGGTTCATGTAATAACATGAGAAAAATATGACAGAGGTAAATGTTAAAATGGAAAAGACAGAAGGTCATAATTTAGAGACAATGTAATTATTTACTAAGTTTTTACGTAAAAAATGGAAAAAAATATGGATGAAAGTAATATAGTTCATAAGATGATGGCCAGATACAAGACCAATACTGTGAAAGCAATATGCTTTCTTAAGAAAAAAATAATCAACTAGAAAATCTAATGGAAATAAAAAAGGCCATTCGTAATTGTCATAAATATGTTATAGCTAGAAATGTCAATGTTATATCTAGGAATAACTTTAATTGGAAATAAATGATGCCTATGTGAGCAAAAAAATAAAATAGGACTTTGCCAGATAACATAAATGAACACCTAATTAAGTGAAATGGAGAGATGTATGTCAGAGAGAAAATTTAATATTAGAAAGATATCAATTTTTATAAATATATCTAGAATACAGTTAAAATCGAAATTGCAGTAGGATATTTAATAACACTTGACAAGTTGACTCTAGAAAAATACACAAATGTAGTCAAGGAAGTTTAGAAAAGAATAATAATGGGACCTTATTATATTAGATTGTAAGACACACTGCAAACTTACAGTAATTAAGACTGTGGTACTCACAAAGTCATAGAGAAAATATATCAATAGAAGAGCGAATACCAACACAGACCTATGTATATGTGATTTATTTATAATAAAAATGTACATTTTAAAATAGTGGGAAAAGAACAAGCATTTCATAAGTTTGGAATTGAATAAGTGATTAACCCCTTATGGAAAAAAATTAAGTTAAACCTGTGCTTCATAGCACAGAAAAACATCTTAAGTGTACCAGAGAGGTACGTGTAATCATGTGCTGCCTAACACCATTTTGCTCAGGGATGGACTATGTATACAATGGTGTTCCACTAACATTTTAATTCTGTATGTTTCCTGTATCTTTTCTACATTTAGGTTTAGACACGAAAATACTTACCATTGTGTTACAGTTCCCTGTAGTATTCAGTATAGTTACATGCTGTACAGGTTTATAGAGTAGGAGAAATAGGCTATACCACGTGGTCGAGGTGTGTAGTAGGCTACGTCACCTAGGTTTGTGTAAGTGCACTCTAGGATGTTCATACAATGATGAAATCATCTAAGGGTGTGTTTTTCAGAATTATTTCCCCATCCCTAAGCAGTGCATGACTCTATTGAAACTATAAAAGCACTAGAATAAAATCGTGGACAGTATTTGTATAATCTCAGGTGTATATAACCCGAAACCTTAGGAGCCATCATATTGATGACTTATGTATTACACATTTATGAATAAGAAAAGACACCATGAAACAAGGCACAAGGGCCAGTTCAGAAAAATATAATATACTTAACCAAATATTACTACTCAGAATGTATGAAGAACTACCATAAATGATTAAGAAAATAACATAACTCTGTAAGATGAGTTATGTTGAACTGAAATAACAAGTTTCTTCTGGTTTTTTTTTTTTTTTTTTTTGAGATAGAGTCTTGCTCTGTCACCCAGGCTGGAGTGCAGTGGCACGATCTCGGCTCACTGCAAGCTCTGCCTCCCGGGTTCACGACATTCTCCTGCCTCAGCCTCCCGAGTAGCTGGGACTACAGGCGCCCGCCACCATGCCCAGCTAATTTTTCGTATTTTTAGTAGAGACGGGGTTTCACCGTGTTAGCTAGGATGGTCTCGATCTCCTGACTTCGTGATCCGCCCGCCTCGGCCTCCCAAAGTGCTGGGATTACAGGCGTGAGCCACCGCGCCTGGCCACAAGTTTCTTCTTTTGTCATTAAATGTAAAATACCTAATATATTCTATTTTAAAAATATTAACGGTAAGAATAGCACGTGTGAGAGCCTCCTTTAACCTTTCCCTGAGTCCTTTCTTCTAATTTCTCCTCTACTACCTTACCCCCATTCCTTTATGCCCAGGAAATATCAATTTTCTAAAATTTGATGGCATCCTTCCAAGTCCCCTTTTGATAAATTTCAACACACACATTGACACATACATGCTCATTTTTTGCATACAAACATATGAGCATTGCTTGTTGCATTTTTTTCACTTGACATGCCTCAGAAGTCCTTCCATGCAAGGCATGTTTAAGGAATACTTGGAGTCCTATGGCACAGCTACACAAAGATGTATGGAATCACTTACCCACTTGATAGACATCGAGGCTATTTCCAGTGTTTCACTGTTATGAACAAGTCTGCCTTGAAAATACTTATGCATAAATCTTTCTGTACCCATGGTAATAGTTATTTAGAATACATTTCTAGAAGTAGGATTGGCGGGCCAATTTACATTTGATAGGACAAAACTTCTTGCCAACTCCTATCAACTATATATGATTGTGTATCGTTGCCACTCTTTGTTTATCAATATTCTGCTAATTACTGTCAATAGGGGGAGGTAATAATTGATAACAGTCTCTCTAATTGCTTTTATCTGATAACTAGTGTTTTATACGTTTATTGCTTTTTTTCTTGTGGATTCACAATTCATGTTTTGTCCATTTTTCTATGGGATTTTTATTGACTTGTAAGAACATTGTATACTAGAATATTAATACTTTGCTTCAAGTTGTTACAAATGTTTCCTCATAGTAAAATTTTAAAGGCAAGTAGGAGTTTATTAGGGGAGGAGGAAAGCACATTTTAGGCATGAAGAAACATTTTGACAACTTAATTGAATCAGGCAGGTAGTAGGTAACCAGTTGAATTTTAATCAGTTCAGGTAAAAAAGGTTTTATATGGGGCCAGGTGCAGTGGCTCATGCCTGTAATCCAGCACTTTGGGAGGCTGAGGCAGGCGGATCACGAGGTCAGGAGATTGAGACCATCCTGGCTAATGCAGTGAAAACCCATCTCTACTGAAAAAAAATACAAAAACTTAGCCAGGCGTGGTAGTACATGCTCGTAGTCCCAGCTACTCGGGAGGCTGAGACAGGAGAATCGCTTGAACCTGGGAGGCAGAGGTTGCAGTGAGCTGAGATCACGCCCACTGCACTCCAGCCTGGGCGGCATAGCTAGACTCCATCTCAAAAAACAAACATGAATAAACAAACAAACAAACAAACAAATAAACATGTTTTATATGTAAACAGTCTTAGCCAAATTTGAATGCAAGAGAGCTCCTTCAGGTAACTTGAACTAGGGCTCCATGTTGTGTAAGAGTGGAAGAGCTTGGCATGTGGCTGTAAACATAACACAACACAAAGTCCAAACAATCTGACCTACTAAAAATAATAAATACAATTTGTCTGCTATATTCGCTATAATTTCCTTCAATAAATTTGTGTGTGTGTGTGTGTGTGTGTGTGTGTGTGTGTGTGTGTGTGTGTTGGTGGAGGGGGGAGTTTTTGTTGGAGTGGGTGTGGATGTCCAAGATGGCAAGGGTATTAAAGTGTGCTGTCTAGGAGTAAGCTGCTATTATTTAAAGGGTTAATGATACCTGGCATTGACAGCTGCCCAAATGTTGCTACATATATCTTCACCCTCAGAGGTGACATTCTGAGAAGTGTAAGGCCAGTGTGTTCTCTTCCATGATGTTAAATGACTTGCCCAAGGCCAAGAGCTGGTAAGGAGGACAGGACGCCTTTTCCCTTCCCCCTCCCTCTTTTCCATCTTATTTGCCCCTAAAAATAAGTGCTGAATCATTAGTATGTTTTTTCTTTTTTGGGAAATGTATTTTATCACATAAGTTAACATACCCAGTAGTGATAAGGGAAGTATAAAAATGTGACATAGGTCGTTTTATCAGCTCATTCAAAACAATGCTTCTTTAACATGTACTATGCATGAGGCACAGTGCTGGCACTGGGGGGAAGAGGAGAGCAAAGAAATAGACTGCCTTGCCCTCATGGAGGTGACCTGCAGAGTCAGGGACTATGTACTTAGCTTGGGATGCCCAGCTCAGAAAACAGCATCCACCACTTAGCAGGCAGGCAATAAGTGTATGTTTAGCAAATTGTAAACCTTGGAGATTTAATGAAACAGTGACAACAATATGAAAAACAAAAATAATTAGTGATGGAAAAAACACAGTGGACTGTCAACATGTTAATTTTCCAAAGAAGGCTATTTAAAAACTATTACTGACTATCACCATTATTGGATATGTAAAGAGAACATTTGAATCTTGAAATCTTCTCCTCTAGACGTTGGGAGGAGAGGGAAAGCTGGTCCCCACCTCTGCCCTGTTGGCCATTCAGCTTCTCTTACCACCTCCTGCTCCTTCCGCAACGTGGAGCGCCTCACCAGCACATGTGTGGACACGAGGGCTGCTCCTCCAAGTTCTTCCACCTCCACTCCCTGAGACTTTCACACCGCTGAAGATGCATTCAAATATTTGGACCTGAAGGTCTGAGGGCCTAAAGTACCTACCTTTGCTTTCTACACGAATACAATGAAAATAAAACTCTCTGTTACACTAGGGAGTCAGGGACCTGTGGCAGACATCGGGAGTGGTTGGCAAAGTTCTATACCAAAGGTATGTGCCTTCCAATTCACTAAGCTGTACATTTGTATCAGACATTTTTATGTATGTGCTATGCTTAGTGACAAAAGGCGCTTTGGTTTTTTTCTTTTTTTTTCTGGTGGCTGATAATTAGATCAAAACATCAAATACAGACTGGGCACGGTGGCTCATGCCTGGAATCCCAGCACTTTGGGAAGCCAAGGCGGGAGGATCACCTGAGGTCAGGAGTTCAAGACCAGCCTGGCTAACATGGTGAAACCCTGTCTCTACTAAAACTAAAAATTAGCTGGGTGTGGTGGCATGTGCCTGTAATCCCAGCTACTTGGAAGGCTGGGGCAGAAGAATCTCTTGAACCGGAGGGTTGGAGGTTGCAGTGAGCAGAGATGGTGCCATTGCACTCCAGCTTGGGCAACAGAGCAAGACTCCATCTCAAAAACAAACAAACAACAAACAAGCAAACAAAAAATCAAATACATAAACGTCTGTGAGTTCAGAGTGGCATTTAAAGAAAGAAAATCTTAAAAACAAGAAACTTTATTGGTCATTTTGGGAGGTTGACAGGGAATGACGTCTTCATTCAGAAAAATAATGAAGTGAAAAATAACTTATTAAAATGTGACCAAAACTTCCCTTGACTTTGTGCCTCATAAGTACACACCTAGCCTGAAGAGGGAAGGCTAAAATGGCAAGGACTGATTGATTAGATTTAGCTCATCCATCTCCTTATGACTCCCTCAATAACAGGACATGTGACAAAGAAACTGACAGTACCAGAGGGACTGCCTTTATGAGCCATGATGGCCAGATAAGGGCCGCATCAAAAACTCTAGGTGACTCCTCCTCACCAGGAATGATGGCAGACCCTACAAAGGCAAAGAAGGGAAACAATTAACCAACAGGGGTAAAAGGCAAGGGCTCAACTGTAAATCAGATTTATCCAGAGAAATCTCAGAGCAGTGAGATTTGCACACTTTGAAAATGCCCAGCATCATGGGCAAAACTCCAGAGAAACACGCATAAAGGACCAGTTTGATTTGGTAACAGAATATGTCATTTAAGGAGCTTCATCTCTAATATTTTTAATATACAAAACCAACACCACCAAAATTATGGTAGAAAAAGTTACTACTACTAACAGTGATAGAGACATGAGGCCAAACACAAAATCATCAATAGCACCAATGACTCTCAGCTATACACATGCCCCCTCCGAACCAGGCGCTGTGCTACATGCCTTGTTGAATTCTGACAAACACTGGTTACTATTATCTCCACTTACACAGGAGGTTCGTGGTCACCACAGAACAGATTAAATAGTTTGCTCATAAGTGGCAGACATGGGATTTGAACCCAACTGTTTCTGGCTCAAATCTTTTGTTGATAAACACCGGAAATACTCTTCCCTCTTTTAATTACAACCTCAGGAAGAAGTTGCAAATTGTGAGGAAAACCTTTGCGTTTAATTTCCAATGATTAAAAAATCATTTATTCAAGCAACAGGGCCTGCACTTAATCAGTATTTGCTGCCTGCCATCAAACTCAGTCTCACAATGGTAATATCTATTTGACAACCAGGGATAAAGTGATATTCTTTGGAAAACAAGGCCACGATCCAGTTTCTTTAAAAAAAAAAAAAAAAAAAAACTGTCTGATACAAGATATGTTTTAGTTTAATTTACCTCTCAGGAAACAGCTTGCCCAAAAATGACTTTTGCAAGTCACGTCGAGTATTTCAGTCTGTGATTTTGTATTGACTTTCACAGCCAGAAATATATTGCCCTGGACTTGGGAAGCTTATGAAAATCATATTAAAGTTGGTAATATTTGTTTAATCTTATTTTCTATTCACTCCAATTTTTACTCCACTATCTGCAATTCTGGAAGCAATAATATTATAGAACATTCTTAGATATCTAATAGTTTTCTTGTTAATTAGAATTTATTGAGGTTAATTCAATAAATCACTGTTAGTATATAAAGTTTTACTCAAACAAAATACAAAGAATCATATATCCAAAATAGTTCTCTCAATATTTTGATGCTGAGTAGCACATTTTATTTTAATGTTTTATATAAGTATGTTTAAGGCCTAGCCCTCAGTTTAATAGAGTTTGTATACATAAGTTGAATTCAAAATAACTTGCTTTAATTAAATCTTATATCATTGAATATAACTCTTCTATAATCTATTTTTCCTATTTTAATTTTCATCCTTCAATAATCTGTTAATATAAATTAATCTTATTTAATGTATGGTACCTTTTCCTCTGTTGGCCAATGCAGAACTCAGTTCTGCATCATTCGTTCTACCTGTAGGCTGCATTTGTAGTTAGTTCTGCTCATAGGCTGCATTTACTGCCATTCTCTACTAATGTGGGGAATAATCAGTTGCTGAAATAATTAGTAATACATTACTTTAGAAAATAGTATTTAAACAATATAAATATTGAGCTAACTTTAAGAAGACATCGGGACTTATAGTATTCAAAATTAGTGTCTTCTTGGCCAGGGTGGTGGCTCATGCTTGTAATCCCAGCACTTTGGGAGGCTGAGGTGGGTGGATCAGTTGAGGTCAGGAGTTTGAGGCCAGCCAGACCAATATGGCAAAACCCTGTATCTACTAAAAATACAAAAATTAGCTGGGCGTGATGGCAGGTGCCTGTAATCCCAGCTACTCGGGAGGCTGAGGTAGGAGAGTCGCTTGAACCTGGGAGGTGGAGGTTGCAGTGAGCCGAGATCGTGCCAGTACACTCCAACCTGGGCAACAGAGCAAGACTCTGTCTCAAAAAAAAAAAATTATCTTCTAGAAAAAGTGGGAAATTACAAATTATAATATTTCAGTATTTCTAACTAATTTTTTTGCAAAGTGCTTTATAATCACAAATAAAATAATCAAACACTTCTGAAAAATATGCTTTTCCGTTCCATTTTAACAGATCATCCTAACTGTATTATCATCTGTTTGTAACATACATAAATATATACAACTGGCTCTGGATAAAGATGGTGAATTGAACACACTGTCATGTGAAAACTGGTACATAAGACCAAAGGTTTTCTGTTTTATTTTTAGGGCATAATTCCCAACTGGCCGAAAAACCAGAGAAGAGAAAAGCAGAAATGAACAAACAAAAAAACCTAAAGCTGGAAAACAGAAGCATGCTTGGTAACTGATTTGGTGAATCTGAGAACACTGAGTCCTAAGCTGACCATGGGGAAAACCTAACACCTAAGGGAACTTATGGTTCCAGGTACCTCTGTAAGGGCAGGCTAAAGGGAAGAGTTGCAATAAAGCAGTGAGGTTGCGAAGGATATGAACAGACACTTCTCAAAAGAATACATTTATGCAGCAAAAAAACACATGAAAAAATGCTCATCATCACTGGCCATCAGAGAAATGCAAATCAAAATCACAATGAGATATCATCTCACACCAGTTAGAACGGCGATCATTAAAAAGTCAAGAAACAACAGGTGCTGGAGAGGATGTGGAGAAATAGGAACACTTTTACACTGTTGGTGGGACTGTAAACTCGTTCAACCATTGTGGAAGACAGTGCGGTGATTCCTCAGGGATCTAGAACTAGAAATACCATTCGACCCAGCCATCCCATTACTAGGTATATACCCAAAGGATTATAAATCATGCTGCTATAAAGACACATGCACACGTATGTTTATTGGGGCACTATTCACAATAGCAAAGACTTGGAACCAACCCAAATGTCCAACAATGATAGAATGGATTAAGAAAATGTGGCACATATACACCATGGAATGCTATGCAGCCATAAAAAATGATGAGTTCATGTCCTTTGTAGGGACATGGATGAAGCTGAAAACCATCATTCTCAGCAAACTATCACAAGGACAAAAAAACAAACACTGCATGTTCTCACTCATAGGTGGGAATTGAACAATGAGAACACATGGACACAGGAAGGGGAACATCACACACCGGGCACTGTTGTGGGGTGGGGGGAGGGGGGAGGGATAGCATTAGGAGATATACCTAATGCTAAATGACGAGTTAATGGGTGCCGCACACTAACATGGCACATGTATACATATGTAACAAACCTGCATGTTGTGCACATGTATCCTAAAACTTAAAGTATAATAATAAAAATAAAATAAAATAAAAAAAGAAGTGAGGTTGGGCCGGGTGTGTTTGTTCAGGCCTGTAATCCCAGCACTTTGGGAGGCCGAGGTGGATGGATCATGAGGTCAAGAGATTGAGACCATTCTGGCCAACATGGTGAAACCCCAGCTCTACTAAAAATACAAAAATTAGCTGGGCGTGGGGGTGTGCGCCTGTAGTCCCAGCTACTCGGGAGACTGAGGCAGGAGAATCGCTTGAACCCGGGAGGCAGAAGTCGCAGTGAACCGAGATCGTGCCACGGTACTCCAGCCTGGTGACAGAGCGAGACTCTGTCTCAAAAAAAAAAAAAAAATAAAGTGAGGTTCATTGAAAGTTGTTTTAGAGCTCCATATCTCCTTTGTTCTTTGATGTTGCAGGGCAAATGCCCTTCACCCACCACAATAGAACACTGAAAAATTATTCTCTGAAGAGGATAAAACAGATGGCATCTATTTCATCTGAGCTGTAGCAAACTGAAGACAGTATTACATGACCATCAGTAGGGTAGATACTGAAACACACAAATGTGTTCTTCCACTGGAAAGCAAAGCACTGTGGTCTGTGCCTTTACCTTCAGAACCTTCTCTGGGAAATCAATAGAAAAGAATAAACTGGGCTTCGTCAGTAAAATGGCTTGGCTAGAAATGGTCCAACTGTAACATATATGCTCCACCCATATAACCAGAGCTCCCAATCACATTTCAAATCCTCCTATTGTAGATATGAGCAGATGACCAAGGACCGCCTGATATGTCAGGAAAGTTTTTTACATGAAAACTGGAGACTAAGACAAACAAAAATTAAAAAAAAAAAAACTACTTAAAAAAGAATGTGCAAACGAAATGTCAAATAACAACCCTTAACATCTTCAGGGAGGTAAGTGGAAGACAGGGCAACCTGAAACTGTACAAGTACTACAAAAATGGGAACAAAAATTAAAAAATAAGAAATCATAGAAATTTGTAAGACTTATATGAGAAGCACAAAACTCTGTAGAAGTTCAGAAAACACAAGGTAGGATACCATATTCAAGGGGCCTCCTAAGTGCCTAGCACAATGGACAAACACTGACACCAGTGTCCACCTTAGTGAAAAAGTTTATCCTAAACTTTCAGATAGGAGGAAATCACATGAAAAGGATCAGAATTAGAATAAATTCATACTTCTCAGCGGCAACACGTAGAAATGGAGAAATGCTTGTAAAACGCAGAAGAAAAAGAAATTCTAGTCCAAGCCAGGGTACCAAGTAAACTGTGTGTGTAAAACAAAACATTTTTAGACCGCACCATCTCCCCACCTTTTCATAGCAGCCGCTGGAGGACAGGCTCCACATAGGAGAGGCTAAAGCAAGAAAGAGACATGAAGGCTGGAGAAAATAGGAGCCCCAGCATAGAAGGCAGCTGCAGGAGCTCATGGCAGGAGAGATGTGAAGAGAGAGCCCAGGATGACAGCTGTGCCCAGACACCAAGGACACCTAGTCTAGAAGAAGGTAGACGGAAAGCTCTGGAAGGATTTTTCCTAGAAAATCTTCATGAAGTAACTGATGTATGAAAATATCTTGGGAGGGAATTGAGAGATTGACCGAGAGTGTAACGATGGCTTAGGGGCAACTACCTAAAGATAGTAAAAGGTAGGGGGAAGGGACTAAAAACAAATCAACTGTTAACACCACAACTGAAATTTAGCAAAATAAGTCAATAAATAACTGTTTACTCCCTAGCACAGCCCTCAGGAAGATTTATTAGTGATAATACACACTGAATACTAATTTAACAAAAATTGCAATATAACTGTCTTCAGAAAATAAGAACGTGGGTATAAATGGGGCTGTGAATAGTATAGAGAGACAAGTCTTCATCTTTAGTAGAAAGTCAAGAGATGATTTCTAAAACTAAAATAATGCTAAGAAGAAGAATGGGAGGAAGACCAGCAGGTTCCATATCGATAGGGAAGTGAATTCTGAAAGAATACAATAGAAATGTTGGAAGTAGTTGCCTTTGGGAAAAAGAAAATGGGGCTGGGGACGGTGGCTTCCCAGCACTTTGGAAAGCTGAGGCAGGCAGATCACTTGAAATTAGGAGTTCGAGACCAGCCTGGCCAACATTGGGAAACCCCATCTCTATTAAAAATACAAAAAATTAGCTGGGCATGGTGGTGTGCGCCTGTAATCCCAGCTAGTCAGGAGGCTGACGTGGGAGAATCGCTTGAACCCAGGAGGCGGAGGTGGCAGTGAGCCAAGATTGCACCATTGCACTCTGGCCTGGATGACAGAGCAAGACTCTGTCAAAAAAAAAAAAAAAAGGAAAAGGGAAATGGGTGAGTGAAAGAATATGTTTTGCTATATTTTGGAGCTAAATGTTAGAAACTATAATTGATATAATTATGCCACATATAATCCGCAACATATGTAAAGGTACTTTATTTAGGAGACCGAGATAGAAAATCCAGTTTAATCTGCAGTCATCAAAGTTCAAACTGTTCACGATTTGTAATAAGCAATGCTCTTATTCTATCACAAACAAAACACATGTTCTCTACTAAATAATATATAACTTCCCTTCTCAATTGTAGAAAATAGACATCTAACACCATACACAGTTTTATTCTTTTTTTTTCCTATTTTAAAAATTATTTTATTTATTTATTTTTTCTTTTATTATTATACTTTAAGTTTTAGGGTACATGTGCACATTGTGCAGGTTAGTTACATATGTATACATGTGCCACGCTGGTGCGCTGCACCCACTAACTCGTCATCTAGCATTAGGTATATCTCCCAACGCTATCCCTCCCCCCTCCCCCCACCCCACAACAGTCCCCAGAGTGTGATGTTCCCCTTTTATGTGCATTTCAGCAATTATTTAGCCATGACAACGGGAGAGAATGTAGGAGCCAGGTTCTCCAAACTTTGTTTTACTAGCACAATGGGGTCATAAGTTTATGAATGAAGTTTATAAAAATAAACATTTTGTGGTTTTGGATATAAGAAACCATAACACAAGAATTACTTTAATTAAAATCACTTAATATTGTACAACCCAGCATTGTGTTATATTTCAACAAAATGGTGTACAACGATAAACATTCACTTGCATCCATTAATGCATTTAATTCAATAAGTAGATTTTGGGAACTCATCAGATGCTCAGCTTGTGAGCATTCAGAGATGAGCGACGTCATCAAGGTGTCTGTCAAGTCTGCTTATCTAGTAAGTATGAGATCCTAGAATTCTTAGAATTTAAAAAAATGTTTCATCTACATTTTTATTTCATTGGCCAAAAAGTGTCTTCAAATTAAGGTCACTAGACCAATCTCATTGATCAAAGGTGAAACACCTCCTTTAATTTGGGTGCAGTTGATTAAAGAGAGAATAGGAAGAAAATAGGTAGCTCTATATTCATGAAAAGACTGTTTTCCAAAGTATTCTTACTACAACCTACTTGAAGCCTAGCATTCATTTTCCTCTGGAAATAATACTTACATGGGAACAGCTATCACTTTAAGAAGAGTGTGTTTGGTGTTCTAGGGCACCTATGGCTTATTTATTTTCTATTGGCAATACTCATATAAGTGTGTTTGCACATGCAAATGTACCCCAATCATGTTGTGTCTGGGAAAAAATAACAGTATAGTCAACTGAAATAGTTATTAGTGTTTCTTTTCTTTACTTCTCTTTAAAGGCACACAGTCAGAGTACTAAGAATACAGACATGTGCCTAGAAGTTTCACAGTAGCTTACATTTCAGCATGAAATTCGGTATCGGATGGTATATTATTTTCTCCTTCCCATCAACATTTTTGCATGAACTGCATTATGCATAGCCTAGGATTTGGGGAAGGAGGTGTATAGATTAAATCCCATGGCCACGAACATTTTGCTTCAAAGTAAAATGCAAAAAAAAAAACACAAAACTTGTGACCTGAAGTCACTTCAAAGTGAGTCTATGAAAATAAAGATGTTTGAGAGAATTACCTTTTTAAAAAACATTATTTTGAAACAAATACACCATTTTGAAATAGGCTAATGTGCACGAGCTCTTTCTTGGCCATATTATTTTAAATGTATGACTTTTTCATTTCAAAGGAAAGAAGCTCTTTTGCAAATGCCCTTTTCTAAAATGTAGAAGAACAATTTCCGTTGCAAAGTAGGTTGTGCAGAGCCTCTGCGATCTTACCTAAATTATTAATTTGGTTAATCAGTGCATTCCCTTCCCAGATATTCTAAAGGGAGACTAGTCCCACTCCCTGTCCAAGATTTTACACAATATTAATTAGCAAATTTTTATTTAAAAAATGAAAACAGTAGTAAACCCAGTCAATGCCCAGTTGTCTTATACAATATATATGATGCAAAAATTGGTATATTTCATTATAGTTTTCACAAAGGAATTTGGTCTATATTTCTCCTACACATACAATCTACATTTTATAACCGAACAAACCTCCTTTCCAAACCCACTACAAATAATTTCTTAAGATGTATAATTAGGACACCTGTCTCAAATCCTTTGATAGGTTTTTAGTTCATTTCTTGGGAGAAGTGTTCTGGTTGTTTCTTTTTTAATCAAAGCTACTTTGCTAAATTGCTTTCCAAGCAGACCTCAGAATATTTGCAGTCAAAGTCTGGCCCTGGCCTTGTCGCAATTTGAATATTAACAGTCATAGTTTTACAGCCCTTCCATTTTGAGTAATGCACTGCAACTTCCACAATTCAGCCGTCATTTTTTCCCTTCCTCACCCGGCCCTGGCCCTCAGAATGTTTGCGTGGTGTCACCGTGAATGTGCTTGGAGCAGAGTTATATGGCATCATTTGGAGAAACATTGCGTTAATAACCAGAGTTCAAGGGCAAAGGATATAAACGGAGCAAATTACAAGTCTGAACAGATATATAGCTTTTGCTAAAAGGGACATGGGCTGCTACTTTATTTACTGGGCACTGGTGCACTTGTGGAAGGTGCCGGAACGCAAAAAGGCATTTTTGAAGGACCACATCACAGCCTAAGAGAACAGCATACATCTTCAGACTAGGAAGAAAGCTAGTGCAAGGATCAACGATTCTATGTCTTAATGAGAGAATACGATTTGCTATCAGGTACCTTAAGTTTCTGGGGTAATTTCACAGAGGATAATATCATTTTATGTGCCACCATGGAAGGAAAGCAGAGGTTTGTTGGAAACCTGAATTCTATCAGTCATTTCAAACTGCACCTTTGCTCAATTTGTGAAGAATTTTTTTGCTGTAACCATTTTAACCAGGGTTATCAACCTAGTTCAAAATTAACACTATGAAAGAGTGATTTGTAAAAATGCTATATTTTATTTTTATATACCAACTTCAGAGCTATTTCAATGATTGAACAGAAACCAAAATCCAAAAGAGAGGAAAGAAATTTTTAAAGAAACAAAAGGACTTCATTAATAACTAAAGAAAATGAATATCAAAAAATAATTCCCACCTGCTACATTACCAAATACTTTTCCAAATAGTCTCAATAACATGGAGCATACTTTTTTTTAAAATGTGATACATTTCACAATGTAGACATATATCAAAACGTCACATTGTGTACCTTGAATATATACAATTTTTATTTGTCAATTTTTCTTCAACAAAGCTGAAAAAAATGTAATACAAGATTTTCCTGCTGGCAGGATGGGGCGGTACAATACTTTTTTTTGTAAGTTAGCTTGAAAATGATTGTAAAAAAACTACGAAAATGTTCCTAATGTATGGCCCATTTATTCCACTTCAATAAATTTCTTTGAAATTAATAATTTAAAACATGGAAATGTTGCCTCAAGATGTTCCTTACTGTGTTATTTACTCTAGTGAAATCCAAAAGCAACCTAAATATCCAACATCAGGAAAATAGTTGAGCAAACCATATATACAATTAATGAAAGATTATGCAGTTATTAAAATTGGTTAATATGGATATTCTCTAATAATATTAAAAAGTCCCTTCGACATAATGCTGTGTGAATCACTACATAATCCCACAATTCAAATGTACTCTTTTATAAGTATGTAAGCATACATATAAACAATTCTAGTAAGAAGCATGCATACATTTAATTTACATGGGCATTTTTTTGGTATATGCTGTCCCTGTTAGCCTGATGGGATTATTATGTTTCCTTTTCCCATTTCTTTTTTCTAAAGTTACTGTTCTGTTCATATGGTATTTGAAAGAGAAACACTTGTACTTAAGCTCTCTCTTTCCACCCACTCGCTTTTCAATCAGTTATATAAAATATACCTTGGTGATATGTTTCCATCTCATTTATTACTATTTTAAACATGGCTTTCACTTTCTTCGTGGTGGTAGTGGACATGGCAGAGGAAGATGGTGTAATTCAAAAGCACAATTAAGCAGAAAATCATTTTCCTCCTAGAAAAAAAAATCTGGTTTTTTCTAAACTATTTTACTCTCAGAAGTAAATGAATCAGCACCTGCAGGACTGACTGCCTCCTCGACAGGAGATGCTTTACCTTCAGCGTGGCGGTTTGCGCAGGAGGAATGCTTGCAGTGAATGGACCTGTCTGTCTTTCAGTCGCCAAAGAAGAGCCCGGATGACACAATAGCTCTCTATCAGCCCCATTTCTATGGTGGTTCACGACTTATTCTCTCCTGCTAACCGTCTGCCTGCTTCGACCCTCACTCTCAACCTAACCAGTGTTAAAAAGGACACTTCTTAAATAGAATTGCCTAAAACAATGCACCGTCATCCTTTTGCAAGGGCAAACAAAACATATTCAAATTGCTCATGACTTTTAAACAAGTAAAAGCTAGATAAATTATGAAAATGTTGCATATCCTAATGTGCTATATATATATATATAGATATATATATATATATCGGGCACATCCTTCTATTTTTTTCTTTTTCGAAAAAAAAGTTTACTAGCGTTTACTAGCCAATTATCTTATATTTTTAGCCTGTGTAGAATATCTAAAGTGTATTGTCCACGCCCCTCCTTTTTAACCCATTTTCAATGGGTTTAATATTGCCCGAGATAAGGGGATGCAACTGTTCAGGTCTGATTTCCTGTTGTTTCTCAGATACTGATAGGGCATCATTCACATACATGACAAATAAGACTTCTGAACTGTTTGCCATTTGGGAAGGGGAGGCTCGCGGGTTGTTCCCTGGCGAAATGATTTGTGAAACATCAGTCCGAAATTATTCGGGGGTTCTTCGCCCTCCACTTTCCCATAGCGCGTTTTCCTTTCTCCCACAGAGATATAATAGAAACTAATCTTCAAAATCCAAACATTCCAAGCCCCATCCTTTTGTGCAGGCATCTCGCTGTCTGCGCTGGGCACGGAGCGGCGCGCGCGCGCCCGTCTTTCCCTCGGCGGCCCCCGCGGCTCGGACCCGGGCCGGCAGACAGGCCATCCATCATCCGCCCTCCTCCCGCGGAGCGCCGCAGCCGCCGCGGCCAATCCGGCGGCAGGTGGGGCCGCACCTGCGCGACAGCCCGCCGCTTCCCTCCGCTCCCTTCGCCGCGCCTCGCGTGCTAGCGGTGCCCTTGTGAGCCACTGCGTTCTCCAAGGCCAGAACGGGACAGGTACGCTCGGGTGACAGGGACCGTACGTGCGCTGAGCCCGCGGCTGGCAGCCAGGGGGGCGGCTGGAACGTGGGAGGACACGCTGTCCCTTAATACACACGCGTGCTTTGGATGGGTGTGTCATCTATTTGTGGACATACGGGCCCTCACTGGGTTTAGCCTCTTAAAAAGTTGAAGAATTAAGATGCTTACCTTTGGAAGGGAAGTGTAACTGAGAACACGTTTTAGTGATAGAATGTGTTGCCTCTGGTCTGTTTCTTGGGTGAACCCATGGTGCAGTTTCCAAGCCACGTCTGAATTCCGCATGCCCCCTACATACTTCAGGCAGTATTCCCCTAAGGCCTAAGTGAGAAATACTGACTCAATACTAAAGATTAAATAGTATCCATAGGATACAAAAATTACCCCAAACAAAAACCTAACCTAGACCTCAAGGACCATGAAAAGACTGTAACAACTTAAAGAAAAAATAGGACCTCAAACTACAGAGAAGCTTTCATTTTCCAAATAGGCAAATTATTTGTAGTGCAATCCGCTTGTTTTTGTGGGGGCTAAAGCGGGTGTAGAGTTGCTTGGCTATTCTGTGGAGGCAGCTAGATAAGTCCTGCTAACATGTTATGGATTTTGTAAGCGGGCTCAATAACTCCCTTTGGTTTAAAAGGTCCAAAACATGTATTTTATCATGTAATTTGAGAACAAATGAGAACAAGCAGAATGCCTGCCTCCCCCGATATGTTCCAGGAGTGTGTCTATGTAGATGTCAATTACGTAAGTGCAAGGCCTTGGAAAACAACAGCCCTGCAGGTGGCTTCAAGGCTTCAAGATTTTTCAGAAAAGCATATTTCTTTTATTTTCTTTAAGAAAAATACAAAATAAAAATAACAGCAACCACAGCCGCAAGCATTACCCTCCAACCTCCTGCCCCTGTCTTGCTTCTGAGTCATAAATCATGAAAAAGAGAGAGACAATGACTCCAGTTTTCCTGCCTTTAACAACTGGAACTGCTAATGCCAAAAAGGAAGAGAAATAAACAGGCGAGCTGTATTTCTGCAGAAGAAGGAGAGGTGCCCTTGGGAAACCGGAGGTTCCTCATCTCTAAGGACCTCCCTTCCCTAAAAAGGGTCTCTCCCTTTAAAGTTAGTGGTTCTCAAACCTGTCTTCATGTGAGATTCACATAGGCTTTTGTTTTTTGTTTTAAGAAATACAAATGCCAAAATTAATACTCTGGTTTGATTGGTCTGGGGTGTGGTGGAGGCAGAAGCACTTTGGGGTTAGACATAGGTATTTTGGGAAAACCTTTCCAATCCTTGGCATGTGCAGCCATCCAGCTGTGCATTCCAATCCTGTTCTGTTTCATGGGCTACATGAGATATTATTTGATTCTATTTCATGAGATATATGAACGGGATTCCTGGGATAGTATTCTGTTCTGTTTCACAGGATATACTTATGCCCCCATCCCACAGTTGTCTCCCCTCTCCACTCAAGCATATGCACAGAACCCACATTGGGTAAACAAGATCTCTCTTTTTGTTTCTTTTCCACTACTCAGTTCTATTAGCATTTTAGTGTATTCATTCTGGTTGTTAAAATGTATCACTCCTCATTTTAACACCTCGATAGCAGTTTGGGATTTTTGTTATTTGCTGTTGGTGCATTTATATTTACATATTATTTTTTAAAATACTGAGTTTCGGGAATTGGAGAGCAAGTGATAGACTTGCTGTGACATTTTGAAGTCTAAAATGTTTTTATCAGAACCTGGAAGCCCAGCATGTTGGAGAAGCTCCCCCTTCAGAGCGTGGCCTTTGTTCATCCCCTTCAGGCCCACCTGAGCCACTGAGGATCGCCCGCAGAAGGCTGGCTGCACATTTTGTATGAGCAGAACATTCTTCCTGTTCACCAAAGTGGAACTGAAGTTTCTCTTTCCCTTGGATTTTCTCACTCTCCATGGCCAGCAGCGCCACATTTCTGGATTATGTTGTACGCTTTACCTTGAGAGATAGATGATCTGGTCTTTGATTAGACACCCTGACCTTTTACGAGTGTTGATCATTGATCATGATCTAGGCTGGATAGAAAGCTCTTGACTCTGAAAAGTTACTCGGCTGCTGACACCACAGGGAAATGCAATTTCTGAGTCCTGGTAGTCACTGCAGCAGGACTCCCCCTCAATTAGGATTTCTCTTGTTATTATTTTACTTTTCTTAAGCAAGCTGCAGCCTCTACTCTCCAGCTCTAGCTTTTAGTTACGGTAATCAATTTTTCTGTGTAACTGGCTGTAATTGTTGGCTTGGATATTGAGCTTTCATGGAGCTTAGACATAGAGTGTTCCCGTGAAGGGTCTTCTCCATGCCTAGCAGACAGATGGGTAATAATGCCATATATTAATACCTCCACATTGGTTTATGTGTGTTTGACCACAGTGCAAGCATAATTATTTTTGCCCAGTAAAAGCTATTAGAGATCTATTTGGTAGGTTTTACGATCAATAGCTCCTGTGATATTTGTGTGGCAGCCACAGAATAATCAATTGAAGGTCATATAAAGTAAATTACCATCCTCCTATAATGATTCTTGTTTCTAGATGAAAATTGGGTTTTATTATTTCATCAGGAGCCTCTCACGACGCATGCTCTGTCTGTTTGAGAAAGAGAGATATCAAAGTTGTGAGCGTGTTTTGAACATAGTATTAATATCCATTACTTGAATTTATGGTATTGGATTATTGAATTAGTGGATTCACACTGGAATTCCTTCAAAACCCTTTCTTATGTACTCAGTGACACACTTAACAGTCGAGAGCAAACGGACGGCTTTGCCGCGTGGTGGAGTGAGTCACTTTGCAAAAGTCAATCTTGGTAGCTGTCTCTTTAAAGCAAATTTAGAGTTGGTTAAATGTGTTATATTGACAGTGTGACCGACTGAGCTTCTCTCTGCAAACCCTTTTGGAGAGTGACTGGTGAACTAAACAGGAGATGGAGTCAGGAATGCTGAATACTAATGCATAGTCCATGAGTAGCTCAAGGTGAAAGGGGGGCAAGTGGTGGGCGGAGAGGAGAGAGTCCTGTGCACCTGCTCTCCAGCCAGGTCTCTCCCTCATGCAAGATGCCTAACCTGGATTTCAGACTGGCAGTGCGAGCCAGAGTGATGGCTGTGCCTCTATAAAAGATTGCAATTTGCCAACCGGAGGCATGCAATCCCCCAACTGTCTTAAAGGGACCCATTTTCAAAGTTTAGCCTTTCTTTTTGTGGGTGCAATCAGTTGTGCACTGAAAAACTGCAGCCACAGTTGGATAACTGCAGGCACAACAGGCCACGAGAGGCCTCTTTGCTCCAAATTTTGTACCTGCAACTAATTGCACTTACAGAAAATGGGAGTGTGGTAGGAGTTTTTTTTTTTTTAAATTGGGGCCAGTAAATTCTCCATGGAAGAAATAGGCAAGGAAAGAGACAGTTACTCACTTTCTTAAGGACAAAGGCAAATGGAGACATCCTTTCCTTGACACACCCCATCTAGTCTATAGAGCATGGTATAGAAGCCAAATACCAGGTACCACAAATGCCCTGATCATCTGGGACATTGCCTGGGACTCAGTAACGTCTTGCAAATGTACAAGAAATAATCTATGAAAAGTAGCCCAGAGAAGACATTAGTGAGTTTGAGACAATAACTCCGGTGATAAATTAATGAAGTGTTTTATAATAAATAGCAGAGGGGATTTTCTTTCTATTTAAATAAATTGTTAGTTACTTCTCATTTGCTTTGCAGATAACTCATGCAAAAATTAAGATAGTAGTGACTCTGGATTTTATTCAAAAGGTAAATCTGGAGCCTCTTTGCATTTACAGATATTTATAAATGTACATACATAAGATATGTATGTATTTATATATATATATAAATTATATATGGTATATCTGTATACGCACTTATATACACATATTTTATACATATACTTTTTTTTTTGAGAGATTGTCTTGCTCTGTCACCCAGGCTGTAGTGCAATGGTGCAATCTCAGCTCACTGCAGCCTCCGCCTCACAGGTTCAAGCAATTCTCCTACCTCAGCCTCCCGAGTAGCTGGGACTACAGGTGTGCATCACTGTGCCTGGCTAATTTTTGTATTTTTAGTAGAGATGGGGTTTCACCATGTTGGCCAGACTGGTCTCTAACTCTTGACTTAAGGGTGATCCGCCAACCTCAGCCTCCCAAAGTGTTGAGAGTACAGGCGTGAGCCACCACACCCGGCTACATACACTTACTTTAATTACTTTTTTGATGAGCCTAGGGAAAGGGAAGTCTTGCAATCTTTTTTTTTTTTTTTTTGTCTTGAGACAAAGTTTCACTCTTGTTGCCCAGGCTGGAGTGCAATGGCATGATCTAGGCTCACCACACCTCTGCCTCCCGTGTTCAAGTGATTCTCTTGCCTCGGCCTCCTGAGTAGCTGGGATTACAGGCATGTACCACCACACCTGGCTAATTTTATATTTTTAGTAGAGACGGAGTTTCTGCATGTTGGTCAGGCTGGTCTCGAACTCCTGACCTCAGGTGATTCGCCCGCCTCAGCCTCCCAAAGTGCTGGGATTACAGGCGTGAGCCACCATGCCCGGCCCAGTCTTGCTTTTTAAGGGATGCACAAATACAACTTGGGTGACTCCCAAGTCCTAGTGGGTGAATTTCCTGCCTGGGGGCTTGCAAAGTTATGTCTCACAAGGAATCCATCTTACCATCTATTCTGTACAATTTAGTGACAGGCAAGTTGAGACTCAACTCAAAACCTTGTTTTCTACCTTTTGCAGATGACCATAAATTAAGCTCATAGCCTGGGAATTTGTAAATAATATACAAAATAACATTTGTATTTTGAGATTCTGTTCTTACAGAAATAGTTTGAAATATACTTTTATCCCAATAACAAATTGAATCACCAAACAAAACAAGCAAAGGTTTTAGTAGTTCTTACGGTTCCCAGGAAATTGATGATAGAGTAGTGTAACAGGAATTAAAAATTGAAGAAGTCCAGACAGAAATATAGAGCAATAGAATAGAATAGAATAGAGAGCACAGAAATAAATCCATGTATTTGTGGTCAACTCGGCAAGGGTGTCAATAACACACAATGGGAAAGTATTGTCTTTTCAACAAATAGTGTTGGGACAAGTGGACATCCACATGCAAAAGAATGATAGTGTACCTATATCTTATACCATACACAGAAGTTAACTCAAAATGGGCTAAAGACCTGAATCTGTAAAACTCCTAGAAGAAAATAGAGGGGGGAAATGTCATGACATTGGTCTTGGAAATGATTTCATAGATATGACGCCAAAAGCACAAGCAAAAAAACCAAAAGTAGGCAAAGGGGAACAAAAGCTTTTGCACAGCAAAGGAAATAGTCAACAGAGTGAAAAGGCAACCTACAGAATGGGAGAAAATATTTGCAAACTATTCATCCAACAGGGGATTAATGCCAAGAGTATACAAAGAGCTTATATGACTAAATAGCAAAATAATGATAATAATGATAGCCAATTGTTTAAATGAGCTATGGATTGCAAAGACATTTCTCCCAAGAAGACATATAAATGGCCAACAGGTATATGAAAAACAAGATGCTTAGCATCACTTATCATAAAAAATGCAAATCAAAGCCATAAAGAGATAGTACCTCATACTTGTTAGGATAGCCATTTTCAAAAAAACAAATGACAAGTGTTGAGGGATGTAGAGCAACTGGAACCCTTGAACACTGTTGGTAAGAATGCCAAGTTGTATAGCCACTATGGAAAACAGTATGAAGGTTTCTAGAAAATGTAAAAATTGGACTGCCATATGATTCAGCTATCTCACTTTGGTATTTATCCAAAAGAATTAAAATCAAGATCACAAAGGTATACTCCCATGTCATTGAAGCATTATTTACAATAGCTGAGATGTAGAAGCCAGTGAAATGTCCATCAGCAGATAAATGTATACATAAAATGTGGTATGTACCTACTATGGGATATTATTCAGCCTAAAGAAAAGAAGGAACTCCTAAAATATGTGACAATATGTGATATTATGAAATATATATTTGGTCTTGGTCCCCACTTCCTGGCATATAACTCCTAAAATTCTTGGAATCGCCAAAGAGAAAAGTGTGTTTTTGTATGCTTGAGGCTTGACTAATGGCTGGCAGTCCCTAATAGCTTCAGGATGGGACTTAACACTGCAAAGATGAAGAGAGAATTAGAAGGTTGGGACTTTTAAATCCATCCTTCAACCACCTAGGAGAAGAGAGGGGCTGAAGGTGAAGTTGGTCACCAATGACCAGTGATATAACCAGTCATGAGGTAATGAAATTACCATAAAGGACTGGGTGTGGATAGCTTCTGGAAACCTGGGCAAGCTGGAGGCTCCTGGGGGATGGTGTGCCCAGAAAGAGAATGGAAGCTCTGCACACCTTCCCCCATATCTTGCCCTATGACTTTTTTTTTTCATATGCAACCCTCGCGGTATCCTTGAATAATAAACCCGTAAATGTAAGTGTTTTCCTGTGTTCTGTGAGCCACTCTTGTAAATTAATCAGACCCAGGGAGGGGGTCACTGGCTATAAATCCCGATTTATAGCTGGCCAATCAGAAGCACAGGTGAAACAACCTGGGGCTTGTGATTAACATCTGAAGTGGAGGCAGTCTCATGAGATGGAACCCTCAACCTGTGGGATATGAGGCAGTCTCCAGGTAGATCACGTCAGAGTTGAATTGCAGGGTGCCCGGCTGATGTCTGCTGTAGAATTGATTGCTTGCTTGATGTGTGGGGAAAACCACCCCAGTGTGTGGTGTCAGAAGCATGTCGTGAGACAATAGAGAAAACGAGTTTGTATTTTCCACTCAACACGGATGATACTTGAGGACATTATATTAGGTGAAATAAACTAGTCGCAAGGGACAAATACTGCATGTTTCCACTCATTTGAGATGTTTAAAATAGGCAAACTCTTAGAGGCTGAGAGTAGAATGGTAGCTGCCAGGGCCTGTGGGGAGGGAGAGATGGAGAGTTGGTAATCAATAGGTATAAGGTTTCAGTTATGCAAGATGAATAATTTCTGGTGATCTACTGTGTAGCATTGTACCGATAGTTAAAATATTGTAAGGTACACTTAAACATCTGTTAAAGGGTAGATTTCATGTTAAGTGTTCTTACCACAATAAAATAAAAGTAGAAATTAAAAAAAAAAAAAAGGAGACAGTTCAAGATATCATGGGAAGACACTCTCGGAATAAGGCAATTAAAGGCCAGGAGTCCTCCAATTCAGCCCATCTACTGCCTCCTTTAATGCAACATGAGTATAAATCACATTTTGCAACTTGGGTGACTTTTCCCATAGAGTAACACTGAAAGGAATTTTTACGTTCTCTCACATGTTTACTTAATAATTGACTCAATGTAAATATGAAATTCAGCAAAACAGCACTGAACGGATTTTGGTATCGATAACAGCATTTGTTTTCATCTAGGTATGTTGACCTGGGAATCTAGTCTCCCAGCAAAACCCCTTCAAGAGAATGAAATGCCACTAGAAATACAAATAAGCCCTCAAGCAGCTTATTAAGGGCCACCCGACCTGCATCATAATGGGAACATTTGAGATTGTGGAGCTACCCTTTCATCTTTCCCCACCTTTCCTTTCATGACACATTGTATAAATGAAGCCTCTACCATTATCCTTTGGAGAGTAAATTAAATAAGGGATGATTTTCCCTTATTCATTCAGCTGGCCTTCGGCATTCAGATTTGGTCCCACACTTCAAAGAGGGGCGGAGAACTTCTAGGGAGTTCAGAGAAGAGGAATATGAATGATATAAGCAATAGAATCTGAGCTATGTTCAGTAAATTGTTCTACAGAGGAAGAAGGTACAAGGTGACAGGAGTATGAAATGATGAAGAGGAAGTGGCAAGATTATTTTTCTTCAGGGGTAAAAGTAATAACATTTGGGGAAATGGGCTTAAATTAGGAACAATTTTCCATGTATAGTAATATATTCCATTAACTGTGAAAGCTAAAAAATAAAGTGAAGCTATAAAATGGCAATTCTTATAAGTCAAAAATGCCCTATGCAAATGAAGTGTTCAATAAAAAACAGTTGTTATTGGAACTGATTGATGATAATGATGATTAAAATTATTTCCTTGCAAGTTTCTGTAACAACTTGGCACTTTCTAGTCTTTCTTAGTACTTGCCTTGCCGAACCCCAACCTTGGATTAGCACCACTGTGTTCCTTCTCCACACCTGTGCTGGCAGCTTCGCTTGGCTAATTGTGGCTGATCCCGGCTAATCTTGGTTTCACTAGAAAGAATAAAATCTTGGCTGGGAATGATGGTGTGTGGATGTAATCCCAGCTATTCAGGAGGCTGAGGCAGGAGAATTGCTTGTGCCTGGGAGGAGGAGGTTGCAGTGAGCCGAGATCACACCATTGCACTCCAGCCTGGGCGACAAGAGTGAGACTCCATCTCAAAACAAACAAACAAACAAACAAACAAACAGAATAAAATCTTAATGTCTCTAGTGGACTCTCACCACTGTCCTGCAGCTTTAAAAAGTCTCCCTATTGAATTGAGTCTCCAAGACAGTGTCTTCTCCCTACTCAAACCAGTGGCTTACACTAAACTGACCTTGCCTCAACTTTCACTTGGAAAGTAAATGCCATCAATTGAGAAATCCCTCATCTTTCACTTCATTTTCTAAATATTTTTAAATTTTTTAACTCACCTATATCCACACCGTCTTTTTTCCTTCAAGATTACAACTGATGAAAGGTGGCTTCTGTTTTCAAAGGTCAGGGTTTTTTTTTGTTTTGTTTTTTAAGATCTTATCCTCTCATCCTTCTGAAGAATTCTGTAGACTTTGGGTCATGACTCTCCTGCATCTAATGTACCTTCTTTACTGGATCAGTGTACACACTAGGCAGTATAAACACCTAAACCAAACAAACAAAACTCAAGCCCAAAAGATGATAGCTGACTTCTAATTTGGCAAAAGATGATAGTTGACCTCCAATATCCATTGTTTCCTTCTCTCGGTACAAGAATCTATGCTTCTGTCTGGGTCCATGAACACCTGGAACGGGCAATGTTCCCCAGCTTCTCTTGCAGCTAGGTGAGGCCGTGTGAATGAGTAAACACATGCAGTATTTCAAGCTCTTGGAAGCATCCTCAGTGCAGGGATCTGAGCCCTTCATCACTTCCTCCTATACTGATGTTGGCAGAGCTGTGAGAGAGAAAGATCTTGGCCCCCATTGTTTGGGGAGCCACCATAGCAGCTCTGGACTTCTTACCTCTTAACATTATCAATGGGAGAGAAAAATAGACACCTACCTAGTGTAAGCTGTTGTTATATTTTTCTATCACTTGCAGCCAAATCTAATCTCAGCTGATAAACGAACACTCCTTACAACTCATGTCCCTAAAATTGCCTCGCCCTTAGCTTTTCTTTACAGACAGAATTTTGAGTTATCTCCATGTACATCCTTCACATCCTCACTCCTGTCACACCTTGACCTGGTCCAGTGTGGCTTCCACCATCATCCTGTAGAAACTGCATTTGTCAGGTGCACTGACCTCCATCTGCCAGTCCTCTTCTTACCCAACAGAGCAGCAGCACTGGGCATCCTCCACTTTCTCACAAGTCTCTCTTTTCTAGAACTCTGTGTTATCACACTGTCCTGAGTTTTCCTTGGCCCCTCTGGTTACTACTCCTCAGTCTCCTTTGCAATCCTACATTTCAATTGTCTGCTCCATCACTCTTCTGTTGGTTTCATAGGCATTTAAACCTAATGTATCTAAAATGAGACTCTTGATTCTCCCACCTCCCAAACCTGGTTCTACCTCAATCATCCTCATGTTAGCAAATTCACCGACCTGATTTATCTAGAATATGGGAGTCATATCCCATTCTGCTCTCTACCTCGCTCCTTAGAGTCCTCATCTCAAAGCAGTCCTGATGAGGTCCATCTCAAACATAAAAATCACATCCGTCTATTTCTACCCATCTTTACTTCTGACATCCTATCGCCTGGGCCATGGAATGGCATCTGTTCTGATTTTCCAACTTTCCCTCTTTCCTTTTCAATCCCAGATTAATATAAAGAAATAAAGCATATAGCTCTGCTGCTCCAAGCTCCACAGTGGATTGCTACTACATTGAGGACAGAATCCGAGCTCCTTATCCGAGAGCATATGGCCCGATAGAACATCATTATCCCTCACACAGGTTTTCTTGGAGTTCCTCCCAAAAACCAAAGTATTTCCTACCCCAGGACATTTGTGCAAGCTGGTCCTTCTCTCTAGTAGTCTCTTCCCATGTCAGTTCTTGTGAGTGGCTCTTTCTCTCCATTCAGACACCCCATTAAATGGTATTGCCTCTGCAAAACCTTCACTGGCCACCTTGCTTAAGGAGACACACACCTATGTGTACTAATCCTTCGTAACTCCCCGGTCTTTTATTCCTTTAGAGCAATAATCATTATTTTTCAAGTAATAATTTATGGGTTTATTGGCTTAATTGATTTTTAGATATTTTAACCACTTTATTGAGGTATTATTTATTTACCATAAAATTCATCTGTTTTAAGCAAACATCTGATGTTTTTATATTTTCATAAATTTACTGAGATATGCAGCCATCACCACAACTCAATTTTAGAACATTTCCCTCATGGCCATTTGGAGTCACTCTTCATTCCCCACTAGACCCAAACAATCACTAATCGACTTCTTATCTCTATAGATTTGCCTTTCTGAACATTTTATATAAATGGAACCATATAATACGTGGTATTTTGTGGCTAGCTTCTTTCACTTAACATCATATTTTCACATCCATTTTATAAGTGATAACACATACCAGTACTTCATTCCTTTTTTATTTCCATATAAATTTTATTGTATGGATATACCACATTTGCTTTTTTATTCATTCATTGGTAGTCATTTAAATTGCTTCCAGTTTTGGGCTATTACATATTATGTTGTCTAGTACTTACTACTTTCAACTATACATTTTTTTTTTTTTTGAGACATAGTCTCTCTCTGTCACCCAGGCTGGAGTGCAGTGGCCTGATCTTGGTTCACTGCAACCCCCACCTCCCAGGTTCAAGCGATTCTCCTGCCTCAGCCTCCTGAGTAGCTGAGATTACAGGCATGCACCTCACACTGACTAATTTTTGTATTCTTAGTAAATACATGGTTCCACCATGTTGACCAGGCTGGTCTTGAACTCCTGACCTCAAGTGATCCGCCTGCCTCAGCCTCCAAGAGTGCTGAGATTACATTTTGAAACTTATTTGTATATCTCTTTCCTAAACCTATAAGCCTGATAGCACTTGACTGGCCTGTTTTGTCACCAATGTGTGCTTAGTACTTAGAAAATGCTTGCTATGACTAGAAGCTTAGTATTTGTTAAATGTACGAATAATAACTAACTCCATGTTGATTTCCAAATATCTCTTTCTAATGATTAGAGGCCAATTTGGATGATTGTAGAGGCTGGGAAAAGGGTAATTTTCTAATTTTTGGATAACATCAGCTCTCGGTAGCATAATCTTCTGAAGGTGCTTCTGCTTCATCTTGTTGTACCAACTGGAGAAATATCATTCTGGGTTGTGGGAAGCCCACATTCCTTAAGGGTGGCTTGCTAAATGTCCATCTCTGACTCTCTGGAAAGTTTGAGAGCATGCAAAAAGTGTGACAGTGTTATTTCGCATTTATCTGGAGCTCAGGAAAAGATTCTTTGAAAGCTTTTGGGGAGTCCCTTCCATACAGTTAAATTAGAGTACATGATCCAGGAACCCGTACCTGAATGGAAAACTAGGAAGCAGTTTCTGGATGGCAGTGTATGTAAATCTTGCCAAGCCTAGGATCCTGCTTTAGGCTTTAGTCCAAGTAGCTTAATTCAGCATCTAGCATGCAAGTTTAGGCAGACTTTATTCCCCATGCCAAAATTAAGGAGATTTGAGTTTCAGAAACTGAGTCTTAGAGTACAGTGTGAACCAGAAGGGCTCTTTACCACCTAAGAAAGAGGTGGAAACTAGTAGTAGCTATTATGAATAGCTCTTTATCTGTTTATTTGAAACAGATACACTTTGCAAACATACCTTGGGTATGCAAAACAACTTTTGCAAAGAACTATAAACCCCATTGCTTCTTTATGAAATCATCAAATAAAATTAGAGTATTTGTGAACTTATTGGAAACTATAAGCCCACTGAGAGCTGTGGTGATTGTATCCTGTTCCTAGGGGAAGAAGAAGTCCAAGAAAAACAGAAGCTGAGGAAGGGGACTGTGAGAAGCCAAAAATGAGGCACATGAGACCAATCTAGCAGGGGCTGGGAAGGGGCCAGGGTCTCCATATCCAACAGGCTTAGGGAGGGAGGGTAAAGCTCTTTTCTTCCCCGGTAGGTAGGGTTGGCTTGGTTTTACTCAATAATTTAAGCAAAATCTAAGAAGACTGTAGCAAATAAATAAATAATTCCCCCATAAACATTATATATTTACTGGAGGAAAACAGAATGAAGCAACCCCAAACAATGTAAATGAGCTGATTTTTGGAAGAGTCATTAGAAAAGGTGTCTGATGTGTTGGTCCTGTAACAAGCATTGAACTAGAACTTGCCTGTTTAGGATAGGAACTCTTGGAAGAGTGATTCACTCACTCCTATAATCCCAGTACTTTGGGAGGCTGAGGCAGGAGGATCATTTGAGGCCAGGAGTTCAGTTTGAGACCAGCCAGGGCAACACAGCAAGACCTTGTTTCTACACAAACAACACAAAACAAAAATTAGCTGGGCATGGTGGCATGTACCTATAGTCCCAGCTACTCAGGAGACCGAGGCTGAAGAATCATTTAGGCCTAGTAGTTCAAGGCTGTAGTGAGCTGTGATTGCACCACTGTACTCCATCCTGGGCAACAGAGTGAGACCCTGTCTGAAAAAATAAAATAAAATTTAAAAAATGAAAATAAACAAAGTGGAACAAAAATGGAGACCAAAAAACAAGCTTTTAATAGAACTAATGGCAAGAGCAGGATGATTTCCTGAGGGCTGCAGAGTTTCAGGGGCAACTAGGAGGATGTTTAGTGCCCATAGATAAGCCAGCTGGAAATGACTGGGAAACAGGAGTAGATACTTAGAATATGTCATTGTGGGGTAGGGTTGGGGAAAACAGTGGACTTGATAAAGAGGCCTAGGGAATATTCCAGTTAAAGCAGAGGATAGAATTACTGGGAACAAGTGACTTTAGTTGTGGAGAGAAGGATTTTGACCTGGAAAGGAAGGTGGGCCAGAAAGAACTAAGCAAACCCAAAGACTTTAAATCAATTCTGTTACCAGAATACAAATAAATTTGGAAGTATGCAGAATCTGAAGCTGCCTATTGAGGTGCGTTGAACTAGTTTACATAATAAGACTCAGCACCCATGACCGATTCCCTGGTGAAGCCTAGCTGCCTGCTATCTCACTCTAACATAGTGTTTCTCTTTCTGCTTGTCCCATGTTCCTTTCCTCTCATGTGTTGCATAGCATTTCCTTGAAGAGAAATCACGTGTAAAGAGTTTGGTTTAAAATGCCATCTAAATAATACTCTTCCCCCCATGAAGTCATGGAAAAAGTTAAAAATGAACCCTAGCATTGACAAACTTTTGCCAAATTGGGAACAATTTCCACTAACTGGAGTATTGATGAAAGCAGCCAGAAGAGATAAATCAATCCATCATCTGTGCTGTGCCATCAGAGTTTAAATTAAAAGATGCTTTCTGTGCTCTTCCAGCCCCCTCTCAACTCTCCACCCTGACTGCCTCCCATGAGAATCACCCTTTAGGCTGATTAAGAACATACTATGTACCTGCAGGTTCTTTGAGGCTCTCAGAATTTAGTTTCTCCCTTCTATTTCCTCTTGATTAATAGTTAACTTTTTAACATTGCTAGGAATTGTGTATTTCCAAAAAAAGATAAGCAGACACAGGTGTTGTCGAGTACATGTAATGGGATAACTGTGTGGCATTGGTGGGGAATCGCCTTAGCAAATGTCACTGTGGGAGATGCGGTCCCTACAAGAAGAGTCCTTCAGGACAGGTAAATTCTATGGGGCGTAGTTTTTATGTATAAATTTAATTTATCACATACTAGGCAGTAGCCTTAGGATAACATCCAATTTTTGTCTAGCAGATCACTGGTATTAAATACTTGGAATTGGGCTAGGGTAATTGACATGAAACTGATAGCAGCTGAGACTCTGAGAAGAGATTTTAGTCAGCACCCAAGTGGAGAGTGAGTGGTGCTCCAGAGTGCTCTACTCAATACTAGTTCTGGATGGAGGGCACTTTGGTTAAGCAAGAGTACAGAGGGAACAACAGCAACTGTAACTTGGAGGACAAAGAAAAGTATATGGCAATTGTGATAAATGGCATGTGCTCTGTTGTCAGAACCAGAGAAAAAGTCAGAACAGTTTGGCTCAATCAGTAAAATACAAGAAGACTTGGTGTTTATGAAATTGGAGCAAAATGCAAGAGAATAGACTGAGTAACAGGACAGAAATACACCACTAAATGATAAGTTATAAGAAAAGCCAAAGTGAGAGACTGATGACAGGAGGAAGGATTGCACACATAGCAGATGACGGGCAGCACTACGGGAGTGTGTTCCTTTCCCCTGTCCAGGGGCTTCCTTCCCTTTGGGACCCAGTGGGAAGTAAACTGTGAGCTGGCGATGCACCTTACTACAGAATGCAAGTCAGTCAGTCAGTTTCTTAAAATTAATTACTGTGGAGCCTCATGCCTGTAGTCCCAGCACTTTGGGAGGCCAAGGCGGGTGGATCACAAGGTCAAGAGATTGAGACCATCCTGGCCAACATGAAGAAACCCTGTCTCTACTAAAAATACAAAAATTAGCCGGGTGTGGTAGCACGCCTGTAGTCCCAGCTACTTGGGAGGCTGAGGCAGGAGAATCATTTGAACCCAGGAGGTGGAGGTTGCAGTGAGCCGAGATCGTGCCACTGCACTTCAGCCTGGCCAACAAAGCAAGACTCTGTTTCAAAAAAAAAAAAAAAAATTAAATACTGTGTTAGGCTGTTCTTGCACTGCTATAAAGAAATACCTGAGACTGGGTAATTTATAAGAACATAGGTGTAGTTGCCTCACAGTTCTGCAGGCTTTACAGGAAGCATGGTGCTGGCATTTGCTTGGCTTCTGGGAAAGCTTCAGGAAGCTTCCAATCCTGGTGGAAGGTGAAGGGGGAGCAAGCATCTTACGTGGCAGAGAGGGAGCAAAAGAGAGAGAATAGGAGGAGAGGTTCCACACATCTAAACAAGCAGATCTCATGAGAACTCACTCACTATCACGAGGACAGCACCAAACCATGAGAGATCTACCGCCATGACCCAAACACCTCCCACCAGGCCCCACCTCCAACATGAGGGATTACAATTCAACATGAGATTTGGTGGGGACACATATTCAAACGATATCAAGTACATTTTTAAAAATTACCATTTTCAGGTGGCAGAGAGAAACATTTGCAAAAGAGAATAGACAAATAGCTAGGAGGTGAGATCAGGTAGAGATAGCTTGCTGGCTTAGCCTGGAAAAATCTGTATTAATAACGCCATCAACAACAGTGTCTCTTCTGCTTCCCTTTCTGGGAACCATCCTCAAAAATTCTGAGCAAACTGGAAAGGGAGATTAGAATAAAAAGCCTAGTTTATGTACCTGCCTGTGACTAAGATAAAGATAATAGTGTGTAAATTTATCTGTGGTGAGTTGAATCATGCCCCCCACCCCACCAAAAAAAAAAAAAAAAAAAAAAGATGTACAAGTCCTACTCCTGGGTACCTACAAATATGTTACCTTGCTTGGCAAAAAGTAACCTTGCAAATGTGATTAAGTTAAGGTTATTGAGATGGGGGATTATACTGCATTGTCCAGTGTATTTACAAAGGTCCTTTTAAAAGGGAGCCAGGAAGACCAGAGGTAAAGAAAGAGATGTTACTAAAGCACAGGTGGGAGTGTTAGTGATGTGGGTCCATGAACCAAAAAATGCACTTGACTTCTAGAAGCTGAATAAAGCAAGGAAACAGATTCTCCCCAGGAGCTTCCAAAGAAACATAGCTCTGCCAACGTGTTTCAGACTTCTGACCTCCAGAACTGTGAGATAATAAGTGTGTGTGTTGTTTTAAGCCACTAAATTTGTCACAGCAGCAATAGGAAACTAATGCATCTCTTAAGGAGCATTCCAGGAAATAATAACATTATACGTTTTGGCATCTGTGCAAATGAGGACTGTTTGAGAGAAATTATGCTGATTTATAAGGTAAAGAAATTACCAGTGATACATCAGAGTTAGATACTAAGCAAAGTTCAGTATGAGTTGGATACTATGAGCTTTGCATAGTATCTAACTGTGATGTATCATATCAATTACACAAGATAAACTAACATGCGATTGCAGAATTAAAGCAAAATTTGATCACCATAAAGAGTAGGAACTATACTGAAGAAAGGAAAGACAGAAAATTCTACTAGTGATATCATGAACCAACTTCATACACTGAAGAACTATTAAAAAATGGTAAGAATATGGTGTTAGTTTGTAAGAATATATAGACACTGATAACAAAATGAAGATAGACTCTTAGAATTTGTATAGTTTCTGGAAGAAGAAGACAGGACAACTAGAATAGAAACAATAGTTGAAGACAAAATTAAAGAAAACTTTACTGAATTTAGAAACAATCTGGATATGTAGTTCATGGGCCCACAGCTTTTCAAGCAAACTCAGTGAAAAGATAATCAGGCTGAGAAGATTATTAAATTATTAAAGTAAATATATAAACATACAGAAATTTATTTAAAAAAGAAAAAAATGACCTGTAACAACATAAAATGGGCTGACCATAGACACTTCTGCTGAAATGCTAAAGGTAATAGAGAAGCATTTACCTAGATCTGTGGAAAATTGACAGTGACTCATCTATTTTTGTCACTAATAAAGCTTTCCGCTAGTAGATAAAGGCTTCATATACACATTTTCAAATAATCTCAAAACTGATCATCCTTGTACCATAATTCTCGAAAAAGAATTCACATTTGTGACTGACCAACTGAGAGATGAACCAAAGTTAAGAAATTAGGAATAGGGGCCGGGCGCAGTGGCTCATACCTGTAATCCCAGCACTTCGGGAGGCCAAGGTGGGCAGATCATGAGGTCAAGAGATCGAGACCATCCTGCTGAAGACGGTGAAGCCCCATCTCTACTAAAAATACAAAAATTAGCTGGGCATGGTGGCGCACGCCTGTAGTCCCAGCTACTCGGGAGGCTGAGACAGGGGAATCACTTGAACCCAGGAGGTGGAGATTGCAGTGAGCTGAGATCGCGCCCCTGCACTCCAGCCTGGCAAAAGAGCAAGACTCTGTCTCAAAAAAAAAAAAAAAAAAAAAAAAAGAAAAAGAAAATAAATTAGGAATAGGATTACATGGCGTAAAACAGCCCCATCTTCACTTTTGCAAGTTGGATTCCTATCTTAGAAATACAAATTGGGAAACCAATTTAGAGTATTATGTGTTGAGAGCTATACCCTATCACCAGGATACACAATTGGCCCTGCCTTGCTATCCTTAGCTGCCCCTAACACAGCTCCCAGAGTCAAGGAAGGAGTGTAACGCAGTATCATTTGATAACTTGGCCACTACTTAAAACAATAACCAATGATGCTCAGTTTCAGCCTTTATTATAGATGGTACCTCTACATGTTTAGGAAATAATGCTCAGCCAATTATGAACTATTGCCTTCTTTCCTTCCTCAGCTTTCTAGAAGGCGTACACAACAGTGAAATGAGAACCACTTAGTTTCCTAGGAAATGGCCCAGTGAAATTTTTGCACATCAAAACTTGAATGACCCAAGCCACTGATTTCAGGTTTTCATTTTTGTTTTTGACTGAGAAAGCTATTATAATAGTCTTAAGAGGGGCAGTATCTCTCATGAAGCTTCATTTCCTCAAGATTTTTAATTATAAAAAATACTATATGGGAGATTAATATTTTAATATAAATTTCTTTATACCTATATCCACATATAGAAAAAAATACAAAAATGTGTTTCCTTTCCACTGGCACTATGTTTTTGTTATTCCTTCTCTTCTCAGCTTGTAAACTCACTTCAGTCTCTGCTCTCTCACCTCACATCAGCCCAGCTCCCCACAGGGAAATAATACGAATTACGCAGTGCTAATTCTTTCATATTTCCAAGCACATATATTCTTATACAATTATAATCCTTTGATCCTCTATGGGTGGATATAGATGGTGCATGTGATTGTGTGTGTGTTTGTGTGTGTGTGTATGGTTGTGAGTGATTACTTGTTTTCCCAAAATAGGCTATATGCTTCCTATATAAGTGTCTTCCTACTGAGTAGTTCTTCATGGGGTTCCATCTAAGTCAATTGATATGGCTCTAATTTATTCTTTTTAACTATTGCATGCTATTCCATGATATGAATGTATTATGCTTGATTCACTTTTTCTTTTTTTGTACCCAGGAAGAATGCTATGTGCTATATATATATGTTTGTTATATCACTCTTAACTATAGTATTTCAGGCTGAATAATATATACATACATACATATATATTTATACACACACATACACACACACACACACACACACACACATTCTGCATATTGCCTAAAAGAGGAAGGTGTTTATTTCTTGAGATGGATTGCTGGGAATGGAACTGCTGAGTGGAAGAATACACACACACACACTTGTGTGTGTGTATAATATGTGTGTGTATGTATATATATATGTATGTGTACGTATACCAATATATGTATACACACATATATTTTTTAAATTTACAACATGCTATCAGATTGCTTTTCCAAAATGCAAAAAAGTCTTCAGGTTTTTACAAGTGATGTATGAATGTACCCTTTTCTGCACATTTCTGCCTGCAATTGGTGATTTTTTAAAAAAAAAAATTGCCAACTTGATGGATGTAAAGTGATACTTCACTGTTTTGGTGCTTTCATTTTCCTGCCACCAAGTGAGTTTGACCATCTTACTTGCTTGTGGGACATCTAAATTGGCACTTCTGTCGACTGTCTCCTCACAACCCGTGCTAACTCTTCTATTGGGCTGTTCACCTCCATCCTGGCATACGTTAGCTATTAACCCTTTTTCTCTATTACTTTTATATTTTAAAAATCTTTGTTTTAGCAAAAAAGACAGAAGATTAAAGGATCTGAAATTCATTCAACGATAAAAGTGCTTAAAACATTCTATCTTGGAGAGATTTACATTTTAATTGGTAGCAAGCTTGAAAAGAAAAGAATGAAGATCTTGGATACTTCTAATCATCAAGGAAAGGGTACAAATCAAACTGCTCTGATGGCCTGATTTGCACTTCTTCTACAGGTATTGAATTTGCACACTGTAGTGTTTGGTTACATAACAATGCGGAAAAGCTGAGTATGCTTCTCACTACTTTAAGTACTTCATATAAGTGGAATCATAACGTATTTGTCTTTTTGTGACTAGGCTATTTTATTTAGCGCAATGTCCTCAAGATTAGTTTGTGTTGTAGCATATGTTAGAATTTCCTTTCTTCTTCAGGCTAAATAATATTTCATTGTATGTTGCCATGGACTGAACATTTATGTCCACCGAACATTCCTGTCTTGACGCTCTCCTCCCAATGTGATGGTTTGGAGGTAGGTTCATTGGGAAGTAACTAGATAAGGAGGGTGGAGCCCTCATGAGTGGGATGGTGCCCTATAAGAGGCCAAAAACATAACTAGCTCTCTTTCAACCAAGAGAGAACACAGCAAGAAGTTGGCTGCCTACAACCCAGTAAAGGGCCCTCACCAGAACCTGATATGCTGGCAGCTTGATCTCTGACTTCCAGCCTCCAGAACTGTGAATAAATTTCTGTTGTGATATTCTGTTATAGCAAATAAAACTAACTAAGACATATCTATGTAACACATTTTGCTTATTCATTTATCCATCAATAGACACCTGGGTTGCTTCCACATTTTAGCTATTGTAAATTATGCTGCTGTGAACACTGATTTGAACCCATTTTTTCAGGACCTTTTTCTCAATTCTTTGAAGTATATACCCAGATGTAGAATTGATGGATGATATGGTAATTCTATTTTTAATATTTTGAGGAACCACCAAACTGTTTTTCACAATGGCTGTATCATTTTACATTGCCACCAAGAATCTATAAGAATTCCAGCTTCTCCACATATTCACCAATACTTGTTATTTTCTGTGTTTTTCTTTTTGATATTAGCCATCCTGTGGGTGTGGGATCGTATCTCATCATGTGCTTATTTGCCATTTGTATATCTTCTTTCAAAGGACCTTTTGTTACAAGGTTGCCACAGGCTTGTCCCCACAAAAGGAGCTGCTATTCAGGGATTTCTTTGTCTGTTTGTTTGTTTGTTTGTTTGCTTGCTTGCTTGTTTTTTCATGAGATGGTTTCTTGCCCTGTCATCCAGGCTGGAGTGCAGTGGTGCAAGCAGCCCCAAACTCCTGGATTCAGGGGATCCTCCCATCTCAACCTCCTGAGTAGCTGGGATTGCAAGCACACATGATCAGGCCTAGCTAATTTTCTTTTACTTTTATTTTTTTGTAGAGACAAGATCTCCCTTCATTTCCCACGCTGGTCTCAAACTCAAAAAGTCAGTGACAACAAGAGGTCTATGGGCAAATACTCTTCTTAATCTCTATGTCATCTGGCCATTGGTGCCTAATGTGGTCCAAATGTAGGCTCTATCACTACTTGAATAAACTTGGACAACTTAGATATGATACTTACCTTATAGGATGAACCTTGACTTGCTTTTCTGTAAGATTAGAAAAATACCTCCAGAAGCTGTTAGTAGGATCAAGCATTAAATGTACATGAAATTATTTTGAAATGTCTTTAAAACAAAGAAATGCTACTACTTTGACAACTTATCAGACAAGGCCAAATTTCATTCTGTGAGCTGGTAAGACCTGAAAAGTAATCATTCAACCCCTTGAATTGAATGAGTGAGAAAAAGATAGCAATTTAAGTTCAGTTCCTTAAATATGTTTACACATTATAGAAAGCTCTGCTTCAGTAAAGCTGTCAGACTTGGCTGTGCTAGGATGGTCCTACTGAAAGGGTACGATTCCTAAGATAAGGTTTCGAGCAATCAAATCTGCTCCCATTCCCCCATCCAAAATTTCCAAAAGCACAGATGAACTACTGGCCAGTGAATGCATGGACAATCAGCCTTTTATAGATGAGAAACGAGGTCCTCATGGGGGTGACAGGCAGTCAGAGCTTTGGCCAGAACCCCTAAACATGGCCCACGTCGTTCTCTGTACTTCCTCCTTATGATAGACAGGTGCTTTTTGTACCCAGAAATATTGTTTCTGCCATTTGCATTGTATTTTTTAAGGCTGGGATATAAGTAATAGAATTAAATCCGTTGGTAGGCAAAGTGTGCTATGAATTGTGGCAGTTTTCTGAAGAATTTAAGCCAAGAGGATATTTTTGGTTTGACTAAGTAATATAATTCAGGCCAAAATGGCTTCCAAATTTGAATTTCCAAAAACAGTGATAGTTCACCACTTCACTTGGCTGACACAGAGAAGGCGATCCCAACTTCTAAGATGAAATGAAACTTCTAGGAAAAATCAAAATCAGCCACTACATTTTATCTCTGGAGGGCATGGGAGGAAGAGGCAAGATAGGGATCATTACAACGTTGTAATCTGTTAGTCATCCAAAAAAAAAAAAAAAGAAAGAAAGAAGGGAAACGTTTTCTCTATGTTCTATAAATTCTATTCCAGCTGCATAAACTGCACTAGAACTGAACACAGCCTCCACTAAAACAAAATTTTAAAACAACAACAACAAAAAACTCATAAATGAGCTGGGGACCACTTTAATGGCAAAGTGGTCATAAACCAGTGTGTTGGAATTTCATCAATATGACATCATTCCCAATGTGACATGGGAGAGCCCACCCTCCATTTCCCTTCCAACTATCCCTCTCACACGCCCCCTTTCCTCTTAAAGAGATGATGAAGCTGCCTGCGCAGCACAGAAGGATAATAAAAACCTGTATCCCTTAAGCTGAATTCAGCCCAATGAACTGCACAAACAGCAATAACCAAAACAAAGCTAGCAGGAAACGTTTGCACACAGCATCTGTTATGATCGCATAACCACGAGACAGCTGTTTAATCCCAACTGTTAACATAAGATCATTTGTGTGTTTGAAGAGCGATCCCATTTGGATTTTCCCCTTTATTTATTTATTTTCTAGCTTTTCCAAGAGTGAGACTTTCTCAGCTGTAGGATGCAATTTGTGTTTCTGGTTTTTTCCACTTTCACCCTCAGCTTCCGAATGAGAGGGGTGGTGTGGTTTCTTAACTATAAATACTCAGAGGGGAAAGAGGACGGCTGTGTGGTCTCCTAGCTGAGCAGGGCACAGCCCTTTCTCAGCCTCCGGGGCCGGCTTTCTGCTCCCCAGAACATTCATAAACCATTCTGGTCAGATTATGGGAAAAGGCCCTCACATGAAACGCATCTGGTGGTCTCGGCCAAATTCTAGTGAAGCTGAGTTTTCTCAGCACCACCCAGGATTGGAAGCAATCCTTGTAAAGTTCAGTTCCAAAACGCGAAAACAAAGTCATTAGGCTCACAATTGCTGTGAAAAGGTCAATGAAGGATGTCAGCAGTTTGGGTGGCCTGTGTGAGTGCCCACATTGGAAGCCTGAGCAGGACACCTAGATAACTTATGATGGTGAGGGCTATGATCAGACTTTCTTTTTTTCCATTTACATCGCAACTCGCTGCCTGCAGGCTCCCCAAATGTTCAGTAGAGAATATGCATGCTTTACTGTTGAATTGCAGCCAACGTGTCACACAAGTGGCTGATGACAGTGACAAGCAGTACAGAGCTGCCCATGTGGTCCTTGGGCGAGAGGAATTGGCCATGAAAATTTGGACAAGCATTAACCTTGAAAGCTGCCTGAAATTAGCATTACATAAATCTTTCTTCACATCCTCCATCTTTTAATATTTCATCCCAGCAAATCCTCCATTTTGATCCCAACAGGATGATAACATGTATAATATTAAGTTTATCTTTCCAGGAAAAATGAAGCTCAAGGCCTTCTAAAGCTTGAAAGTGAATGTCTTAAACCTGATTCTTAGGGCAAGTTCATTTCTGGGTCATATGAACCTTGGGAATAAAAGGGACTTTTCACTTCTCACTCATTTTCCGTTATAACTTTTTAAAAATATAAATTGTTTAAGAGAAACTTACATCTCTTTGAAATGAGAAATATCACGATAATAGTTTCTGAATGACCTCTGAATTTCTCTTAAATATAAGAACTTCTTTTATTCTCTCTGGTGGTCCCACCTCCTCAAAATTATTGCTCTTTGCTCCATCTCTTTCCCCATAAAGAAAAATTATACACAATTTTTGTATGATTCTATTTTGTATTTTCTATGGAGACTGTCATGGATATTAATTTCCTGAGATTTACTAAGAAATACAAAATCTATCAGTGGGGGCAATCGTCAAAAAATTCAATGTTTAGGTCAGTCTATGGCGTAATTTCTTATCATACTGAGATAAAATTTTTTTTTACTTTTAGCCTGGCATTCTTATCACATGCAAAACAGTTTGCATCCCATAGCAAGGAGAGTGAATGACCGTGGTCCCCTTAGATTATGGACATCCACCTTAATGTTCAACTTCCCCTACACGGGACAAAATCACCAACATCTTTAATGAGAGAAAATCCTTTATCGACTGATTCATTTCCATGTTTTGTTTCTGCAGCTAGACGGGATATCCTGTAAGGTGGTGAAAAGGGAGGGAAATTTAGTACTATCCGTTTGTGATTTGCCATCATCATTACTATTATTATTATTTCTACTCTCAAGTTAGTATTATGTTTATCTACTGATTTTCATATATAAAGTCTGTCTTTGGTAAATTCTTTTTCCTTCTCTCCCTTCCCTTTCTATATTACTTCAGAATTACTTTTGGCAGGATTTGGAGAAGAGTTTATCTTTGCTACATAAAAAAGTCATATCTTTTAATATTTGCCACTTTTGTTAAAACTAAATAATCAATTAGTTATTATGTACTCTGAGTTACTGAGTGAAAACCGTAGTTAAATTTACTGGCTTTATTTAAGCATAGGGCCAGTTGGGAAAATAGTTTTGAATGATTTTAAAAGAAGAGGAACTACCTATCCAAGCTGGAGAGAGAGAAATCCCAGAGTGTGAGTAAGCACAGAGAAGTTACAAGTGTCTCTTAGATGCTCACTAGTCGGCAAAAACCAGGAAATACATCTCCTACTGTTTTGTGATCACCCCTGGTTACTGTCGTAACAGGAAGCGTAAATGAGAGGCAGATGATGTGAGAACAGGACTTTCAACTGGGCACCAAGCCTTTCACATACCACACCCACCATGATACTTACCTTGGCAAAAAGATCCCAATTAGTCTACCACACTCATGCTTGAAACCAGCCACATTTACTTCTTATTATTATTTTATATGTATGTATGTATATATTTATTTATTTATTTTTGAGACAGAGTCTTGCTCTTGTCACCCGGGCTGAAGTGGTATGGCACGATCTCCGCTCACTGCAACCTCTGCCTCCCGGGTTCAAGCGATTCTCCTGCCTCAGCCTCCTAAGTAGCTGGAATTACAGGTGCTCGCTGCCACACCCAGCTAATTTTTGCGGTTTTAGTAGAGACAGGGTTTCACCATGTTGGCCAGGCTGGTCTTGAGCTCCCAACCTCTTGATCCACCCGCCTCGGCCTCCCAGTGTGCTGGGATTACAGGCGTGAGTCACCGTGCGTGGCCTATTATTTTTTAATATCTTACACTTTTTATTGAGATAAAATATACAGATACAGTATACCGTCTCTACCATTTTTCAGTGTACAGTTCAGTATTTATGTTCGGTTTTTTTTCCCATCATCCTTCCATCCCCCTTACCCTTCCAAGCCTCTGGTAACCACCATTCTACTCTGTCTTCATGAGATGCACTTTTTTCATTCCCACATATGAATGAGATCATGTGATATTTGCCTCTCTGTGCTTGGCTTGTTTCACTTAACATCATGGCCTCCAGTTCCATCCAGGTTGCTGCAAATTACAAGATTTCATTTTTTGTCTAGATTATGCAGATCTCTTGCCTTTTTGTCAAATACAAAATGCTACATGTCAAGGTAGCATACATCTTTGAAACAAAGCTTGAGGATTTGCCTATTATATACACTTTAGTGTTTCACAGACCCTAAGACCGGTCTTGGCAAACAACCACTCATCAACAAATTATGATCTTAAAAACAAGCACATTGGAAGTGAGGATAGGTAGAAAGAAAATTGTTCAACATCACCAGGGGGAGAAAAGCACTGAGAAAATTAACCAACTCTGAATGAACCAAAGACTTTGTTTTGCAAGGTAGATGGTCCCTGTGCTTCGATCTACTTATTTTTTGCATAATATGACTCGTAGAATGGCAGTCTGCTCTCAAATTAGTCATTTTGAAAGTAAGAAACAAATACATGAGCAAACAATCAGCCAAAAAATACCCTAAGTAAACAGACAATGGAAATGTGGGCTTAGGAATGTGGACAGTGTACCAGTAGGAAACCCTTAGTCCTGCTAGTCTGCAGTGCTAGGAAATGCCTCACTCTGCATTCCTTGGCAGTACGATCCATCCTTTCCTGGCAAAAGTCTTTCTCTCCCTTCCTCACCAGATTATAGTTCCTACATCCAATCCACCTCCTGCCTGTCCCCGGGATCCCTGATTTTTCCTTATGGGTCCTATGTCCTATAGCCTGTGTGGCTGTGACATTCAGGGTTCCAGCTTTGCTTTTTTCTAATCTGTATTTGCCTTCAAGATTGGACTAGAAGCCAAAGGGAGTTTTTGTTTACCTATTATCTACTCCTCTGATGATTTCATAGTAAGTCAATTTTCCGTGTGACTCCTTTTTTTTTTTCTTTTTTTTTGAGACAGAGTCTCCCTCTGTCACCCAGGCTGGAGTGCAATGGTGTGATCTCAGCTCACTGCAAGCTCTGCCTCCCGGGTTCACACCATTCTCCTGCCTCAGCCTCCCCAGCAGCTGAGACTACAGGTGCCAGCCACCATGCCCAACTAATTTTTTTTTGTATTTTTAGTAGAGACGGGGGTTTCACCGTGTTAGCCAGGATGGTCTCGATCTCCTGACCTCGTGATCCGCCCTCCTCGGCCTCCCAAAGCGCTGGGGTTACAGGCGTGCTGTGTGACTCTTAATCCTAAGTGCTACCTAAGAACTTATTCAACATCTTTTAATATAAGACATAGGATGTAAAATTAGGAGCACCCCCAAAATTTGCCTTTCACACGTCATTGGGAAGGCTTGTATCTGACTTAAGTCTTGGAAAAAGAACATATTTGCAATCTCTTCTAAATTATTGGAAAAAAATTAGAAAATATTTACAACCTCTCTTGTCTACCTCGTCTTCAAGCCATCTCCTCACCCCACACTCACTAACATGCGTGCACTATGGGGGCAAATATAGTGCATAACCAAGACTGGCTCACCTCTATTTGCCACCTGTAAATTCAATTTGGAATAACAGCATAATATGAACAGTATATTTAATTTCACTTATTAGAAAAATTCTGGCCAGGCGCAGTGGCTCACACCTGTAATCCCAGCACTTTGGGAGGCCGAGGCAGTGGATCACTTGAGGTCAGGAGTTTGAGACCAGCCTGGCCAACATGGCAAAACCCCATCTCTACTAAAAATACAAAAATTAGCTAGGCATGGTGGCATGCACCTGTAATCTCAGCTATTCTGGAGGTTGAAGCAGGAGAATCATTTGAACCCAGGAGGCGGAGGTTGCAGTGAGCCAGATAGCGCCACTGCACTTCAGCCTGGGCAGCAGAGTGAGACTTCATCTCAAAAAAAAAAAAAAAAAAAAAAAAGAAAGAAAGAAAAAGAAAAATTTCAAGGAACATTTTATACCTTGAAATATCTGTTTTGAATTCATTAATGACTGGGTTGGTTTATTATTATTATTTTAAACTAAATTGATAGAATTGATTGGTAATTTGGTTATTGAAAACATGAAGATTCTTTTGACAACTGAATCAAAGTATATTTAATTTTTTTAAAAACGGCTTTTCATTGAGCAAAAAAACCACTTTGAGAAAAATAGTCGGACTAAGCATTTTATATAATCAGAAAAGAAAAATTTATGCCAGCCAGTTCCTGATACCTCATTCCCTCAAACAACTAAAGTGGTAAATGGAGGCAATTATCCTAAACACCTTTCCTTAATTACAGGGACTCTGTAGGTAAGAAAGTTCTGGGCCTAAATTTTTGCAATAACTATTTTAATTTGCACTTCGTTTTGCATGTGATGACACAGCCTTAGCATTGTGGTCACTTATAATTTTGTATCCAAACTATGTAGCTAAACACATTTGAAAGCAGAAATTCATCAAAAAGGTATCTTAATATCACTGCTAACTTGATTTTTTTTATCTTAACTCTTTTTTATGGCATTTTCCAAATTTTCTATAATGAGTGTGCATAACATTTATAAATGGAAACAAATGAGCATATCAAAAATTATATTAAAATAAAATACCTTGAATTAATTTACGGAGTTTCTCAGTGGGTGGTCTGGGATAGGAGTTTGTTGCAGCCATCTTTGGAAAATACAGTCTGTCACAGAGCCCTTCTGTTAATATGTGGTACCTGACCACTTCCTCTCTTTGAAAAACCACAGGCTGAATGTTAGGAGACTTTTCTAGTTGGAAGATCTTGCACAAATGTGTAGGGTTGATTTCCATGAACAGGTTGTTCCCTGAAAGGTGAGCTGTCTTCCCCGGTCCGTTCCATGGGGCTTGCTCCCTGCATGTAGGCAGCCCTTGGTTCCTTGCCTTTGGCCTACCTCTCATCTCTTTAATGAGGCAAGAACAAAAGCAAGGCGAACTGTTACTGTCAACTACTGTGATTTAGGCAGATCCTCAACACCATTTGGCTTTGTGTTAGATACTGCTTTATTTATATTATTTATTGTTCAACAAAAAATCTGAAATATAGAAGTCATGATGCCCATTTTACCAATGAGGAAATCTGAATCTTGGAAAGAATACCTTGTGCCCAAGGTCACAAAGTCAAGAAGGAGAGACACACAATTTGCATCCAGGTCTGTCTGCTTGCCAAACCTAGAGTTTTTCTGCTTTTCTCACCCAAAATTAACAATGCCATTGGAACCACTATAGAAAATTTTAAATGAAGACTAAAATCCTTTCTGCAGTCTCTCAAACCAAAAAGACAACTTCAGTTCAGTTCACCAAACTCTACCTGGCGCATATATATATATATATATATATATATATATATATATATATATATTTTTTTTTTTTTTTTTTTTTTAAACAGGCAAGTAATAAAATCTTGAGATATTACCAAATCAGTGAAAAATATGAGTACTTCAAAACTCCTTTCTCTCAGAACTCACTTTGAGGCAGAGCCTTTTACTACACTTTGTTAGGGAAAAGAAGGGAGAAAAGTAATGATTGAACTTATTTCTGGCCAGATATTTTACATATATCCTTTTATATTCTTCTCACACCCAGACAGTTTGATCACTTTTCACTTCAGAAGAGATCAGAGAGATAAGTAACTTACTCAAGGTCACAGAATCCACAGATCTGGGACGCCAACTCAAGTTCTTTTAGAATCCAGTTTGGGGCAATCTCTTCCAGCACAGAGTTTCTCAACCTTGGCACTATTGACATTTTGGGCCAGATCATTCTTCGTTGCATGAGGGCAGAGCTGGGGATGGGAATGGAGGTACCATCTGTGCATTGTAGGGTATTTAAGAGCATCTGGTGTTTCTCAGGTGCCAGTGGCACCCCCCAACACCACCACCAAATTGTGAGATGTAAAAATAACTTTATACGTTTCCAGACACTGCAAAATGTCTTTTAGAGGGGAAAAAAACACCCCTAGTTCTAGTATTTGCATATATCCAAATTGTTCCATGACAAGAAAAATAGTTAAGTGAGTTGATACTTGAAATAGATTATACTTCGGGCAATTTTTATTATAATTGTTTTTCGGGTACGTTGGAGATTTTGAACAATAAAACCAGAATTTTAAGAGGCCTGTAAACACAACAGCCTCTTCAATGAACAATCATACCTGCATATCTTCTAAAGTGAGGGATAAAAATATAGTGGCTGTAGTAGATTTGTGATTAGTTTAAATCGGAGAGGATTTTGGGAAAGCTCAGACTCCATTTTTCTAGTTATCTATCCAAACCCAACGGAAGAGGGCTTTTTATAATTAATCTAGTTAGATCCAAAAGCATTGAATATAGGCAGTATTTGAAGCAATTTTGAAATACATTTCTCACTTTGGGGTTGAGACATGGGTCACCAAACAGGCATTTATTTGGAAAGGCCACAGCAGCTGAGCCTATAAAAAGAGATCACAACTGCTTGGCCTTAGGAGATAGACAGTGTTTAAGAAGACTCATAGCTCACAATATGGTAAGTGGCTGCTTCCTACTACAAATGAGATGGATGTTTGCAAAGAAAAAGGAATGATGACCCATAGCTGAAGTGAAAAAAAAACAAAAACAAAAAACCAGGAGCAAATAAAGTGTTGCCTTCAGAATTTTGCAAAAAAACATCTGCTCTCCCCAGGTTACACCCAGTTGCCCAACTGGTACCTGCTCTCTGCTCCGCCAACCTAAGTGAGCCGGAACAGCTGCCTTTATCTTGGCAGAGACTTTAGAGGGGCTGTTCTGCCTGTGCAGTCTTTAAGCATTTCATATCTCTGTGTGGCTGGCCATGTCTGTATCAGGCAGTGCTCTGACAATAAAGAGCCATTCAAGTTTCCCTCTGTGACCTGATCCCATCAACACTCTGATACTGGAAAAATGCCATAAATACTGTTCACTCATTTTGTAGCCTGGAATAAAAGGTCTTTACAGGAAGTTATTATCAACGGTCTGTAAAGAAAGGGGTCAGAGCTTTGCTTCCTCCCTTAGTCGTGGGAGTCACCCCAGCCAAGTTGGGACAGGTGAAGAGGCTGCAGAGAGAAAGCCCTACCCGGCCTGGGGGGGCACCTTGGGTTCTCCCCATCCCCGCCCCAAATGACACCACCAAGATGACTCCATCATCATTACAGCCTGCGGAAACTGTACCTGTGGGAGATCCAAGAAAGGGGACAAAGCGGAGAGGAGGTCAGATGCAGAATGCAGAGATATGCCACACGACATCCTTCAAATCCAGAGCTGCAAACCTCAAAGCTCCTCTCCCTGGGAAGAGTGACTGCTTTCCCTCCCCCAGGAACTGTCCAGCCCCACCCGCTGGGCTCCCACCCCAGCCTCAGGACTCTCATTCTGTAAACTTGGTTGCTGAAGAAAAGTTAACTTGGCACTCATCTTAAGTATTGACTATCTGTCTTGAGGGTGAGGGCTGTAAATTCTCTCTCCTAAGATCCAAGTCGATTTGTTATCAAATCAGGCATTGAGAAGCTGATTCATTGCTATTCAGCGCTATGCTGATTTATATGCAGAATGTAAAACAGATGCCTTATGTGATACATATTTATGGTGAGTGCTGTTCTAGGAAGATTTATTACGGATTCCTTTGTCGGGGTTTGCATGAGCAGAGCCATGATGACTTGTATTTCCTCTCAGCTGCCAATGCCAAACTCATTAAAAAGAGGTGTGACTATTAATATACATTGTAATACTGACAGGCTCTAATTTATAACACCCTGGCTGGTTGGAGCATTCTCCTGACTTGAGAGGTGGTTTCTGCATTTCTTTCTCTGTTGCTAAATGGTACAAATAGAGATGTATATTCTCTCTTGCCCCCTCTCTCCTATTTCTCTCTCCCCTTGCTCTTGCTCTCCCTTTCTCTCATCCCTTTGTCTTTTCCAGTCGTCTAAGTGAACTCACAATCTGCTGAAAAAGCCAAGTACTGCACTACGGAGATCTTTTTTTTTTTTTTTCCTTCCAGGTCAAATATGCCAGGGGTTTATAACAGTGTAGAGCTGCGCTTTAATGCCCGTAAACACATGTTAACGGTGTTATTCTCCATGCTGGCACGCTGTCTCTCTAGGCTGAATTAGCAAAGAAGAAGTTTGGAGCAGGCCATGTCAAGCGTCTTGGCAGTGGCCGTGTCTGACATGAGGCTCCAGAGTTGAAGAACATATGTTGCCCGGTACAAGGAAATCTGAAATCCACTGCCCAGAGGGCAGCATTGGGGAGAGACGCATGACTAAGAACAGGAATCCACAGCAGATGGGGGCAGTTAATCAGGTGAAGGATGAAGGGAAATGGATTGTTACCTGGAAGAGCTGGCAAAGGAGCCTGGGGCTGATTAGAAACCCCTCTCTTGGGAAGAGGTTTGACCAGGGCTCTTGGAAGGCATCAGAGGAATGACGTAAGACAAACAGTGTGCAGGAAAATCACTGTTTATTCCATCCTAAATTTGAAAAAAACTAGTTCCTAGACAGAAAAATATCAGTGCACATAGCAAGAGTTTTTATTTGAGTGTTGGGAGCCCCCAAAAAGCACCTTTGAGAGAGGATGTGGAAAGTCACCGTCTATAAATGTGTTTTTAGTGAATTCACGAAGGATGTTTTGGCTAAAATTGATTTCTGTGAAATCTTAAAAAGCTGAACAGACAGAAACAAACAAGCGAGCCTCCATCTTTCCACGTGAGGCAAGCCAGCAGGGATGGACCATGAGGCACTTCTCTGGGTACAGAATTTAAGGAAGCACCAAAAATCTTAGTAATCAAGAGAAAGAATATTAGAATGAAATATACTGAAAAATCAAAATGAGTGCAAACAATCCATGACAAAAAAAATATCAAAGTTCAGGCCGGGCATAGTTGCTCACGCCTGCAATCCCAGCACTGTGGGAGGCCAAAGTGGGAAGATCATCTGAGGTCAGGAGTTTGAGACCAGCCTGGCCATCATGGTGAAACCCTGTCTCTACTAAAAATGCAAAAATTACCTGAACATGGTGGCACGTGCCTGTAATCCCAGCTACTCTGGAGGCGGAGGCACGAGAATCACTTGAACCCAGGAGGCGGAGGTTGCAGTGAGCTCAGATGGCGCCACTGCACTCCAGCCTGGGCAACACAGCAAGACTCTATCTCAAAAAAAAAAAAAAAATTGTTCATAGGCTTCACTCACCTCACTCTAATCCCAGGCAAGGCGAGGAAAACATCCTCTTTTACATCTGTGTGCCCTTCCCTGTGTTGAGCACAGTATCTGTTAGTCAACAGCAAACCATTCAATAGTGGATGAAGATGATGGTCATGGCAATGATTTGACCACCGATGAATGATTTCAATATGAAGCTACCCTTACATCTTTTAAAATCAGTATAGCTAAATGTCACCAAATCATTTTGAAATTGGAGCTAATTTTTTATTAGAAAATTAATGGGGGTTAAAAAAGCATTTTTTTTAGGTCAAAAGAGTTTTTCTAGGCAACCCTGACACCAGAAATTTCTCCATTTCATCCAATGTTTAACCATGTATTTCTAGAAAATACCCCTATGGAAATTTATGGAGGTTTTATGTTGAGTAACTTAAAGTGAAATACATATGTAATCCATATGTATGTAATATATGTATATTTAAAGAAGCATCAAAGTCCTCTTACTGCAAATTATAGGCAGAGTTATAGGGAGTGCCATATCACGGCAGCAGGAAGCAATGTGTGCCTGGGTAAGGAGCCTTACCGTTCCAATGTTGTAGCATTTTGAGTTCTTTCAAGATAATGAAATTCTGCAGCAAGGAGAAAGAAACACTGCGATTTTGCCACACACCACAAAATGTTCTATGTTTCCCATTATAAAAAAAATACTGGCATCCAAGATCTCCTAGATATGAATAATGTTTGCCTGTGTGAACAAGGATGAATTTTTTTTTCCTCTAATTAAACTCCCATGAGACTCAAGCTGCTTTGGAGTTGATCTTACTCAGAGAATGCTTTTCTCCTGTCCTCCCGCTCCTCACTCTCCTCTTCCTCCTCCCCTTCCAGTCTGTAGAGAGCTTCCCAGAACCCCACTCAAAATCTCAGTAATGTCAGCAGCCTCTCTCAAGCCACATGGCGAGGGTACAGAGCTAGACAGCAAGACAGCAAGATAAGAAGTGAGCGCCTCTCTGTCCCTCTGTGGACCTGTGGTTCCCTGGAGCAGTTTTTAAAGAAAGGCATAGACTGACATGGTTACAACCCAGTTGACATGTCTCACAATAAGAAAAGCTACCTAGTGTATGAATTGTTGTTTTGGACTATTCTTCTTGAGTAAAGCATTTGCCTTTTATACTGAAATAGATCAAACAATAGCAAGAATTCTGCTTTAAAAATACTATTGATTATTTGTTATCACTACAGCCATAGCATTCTTTTTGAACTAACTCTGACTGTGTCATTTGAATGCCAGCCAACACACCATTACAAGCCAGGTACTCACCCTGCAAAACCAGTCTGAAAAGAGAAGGCTGGCCAAAGGCTACTCAGATGTAGCCTGGTGGCAATGAGGGCTCTGGAAAATGTGTAGCTGTGACTAGAAATCAAATATGAGTGAGGAGAAAGCCTCTCTCTTTGTCCGAGGGAGTGATCACATGTTGACAGCTGGAATTTACATGGCTCCTTATTCAATAAACTAGCGCCTTCCCTGCATTCCAACATCAGCAACACAATAGTGGCACAGAAGCAAACTGACACATTACACATGGTCCAGCTGTCCCGCCTGTCCACTCTCCACGGATGCCTCCTCCTCCTCCTTCTCCTCCTCGGTCTGTCCCGTCTTCCTCCAACATGGGGTTTCACTTCTGCAAGATCTAAACACACACTCATTGGATGATGCCTATATCATGGGTGCTTGATTTTGTGTGCCTTCCAACACTTGCCTGCATGCAAGATATGAGTTCTACATTAAAGATGAATAACAAACAAGCAAGAACTCAGGATACGATAAAAACTCAAACAAATGTCTTCCACTTCATTGTCAGCTGAAAAAAAAGCTGTGCGTGATCAACGTTTCCCACATCAAAATCTTTCGGACATCACAAACCCTTACTTTGGGTGTGCGTGGTTTTCTTTATGAACTTGAACACAAAGGGAATGTGACCTGTGGAGTAGTAAGTGGTATAACTAGTGCAAATTGTTTTTATTACCTCCTGTACAAAAAATGGTCATCTGAAAAGAAATGTGAAGTTCCACAGTATCTGACAGTATACCATGCTTTCTCTGAATATATGTGTGTGTGTGTGTGTGTGTGTGTGTGTGTGTGTATAATATTATAATTTTGGCAACACCATGCACTTTTTGGTTAATAGCTTCTATTAAGAAGTCCCAAAATTTTCCCAGAAGGAATGTTGTATTAGGGACAATGTCTGTTTATAGTGGTGATGTATATTGTTTGGCAAAGCACAGCAGAGTACACAAAACATACATCAAATGACCCTGTGCCTCGTAAACCTGTCCATTCAGTCTAGAAATTTTCCTGCTTAAAATATACACTTTACAGATTATGACAAAACTCATCAGTAATTCCCACACTGCTCTATATCCTTAACATATGGAAAAGGAGGGAAAAAGGCATTACGTGTTATGAAGCAGCCATTAAACTTTAATCTCTACCACTAGGGGGCAGAATGCAGACTTTTCTAAACTGACTGCTAGGCAATCAACCATCACATCATTGTAACATTGAAGACACTTCAAAAAGACTCAGATGTTTAACTCTTGTGCTAGTGATCATACATTCATATTGGGCTGCAGGCCAAAAGAGAGAAGAAAAAAAATCCAGAGACTTGCGGCTGAAAAGCTATAAAGTGGTGAATTTTACCTTAGAGCAAAACCATCTTCAGTGACAAATTTCAAAGGCCATATGTATGTGATTTTCATGAAAAGCAGACGACCCTAAATTTCTTTGTTTAACTGGAAGCGATCTTCCTTACAGAACCAGCGGATTCTTTTTTCGTAATTCCCCTTGTTTATTGTGCTGTTAGAAAATTCACTTTCCTTTTTAGCGCTACAATCAGGATTCTAGAAATGCTATTTAATGCCAACGGGTATTTCATTAACACCGCCACCTCCAGCATCTTCAAGGATATCACCTCAGGCACAACGTTACTGATGGAGAATGTTTAGAGTATTCTGATAAAATAGGGTTCTTTCTTTTTCCTTTTTAAATTAAATCCTCCAACGCAACCTTTATTCTATGGTAACAGCCCGATGTTCCCTATCAAATTTTCCCAAGACAGGACATTACAGTTTTTCCCCTGTAATTAAAGCCACAAATGTCTAAAAATGATGAGTCAATAGGATTACAGACATTACTTCTCACAAAAAATTGAGTTTTGACTCACATGTCCTATTGAGGGGATTTGCGACTTAATAGCCACATATTTCAATTTACTTTTTAGGCCCTGTAACCACATAGTTGTAATATAGTTTAGACTATTGTAAAAGCTGAGAAACACACCCAAACCTAATCAGTGGCAGGTTTCCTAGGTTAATAAACTTAAGGAATAGTTTTGGGGTTATGGGCAGGGTTCACTTGTCAGCTAGACATTCTGAGAGTTTGCAAATTCAAATTCCAATACATTTGGTTTTTTTCAAAAAGGAGACGACTTTTGCTTAGTTCCTATTTTCATGAAATTGTGATCCCAGGAAAGCTGGAAAACCCAGTGAAGTGCTGGGTTTGACATTGTCCCTGCCCCCACCTGTGCTTTCTTTTAAAGCAAGGTGTTTCCTAAACAGAGATAGTGCCGAAAGGAGACACATATCGCTTTTTGCATCAGGAGTGTTACTTGATATGTATCAATATTTCCTGTCAGCGCCAACAAAGCAAAATCTTGGGCCTTACGGTATCCTTAGATGGCTAAATATTATTTGCTTAAGTCAGCGCGTTCCAGACCCTTTATGTGGCCTGACAGTTGATTGGGAGAAGTCCCACGAACTTTCTTAAAGTGTGCAGTCATCCGTTTGGCGGCCGGCTCCGGGGGTTCCACATGAAATCCTCTTTAGATAAATTCATACTTGCACAGGGTGATTAGCCTTACAGCTTGGTTGGCTCACTTATCTTTAAAAGCTAGACTTCCATGATCAATGTGGGCCTGAGATTGTCTTCCAGTAACTACCTCTGCTGCGATCTCCAAAGCTCAAAGCTGGTGAAGGAAGATGCAACCTAAAAAAAAAAAAAAAAAAAAGAAAGGAAGAAAAAGAAAAGGAATTCTTTTTTTCTGCTCAAAGATGACAGGCTGAAGTTGACAACCTAATCCTTCAGGCTTGTCTTACTTACTGAAAGGCTCAAGTAATGTCAAAGGAACCATCTGATAACAGTCTACATGCCAAACCTAACAGCTTTATTGCAACAAGAAACTTTCACATTAAATTTCCATGTGTTTTCTCTCCACACTCCTTCTTAACTTTACAGCACACTCCCCACCTTTTTTTTTTCCCAAAGAAAGATAAGTCTTCCCTGCTGCAAAAAAAAAAAAAAAAAAAAACCAACAACAACAACAAAAAACAAATAGAAACTGCTGTATAGGCCAGCTGGGATATAGTCAAATTAGTGGATTATTATTACCTTGGGGACATTAGAAATCAAGTTTGTTATTGGCAGTTCCTGTTTCTGTAAGAGCTGTTAATAGCTAAAATTTAAAGGGTGTTTGTCGATCAACAGAATGTTATTTTCTTAAGTGGGTAACTGCCATTTTTCTTTTTCACGTTGCTCCTGCTGCTGCTACCTGGCACCAAGTTTACCTAAAAGTTCAGCCTCCCTTATAACTAGAAATAAAGCCAGTTTTCACAGAAACATAAAGCACACCTTTTTCTGGACTTACAGTTGTGACCTAAGAGAGCAGGTGTATGAGTTAGGAGTCTCAAACTAAAAAACCTTTTAGAAAATGGTATCAACTTGTTAAGCACACTTGAAAAGATAATAAATACAGACATTGTAATATAAGTAAGGGTGGCTCATTCTTTTCGTGTTCTCCGGGTGTTATATAAAGAATGTTTTCAGTAAAATACAGATCCTTCTGTGCTTACACTTTGTGACATTCTTGCTGGGACAGTTTTACATTTTGAAGCTAAACAATTCATTTAAGAATTTTAGCTCAAGTCCATGGTTTTTTTGTTTTGTTTTGTTTTTGTTTCAGTTGACGATGGTCGTACTTCTCCATGTTCTGAGACCAGTTTAAACAAAAACAAAAACCAGACAACAACCTTGCAAGGGAAAGAATTCAGAGTAAATAAACAGTCTTTTTCTGGGAAGTAAAATATTTCCCTAAGGTAAGTTACTTTTCCAAGGGAATTACAGCATATCCCAATGTGGACTAACAGGCGTTTTCTTCTGGTCTGATTAACATTTAGGAAAAAATAGATTCCTGAAAATAGCCTATTGTGTAATTATGTGTCTGATTGGAACAGCAAAATGTCTTTGTTAAACATCTTTTTAAAAACCAATTTTACCATTTCCTTCCAAACATTTGTTAATTTAATTGTGTTAACCCTTGCATCCACATTATTGGTCATGTGGCTGGATTGATTAAGAACAGACAGGGATATAGATTTCCACCTACAGAAACTCTTTTCAAGGGGTTAATCAGCTGGTAACTTGAGTTACAAATATATTGGGGAAAATGGTACTTTTGGTAAGATTTCTCACAGTGTATTCTTCAGCTATTTTTGAAAATTATACCCACAAGTTACATCACATCTGTAATAAACTCTGCACTTCAAGCTGCAGAACCTTCCAAGATATTCTGTGGAGTTTGTTGTATTTTCCCCATTTCTATATTTAAAACAAATTTCCTACCCATCCACCCCCTCCTTGAATTCAGGGAAACACAAATAACTCATAAGCTTTGCACTGAAATGAGTTTGTTTTGCTTTCATGCCTAGTATTGCTTTTGAAATTGTTCAGCAGTAAAGAAAAGAAAAAGCTGCTGGTATTAGCTTTAAACAACCGCCACAAACATATTGTCTTCCTATTTATTCTAGGTTTTCTTTCAGCCAAAATCAGACTTGCAGAGTTATTCTAGAGCAGTTGGATGACATACAAAATCACAACCACCAAAATATACACTATATCTTTATAATGGGTTTTATGTACTCACAGATACACACACACACTATGTATATATTAAACAAAAATATGAAATTGACTCATTACAAAAGTAACCATCCGGGTATGTGAAAACTAAGAATTGTGACTTTGATATTAAGATATGTCCATTTTGCAGATGGAGAAATTGAGATGAGAGCTCATCCACAAGATTACCCATCAATGAGCACCAATAGCAACCAAATCCACTAGAAGACTGGGAGCTTTTAAGTCAAGAAACTTACATCAGTATCATCATTCCAAGAAGCGGTATCCAAGCTGTTTTATCGAAAGTGCGCATGGGAGGTAAGAGTTGGGAAAGATATCTGCAAACTAAATCTGGGGGATGCCTCTTCTTGAGGAGCTGGGGAAGAATAACCATGCTCAAGAATGTTCCTCTTTTAACAGAAACCCCTTTCTGAGGCACAGACCCTGCAGGCTCTGAAGAAATAGGATAGATTATTTCAGCTCTCTCAGCTTGGGAAGTGTGTTTGGAAGAGCATCTTCCTAGCTGCAATAATAAACAGCTCCAGCTGCAAGAGCTTTGCTAAACAAGCCTGGGCAAAACCGTTGGATTCCTTTCCTTTGACCATCTTAGATTTCCCCTGCAAGAGGCAAGGCAGGGAGCCTGCCCTGGAAATGTCCTCCTAGCCCTGCCCTGTGCAGCTCTGCGCTTCCCCAGGAACACACTCCCTCCCCCAGTCCGCCGCCCCACTTTTGTTTTATTTACGAATATGTTGCCAGAATTCCAATGAGTTATCTATTCTGTGGCCCCTTCATTTTCCCACCGAGGCCTTGTCGCCGGCTGACTCAGGGTCCAGTCGCAACAGTGAGAAGAAAAGAAGAGAGCAAAAGAATTCTTTTCAACTTTTTTTTTTTTTATGTTTCACTCATTTCTCTCTCTGTCTCCCCCAGGCCTCCTCCCCTCTCCTGCTCCCTCGTTCCCCCCACTCCCCAGCCTCCTAGGCTCTCCTTTACCCCCTTTATGTTACACGATCGCTCAAATTGAAGCTCAGGAGGGTCCTATAGGGAATGCATAGGAACCCTGGGAGAAAAAAGCCCCCAACAAGCTATACACCAGATGTATAACGTTATATGGTCAAACTGGCAAACACAAAAGCTGAAAAACAAAAGGCGTGAATTAGGGAGACGCATTCAAAGGCGTGTTTTCAAAACAGCCCGGCCAAGAGCCTGGATCCCCCTCCTGAGACTAAATGCTTGAAAGAAAAGGTGCTAAAGAAAGAAAGGAAAAGAAAAAAAGCCCATTTTTTCTAATTAGCTGAGGCCTAACAGGCGCTGAATTTCGCAACTAGTTTTCATCAAGGGGGTTGTGGCTCGTGAAACTGAAAAAAGATGCTTTTGAAACCTGTGATGTAGGCCCTTTCTCGGACCAGAGCTGGTCTCTCTCCTTGAGCTTTTTTCTCCCCCTCGCTTTTTGGGTTCTGCCTTGCTTCATATCTTGATCCCTTTTTTGCACCCTCCCCTCAAAGTACAAATATTATTTGGGCTTAAAAAGAGAGCAGGAGGGAAAGCCACAATGGCCCTCCCCGCCCCTCTTTCTGTCTGGTAGGCAGGGGGTTTTCCTTGCCAGCAACAGTCCTGAGTCGCTATGAATCTCATTCCAAAGCTCCGCAGAGCACCAAAGGGGAGGGAAAAGGTGTCACTGCAGGCTGAGAGTGTGTGTGTGTGTGTGTGTGTGTGTGTGTGTGTGTGTGTGTTTTCTGTAAACGCTGGGCTTAAAATTAAAAACCCTCCACTACTGTGATTTTAGATATTTGGAGGATGGTCTCTCGCTGAGCGTTTTTGCAAATGCAACTAGGCAATGTTTTCTAGGCAGCAAGGTAGATTCCCAGAGCAAAAGGTTTTGCTCCTCCTGCGCTTTCAGAAAGGACACACACAAGCAACCTGAATTTTTTTTTAATTCTGATTTGAAGTGTATAAAAGGATGTTGCAACCAGAGAGTTACTAGTCTTCTGCTGCATGAACAAATTATGAACTTGCATTCTTCAATCACATTTCTAATAGGAAAACAAAGCAGAACTCGTGGGTGAGAGTTGGTGGGCCGCCTGCGTTTGGAAGGGAGGCAACTTTAATTGCCGTGCTGTCTGGCTCGGATCCCTGTGGTCCTGCGTGGTGTGTTTTAGTAACAAACACTTGTTCTAATGAATTGGCCTTATTAGGGGGCTCCTCATATTCTTTTATAAAGAGCAGAGCTATTCTGAACTTCTGAATGCAACAGTCTCTTGATATTCTCACACTGAAGGCTGTAGTGTGGGATTGCATTCCCTCTCCTGTATTTTCATAAGGCTCGTATTTTTTAATGGCAGAAGAGTGAGCAGTGGTAGAAAGGTAAGAAAACTACAGAGCTTGCAGGTACCTGCCATCCATGGACCCAGGGCCATCAAAGAGGCTTGCAAAATCATTATGCTAAAGATGTATTTGCCTTCACAGCTGAACAATCCGGATTTTAGGTCAGTCACCTCCTGGCACATTTAAAAAAAAAAAAAAAACTCATGGCAATGGATAAAACAGATTCATTAGCTTTGATTAACCTTCTTTAACTAGAGTTAAAAACCTGCCGTAGGCAGCTCAGCTACCAATGCAGCCTTGAAGATACTTTATCATGTTTAAGACCCAATTACTGTTGCACTGAGTAAGAATAAAACATCACAATAAAATGTGGTACAAACCGCAACTCTAACGCACACAGCAAATAATCATTAATTTACAACAGCAACTTTCCCATTTCTATGGTTTTTCTGATGGCTGCACTTAGTTCAAGTTGAATACCTTGGAATTCGATGCTGATATGAGAAACTAGTTCCCCAGCTGTATTGACTGATGGCTTTTTTTTTTTTTCTGTCTTATAGCTTTAGTTTGGAGACTCAGAAGACTCTTTTAAAAATTTCCAAGTAAAATAAAAAAGAGAAACTAAAGTCAAAACAGGGTCTGTGGAACTAGGTTTATATAAGAGACAGGGAGGGAGAGAGAGAGAGAGAAAGGATTAAAATGGTTGAAACTTTAGAATTTTATAACAATTTCTTATTAATAATTGGAAATATTTCTAGTTAGAAGTTGTAAATATTAAAGAAACACAGCCCAGTAAAGTCAGCATTGAGTTAGTTCAAAGAGTTATCCGTATGATATGCAAACTTCTTGAAAGAGCTACAGTGAGGTCTATTTTGTGCATCTTGTAAGAAAAGAGAGCTTGAGAAGAACTCCAGCACACAATGAGTTAATTTTGGACAGGATTTGACTGAACAGGGAATAATGAACAGTGAGATACTGCAGCTTTCAGGCAAAACAGAGTAACAACAATTAAAAAGAGAGAGAGGGGATAAAGGGAGAAAACAATCTCCAGTCAGTTAACTAACAAGAGCAGCCCAGTGTTTGAAACAGATAAAACAGAGGCCACCAGGAACGCTGCTGCTGCTGCCGCTGCCACTTGCTTTATGCCTGGGTGTGGAAAGCATTACAACATTTGTGAGCCAACTGTTTGTGGGTTTCTTCTCATCTGCTTTAAAATATTTGGTTTTGCCGTATTTCCATAATAACCACAACCACACTCTCCTCTCCAAAAACCCCCCACAACAACAGATGTGTGTTCTAAAAGGAAATAGAGACACTGATATAATCAGACACTAGTTAGAGTGCTTTCATACTAAATTCTCCAGCAAATTCACAACAACAAAAAACTCTCAACCACTGATGAAATTAATCTAAGATCCTTGATTATTTGAAGTTCTAAAAGTTTCCATTTTGCATTTTGTTTTTGAATGTATAGTGCTTTATTTATCAAACTGCAGCGTAATTTTCCCTTCAGTTTGAGGCTGCGATTGTGAAACAAATAAATTGAAACTTAAGGGCCTGTTCTCTCCAAATTTAGTTCCATTATCACTTTAAGAATGCATGCTACTCAATGATACAAAAGGGATGTATGTAGCTGGTTATTTAGTTGCTAACTCAGCAATATGTCAGTTAACACAGCACTCCCTTGTAAAACTCCTTTTACAAGGTTGTTTTCTCATTGGAAGTCTCCATTTGTGTATTTGTGTACCTATGTGCGTGTGTGTGTGTGAATATCGGATATTACATGACAGCAAGATATCTTTTAAATATTTAAGATTTACAATTTTAAAGAGAGAAAACAAGAATAAAGTTTTGCAGAAGCTTAAAAAAAATTTAAAATCAGTTCACACTTTGAGCTAGAATGGGGATAGTAGTGATATTTCAAATATATTAATTATATGCCTCTCTCATAGCTATGATATTCTTGTATGTATTGATATGCACTCACTTAAAGTATATTATGTGCTCTACATAATATTAGATATTCTAGAGCATTAAAGAGCATCAAATGCATTTGGTTGCTCTCTACAGTAAGTAATTTTGGCCTTACAGAAAGTCATTTGGCCACAGTGAAGTAGCCTTTAACTGTGTTTTACTTGGAAAAGTTTATTTAATCGTTATCCTCTGCACATACTCTTAGAACATGTCCATATAACAAAATTGTAGTTGAGGGAGGAAAGTAGAATTGTGAATTTAAAAAAAAAATACTTATGGTAATGATCCTTTTGGCTTCCTGCCTCTATATAGAAGCTGGAACCACTTAACCCCAACCTACAGGTCCAGCCCTGACATGACTGGAACTCATCTTGACCTTGGGTAAGGGGAATTCAGGGAGCTGTAGACCAGGAGTTCATCAGCCAAGCGTGAAGTCCCCTTGGCCCCTGGACAAACTCTTCTCTCATTTCTCGAGGCTGGGCTCAAGGTTGATTTCACAGGACAAGGCTTTAACTCCTAGTCCAGTTTAATGTGTTTCATCCTGCCCATGTGCCCAAGTACAACTCATTGCCTTGTTTTCCTGTATAGTACCCCTATTCTGGGCACCCTACAACAGGTTCTCTTAGAGTCCTGCCAGCTCTCCCATTTCTGGGGCTCAAGACTGGAGATTCATGTGATCTACTGTGTTTACCAGATGCCCTCCATCTTGGATCTCTACCCATGTCTGTTGCTAGACAGCCGTGGAGCCCTATTTCACATTGTTGCTTAGTTATCCACCAGTCAGCTACTCTTGGACTTCCTTAGAAGCCCAAACTTTTTACAGATCAGCCCCTGGTGATTGGTCAAAACTCCAGGTTCCGGCCAGTTCTGCTCTAGCTGGTCTCTCTCATAACCTTTTGAACTGGGCAGAGATGCTAGCACAACGGGTAAAGAAAGATGAAAAAAAAAAGCAACAAAACTATAATCAAGATTGTTGGAATCTTCAATAGGCTTCCTTCCACATATCCCTTGCCTTCATTACCTTATATTAACATTCTCAAGTTCTTCAGTATTCATTATCTTATATTAACATTCTTAAGTTCTTGAGTATTTTTGGAACTATCCAGTCTCTAGTGGTTATGCCAGTCATTGTGTCTACCAGAGCTATGGGAATTTTGTCTCCAGCTTTCCAGTCTACTCCCAGTGACAGCCCGGCAGAAAAAGATTTATAATCTCAAACCCAACAAGGAACATCAATGAATGTTTTATAAATTCAGTAGTCATTTGCAACAGTCAGTGACAGAGGCAAGCTGGCTAATTTCAAAAGGGAGTATCCCCCTAGTCTGATATGTGGGCATTTGGAGGAGTGGGGAAGGCCTTGTCCTGAGGCTCCTCTGTGTACTGTAAAGAAATAGAGCCCACAGCATGTGCTCTAGAATCAGACCACGCCAGCTTCCTCCTAATAAGCTGCCTCTGCATTCCTAATGTGGAAACGAACATGAAGCTTCACAGCAAGTTATTATCTTAGAGAAGGCCCACCTGGATGATATCAGTTTTCACTGCCAGACCCTCTTAATAATTGGCCTTTGACACATATCCAGGTGTCGTCTTAGATCATAAACACCTAAGTAGCTGTAGGAACAGTGATTTGAATAGCAGCCCTTTGCAAATTTCCATCTTAAAACTTTTAAGTAAATCGTTCTTAAGCCTGACTGCAATTGGAATCACTTGGAAAGCTTAAAAATAAAATGCCCAAGTTTCACCCACCAACCTGTTGAGTTCAATTAGTCTGATGTGAGGGTACACATGACATCTCGATTAGGAGAGGTTCAGGGATTGCTAATATTCCACCAGAATAGAAGACACTTCTTTACATCTTCAGACAGCGAAATACCAGCACAACCATTACTCTGCTGAGCAATGGGAAACCCAAAAGGAGTATATACTTTCATCTTCACCCAAGGTCAGTTTCTTATGCCTGTAAGATCAGCGCTTTCTCCTCTGGTCAGCTGACAGAACAGCCTCACCTACTCTAAGTCACAACCTTCTCTGAGGACCTAAGCTGTATAATTAAGGCACAAGTACAAGTCTTTGGGCTTTCAAGGCAAAGTTCCCTTAAGTCCCAACTCACCCTTGCTAACTACCTCTCTGATTTATGGAAACCAGGCTCTTCCTTTGCTGGTCACCAGAAGCCTGACTTATTCAGAACCACTGAAACCCATCCTGTCCCCTCTCTTTTTACTGTCTGCTTCTATTCTTTGATAAGCTGCTGAAACATACTGCTGTGAAAACTGCTAGTAATTGGGCACAGTTAGATTAAGGAAACCCTTCAGGTAGCCTCAAGGTCAAAAAACTGCTTCTTATGCCAAGATCCTCCCAATGACAACATCCTTTAGAGGAGAGACCAGTTTTTCCTTCTTCCCTGCTACCAGTTTCAACTCCAGTCTGTTGGAAGCTTGACTTCCAGGTCCTGGAAAGCCAGAAGCCAGAAAAAGATTTATTACACATTAGTTCAGAGAAATAGAAGTGAAATCTTCTAAGAACTAGAAAAATTTTCACCGATTATTTCCTCATCCTTCCTCTGCCCATATTTTTCTTTGATGATGTAACAAATGCCCTGCACAGTAGTTCAAGCAGCCTTATATCACTGGCTTGTAACCTGTTTATAGAATAACTGGAGAATTCTTATAAATTCCTGGGCCCTGACAATATCTAATACTTGCATGGCACATTATGGTTTAGATAACACTTCACATGCATTATCTCATTTAATCTTCATGGGGAAAGTGGCTGACTCATACATATATAAAGAAAGAGAGCCGAACTTAACTACAGAATATAGTTGACAGCACAAAATAAAGTGACACTAAGTGAGGTACCACGCAGGAACTGCATAGGTTTCTGTTGTAATCCTCTCCTGAATGTGTCCATTGCTTATATAATGCCATTCAGTACAAGATAGTTACCATATTATTTCCCTCCTTATCTCTTGGTACAAATAGTGCACAAAGTAGGAAGATTAGCTGAGTGATGCTTAAAATCTCTTCTAGTTATATCTCTTCTTTGTTAGCCTTCTTTACACATTATCTAAGCATAACTTTGGAAGTTCTTGAATTATTTTTTCCCTAGGAAACTGCATGTCTTCCAGTATATCATTGGTTGAAAAAGGCACAAACAAAAAACTTAATTTGATATTAAACTTAAGTACAGTGCAGCATTATAGATCCCTCCCTTCTGTTTCTAGCTCTCATGTGGTTTTCTCAGCAGCTGTATGAGCACTGATTTAGTCTGGGATGTAAACAGTGCACCTTTAAGGTAACCTGTGCGCTTCCGTTATTTTGTTTTCTGGAAGCCTATGAGAAGGTTAACGTAGTTCATTAAGGTTTGCATAACTTCTTATGTTTGATGACTCATTCACAAAAATGAAAAGCAGGACTTAGGATTTGTTAACCAGAATTATGTAAACCGTATATCTAGCATATCTGGGTTAAAATCCCAACTCTTTAACATTTTACTAGCTCTACATTCTTGTGGAAGTCTTTGAGTTATAGTTCCCTCTTTTGTAGAACCGAAAGAATACTACCCATCCCATAAAGCTTTGTGAAGCCATAGTACCTGGTACATAACTCTCAATAATTGGTAGTTGTTTTTATAACAGTGCTGGTAGTAGTTATTATTCTAACTACAAATTATAAGTTTTACTTAATAATACAAAATAAAAGCCACTACCATAAATAACTCCTGTGCCTTCTACTTCCTACCCCAAAATAATTGAACCAAACTCTGCTCTATTCTCTGGACAACCCATGGATCAAATAATGAAGCACAACATTTAAAAGCTTAAAATATGGCTGGGTGCAGTGGCGCACGCCTGTAATCCCAGCACTGTGGGAGGCCGAGGCGAGCAGATCACCTGAGGTCAGGAGTTCGAGACAGCCTGGGCAACATGGTGAAACCCCATCTCTACTAAAAATACAAAAATTCGTTGAGCATGGTGGCACACGTCTGTAATCCCACCTACTTGGGAGGCTGAGGCAGGAGGATCACTTGAACCCGGGAGGTAGAAGTTGCAGTGAGCTGAGATTGCACCACTGCACTCCAGCCTGGGTGACAGAGTGAGACTCTGTCTCAAAAAACAAACAGAAACACATAAAAGCTTAAAATGTTTTGGGAAAGTGCCTACTCTGAATGTATGAACAGATTCCAATATATGTAAGAAGGTGGATACCAATTCATGGTATTTCTCAGGGATCTCATCAGAGAGAGAGACATCTTCGCCACTGCCATGAAGTTTCAAGTACAGAACTCTTCCTCGTAATCAAACTATTTCTATGAACAATTCACTCATCATTGTGGGAAAGTCTATTTTTCATCTTAACACACAAACAGACAATAACAAAATTTGTGATTTGGATAATCTGGATCTGATGTTCATGCTCAAAATGGAGGCAATTCGTAATACTGGTCTGAAGCATTTAGTCATTCACTGAGCAGATACGTTAGGAGCAACAGGCATGGGCTGTGTTTTTCTAGGCACTGTGAACACAGCAGTCAACGAAGTCAAAAACCTGTGCTCTTAAGGGACATGAATTGCCAAATGGAAACACTAAGTTTTTCTATTTATGACCTAAAGCTAGTCAAATATCTCCAGAAGTAAGGTAGCTGAGTGAAGTGGTTCATAATCTTTCCATGGGAGCCAAATCCTCGGTGCTGTGACTCTTTTAGATAAATGATAGTAAAAATGAATCAAAAGTTAATTAGCTTGCACCTCAATAATCCAGTCTCCATCACTGATGGTCATCGTGGAATCTGCGTACAGAGGCAGCTGTATACAGATGACAGAGACAGCTCTAACACGTGACACATTTAAGCACACAGAGGCGGAAGGACATAAAGTTCCTGGTTGATTTCCCTTTGGTGTTTGTGGGGAAATATCAAGGTCATAAAAAGTCAGTTTCTAATAATCCCTCCAGTCCTCCATTCCATTCCCTAATTTGTATGCAATGGCATTTAACATTTTGACTTTGCTTAAAATAAAATGTGTGTTTGTTTTAAAATAAATCTAGCTTCGATACCGTCAACCAAAGTCCAACACAAAACATTTAAAGAATCAAGAATAGGTATTTGAAGGTGTGGTACGTTTCTCAGACTCTGGAAATGACTTGAGTGAGACTCAAGAAGGCAATGTACTCTTTCTTGTCCTGATATAAACCAACAAATAAACAGCTTCCAAAAGCCTAGCTCTACAGACATAAAACATCTGGATGCTTTAAAAAGAAATCCACATTCTTGGCAGTGTGTTCAAACTCAGAATCCAGATCTTCTGAAGTTCAGACATCACCGCTGCGACAAAATGCTACCCTGTCATGATATGTCTCCATAATATCATATCAACATTATCTGTTCTGCAGAGAATCTCCTTAAAAAGTTGAAGACCTGAGGGGAAATGTAGTTTTATCCTATAAGGTCCCGGAATTTGATCCTATTTGTTCATTATGCACAGAAGGTACTCTATGTAATATGGAACTCATGATGAAAATGCTTGAAAAGGTCATTGACTTAGTTCAAATAAACAAATGCCTTCTTTATAACATTCTGGCATGATAGAGAATTAGAGCAGTGAAAAGACTGTAGAGTATAAAGAAAAAAATCCGAGGCCAGTTCAGTTTAGGTTTAGGATATGACTATTCTTAGTACACTGAAAGATGGCTGGAAAGAAGGGAGTGGTGTGTAAAGTGAAAGAAAGCTGGCCACATAGTCTAGGTTTAAAATAGAGAGCGATTAATTATGTAAAATGAGAGCCCATTTTATGTCACTTGCATATATTTCAGGTCTGATTGGTAGAAACCATTGCCATCCTGAGAACCTGGCCTTACTTTTCTCAATGAAAACTTTCTATCACTTCAAACTTCAAGGTAATAGAAGGAGAAAAGAGGCTCTTTAGGGACATTTCCAAAAGCCTCATGCTGACAGAACTTAAAGAAAAACAACTGACTGTAGGAGGTTTGCTGATTTAAAAAGCAAATTCCTATAGAAAGTTTACTTAATAGATTTGTGTTTTCTATTTTTTAATTAAGGGCCTACGACTGCTGGGCTCTTTATGCATAATTTTATTTAGTCCTCACAATAATCGTAGATCTACACTAACTATAGTGTGTACTATCATATATATGTGTGTGTGTGTGTGTGTGTGTGTGTGTGTGTGTGTGTGTGTGTGTATGAGAACAACTGAGCTTCTGGGGTTAAATAACTCCCCCAAAGTCTCCAGTGGCAAAGTCAGAATTGAGCCTCAAGACAGCCTTTTCTCCAAAGCTCAGTCTTTCAGCTACCCATAATGCCTCTTGACAATGAATCAGAGTGAGGCATCTTGAGATGCCCCCAGAAGAATTTCAGGCCTTGTAACTGACAACCAACTGAATAGTGACATTAAATTTTTTTCAAGTGTGGCTTCACCAGTTGCTGAGTTCATGGACTCTGAAAAGAAATCAGGTGTGAAAAGAAGTACTCGACATGTTTGCAGTGGGCTCTAGCTAAAGAGCACCTTGAAAAGCCAACTGCTAGATTTATGGGGAAGGTCTTGCCTAACGAACTTGTGAAAGTTCCCTGCAGATATTATAGTGTTCTCAGCCAGGAAACATGCTGGATTCTGTACCCCATCAAAGAAAAGCATTTGATGAGACTTCATATCGAAATGTACTGCTTGCAGTAAGAAGTCAGGCTGTAGTGAGTCTCAGAGACCAAAACAGGGCTTAGAAAGAGATGCAGTGAGATGACTTCTCCAGCCTGAAAGAAGCTTCCAGCAGGGCAGCTCAGGGAACTGTTTTAACAAGCTCTCATGTTTACATTAGTAGTGAATGACTTAGGGATAAAAATGTCAAAATGAACATTCCAAGGGTAAGGATAATACTCAGCGGTAGCATTAGAAGTCCAAACCTCTCTGTGCTTATGATTTTGTTGCTGTTTTTCAGATGGTGCTGTGAGTGGGGAGTGAGTCAAAAACTCCGCTGGGGTGTACAAAAGTCTACTCAAATGTCCACAGCATCTGTGGGGGATGGAGAATAGTTGGAGGATCTTTCTCCAGAATCCTTCTGTTCTGTAGTACAAGTATTACTCATTATAGACTAGCACGAAAAATCAAGTGAAATGCGAACTTAAGAGTTTAAAAAGAATAAATGGTGCTTTTCTGGCCTATTAGTAATAAATTAAATAAAAATAATTTTAATTTGTAAGTAATGAATGCTAATCTACATTGTATTAATTGGGCTTAACCAGAGAGTTTTTGTTTACATACATTAGGCAAACAAACAATAGGAATGAGGATTTTTAATAAAGAAGGAAGCCAGAAACACACACACACAAGCACACACACACACACACACACACACACACACACACACACCAAGTAAGAGAATACTAAAAGATCAGAGAAAATGTAATTATACTTATCAAAATGTTTTAATGCAGTGGCCTATTAGTTTCAGAATATAAAATTTATTTGATTTGTTGAGCAACTTGGAGCTTATTTTTTAATCCTTTCAGATAATAGGAACTTGAAACATACTTGGCTGTGTATAAGATATATGTGATATTAGAAAATCATATATATCTGTTAATATATATTCAAATATATTACTAAGCAAAAATATATTTACATGTTTATATCAATGATGCAATTAATAAATGTTTTCACATCCTGTGTCTCAATTTATCCTTACATAAAACAAGTGAGTTACTTATTCTTTAACTTCTCTAGGCAAATTTCAAATATTTTCTGAATATAACTACAGAATGCTTGGTTTGTGTCTCTATGAAAGGTCTTAACACACTCCTGCAATGAATTATATGCATATGGCTCTCCCATACTGGGAATGCCTAGAGGAGAGAAACTGTCTTCTTACCATATTTGTATCTATGGTTCATGCCTGCTCCACATAGACCCCTAGGTTTCACTAGAGAGATCTCAAGACAGTAGGTTTGAAGTAAGAGAATGGGAGGATTTAGAGGCATCTCGACTATACTGATATACTCTGCAATCAGCTTGGCATCTGGGAAATGTTTTGCTGTCTGCTTCATCTCCAGTGCCTTGAACAGTACATGTTTCTCTGGAGCCCCTGCAAGGTTTGTTGAAGGAGGGCATACATCAGGTATTCCATAATTTAGCAACATTCCATAATGTGGCTGCTAGTAAATGGTTGGTTCAGGATTTGAACCCAGGTCCTCTGTGTCATGTTCTAAATGTTGGGAGAATAAATCCCTCCCTTGTCTCAGTGAAGATTTCTAAGCTGCCCTGGGTTGTTGTGTATAGGTGTTTAGCTTATGGGATGGGACTGGAAGGTGGTGTAGGGACACAAAAGGAATTAAACCATGTAAGTTCACCTTGGTTGGCATTTTCATTTCTCCTTTGGATATCAAGCCTGAACAATGATTCTCAAAGATATGTATTAAATTCAATAAGGATTTACTACTACTGCTCACCTATTAAGTGCGAGGAACAGTTGCACTTAGTAGGAATAAAGAGGTAGCTGGCACAAACTATTCTGCCTGTTTTTTGTTTTTGTTTTTCGTTTGTTTGCTTGTTTGTTTTTTCGACAGAGTCTTGCTCTGTCGCCAGGCTGGAGTGCAGTGGCGCGATTTTGGTTCATTGCAACCTCCACTTCCTGGGTTCAAGAGATTCTCCTGCCTCAGCCTTCCAAGCAGTTGGGACTACAGGCGTGCACCACCATGCCCAGCTAGTTTTTGTATTTTTAGTAGAGACAGGGTTTCACCATGTTGGCCAGGATGGTCTCAATCTCTTGACCTCAGGTGATCCGCCTGCCTCGGCCTCCAAAAGTGCTGGTATTACAGGCGTGAGCCACCACGCCCGGCCTATTCTGCCTGTTTGTTGACTGCAGTCATAGTATGTTCTTGCTCCTCCCTGAGCTACTTTTGCTTTGAATAAAACCATGGTGTCATGGAAAGAACAAAAAGCTCCAGGGTAGGGCACATGTTTTCAAACTTATTACAAGAGGGAGCCTGGATGAGAGTATCTTAATATACCTTTTAGAGCTGATGTGTCCTTCTCTCCTTGAGATCCAATTAAATTTACTTTCTGTGAGTTACATGATAGAAAGTGTTACATTGTACATTTTAGCAATTTCAGCTTATTCAGATCAAACAAAAAAAATTAGTTGATTTGACTATCTACAGTTTATCTCTGCCACCAAAGTAAATAGCATGGACTTGAAGGTGCCATCCCAACTATTGCCCTGACATTCCATCACCTGCATTTTCCAGAAATCAGGTGAACGATATTTTTCAGTCTTGCTGCATTTCACCTCTGGAGTGTGTAGACCCAGTCTTAATGTGCCTAAACCAAATGAGATGTGTTATCCCTTCCAATGGAACTAAGCACTTTAAGTAACTAAGGAATTGGAGAGAGAGAGAGAGAGAGAGAGAGAGAGAGAGTTTTCTAAATTCAGCAAGAAAAAATAAGGTAGTCGAGTTGTGTTTCAAACCACTTCTATAATTGGGAGCTAAACAAATTTGTGGAGAAAGTACTTGGTCAACTGTATAATTTCTTCTACTATTAACTATCCAAAACAAACAATTAATTAAAAACTAAACACAGATAATGAAGACTATCTATTTTCTAAAACTGTGAACTTTGGAAAGGGGCGTGCTTTATGGATATCTGTAAGTCCATATTTGGACAACTATCAGTTTAACTTTTAGTAATCTAAAATGCTCAACTTAAACTTCATTTCCCACTTCTGCCAAAACCAGAAGAATCAAAAATACAGTGAAGGGGCATGAGATTTCCAGCTCACATTTCCAATCTCCAGAGGTTTGAAAAACTTCATCTATCTATTTGAATGCCATGGTTGTGATCCAAACTGAATTTGAACTTTAGATACTTAAGAGTGACCCATCACTGTTTAAAAGTCCAAAGTGGCCACAGAGAACCCTACGGACCATTACTTCATTGTTTATTCTTGTAAATTATAAATATTTTTAAAAATTCCAAATTATGAAGTTCGAAGGGGATATTTTATATCTCTCAGCCACTGTCATTTTCTTCCTCCCTTCCTTGGGTGTTGGCCATGTATCTATGAGTCCAGTTGGTAAAACAATCAGTAGCATTGACAGGATGATGTACTCTGGTCCGAAACTACATTTCTCAGCTTTTTCAGTTCTCAGGAGACAGCGGAAAATGTACTTAGCAAACTCTATTATAAAGGTCCATGTTGTTCCAAATATTTAGTTGTACTTAAAGTAAAATCATGACTTCAGATGCCAAGTGAAATAAAGCATAATTTTCACACTGTATGATGGAAAGACTATTTATCATATACATGTCTTTCTCTTAGGATATTATTGTGACAGTATAGCAATATAATGGTTTATAATTACATATATACACACAATATATTTTATAGTGTAACTGCATCATTGTTCTGGACAGGGGTGAGATATGAAAGTCCTAAAAGCAAATATTGAGACTATTAAGTTATCAGAGTCTAAACTGTGGGAGTAGAAGAGAAACAGAAAGAAGAAATGGAACTGTGAGATATTTCAAAGGGAAAAGACACTATATGCATGAAGCAACCACTATTATTTATTCTACAAATAAGTATTCTTGCCATTACTTTACAGATAAGGACCGTGAGGCTCAATAATTAGCAAATAATGGAGCATGACTCAATTCTGTAGGTATATTTGACTTAAAAAAATGCATCCTACTTTTTCATATTCAGTTCAAAAGATTAATGATGGGACAAAGAACAAAGAAGAATTTGGTACCACCAACTGAGGGCTGGTCTGGTGTGGTAGTTGGTAGCTATAATAAGTTAGTACAAACATGTTCTGCTCATGCTACAAGAAGCCAACTGGTGGAGACATCAAGAACACAGTCAGAAATAAATATAGCAATTTAATTTAGGAGAGAGCTGGGAGCTATAGATTGAGCCTCTACATTTAATTGGTAGCTAAAGTAATGAGAACTGTATGAAGGAGAATTAGAGATAAAAACTTCTCAATAAAAATAGTGGTAAGAAGAAGAAATGAGAAAACAATCTTGAGGATTGTCAACACCATGAAAGTCTTAGTTGTTTGATTATTGTTTTAATAGTAGAGATGGGGACATTTTATGTGTCAAAGCAGTGGTCCAAATGAGTTCCGCATCTCAAGAGTTTTGTAGAGTGTTAATGGGTGTTACTCAAAGGGAAAAAAAGGATAAAGTTATAAACCATTTAGGAGACCCTAATAAAACTAAAGTGAATGAGGTTCTTTACTATCTTTAATTGGCTATATTTGTCTTACAAATATCCAAAATGGTGACATGGTATATCATAGTTCCTAAGATTATTTGACTACAGAGTCCAGATTTCTTGGAGAATCATCTAGTGGTACAATTAATTGGGAGAAAAGAGCCAATGAAGAGGGAAACTTGGAATGTCAGAGATGGCAGGATACCCCTGATGGATCTTCTGAGGGGACAGCAAGGGAAGAAATTAAGAAATCAGAAAGGGAGGTCTTGAGGATGAGAGGTAGGGCCTTCAGTTAGAAATCACTACATGGGCCAGGAACGGTGGCTCACGCCTGTCATCCCAGCACTTTAGGAGGCTGAGGTGGGTGGATCACCTGAGGTCAGGAGTTTGAGACCAGCCTGGCCAACATGATGAGACCTCATCTCTACTAAAAATATAAAAATTAGCTGGGCATGGTGTCAGGTGCCTTTAATCCCAGCTACTTGGGAGGCTGAGGCAAGAGAATTGCTTGAACCCAGGAGGTGGAGGTTGCAGTGAGTCGAGATTGCACCACTGCACTCCAGCCTGAGCAACAAGAGAGAAACTTCTCTAAAAAAAAAAAGAAGAGAGAAAGAAAGGGAAAGAAAAAGAAAGAAAAGAAAGAAGGAAAGAAAGAAAGAAAAGAAAGAAGGAAAGAAAGAAAGAAAGAAAGAAAGAAAGAAAGAAAGAAAGAAAGAAAGAAAGGAAGAAAGAAAGAAAAGAAATCACTACATGGAGATAGAAGCAACTAATGAAGACCTGCAGACATGCGTTGAAGGAATGAACAGCATGTTGTGTAGACTAGGTGGCCACTATCTTCTCAATAACTCAGCAGTGAGGTCTCCTTCCAAGACCATGGGAAAGTGTTGAGGTATGGGGATATATTTTAGACTCTTTACTGTGGGACTATAACAAGAACTAACTGGATGTGATACTGTTGGAAATACTAGTGATGTCCATATCCCATTCAGCATGAGTAGGCATCTTAACAGATGGGATGCAGAAATTTGGTGACTGGTAGATTCCAGCTGAGAATGGATATGAGAGATGTGATCAAATGACGAGGATGTGGGAAAGTTGGGTGGTAGGGAGGATAAGGATGCAATGTCTGACTGTGGGGTGAGGGAAGAGGTAAATTTGCATAGTCCGGAAAACTAGAAATGGTGGAAGAGAGGTCACAGTGAGAAACAATTTGTCCTGCACCTGTGAGTGGTAAAGAGAAAGGAGATTGTTGTTAGACAGCAGAAGCTCTGAGAGATTTTGGAGATGGAACAGTTCTAAGGTACATTGCTTTGTTTATGTATTCTTATGTTGAACAAAACTATATGTCCAACATATCCTGCATATGACCTGTACTGGCAAGAAATGTACCAGGCACTAGAGCAATGAAAGTCAATAAAAAATGAAAATCAATCAGTACAAAGCTGAGAAGTGGACACAAAGATGGAAAATGCAAATCCAGTGCAATGAATGATGTCATGGAGATATGCTCAAGCTGTAGTCCTTTGGACCCTACTGATAGGGCCTCATCGGCAGTGCCCATATTTTTCCTTTCTGATGGTTACACCTTTCCCTTCTTCAATCCTGTGTCTCTTTACAAAGCCTTTCTGACCACTATGACATGGAATTTTTTCTTCTTTATAATGACTGAGCCTGGAAGAGGTAGAACCATGCCTTACATGTTGACTACTCCATTTATAAATTTATTTTTCAGTAGTAATCTTTCCATAATGATAACATATATGTCTGGCCATTTGATAATGCCAAACCCTTGGATACACATTATTCCATAGTAACAGAGATCCACAACTGCTCCATGAAATACCCAAAGCAAGTAATGTGACTTCCAGTCTCCATCCAAAAACAAAGCGACCTGGAGGGGTTAAATGGTTCATGCAAAGTCCCATAACTGATGGGTATGCATCTGAGGTCTCAAGGAGTAGAGCCAGGCATGGGGATCTCATACTGAGCTCTTGCCACTCTGCCCTCTTGGGCTGTGGCGGGGACTCAGTGCATTTAGGATAACTTACTGAATGCCCAAACGAACAAACACATACATTTTTAAGTGTTTGATTTATTGAAGGTGTATGCATATCCCAAGGCATGGGCTTATGTGGAAGCATGAATACTGTCTAGAATCACAAATAGAACCAGGAAGTATGAAATTACAGCAAATCTGTCCTGGTTCTCCACACATCCTCAGGCATCCACTTTATTTGACTTTTCTCTGTGCTGTTGTTAAGCAGAGAGAAGGCTTCATCTTAGCTCAAAGGCAGCAAGGATAAGAGCCATGGGAAGCACACATATTCTTCAGGATTCAAACAGCTCCCTAGGAAGAGGGAGCTAGCTCTAGGGAACAGGAAGTGGGCAAGGGAAGTTCTAATTCACTCTATTTCAGGAGTGCATTGCCCTCAACATAGCAGGGGAGGTTTGAGGTTGCCTTCCTTATTGCTCTCTAGTTGAACTCACGGCTCCTTAGAATCAGGAACAGACCACCACTGCATTTTTATGTTTTTTCAGAGCAAAATACACTGAGTAAAATTGTGACTGATCATGAGACGCTAAGAAATAAAAGCATACAACCAAATCTAATCTATTTCCGGCCTGTTTCTTTTTCTTTTGTAAAAAAGTATATTCAGGGGGTACATGTGCAGGTTTGTTATATGAGTATACTGTGTGATCCTTAGGATTGGGCTTCTAATAATCCCATTGGCCAAGTAGTGAGCATAGTACCTGATAGACAGTTTTTTAACCCTCTACCTGTTCCCTCCCTGCTTTGGAAAATCCTATTGTTTATTGTCCCCATCTTTGTGTCCTTGCATACCCAAAGTTTAGCTACTACTTATAAAAGTGACAACATGTGATATTGTTTTTTTCTGTTTCTGTGTTCTTGGGCTTAGGATAATGTTCAGCCTCTTTCCTTATAGAGAATTACCTGGGAAAGAAGAGGGCAGGTTAGTACTACCTTACCCTATTGGCGAAAGACCACAAAGTCATCTTGGAAACTCTGAAACCAAGAAAGCTCCATTCGCACAGAAGCAAATCTTGGCAATGTCACGGTTGCCATTGGATGTTTTTGTTGTTGTTTTAATTCAACATTGACAGCCAGGGAGCTCTGTCTACCTCTGCTTCCTGTTTATGATCCTCTATCCTTGTCTCTAAACGGTCTCTCTGTCCTAGGCCAGGGTTGCTGAGATTCAGCTGAACATCACAAGCAGCTGATAAAATCCAATGATCTCTTTACTGAGTGTTAGAAAGTGTATAAGATGTAAATTTATTTAATCACTAGGCACTTAGGCTTCAGAACGTTTAAAAGAACCCAATCACAAGAATTCTGACCTTCAGTTTGAGGGGAGAAAAAAAGCTGAAAGAGATCACATGACCAATTCACTGGTGATAAAACATCCACTGCCAGGTAAAAGGCGGCTGATGTTCAGATCTTATCTCTGGGAACTTCATATATTTATGAGTGTTTATTTCATTAGGCCATTACCAGGGACAGAAAAAGGGCACTTTTTATGGGTTGAAAAATTCCCACAAGAGTCACAAACTCAGAAATTAGAGATGGAAAAACCATGTTCTGTTAGACCGAGCCAGTTTCCTTTGGCTTGGTCTCCCTGCCCCATCCCCACACCCCCACCGAGTTTTATCCAAACTAGTCTGACTCAGGCAGTGGGACATCTCCCTCTTCCCTTGAGGTGCTATTTCCCAGATCAAATATTTTTCTAATATACAATCTAAATTATTGTCTCATGAATTCATCCTAAAATCATGAGATCTAAAATGCCTTAAGCAATATTCATTTTTTAAAACGGGAAAATCGTAAGCCTAGGTTTTCAAAGAGCAAAAATGCCACCTTCAAGCATAACAGTTAACTAAGAAGTAAAATCAAGACATATTTCCCTCTTCTGAAGTCCACCCATAAGAAGCAATGGAGATCCTACTTAGATTGTGTTATAGTGATAAAAATTCCACATACGAAAGGGGGTTAGGTAAACTTCTAATGGGCACTAAAACCCCCAAAGGAGACCCACTCTTTAAACTTCCATGATTGGACCATCTGGTGCTCTCAAGAGCATCTTAGTTTTGTTAAGCACCAACAGCTGCAAATGAAGTACAACCAGATCTATTTACACAGGATCCATACAGTAAAACCCTGCAGACAGACGTGATGCCCTTCCTCAGCGGTCCATAAGAAATCTTGTCACATACAAATTCACTTTCTTTGGTATTCCCTGCCCATTTCGGATATGATTCTATAACCACATTATGATTTTTGATAATTAAAATAGTAATGCTTCACCAAAAGAATAAAAAGTAAAACCAATTGGAAAAGTTTCAAACAGGGAACAAACAAGGACTGTTGCTTCAGATAGCTCGATCATGGCAATTTAAAAAGTGGCATCTCACAGCCAGGCGCAGTGGCTCATGCCTGTAATCCCAGCACTTTGGAAGGCAGGAGGATTGCTTGAGGCAATTGCAGAGACTGCAGAGACCAGACTGGGTGACACAGTGAGACAGAAAGATTTTAAAAATTAGCCAGATGTGGTGGCATGCACCTGTAGTCCCAGCTACGTGGGAGGCTCAGGCGAGAGATTCACTTGAGCCTGGGAGGTGGAAGGCTGCAGTGAGCTGAGATCACACCACTGCACTCCAGCCTGGGCAACAGAGTGAGACTCTGAAAACAACAAACAAACAAAAAAAAAAAAAACAAACAAAAAAAACCCTCCAGAGTATTGATATAAAATTGTGGTCTGCCAAGAAGTCCACAAAAGGGCTGCTATAGAATTAACAAGGAGAGATAGAAGGAGGTCAATGCTTCAGACAGAGAAGTAAAAAAAAAAAAATTCTCTGGGGAAGTGATTTATACACTGAGATCCCGTGGCTGAGGAGGATCTAGCTAAGGGAGGCATGGAGGAAGAACATAGTGGCCACCATGTGCATACGAGGTCATGAGGTGGGAAGTGCGTGCAGAGACTTCTTGAGTAATTGCCAGAAGTTCTTGTGGCCATAGCCCAGGAAGAGAGGACCCAAGACTGGGGAATGATGGAGTGGCACATACATGTTGGGCTGGGCCTGGAGGACCGATGAGCTAGGGCCTGGCCATGGAGGGGAAAACACAGGACCTAAGGTAGATCTGCAGCTATATGGCTTCAACAGAGTGGTGTGTAAAATGCAGAAGCCAGGAAGACGTGGGGGTGGGGCCAGGTATGGTGTGTAGGGCATGGGGATGAGAAGAGTCAAGATGCCCTGTGTGGATCTGTTAATTCCAAATAGAAGTTGTGAGACCTCCAGGGCTCTCCACTTCCTCTCTCTGTCCTCCTTCCTCCCACATTTATTGAGCAATAGGGGATGGGAGACAAAAACTAACAGGATTCTGGTTAGGAAGATCACAGCCTCCTGGAGGTGGATGTGGAAACACAGAGGAGTAAATCAATAACCACAGCGTGGTGAAAGCTACGTAAAGGGACCCAGGGAGCAATGAGAGGACAGCTCCTCTCTCTGTCGCATAGACTGAAAGGGCTTATTGCAGTGAAAAGCTAGTTATAGAACTAAGTTAGTGATAGAAACTAAAGCTAGTTATAGAAACTAAGGGATATGGATCCTGTATCAGGTTGAGAAAAGGGGAAGGGAATTTAAAGCAGCTGGAAGTGTAACAGTGGAAAGACTTACAGTTGTGAGAGGAGAAAATCGACACAAGGCAAGTTAGGTAGCTCTGAGTGGCCAAGACACAGAGTGCCTTCAAGGAAGGGGTAGAGTAGTCAGGAGCCTTGAGGTCTATGCTTAGGCACTTGGTCTTAATCCTGCAACCCAAGGGTTACCACAAGGTGTGCATGAAGACAAACATCAGGCAGCAGGCAAGAGGAAGATATGGGGTGGTGAGAGGCAGGAGGCAACATCCATGAACCAGAGTCCAAACTCAAGATGCTAATCCCTGAGCTGTAAAGATGATTCCAGAATCTGTGATGTGAACTCCCAGGGATGGTGGGCTGTGGCCCATAGTAGCTCATTCTCACTAGAGGCCAATGATGGTTGGGACATACTGTCAGATCTTATAGCTATTTAAGGATGAGGGAGAAAATAACGAGGATGGTTGTTTTATTAGTCAACGCTAAGTCTTGGATTAAAACATACTTCGGACTCCTATTTTTACCGACTATGTTGCACACCCTGTTTTGGCACTTTGTGCTTTTTAAGATCCAAGATAAATAGACAAAACTCTCTTCAAACCTTTATCCCCAGATGAGACCTGCTAACAGAGTCCTAGATGGTAGAGGATGATAAATTTGCATTTTTCTAGTAGTCATGTTAACATTCTTCAAATATAAATATCACCACTTTTATAAGCTAAAATAAGCATTTATAGTTTCCTGAAGATTTTTGAATGTGCATCAGCAATTACATTTGAATTATAAAGTCAGCTGAGATGTGAGGCCAGACTGAATTCCAGAGCAGATCCAAGACAGCACATTCGAGTCAAGAGGCTGCAGCTGGCCAAGCCAGGAAGGAAAGGTTCTTTAAAAGGACAAATTGAGCAAGCTGTTGACAACGACCTTACGATTCAGTATTGTTCTGAGATTAGTTTAAAGAGAAAAAGAAAAGATTCCTCAAACCCCAAATCATTTATTAGTTTAGGATACGACTGATCCAGTTCCCAGCCCAGAAACAGAAGTTCAAATTCTGACGCCCTGGGACGTCTGCATGCAAGCAGAATTCAGTTCCAAGACCAGTGGATCCAAGGAAGGAGCGAGATGGATTCCATTTTTACTACAAATTTCAAGGGGGATTACTTCAAAAAGGAAAGAAAAAACATGCTGAGGCAAGAAAACTGAAATCAATACACCCAGGGTGACGGATTCAATTGAAATAAGAAGAAAGTTTATTGGTGTATCAACAACAAATTCCCTTGCTTTAAGATGATATTTTGAGGGAACATAAATCTTATGGACTACTGACGTATCCATAGAGCTACACTTGGGTTGCTTTATCCGGGAGAAATGATAGATTTGTCTCACCATGAGTGCTCACCTGGCTCCTCAAATGCCAATCACAGGCAAGACAGAGGCCAAGGAGAGCTTGTTAGTTTCTTAAACCTGTTCAGTTTCTACACAAGGGAAGAAAATAAAATAGTTGTGATGGAGATATATTTGGGGTTTTGTCATTATTATATAAACGAACTAAAAGTCTTCATGTTAATTTTTATTAATTCCCAAATCAACAGCAGAATATTTGGTATTTTGTTTTTAAACTTTGATTTGGAATTCTAAGCAACTGTAACAGTGACTCATCAATAAAAGCAAATATTGATTTGATCAACAAATGTTCTCAACTCTCCACTCAAAAACGATGTTAGTTTGTTTTAATAGGTAAAAACTATTTGCTTTTATGAAGAAATTACAGGTAGTAGATGACCTCACCTTTCAGCCACCCCACAGAAACAGCACATATGGGCCACAAAGTGATTTCAGTTCTTGTGACAGGAAGTCAGAGCTGACGTTAATGCATTTTTGTGCTGTGCCTTCACTAAGTTCCAAGCTAGTGGTCCTACCTTGTAGAGGCTGTCAAGCTCTGTTCAGAAATCAAGGCTTGCCTGTTACAGCAGTTTTATTTTATTTTTACAGCCTTTATTTTCAATGAAAGAGTTTTTTAAAGCACAGGATTAATTTAGAGGACGTGAAAACAGACATAGCTACCAGTCTTTCGTAAGCAGGCATACCCCTGCACAAGGCTTCCTGATAAGTACTTTGATTCCCACAAGATGGCCTTGCTCTTGTTAGAATTAAATTTGGAGGTAACTGGGGCAACATTTGGTGAAAGTCCTGTAAAATAGGTCACCTACCACACAGTGAAAGAGGAGAAGTGACTCAAAGGGTAGCTGGGAGCAAAGGCGTATCACCATTCCGAGAGAATAGGATTTAGTGATTGTTACACAAGGAAACTGTGTCCAAAGACCCTTTCAAAGGGCTTAAGAAAGAAGTCTTTGTTGGTGGGAGTGATTGAATCTACCTCTGCTACCTTCTTTTACACATCACAGTATCCCATGACACACCAAGCACACCGTTTAGGGAGGTGAACGTCATGCGATACAGCTTAATAAACACAAAGACGTAAGGTTGGTGTTCTGTTCCCAACTTCTGCCCTACTTGCTGTACCACACATTAAACATCGGAGCACTCTGTTCTGGGCTGGGCTTGGGCCCAGGCACACTTGAATGAATTAGGTACAGTATTAGGACCAGCTTCGAATCAGCTTCTGTTATTTTTGTTAAGCCAACCTCTGTGTTACCCCGTCCTTACTTTTATTACCTGATTTTACTGTTTCTCACAACACATCTGACCTCTGCAAAATGGATCCTTCCACATGCGCTTTAATCCTGTGTTCTGTCTTTTCATGAAATGTCATTTTGAAAATCTCCTTCACATTAGATTGCATACATATCTGTTTATCTGGGGTTATTTTGAAGAGTGTAATTTTTTTGAAACCGAATTTAGAAATATGTACACATTGAATAATAGATATTTCTTCAGATGAATATTATGTAGTTATGTTCCCATTTTCCAAGTTTCTTCTTGGTATTAAGGGCATACTTTAACCCTTTTAGGAGAGAAGTACAATTGTACATTATTCCAGTAATGCTTAATATTTAATATTTATGTAACCTCCTATGCTTTTTAAGTTGCTATTTTGTACAGTTTTGCTTCTTGTAGTCCCTTCACATAGATGCAACATGTAGCCTATTGTTTGGATTAGTTGTTCTTACTTGTCAGAATTATGAGTAGTATAATTGTTTTACTGATGAGACAACTCTGTAATAGAGAGGTGAATAACTTGTCCAAAATTAGGTGGCAAATTGGCTCATAACCAATTGAGATACGTTTAGAAGCTGACTGACTCCAATAAATACTAAAGCATTTGCTATTATGGATAGATCTCAAACTTAGTTCCAACAATACCGATAATAATAAATAATTATAATTATAATTGTTATTATTATATTAAAACCAAAGAGTTGTTATACAAATTTTCACAGAATGACCCTTGGTCACAGAATGTTTCAGCATGGACTAAGCTAAAAAGCAGTGAAGTGGTTCTCAACTAAGGGTGATTTTGCCCTCAGGGACATTTGGCACTGTCTGCAAATAGTTGCAATTTTCATAAATGGGGAAGGAGAAAGTTAGTACTGGCATCTGGTGGGTAGAGGTCAGGGATGCTGATAAACATCTTATCATGCACAGGACAGTCTCCCACAACAAGGGCTTATCTGGCCCTAAATATCAAGAGTGCTGAGGTTGACAGACCCTGCTGTGGTCTATATTTCAAAGGCATGTTTGTACACACAAAAAATAAAATAATAAAATAAAATATCAAAAATTGAAAAGTGAGATAGTCAGAAGAGTAAAGCATTGGTTGTTCTTTTGAAGTATTTTTCAAAAATTTGATAGCTACCTAACTGAAATCCAGGATGCCTCAGTTTAAGATGATTTAAAAGCAATTAACTCTTTACCATAGCTTGACAAGGGACACTTCCTGTGGGTCTATTATTAAGTGAAGATTCCAGAGCAAGGCTGACATAGGAAATACGTACCCAGTATCAGAAAATTCTGCTCTGATGATAAACTTCCTAAGAATGCAAGCTTTGTTTCTTCCTGATAATCTTTCATTTTTCTAAACTCTTTCTCTTGCCTTATACTGCAGATATGAATAAGCCTGGATAAGATTCAACAGAATTGAGCCACAGAAAACCACTTTTTAACCTCGAGGTTCATCATGAGAATCATTTCTAGGATTCATCCCTTTCCTTTGCAGATTGGAAATGCTTATAAGGATAAAAGATTAAAAGATAAGGGAAGGGCTTCATCCCCAAACCCTTTAAATGTTAGGATTCTCTCTCTCTGTCTCTCGTTTTACAGGGATACCAATGAAAGGCACTTATGGGCGACATTCAGACTTTTTATATTTTTACCACATTCCAGTAAAAGTCCCTCTCCAAAGAAATTTGGCCCAAGATGGAATGAAAGAATGAAAGACATTTTATTTTTTCTCCTAGATGTTGGCAATACTCCACTCCTACATGTCTGAGGTTGTTTTCATCTTGCAAAGGACTTTGATATTTGTGAATGTGGCTACAACGCTTAAAAAAAGAGCAGTGATAATGTACACTAACTATTCAGCTTTTACATTAATGCTTAACAAGAAAAAACAATTTTATCGTCCTTGATTATGGCTATAAAAATTAAGAAACCCAGAAGGAACGGGAAGATCTGTGTCCTTAAAAGCAAGCAGCTCCCATTTCACTGAGTTGTTATATCTAATTTATCCAGTGCACCCTGAAAATGAGACCCTCACCTTCTCTAACTTCCAGTCTATGCAGAGCCAGCTCTGACCGGGGCTGGTATATTTGTCCTGAGGTTCTGAGCCAGTCCTGAGGTTCTCACCCTTTTTGGTGTTGGCAATGAGTCTGCATCAGGAGGAGACTTATCTCCCTTTCTCTGCCTATTCTTTCCATCTCTATTCAAGATGAAATTTTAATAAATCAGATACATTCATATTAATTCAACATTCCTCTTGCTAGGTTTCTACAGAAGCTTATAATATTAATTGGGGTAGGGGCACATCATGCCGAATATTTGGAAGCTGAAACCGATAAAATGTGATGTTCTGGAATATAAACTGAATAGTAAGGAAATTATCTGGACTACTGAGTAAAACAATGAAGTTGGTTTAGGGGTGAGGAGTAAATAACGAAGTTGCTTATATTTTATTAAATCTGTATGTCCTTTGAAGTAGGTCTGGAATAACAAGTAAATACTTCTCTTTAGTTTAGTCGTTGGAATGTCGCTATTTCCTTTGAAAATTGAATGACAGACCCCAGAGAGGAAAACTGTCTGAGGAAGGCCATCTGGAAGGGCAGGAAAGAAGATCTTGGGAGAAGCTGTCAAAAACTCTCTGGATATTAGCTCCCTGTATGCAAGCCAATTTTCCCTCCCACGCTGTTCACATTGAGCTGCATGTTTACCCTCCCCTGCCCCATGCCCACCCCAGACCTTATAGAGGGGCCCGGAACCCAGGAGTCTCTTCGATGTGTGAAGAATTTAAATGTCTTGGTCAGGCCTGGGCAAAACCAGGACATCAGATTTGAGGATAGCCTTCCCTCTTGTCTGCCATGCTAAATCTCTACCCTGTCAGGAAATAAACCCAATATCATAATTCTATAACTGATTTTCCTCGGAAGGGATTACATCCAACTTGGTAACCAAGCAGTTGATACTCAGGATAGTTTTGCCTTCTAACGAATTTGTGCCAAAATTCAGAATATCACATTACAGCATTTGCAAAAGAATAGTGTAAAGGCCAGAGAAAAAATGAGCAATGCAGAATATTGCTCCTTAAGTCATCAAAGAAATACAGACAATGTGTCCTATTACGACACCTCAAATACCTGTCACTAACTCCATCCAGCTGTGAGTGTTCAGGAGACAATATTAACAGATGTGTGGTTGGAAATTAGCTGTTTGGGGGGTATTTTTAATGAGATAGTTCTTTATTATTTTTTCTAGAATAAATTCCCCTTCTTTAGTTAGCCTTGATAAAACAGTGTCCAAGGTAAGTCTTGGAATCTCATCAGAAATCTCAAATGATTATTTTAGCTCTTTCAACTTTCTCCTCTTCAAAGCCATTAAACAAAGCAACTAATGAGTAAATATATAGGATGGCTTAAGATTTATTTCTTTCTCCACGGTTTATTCAGAAGTAATAAAATATTAGCAAAGGTAGCCAAGGCGGCTCATGCCAGTAATCCCAGTACTTTGGGAGTCTGAAGTTAGAAGATCACTTGAGGCCAGCAGTTCAAGACCAGCCTGGGTAACATAATGAGACCCCCATCTCTACAAAAATAAAATAAAGTAAATTCGCTGTGTGTATTGGCGTGTGCCTCTAGTTTGAGGTACTTGGGAGGCTGAGATAGAAGAATTGTTTGGGCTCCGTAATTCGAGGCTGCTGCAGTGAGCTATGATTGCATCACTGCACTTCAGCTTGAGTGACAGAGCAAAACCTTACCTTCAAAAAAAAAGGCAGAAAATAGTAAAGTTAAAGAAAAAAATGTTAATAGCCAAATCCCGGGTTGATTTTCATAGATTGAAAACTCAATTTTAGAGGAAAAGAAGGGTCAACTGAATCTTCTGTGTGTCAGGTGCTCACTTAATCTTCCCAATGGAGTCAGTACCTATGAAGTACAAATGAGGTGCCAGAAAGCTGCTATGTTCCAGAACCAAGTCTTTTCTTTGAAAGACTAAATTCTCTGCTTTGTCCCTGCTGCTTTGAGAGTTTGGTTACGTATATGATAAGGCCGTGTAATAATCTTGACATCTATGACTTCTATTTGAAGAACACAACTATGCATCTTTTCTGCATCCTAATAGAAGCAGACCTATTCAGAGACAAGAGTCTTTGTGCATAGTTTCAACTTTCATGCACTTTAGTCACCTGTTTTTTTTTTTTTTTTTAAGGCAGATTTTGACTCCAAAAGTCCAGGATGGGGCCTGAGGTTCTGCATGTCTAACAATTTCCCAGCTGATGCCAAAGCTGCTGATCAGAGTCTACACCTTAAGAAGTAAGGACTGTCAGAGAGCAGTGAGCTGAAGTGCCAGGGTAGAGACTTGGGATAAGGGGCCAAAAGGACTGGCTTCTGTCAAAGTTAAAACTTGGCGCCCCTAGGGAAATTCCTTCAGTGGATTGTGGAGCCATTTGCAAAACAAGGGCTAGTGTAGTCCTCTGGTTGGCTTTTTCACCAGCAGGCTTGAGGTTCTCTACCCATACACAGCTCTCCTGAAGTCCACCGCTGTTTTGTTTGGACAGGCTGGTCTCAAGTCTGAGCTTGCACACAAAGAGCTTATCACCAACACTGGCCTTTCTCTGGCAGCTGTTTTCCTTCCGAGTCCCAGGGCTCTAGTCTGAGGGCAGGAAAAAGGCTTGCTGGAGAAAGAAGGGGTGCTATCAGCAAGCTGTGGTAGATGCCTGGCTTCAAGACCTTGCGGGGGAGTACCTCTCCCACACATACCTCCTTACACACACCCCAAAGATCAGCTTCTCCACTATGTCCTTGCCCTAGAATAAGTATGAAATAAGCAGTTTGATAAATCTATCGGTTTTGTCCATAAAAGCTGGCGAAGAAGCAGAGACTAAATTACTTCCTATAATAAAACAAGGAATTTCTATAAATTACAAGGACTGAATGTCAAGTCCTACAGAAAAACCTGCTCATGGGCATATGTGTCCGTGATGGAACAACACATATCCCACCAGCATGAGGTCAGGCATATGAAATCAGTATGAGGTATATGAGTGCCACATCTAGGAGAACTGATAAAAATCAGAGTCGTTGTCAGCTGTGTAAATTGAGAGGAAAAGGCGCCTTCAGCGACTTCCTTTGGGGAAGGCTTGTTTTGTGCTGGTGAACTGCTCCCCCTGGTGGATCAGAAATCGTCATGGTCGGGATTCCATTCTGAAGGGAGCAAACATGCTCTGGAGAAAACTGGGCAGTTGCAGGTATAGAGATATCCTCCCAAAAAAAGCTAATTTCTGAGCCCCCAGAAATACATTGAATACCTTCTGGGACCCTAACTGAGTCTTAGTGTGGCCATGATGTGAATTGCAAAGTTTGTCTTCCCACATTATTGGAGTTGTCTTGTGTATTCTCATTATTATGGTTGTTTCAAAATTGTGGCTGTATATTGATTTGAGAGATACGGAAAAGTCTTAAGTCCTGTATTTTATTTTATTTCCACTTTAAAAGCAATTCTGGATATTTACAAGGGGAAAAAGACCAACAGCGAGGAGAACATTTTTCTGTGAAATCATTTGTTTCCCTTACTGTCTACTTTTAACTGCTCTCTCTGAGGTGGTCATGTCGATTGTGATTAATTTATGCCTGGGCCTCTTGTTCTACTTCCCTCAACCTAAAAATAAGTTTTGTGATTTTCTCAGGATGAAATTTCTACTTTCATTATTTATGTCAGTGCCAATAGAGATAGTTTATGTTGTTGTTTTCATTAAAGAGATTTTTTGTATGCCCTGCCATGCACAAAGAGGAGATTTTGCAGGTCAGGCAGAGATGAAAATCTCTGACAACACTCTTACTCTTTCGAACATTCTGCAATGAGGATTGCAGCTTCAGTCCAAACAGTGTATAAGCTAAATAAGGAAGTGTTTTAAATATTTATTTAACAAGACATATTTTAAATAACCTACATATGTAAATAGAGTTCTTAGCCTGTACATTATTGCCAGGTCGATTCTCATGTTCTGATATATAATTAATTACTGGTTTATTCCTCTGTAAACCGAAGCAGGGAATAATTCCGTGATGCCAGGTCACTGATGTCAGCAAAATGTAATACCCTTTGTCAGTGGGATCTGTGCAGGAGAAATTGAGACTGTAAAATCTGTGATGGTGGGTGCCAAAAGGTGTCCAAAAAACAAGTTCCTATCTCCATTTTAGTTGTTTTCTCCTGATGTGTAGACTTTTTCTCTATGTTACCTAAGTGGGATTAGAATGCACATTTTTTATGTTAATGCAAACTCAGAATGCCTATGCAGTCTAAACTATGCATTTTATAAGTCACCTAAAGTGTCATCTAAAGTAAATGCATATCATGACCATTTTAAGCAGCACTATTATATTTAGAAACAATAACAACACAAATATCAATCATTTTGGTAATTCTTGATCATTGAAAAAATGAATTTTTAAATGTTTAAGCAAAATCCACAAGTCATTTTTAACTTTTTGAGAGAAAAATATGGCGATATGTATGTATATATATATAATTTTGTTTTCACTTAAATGAGCACCTGTCTTTCAAATTACTCTACTAAAAACTTCTAAAGGGCAAAAATTCTGAACATCAAATTTGTCAAGGGTATAGATAGCCCTAGGAAAGAAAAAAGCAGGCAAAAATGTGGCACCTTTTCTCCTTAGACTTCATTTCTGATGATGTAAAATAAGTAATCATCTCCAATACCTTAGCACTTTGCTCGTTTGGGTCAGTGGTGCAACAAGCATATTTCATTTAAACATAGCACATGTCAGTTACCAAAAACCCAACTCAAAGTTTTTATTCCAAGCTCTCTGAATTAGCTCCTCAACTAAATTCTAGCTAGTGGATTAATGACATAAAATATCTTGGCTCATGGCCACAACATCCGGGAAATTTAGTGTGGAAAATCATGTAAAATGATTGGTTTATGCCATCATAACATACCAACCTATTGGTCATGTCACCTTTTAACCATCATCTACTTGTTTTGCCACGCTTAAAAATGTTCTATATTAAATCCATAATAGATCTTTTTGCTATTCTTGCGGGGCACTTTTGGCTCATGACTGTAATCCCAGCACTTTGGGAGGCTGAGGCGGGTGAATCACTTGAGATCAGGAGTTTGAGACCAGCCTGGCCAACATGATGAAATTCCATCTCTGTCAAAAAATACAAGAATCCAGGCATGGTGGCACACACCTGTAGTCTCAGCTCCTCAGAAGGCTGAGATGGGAGAATCCCTTGTATCTGGCAGGCGGAGGTTTTAGTAAGCCAAGATCACGACATTGCACTCCAGACTGGGCGACAGAGTGAGACCCTGTGTCAAAAAAAAAAAAAAAAAAAATCTTTGTGCTATTCTGCTTTGGGAAGAAATATTAAAGTGCTGGGAAAATAAAAAATGGCAGTAACAAAAAAATAGAATTTTATGGTCTGAGTGATCATCAGAAGCACTGTTAGATGCTGCGTCCATCTTTTCGTTGATGGTACATTTTGGTGCTTAAAATAAATGCCATTTCTGTAATTAACGAATAGGGCTAGTGAGGTATAAATTCGTCTTGGCAGGTTTGAACTCAGTGCTGTTGTGCAGTTGTATGAACAAGGAAATTAAATGTGAAAAATGGCCAATCTGTCTATCCTCTGGGTTCCCTCAACAACGCGGCCTCATGAAGTACCTGCTGCCATATTGACCTCAGTACACACACAGAAGAGCCAAGGGAATTGCTTCTTTGGGGACTGGAGGTGAATTTTTAGATTTGGCATAATCTACATATTATTTTTTCAAATGAAAATGTCGATAAGTTTAAGCCTCCATATCAACGTGGAAAAAGAATTTGTCCCTTAAGATAAATGGTAGCAATAAGATACTCAGATTATCTTCTCATTAAATGTTATTATGATTGACATCTTTGTTTTCACAAATGTTCTTTAAAAATGTTATACTAAGGATGAAGTACACATAATTTTATCTATTATTCCTTCTATGTACAGATAAGACTCTGAGAATTTATAGAAACAAACATTAGAAGGCAGGAATGTGGAGAGAAGAAAGCTACCTGACAAGGGAATCTCAGGATACAAGGAAAACACCAAGGTGAGTTTCCTGACTTTTAGCTTTGCCTGATATATCTCAGACCTAGAGTTCAAGGAACCAAGAACCCCAAAATAATAATGGGAAAGGACAAGAAAAGCCCCAGCGAAAGACTACTCTGTCTCTAGCCAAAGGACAAGGAAAGGGGCAACCAAGCAAGACAGAAAAACATTTAGATAATAACCACTCTATTCTAGCCAAATTCCACAAAAACTAATTAGATGGTGTCAGAGGAGGCTGAGTAGGAAGGAGGGACTTTACCCCTGCCCCCTAATCCTGTGATATCAGTGGAAGCCATGTGGAGAGCAGCAGCAAGGCACTTCCATCCCTCACATGTTGGGAAGTATAGTGGACCCTCGAACAACACAGGTTTGAACATCACAGGTCCACCTAGGTGCAGATTTTGTTAAACAAAAATGTAGCAACTTCCTAGCATGTTCAGATACTCTTCTAGGTACTTGGAAGACAATAGTAAAGAAAAACAGCCAAAGCCCCTGCTGTCCTGAAAGATGCAGGCAATGGAAGAGGTATTAGTTTAGGGACCCACACAAATAAGTAAATTTGCATATATGCTAAGGGTCATAAAGGGGTGGCATGTGAGCATGTGAGAATATAGAATAGACACATCTGCTTGGCTAAGGGCAGTCAGAAAACACTTTCTTCAGAAATGAATGATTTATTTAAAATCTTCATAATTAATTAGGCAGAGTAGGCCAAAAGTTATCTAAGTACAGAGAATGTACCTGTGCAGTTTATTTTATTGACTTGAAAATTAATTTCCTTCATAGGAATGTAAATCTCTGTTTACCACAAGCCCTCTGTCTCCACAAGTTCTGTGTCCAGAACTGAAGGCAGATCCAAATACAATATTCATGGGATGCAAATTCCCATGTATGCCAAGAGATAACTGCTTTATTGGAGGCCTAGTGGGGAACTGAAACTCCCACTCCTGCTTAGCAGGAATGAGAAGCCCCCTTTCAGAGGTCAACAGAAGCTGAGTTAAGAAACCTGAACTTTTACCCTACCTGGCAGTAATGAAGCGACACCCACCTTCGTCTGTGAGGATGGTGTGAGATGAAGGTAGCTAAAACAAAAGGTTTAAATAAGATTCAGAGTCTCATCATATTGAAATGTCCATATTTCAGTGGAAAATTACTCATCATACAAAAACAAGAAAGAACTAAAACTAAGTGAGAAAAGATAATAAATATATGCCAACATCAAGATGACACAAATGTTAGAATTATCTGGCAAAGCTTGTAAAGCAGCCATCATAAAAATACTCCAATGAACAATTAAAACATTCTTGTAGCTAATGAAAATTTATTTGGAAAGCTTCAACAAAGAAATAGGAAGTCATAACCAAAAATAGAAGATAAAAGAGTCAAATGGAAAATTTTGAACTGAAGAATACAATAACCAATATAAAAAACTCAATGCATGGGCAGAATGGAGGAGACAGAGGAAATATTGGTGAACTGGAGGAAACAATATAAATTGACCATCTATACAACAGAGAGAAGATAGAGTGAAAAAAAGATGAAAGGAACCTCAAAGACCTTCGAGATTATAGCAAAAAAAACCAAAATAAAACAAAACCAAAAACCAACAAACAGACAGACAAAAAATTAACCTTTGCATTCCCTGAGTCCTAGAAGACCGGAAGATGGCAGACCTGAAAAACATTCTAAGAAATAATGGCTGAAATGTGTTTAAATTTAGCCAAAGACATAAATATACAGATTTAAGAAACTGAGTGAATCCCAAATAGGATAAACTCACAGAAATTCATAGCAAGACACTCATAGTCAAACTTTTGAGAACTGAAGACAAAAAAGAAAAACAAAAAGTCAATCCAGATGTCCTTCAAGGGGAAGATGATTAAACCAACCGTGATACATGCATGCTAATAGAAAAAAAACTACTGATGCCTGGAACCACCTGGATGAATCTCTAAAGAATTATGGAGAGTGACAAAAATAATTTTAAAATGTTACATAGTATATTGTTTTATTTATATAACAACATGATTGAAATAACAAGATCATAGAAATGGAGACTCATTAGGGGTTAAGGAGGGGGAAGGATAAGAAGGAAGAGGGAGTGGCCATAAAAGGCAGCACGAAGTATCCCTGTGCCGATAGAAATATTTCTTATCTTGACAGTAGCAATGTCAATATCCTGTTTGTTACACTACAGTTTTGCAAGATGTTAGCATTGGAAGGAACTGGGTAAAAGATCACTCTGCGTTCTCTCTTACAACTGCAAATAAATCCACAATTATCCTAAAATAGAAAGTTTAATTTACAAAAACATTTCTGCAAGCCTTGTAACTCAGTGGCTACATAACTCTGGACTTAGACCCAAAGAATTTTGACTGTCACTTTAATCTCATGTAACCCTGGACAAGTATTCAGCCAGTCTGAGCCTACTTTCTTGTCAGTTAAATGGGCATAATGATAGCTACCCTACTTATTAATATTTCACCAACTGTAGTCAGGATGAAATAAAAATGAAATAATGATCAGGAAGGGCTGCTTTTTTATTGTTCTTAGGAACTTTTGTTAAAATGTCTACTAGAGATCAAGGCTCCCAACACAACTAAAGAGACATTGACACAGGAACTGGCGGTGGGCATGAAATACCTAAGACTAAATGAATGTTATGTAATCCCAGCACTTTGGGAGGCCAAGGCCGGTGGATCAGGTGTTCCAGACCAGCCTGGCCAACATGGTGAAACCCTGTCTCTACTGAAAACACAAAAGTTAGTTGGGCGTGGTGGCGTATACCTATAATCCCAGCTACTCAGGAGGCTGAGGCAGGAGAACCCCTTGAACCTGGGAGGTGGAGATTGCAGTGACCTGAGATCTCACCATTGCACTCCAGCCTGGGCGATAAAAGCGAAACTCTGTCTTAAAATAAAAGAGTGTTAACTCTTTTAACTCTAAGACTAAATGAGTGTTAAAATGAGTGCTAACATATATAGAAATTTTTACAGTCTGTCAACATAGATCAGTACAATTATTAGAAAAGGGAAATTATCTAGGTGCAGTGGTGTGTGCCTATAGTCCCAGCTGCTCGGGAGGCTGAGGCAGGAGGATTGTTTGAGCACAGGAGATTGAACTGCTGTGAGCTATGATCGTGCCACTGCATTCTAGCCTGGGCAACAGAGCAAGACCCTGTCTCTAGGAGAAAAAGAAAAAAAAGACTGAGGTTAGCCTAAGAAAAACCTTCATAATTTGCAGCGGTATTATTATTATTGTTGTTCTTAACAATAATAATAACAGAAAAAGTTTTTCTATTTTTGTAGATGTAAGAATTACAAGTACAGTTTTGTTATGTGGATGTAGTGGTGGGTATTGGTGAAGTCTGGTATTTTAGTATAAACATCACCCAAATTGTTTACTTTATACAAGAAAGGGCTTCTTATCTCTTCAAGTACCACAGCAGAAAGAACTCACTTTTGCTGGATGCTAACTGTGTGCCAGGCTCCAAGCTAAGCTGAATGCATTTTTTAATTTATAATCTATGTGTTAGTATTTTATGTGAAATCTTTAAAAGCAGGGTTCCATAGCTGAATGGCAGAGTATGTGATATTTAACAAAGCACCACTAAAGAGGAAATCCCATCTTTTATATCTTCCTCAGGCATTCAAGAGTTTCCAAGTTCAGAGGCTACAGTAAACTCTTAATCCCTGACCTCTTCAACACTCTGAAACTTCAGATATCCTCTCCTTCTCCTTTCCTTAAACATGCTAAATCTAACCTACCATCTTGGTTCTTCAGTGTCCTTTCCCTTGCTTGCTGTGCACAGCTTAAAAAGATGAGCTACACCAACAACCAGCCTCCCTGCTGTGCAGTTTTTCCTTTGCACTACCTGCTTTCTAGAGGACAATGAGTCCATAGGGCTTGGTCCTTTTTCTCTTTACAGCACCTCCCTAATACTGTGCCACTAGACTGGGAAAAGACAGAAGAGTTTGCAGCTAGATGTTGCTGTCTTCTTCTTAATACATTCCACCTCATGTATTATCACAATTTACAATTGAGGAAATGTTAGTCATCTACTGAGAACATACAGCTATGTTAGTTTAGGAGGCTTAGGAAATGTTTAATTAACAAAGAGATGACTGTTCCACATTGTGCACGAATTTGTTTTCTGTTTTCTGGTTTTTGCTATGAGACTCTAGTACAAAGAATCCATTTATTTGTTTATTCATTCATTTGTTGATTCTTTCATTTATTCATTTCATCATGCATTCATCAATGACCTAACACCTACTAATTGCAGGGCTCTGTGGTAGACTCCAAGGATATGAAGGTGAACAACATATAATCTAGAGAGATACACATGAAAACAATAAAATGAGAATATGGTTCCTGGTGTATCAAGGCGTGAAGGTGTTGTCATAACACAGAGAAAGAAGCACTTCACTATGGAGCCGTCACGGCACCTAGAGAGCGTGGGAAACTCAGATGGCTGCAAGGGCCAGGCATACAACAAACTCCCATGTTGGGGAGTACAAGGAACAGCCCTGATGAAATCTGATTGAATAAATGAATAGAAGTGGACCTAGTGTTCTAGGGTCTAGGAACATTATATGTAAGAATGATATCCTGTGGGCCCCATCTTTAACATTTAGCTCAACTGACCATTTGTTACCATATCCAATAAAACCCTCCTACCTCTCCTCATGCCACATGCAGTAGCCTCCTATTTAGTCTCCCTGTTTCCACTCTTGCCATATTTCGTCTTCTTTACTTGTCAATCAGAGGGAGATATAATGCATAAGTTCATGCAACGTCTTCACCCAATGGCCGTGACTGAGAGTTGAAGCCAAAGCCTTTATCTTTGAAAGCATGTTTTTCCTAAATAAACATTAGAATACCCTACACAGGATTTTTAAAAATATCAATGGATGGCCCCCACTCTGGATGAATTCTGCACCCCCAAATTGTGGATGATATAAGGTGGCTCTCAGGCTGCTGCCATTCCATCATCTCACTCCCTCATTATTTTACTCAACCCAATGTTGCCTTTGCACAGAGACCTTTGCTGGCCACCTTGTCCAAGCATCACTGTTCTTTCACATCTTTGCTGTTCTCATAGTACTCTTGGCAATCCACATGCTCTGTTATTGGCTAAATGTGCTTCATAGTCCATCTTTCTCTACTAGAAGATGTCTGCTAGAAGAGTTCAGGGATTTTACTTGTTTTTGTTTACTGTCCTACCCCAGTGCCTGTGAAAGTGCCTGGCACTCACGCCTGTAATCCCAGCACTTTGGGAGGCCGAGGCGGGTGGATCACCTGAGGTCAGGAGTTCGAGACCAGCCTGGCCAACATGGTGAAACCCTGTCTCTATACAAAAATTATCCGGGCATGGTGGCAGGTGCATGTGATCCCAGCTACTCGGGAGGCTGAGGCAGGAGAATTGCTTGAACCCAGGAGGCGGAGGTTGCAGTGAGCCGAGATCATGCCTCTGCACTCCAGCCTTGGCAAAAGAGTGACGCTCCATCTCAAAAAAAAAAAAAAAAAAGAAAGAAAGAAAGAAAGAAAGAAAGAAAGAAAGAAAGAAAGAAAGAAAGAAATTGCCCGGCACATAGGAGGCATTAAATAAATAAAGTATAAAACAAACTGAATTGACAATGACGAATTTAAGAAGGGTTTAACATGTTCAAGGGAAGTGGAGGGAAGTTGATTGAGAGTAGAAACAAGCAATAGGAAATGATCCAGGAAAGAGAAGAAGGCTTGGTAGAAAATAAGGAGCTAGGATATTTTTTCCCTAAGAAGATGAGGAGCCTTATTCATTTTAAACAGGAGACTTTCACAGCTAGCTTTGTTTTTTAGAAAACTCAGTCTTGCTGAATTTTGGGAGATGAGTTAGTCCAAAATTGAGTTAAGGAGACAAAAATGAAAATACCTGTTAGGAGACTCTCCTAATCCTTAATGAGAAGAAGTTGAACAAAACTATGGCATATTTCAACATATTTCAACATCAATGTATGGAAAGAAATGGAAACTGACCCACATATGGGTTTGTTTTGTCTTACTTGGTATTGGGCACAACCCTGAAGAGTGAATGGTCACTTGCAATTAAGTTTATAAGCAAGTAAGTTCACGGCTTCTCTCCGGCAAAAACTCAGGTTTGTCTTTGGGGCTCTCTCTCTATTCTGGTTAACAAATACAAATTAAGGTAGGCTTAAAAAAGACAAACTTAAAACATTTCCAGAAACCAAACAGAGGTCACTGAAGCCCCTCTAGGCCCCTTCTGTTCCCACATTCTATTCCCCAAGTGCGGCCTACATGATCCTGGTTCCTCTCCATTTATAACTTTGCCTCATAGGCCGTTCTGCACATTTCTCATCCCGATGTGAAAAAGTGCTACAGGGCGTCTGTTCAAAATCTTTTCTAATTTCTATTTATGCTTCATTGTCCTATAATCTGTTCAAAGCTGAAAATAGAACTAAGGTATGATCTCAGCATAACCTTTAGCAATTAATTTTGTTACTATTTTTTTCTAACTGAACAAACTCCTAATAAATAAGAAAAGCTTTATCTGTAAAATAACCCCAAAATAGACCTCCACCTCTTACCCTTCATCCTTCTCTAAACTTGCTAAGCCAGTATTAAGTAGAGTCTCCCCCACCCCGCCCTTCCTTCCTTCAACCCAATATTACTTTGGTTAAAGAAGTAAATCTAATTAAAGGAGCATGGGAAATGGAAGTCGTTTTGTGAGTTAGAGAAGCTGGCTCTGTGTATCTTTCACCGGTGATTGGGCTTACAAGATGGAAAATTCCATACACTGCTAAGCAAAGTGCTCTCAATGTTGTTGCAACATCTGCTTTTCTTTGTGTAAAATCTTTTCCACGGGGTGGGTGAAGATTTTTATTCTAATTGAATTTGTAGTTAATTCCAGATAAAGATAAGCCGGGGTTTTTTTCGGTTTTTGTTTTTTGCTGATGCTGCTTAAATCAGGGGTTCCAGGCCCATCCCTCAAGGCCCACTTTTACCCAAAATGAATCAAAAGGAGTAGCAGGTGCTTTGGATTAAGTGACCCTCCATTTCTTTACATTTTTAGAAAGAATAAAATACTTAGATTCACTTAATTCCTGATTTGGTCTTTTAAATTATTTGTGATAGGAGAACAAACTCTTGTTTCTTAAATGCAGTGTTTCTAACCCATTAAGCAAGGATGCGGATGGGCCTTGGTTTGAAGATAGCTTACTACCCTCTTTGAGAATATTAATGTAGTGTTAATTGATCATCATAAGAAATATGTTTATGGTCCTAAACCATTCTTAAGAAACTAAGGAGTCTGTCTTCCAATATTTGTTGCAATATTTGTTAAACAAATTAATAAATGGGTGAACAAAAGAAAGAATAAAATATAATGCCTGTGAGCCTTCCAGTGGCTTTGCCATGCCACCTACTTGATAGCCTTCTGCCTGTCACAGTGGCCTTTGGCAATGAATAATTTCCATCAGTTTATATTTTGGATGTTATGAAATAAGAGAAGACTATTCAATTACAATTACTTTTGTTTTTCCAACCAACCTTGATAAATGAATGGACCCTCATCTCCTCTCCCTGCTACATTTATTGGGGACGATAAAACAGAAAGTAAAACCAGGACCGAGAACCAGAAGTAGCTGGAATCCATTCCTGTACCCTATTAGAGTCACTTAACAAAGCTGACTTCATATTTTCTCCAGAGGGTTTGGACTCAGAGAAAGTGCGCCCCCTTCCCTCCCTAGAAGTGGGGTTGGAGATGTCCACCAAAAGCTATGGGTAAAATACATTAATGTAATCTTGACATTTTCAAAGGTATTATGTATTGTTGACATTACTGATATTGACTAACCCTTGTGAATGTTTACCATTTCTTATCACATTTAGACCCAAAGCATGGATTTGAACTTTTCCTCCTTGAGGGTTCTGCCCTGATTCTTGCAGTTGAGTTAGTTGTCCTTGATCTGGACCCTTTAATATACAGAACATATTTCTTTATCTATCATTGCACATTTTTTAACTGTTGTGAGCTTTATAGACACATTCTCTCCCCAGAAATCTGTTTATTTGGTCAATTTTAGGACAGAAGGAATATTACTAATTTATTTTTAAAAGTCACCAGATGCTCATCAATGATTTATAAATTAATGAACTCAAATAGTTGTAGAAGATTTCATAGGGAAAAAATGCATTTCTCTTATTTGGCCAATTGCAAGCCATCATATGCAATAATGAGAAATGTTGACTATGTTCGGACAAATTAAATACAGTAAGAAAAGAAAGAGCCATCTCAGAATAACGGTAGATTGATTCCAATTTTTGTAATATAGATAATATTGCAATAGACATTCATGGAAAAAAATGTTAAGTGCATTTCTGGTTATAGTTGTAATGTTCATTTCATAGAAATAAATTACTGGACCAAAGAAGGATATAAACCTCACTTTTGCACATTTTCATTAGCATTGCCTATTGCAATTAAGCATATTAATAATAGGTGAATGTAACATCTTTTTGTTTTAGCATGCTCACTCTCTCTCTCCATATATATATGCATGTGTATATGTATGTACATGTATGTGTATATATAGGTGCGTATACTTTCCTACCCTTGATTTTGAGCTTCCTACCCTTGATTTTGAGCTTCCTACCCTTGATTTTGAGCTTGGTATTGTGACTTCCTTTGATGAATTTCCAGTTAGAAGATATGTAAGAGGGACTTAAAATGAGATTTCATGGCTGTGAGAGGTGAAGCCAGCTGGACTTCTGGGTCAGGTGGCACTTGGAGAACTTTTCTGTCTTACAAGAGATTGTAAAATGCACCAATCAGCATTCTGTAGCTAGGATTGCAAAACGCACCAATCAGCACTCTGTGGCTAGCTAGAGGTTCGTAAAATGCACCAATCAGCACTCTGTAAAAACTCATCAATCAGGGTTCTGTGGCTAGCTAGAGGTTTGTAAAATGGACCAATCAGCACCCTGTAAAATGGACCAATCAGTGCTCTGTAAAATGCGCCAATCAGCACTCTGTAAAATGGACCAATCAGCAGGACATGGGTGGGGACAAATAAAGCAATAAAAGCTGGCCACCCCACACAGCAGTAACAACCACTCGGGTCCCCTTCCATGCCGTAGAAGTTTTGTTCTTTCACTCTTCACAATAAATCTTGCTGCTGCTCACTCTTTGGGTCAGCACCACCTTTAAGAGCTGTAACACTCATCACAAAGTCTGCAGCTTCATTCCTGAAGTCAGTGATACCACGAACACGCTGGAAGGAACGAACTCGGGACACAGTTGGTCATACCTTCTTGTATTTATTCCATCCCCTGAAGCGCTGCATGCCCCATTCTGCCTGCTGATCACAGGAGGACGATAAGCCAACTTGCACTATGAAGCTGAGTCATCTTGGCTGACTGAACAATAAGTAAACACTTATTGTTACATGACACTAAGATTTGAGATTATTTGGTACATAGTCATAGCTGACTCACACATACTTTAAAACAGGCCTGTTATTGAGGCTATACAACAATGAATAAAAGGACAACAGTTTTTATGTAACTTGCGCTGCATTGAGGGAAAAAAGTTACATATAGAATAATAGTTTTTATATCTATAGTGTCAGGTGGTGATTTGATTTGAAGAAAAAGTAAACCAATAAGAATAGAAAATGGCATTGGAGGAGTATATTTCTTTGATTGCTACTGAAATTGAATATTTTGCATTTCTTTTCTGAAATTTGCCTCCTAATGTGCTTTACAAATTTTTCCTTGGAGTATTTGTAATTTGTAATTATTTTCATATGTTATATTACCCATTTACATATACTGGCTATTAAAGTGTCACAAATGTTTTTCCTAATTTGATTAACATGTTATATTGTTGTTAAACAGAAATTCTTCAAATTATAATTTAATAGACTTTTGTTTTATGCTTTACTGCATATTTAGAAATATTTTATATTTTAATTTTTACATTTAACCATAATTGTGATTTATTTTAGTCTATAACGTGAGGTGAGGACCTAACCCCATCCTCAGCCTTGACAAAAGTTTCTATCATCAGTGCTTAATTAATTCAATTTCTCCCAGTTGATGTAAAATGTTACCACTGCAAGCTATCAAAAATTGGGTGGCATATACTACTATTGCTGGTTAATATATAGCCAGTAATATTCTGCCTTAATGATATTAAATGGCATTAAGAAGTGTGTATGAAATTACTTTCTATGAATGAAAACAGGTAACACATATGACAAAATATGTCGCTATTCCTGTAAAACCAATATATACACACAAACACATGGGAGGGAGATTAGAACAAACTCCAAAATATTAATAACCTTTCACTCTAAGTAAATGGAGGGATGATGAGTAGTTTGTATTGCTTCATCGCTCTTTTCTATATTTGTCTATACTTTTTATCTAAAGTAAGCATAAAAAACTTCTAAAAGCAGAAAAGAGTTAAAAATAATTTTTTAAAAAGAAAACAAAATAGGACTTCATAACTTGAAAAATTTTATTAACCAGAACCTAAGTTTTTTTTTATTTAATTGCATTTTAAATAAAACAGCAAACTATTCGTTGATATCTTCATTTTTTTCTTATTTTTCTTTTGAGACGGAGTTTCACTGTTGTTGCCCAGGCTGGAGTGCAATGGCACGATCTTGGCTCACTGCAAACCTCTGCTTCCGGGTTCCAGTGATTCTCCTGCATCAGCCTCCCGAGTAGCTGGGATTACAGGTGTGTGCCACCACGCCCACCTCGGCCTCCCAAAGTGCTGGGATGATATCTTTATTAAACAAGAAGCCATTTAGTTTGCAATTAGGAAAAAAAATTTTAAATTTCCTTCCTTTCTTCTAGAAAGCGATTTCCTAATCTCCCTACTACTATTTTTAGGAATAGGGTCTATTTTTTGTTTTAGGTATAGGTAACTCCTGATATCTTCACAGAAATGAGGTAGGACTGTATGGAGTAGCATGCTTTGTGTGTGGTGTGTGTGTGTGTGTGTGTGTGTGTGAGCTATAATTTGGATGTGTGTGTGTGTATGTGTGTGATATAATTTTGATATCTGTCCCCACCCAATTTCTCCCTTTTGGAACTGAAATGTTTACTCAATGCTTCTATCTCCATTGTATTTTTTTTTTTTTTTTTTTGAGACAGAGTCTTGCTCTGTCGCCCAGGCTGGAGTGCAGTGGCACAATCCCGGCTGACTGCAACCTCTGCCTCTCAAGTTCAAGCAATTCTCCTGTCTCAGCCTCCCGAGTAGCTGGGATTACAGGCACGCACCACCATGCCCAGCTAATTTTTGTATTTTTTTAGTAGAGATGGGGTTTCACTATGTTGGCCAAGCTGGTCTCCAACTCCTGACCTCAAGTGATCCACCGGCCTCGGCTTCACAAAGTGCTGGGATTACAGGCGTGAGCCATTGCACCCCTCTTCTCCATTGTATTTTGAAAGTAACTACTTGTTTCTGATTTTACAGGCTCATAGGTGGAAGGCATTTGCCTTGTCTCAGATGAGACTTCGGACTTTTGAGTTAATGCTGGAATGAGTTAAGATGTGGAGGGATGGTTGGGAAGGCAGGTTGTATTATGCAATGTGAGAAGGACATGAGATTTCGGAGGTGTCAGGAGCAGAGTGATACAGTTTGGATATTTGTCCTCGCTCAAATCTCATGTTGAATTGTAATCCCCAATGCTGGAAGTAGGGACAGTGGGAGGTGTTTGGATCATGGGGGTGGATCCCTCATGGCTTGATGTTGTCTTCATGGTAGTGAGTCCTCGTGAGATCTTGTCATTTAGAAGTGTGTGGCACCTCTCCCTGGACTCTCTCTCTCTCTTGCTTGCTCCTGCTTTCACCATGTGACATGCCTACTCCTTTCCACTTTCTGTCATGATTGTAAGCTTTCTGAAGCCTTCCTAGAAGCCAAGCAAATGCCAGCACCATGATATCTGTAAAGCATACAGAACTTGAGCCAATTAAATATCTTTTGAAAAATAAATTACCCAGTCTTGGATATATCTTTATAGCAACACAAGAATGACTGAGGCCGGGTGCAGTGACTCACGCCTGTAATCCCAGCAGTAAGGGAGGCCAAAGAGGGAAAATCACCTGAGGTCAGGAGTGTGAAACCAGCCTGGCCAACATCATGAAACCCCATTTCTACTAAAATTATATAAATTAGCCAGGCATGATGGTGCACGCCTGTAATTCCAACTACTTAGGAGGCTGAGGCATGAGAATTGCTTGAACCCAGGAGGTGGAGGTTGCAGTGAGCCGAGATTGAGCTACTCACTCCAGCCTGGGCAACACAGTGAAACTGTCTCAAAAAAAAAAAGAAAGACAAAAAACAAAAAACACAACAACAACAACAACAAAAACAGAATGGCCTAACACTGTGTGTGTGTTTGTGCACACACATACATATATTTTTAGAGACAGGGTCTCATGCTGTTGCCCAAGCTAGAGTACAGTGGCACCATCATAACTCACTCGAACCTCAAACACAGGCTCAAGCAATCCTCCTGATTGCTTAGGCCTCCTGAGTACTTAGGACTGTGGGTCTGCACCACTATGTCTGGCTATTTTATTTTATTTCTGGAGATGGGGGTTTTTCTATGTTTCCCAGGTTGGCCTTGAACTTCTGGTCTCGGACAATCTCCCTGCCTTGGCCTCCTAAAGTGCTGGGGTTGCAGGCATGGGCCATGGTGCCCAGCCAGAAATAAATTTATATTAATGTTCCTATTTCTTTCCTAGAGTCATCTTCTGTGGATTGCAGAGGGAACATCTTCACTTGTTGGGAAGTTAGGCTCCATTTTTTCTGAGGACCCATTTAAGCTGTGGTTGGACAGTTCCGTAAATTATCAAGACAAGGTTTAGAGTAGGCCAGTCACTGAGTGGCTGCCCTCTTGAGGGGAAGCCTAAGCCTGAGAATGGAGACATTTACAACGTGGGGGAAGAACACCTGGCTTCCTTGCTCCATCACAGAAACACATCTCAACACATCCAAGGTTATGAGGTAATAAGGAATTAACTATGGCCTCTCCTGCCACATGTCAAAGTTGATTCTATTCTAGATGAGTCTTAATTATGCCAGTGAAGTGTGGAGTTTAATAGAAAGAACCTGTTGGTTGAAAATGTAACTTTTATTGTAAGGACTAAGAAAGATTAAAAGTAAACTTTGCTTTACATGTGGTGAGCTTAATTTGAAGCTACAGAATTAATTTTTGAGGCAAAAACTCCACATCTCTCTTAAACAGTGTTTGGCTTATTGTCATTTCCTGTATATGAAATATCTCAACCTAGGGAGAATCCACATTTAGAAAATATTTAGCCTCTGATTTTCTGAACCTGAGACCTTCTTATACTCAATTTTAACTCCAATTTATTCTCTTTGCAAAGGATATAAAAGCTAGCAACGTGTAAGTATTTGCTTTTTTATTGCTGGAAGCCACCACTTTTTGAAAGCCTACTCTGTGCCAGACATAGAGCTATGGGTTGGTTTTACAGACATTATTTTTTAATACTGTACTACCACTGTATGGGAAATATAGTCTTTCCTTCCTTCCCTCCTTCCTTCTTTCCTTCTCTCCCTCCCTTCTTTTTCTTTCTTTCTTTCTTTCTTTTTCTTTCTTCTTTTTCCTTCCTTCCTTCCTTCCTCGCTTCCTTTCTGTCTCTTTCTTTTAGATGGAGACTTGCTCTGTCACCAGGCTGGAGTGCAGTGGCATGATCTTGGTTCACTGCAACTTCCACCTCCCAGGTTCAAGCGATTCTCCTGCCTCAGCCTCCCCAGTAGCTGGGACTACAGGGGCGTGCCACCACACCCAGCTAATTTTTGTATTTTTAGTAGAGACAGGGTTTCACTCTGTTGGCCAGGATGGTCTTGATCTCTTGAGCTCGTGATCCACCCACCTCGGCCTCCCATAGTGCTGGGATTACAGGCATGAGCCATTGTGCCTGGCCTTCTTTTCTTTTCTCTTTTCTTTTCATTTTCTTTTCTTTTCTCCCCTCCCCTCCCCTCCTCTCCCCTTCCCTTCCCTTCCTTTCCCTTCCCTTCCCTTCCTTCTCTTTCTCCTTCCTTCCCTTCCTCCCTTCCTTCCTTCCTTGATGACTCTGAGAGACAAAGAAATTAAGCACATGTTCAAGGTCACATCACCTATAAGTGACTGAACTGGGACTCAAACCCAGGTCTATCTTACACTAACACTGGACAATCCTCCTGAATACTACATCCTATCCTACAAGGGAAGCCAAAATCTCATGTCATTCATTTCACTAGTGCATTATATGATTTTCCTAGAGATACATATATGAGCAATATGGATCATTACTTATGCTAATAATATGTAATTACTTATGCTAAGAATGTTATTAACAAATTTGATCTAAATGTCAGTATTCATATTTATGTAGGCACTGTAGGGCACGACTGCCTGCATAGATTATTTGTTTGGTGGGTTACCAAATTAACAATATGTTAGCCGATCTCTGTTTTTAATTCTCATCATCATTAAGTTCTTTAGGTTACAATTTTTATTTAGGAGAACTCTGCTAAAGTCCAAAAATATAGGATATGACAGGCAATTATGCAATTGTCACATAATAATATATGTGCAGTTCAGTTTTTCAGGTTAGAGGATTGTCATCTTGAAGGGAGGGAAAGAAGACAGAAGTGGAAATAATTCTCAAAAATAAGGAGTTATGGTAAAAATTCAAAGGTTGTGATATTAGCCAAGAGGGCAGGGGATGTCTTGGAAAATAGCCACTGGGTACCAAAAAAAGATGATTGAAAAGGGCAAAGCAGTAAAAGAACTGGTAGAAGAGTTACTGATTTCTGACTTCACTTTTGAAGACTCTATGCTAGCAAACAAATGAAAAATGAGCTTCTAGAGTTTTCGAGTAGAGTGGGTTTCACTGTGTGGTCTTGAGCAAGCCATAACTTCGCCAAATATTTGTTTCCTCATGGGGCTATTAATAACAACTATACAGATATCAAGGGGTTGTTGAAAAATTCAAATAAAGCAATGTGTTAACTAATATTCTAGAGCTGACATTGTAAACACCATTCAGTAATATTTTAATGTGGCCAGGCTCATGCCTATAATCCCATCACTTTGAGAGGCCAAGGCAGGTGAATCATGAGGTCAGGAGTTCAAGACCAGCCTGGCCAATATAGTGAAACCCTGTCTCTACTAAAAATACAAAAATTAGCTGGGTGTGGTGGTGCGCACCTGTAGTCCCAGATGCTCCGGAGGCTGAGGCAGGAGAATCCCTTGAACCCGGGCGGCAGAGGTTGCAGGGAGCCGAGATCACACCACTGCACTCCAGCCTGGGTGAAAGAACAAGATTCCATCTCAAATATATATATAAAAGTATATATATAAATATATATAAAAATATATAAAAATAGATATAAAATATATAAATAGATATAAAAATATATAAATGTATAAATATAGATAAAATATATAAAACTATATAAATATAGATAAATATATAAATATATAAATGTATATATAAATATATAGAAAAATATATAAATATATAAATATATAAGCATATATAAATATATATAAGTATATAATATATATATAAGTATATCTAAATATATAAATATATAAATATATATCTAAATATATACATAAATATATAAATATATATATCTAAATATATACATAAATATATAAATATATATCTAAAAATATATAAATATATGTATAAATATATAAATATATATCTAGATATATATAAATATAAATATATATCTAGATGTATATAAATATATCTAAATATATATCTAGATCTATATAAATATATCTAAATATATATATCTAGATATATGGATCTAGATATATAAATATAAATATAGATAAATATATATGTAAATATATATCTAGATATATATAAATATATACATCTAAATATATATATATATAAATGAAATCTCTATCTATGAAATGAAATGAGAGGGTGAATAAAGGAAATTCATATAGCTTAATAGTCCCTAACTAGAGCTTTTTAAAAAATCAAGTTTCATTAGTTTATCTTCTGAACTCTACTTTCTGATAAAGGGAGAAGCAAAGCCTCTTTTATATTTAAATCTTCATGACATATATTGCATAAGATCGATTATAAACTTGCAACTGACTCATCTAATTTTTAGCTGGAGGGAGGCCCTCCCATATACCTGTAATTCCCATTGGATAAGTGAAAGTTTCTCTCTTTTCTCTTTGATGTGATAAATTCCTGAAAGCCATTAGTGATTTAGGGACCTTTCTGAAGAAAATCTCTCCTTGAATAGGAAAGCAGCATTAATGTTTTTAAACAGCCACTGGCTCCTTAGATTTAAGGAGCAGCATCAGCAACAGCAACAAAATGATTCAAAGTAAGAAGGAATCAACTAAGCATTTCCAAACTTTTTTTTTTTTTCAGGAAACCAGATGGTAACTGATCATTGACATTTTCCAAATGAGGCATCGGTAGGGCCAAGCAGGTGGAATTAAAGAATCTAGAGCTGCCTAAATTCAAAGTAGCATCAACTTTGGCAGCAGATACAGGGCAGTTAAAAGTCCAGGCAGTCATTCATTACTTAATCTCTACAGATATCCATTCCTTTAAGGGACTTTGCTTTTGTTATTTTTAACTTAAAAAAAAGTTAGTGTTTTTCTTTTGAAATAATTAAAGGGAAAGGAAGTCTAAAGAGAGGCTGAGTGACATCCAATATTCCCAAATACCCTCTTGTTGCTTTAGGTGATTGGTATGCTTAATTAAGGAGGGTCCTAGGTCTATCATTGACCAGGGCCTGACCTGGGGGGTAGGGAGTGGGCTGTAACCTGACCGAGCCCAGGTGTGTGCCTGCAGGTCATACACTGGGAAAACATGTGGCCTCAGTAAGCCTTTCCCAAGCCTGACCATGCCTTTAACTATTTCAGGTCTTTCTCAAGTGTTCACATTGTCTCATTCTTAGACTATGTCAGCATGCTTTCCTCTAGATTAACATTTTCAAGTTGGAAAAGGAAGTGCATAAGGTGAAGGGACTCGTTTCAGGCAATAGAGTCTAAGACGGTAGAGAATAGAACCCAACTCTTCTGGCTTCTAGTCACTGCTCAGGTCACACAGCACAGTGCCATCTATCAGGCCAACTCTCACTCACTCACGAACACCAGTTATTGACAAGACAAGTTTTCCTCCTCTACAGCATCTCTTTATCTCCCCTCCCTCCCTCCCTCCTTTCCTTCCTTCTTCTCCCCCTCCTGCTTCTCCTTCCATTCCTCTCTCCCTCTCTCATCCTTCCTCTTTCTCCTTTTCTCTTGCTCCCTCTCTTCCTCTCTCCTTGTGTTCTTCCTTCCTTTCCCCTCTCTCTCCCTCTTTCCCTCCTTTCCTCTTTCCCTTTCTTCATTTTCTTTCATTCTTGTCACAGGCAAAGCAAACTTTGCTGTCACAGTGTTTCAGAAAACTCAGTTCTTGTGTATCTGGCACATGGTGTTAAGGAAAACACAATGGCCAATGATGTTTGTTCTCTATAAATTTCCCTCTTCCGTAAGAGGTATTTGCTTCGTTTTCCTGTTGATTTTTGCTTCCTTTGCCCCCAAACAATTATTTTCTAATGGAAGTAGTAGCAACTAGAAGGTTCTGAGCCTTCTGATCAGTGAACTGGTTAATTGGTGTCCTGGCCTCTCATTAGTTCTTTTTATGTTTGTATCCCCACTGACTTCTCAAAGGTTCTGTTTGGACCATCAGGATGAAGCAAAGATAGTAGATAAGGATGCCATTCCCTCTTTCTTTCCTTTCTCCTCTAGTTTCCTCTGACCTTCGAAACCCAGACAGGAGTGCCAGGATCAGAAGTCCAAAAATTCCAAAGTCTCACTCAAAACTGCCTTTGCTACATCTTCTTATACATAATTTGGAACATGTTTATTGTTACAAAATTCTGCTCTCTCAAATTGGAGAATGCTAAAAGTAAAACCTTGTCACATCTTTTTTCTCACATTTTAATTTTGTTACTATGTTCTATTTTGCCTTCTCAACCAAGAGGCTAAGATTTTATTTATACATTCCCAAGCCTTTCAGTAAATAAACAGAAATTTTGATCAGTTATTAAGATTACTCATCTACATATTATCAAATAAACAGATATTTGAGATATTCAAATTCTTGGTTTCTAAGAATACTAACACATTAGTATGTGCTAGTAAGAATTACAAGGGGAGAAACATCCCATAATAAATAAGTCTGTGAGGCTGGGTGTGGTGGTTCATGCTTGTAATCTCAGCACTTTGGGAGGCAGAGGTGGGCAGACTTCTTGAGCCCAGGAGTTTGAGACCAGCCCAGGCAACATGACAAAACCTCATCTCTATAAAAGAATTAAAAAATTAGCCGGGTGTTGTGGTGCATGCCTATAGTCTCAGCTACTCGGGAGGCGGAGGTGGGAGAATTGCTTGAGCCCAGGAGGTCAAGGCTGCAGTGAGCTATGATAGCACCACTGTCCTCCAGCCTGGGCCACAGAGCAAGACCCTGTCTCAGTCAATCAATCAGTCAATCAATCGTCTATGAAATGATGTGCTAAGTAAAGTTAGGTGGATTTTATAAAAATTACATTTTCTAAACTACTGATTCACAAAACTGCTTTCTTTGGTAGAGTAGGGCTGGTACTTTCAGGAAATGCTGGATATACAAGAGAGTGATCAGATGTTGAGCATGATCATCTGAAACATAAGTATTGTACTACAGTTGATTAAATAATAGAACATGTTTATACAAACAAATTATAAGAAGCAAACAGAAGCGTTTTGATGAGATTAAAGTTAGATGGTAAGGATACTTGTCTCTGTCAAAGTTAATAATAATGACACACACATGCACCCCACACTTTACACATGTTAAGTGCCCCCAGGATTCAATCAAGAAAACATTGCATTAAGTTTTAAAGTGTTTTTTTTATTTTTATTTATTTATTTATTTTTGACAGAATCTCGCTCTGTTGCCCACGCTGGAGTGCAGTGGCGTGATCTCAACTCGCTGCAACCTCCGTCTCCTGGGTTCAAGCAATTCTCCTACTTCAGCCCCCTAAGTAGCTGGGACTACAGGCGCATGCCACCACGCCTGGCTAATTTTTTGTATTTTTAGTAGAGACGGGATTTCACCATGTTAGCCAGGATGGTCTCGATCTCCTGACCTTGTGATCCACCAGCCTCAGCCTCCTAAAGTGCTGGGATTACAGGCGTGAGCTACCACACCTGGCCAAAGTTTTTTAAAAGTATGAATACAGCACTTTTTTCTTCGAAGAATGCAACAGGTCTACCTATCTCTTAGTGTAGCTAATTCATCCAAATAAATTTGAATAATTGGATTTCAAACATTTTTCAAGAGGAAAAAAAATTTAGAAAATTTAGTTTCCATTCATATCTTGAAACTATGTGGTTATAGCTCTGGAACTGAACCAATCCCAATGAGGTAAATATGAGCAGAAACATGCATTCTACTGACCTTCACAAATTATTATATATCTAAGTGCCATGTTGTCAGTAGTTTTTTCTAGTGCAAACTTTTAAAAGGTAACACATTCATTATTATAACTTCATAATTTTTATCTAAAATTTGAACATATATATTCAGTTCAATGTGCATGTGACTTTAATTCTGTTTGGAAAGAAGACTGAGTTAGGTCAGCTGTTTTTCCACTTTAATACAAAGATATGGAATAGCAGATTGGACCGTGGTGACATTGTAAAGTATGCGCTTTTTTCCATGTAACAGCCTTGAGTTCCATAGCATTAAAAACTTTATCAATCAGATCAAAGAAACTAAGAAAAGAACACTTGAAAGAAAATTTCAATGCAAAAAGGAAAGCAAAATAAAGGAATGACGAATAGAACAAAGAAAGGAAAAAAGGAAAGATATTGATGAAAATTAAGATTATATTTGGAGAAAGGTCTCTTTACATGACAAGAAAGCAATGGCCTGCTTATTTTTATCTAAGGAGACACACAGACTATCGGAATGAGCATATGTTTACCTTTTCAAAAATTTGATACCGTGCATCTAAACTGTAGTAGACATCATTTGTTTTTGCCTGTCCACCATCTATTTTCTATTTGTCTGGTAGTAGCACCTTGATTTTCCTTTGAAGAAATTCTTAGCCCTACTGCATGGAGTCCAAGAGTGGTGAAGAGTCTGTGTCTATTCTTCTTTACCCAAGGTGTGGGCCGTGGCTATACCAATGGAATTCTCTATCTCAGAGATTTAAATCTTAGCATAGAGAACCTGGATAGAAAAATAAAGAGCTGATTCTTCTGCAGGAAGAGGATGTTCTTCAGTTTTCAGCTCACTGATTGTCACAGTATAGATATCTTTTTCTACTTTATTTTGATGGTATTTCAAGAATCTACTTATATGTTGGGTTCTTCAAATGCCTCAATTCTGTCATCTCAAATGAATCATTATTTGTCAAACAATCAAATGAACAGCCCCTTCCTGGATCTAATTCTAGCTTTAGGCTCCATTTGTGTCTCATGCACACATCCTGGATATTACCTACCCTACATGATCTTCACTAATTACCACAGAGTCCCTAGACCGATGGATAACACTGCCCCATTACTCTGAGCATTGAAAATAATGATGTATTCTTTTTACTCTGATTTGGCCTAATTAAATAAGTAATATGCAAGAGAACCCATCCACCCCAATAAAAATGATATGTAATTTTCAGAGTTTATGAGATGCAAAGCCAAGTTATGGGGAAGAAAGTGAGCTATAAGTGGAAGGGACACCTGTGTTATTATGTGGTCTCACTTTCTTGCATGTAATAATGGAAGGGGTTTGATATGGTTTGGCTGTGTGTCTCCACCCAAATCTCACACAGAATTGTAATCTTTGATGTTGTAGGAGGGTCCTGGAGGGAGGTGACTGAATCATGGGGCCAGACTTCCCCCTTTCTGTTCTTGTGATAGAGTTCTCACAAGATCTGGTTGTTTGAAAGTATGTAGCACTTCCCCCTCCACTCTTTCACTCCCTCTTGCCAGCTGTGTGAAGACATACTTGCTTCTCCTTCACCTTTTGCCATGATTGTAAGTTTCCTGAGGTCTCCCCAGAAGCAGAAGCCTGAAGAGCCTGCAGAAACCATGAGCTAATCAAATTTCTTTTTCCAGTAAATTACTCAGTCTTAGCTAGTTTTTTATAGCAATGTGAGAATAGACTAATATAGAAAATTGGTACCAAAGAAGAGGGGCATTGCTATAAAGATACATGAAAATGTGGAAGCAACTTTGGAACTGGGTAATGGGCAAATATTGGAACAGTTTGAAGGGCTCAGAAGAAGACAGATGAGGGAAAGTTTGGAACTTCCCACAGACTTGTTGAATGGTTGTGACCAAAATGCTAATAATGATACAGACAGTGAAGTCCAGGCAGAAGTCTGATTCAGGGGTGGAGCCCTCATGTAGAACCTCTACTAGGGTAGTGTGAAAGGGAAACATGAGGTTGGAGCCACACAGAGTCCCCACTGGAGCACCACCTGGTGAAGCTATGAGAAGAAGGCCACTGTTCTCCAAACCTCAGAATGGTAGATCCACTGACAGCTTGCACTGTGCACCTGGAGAGGCTGCAGGCACTCGACACCAGCCTATGAAAACAGCCACTGAGATTGTGCCCTGCAGAGCCACAGGGGTGGAGCTCCCCAAGGCCTTGGGAGCTCACCACTTGAATCAGTGTGTCCTGGATGTGAGACATGGAGTCAAAGGAGATTATTTTGGAGTTTTAAGATTTAATGACTGCCCTGCTGGGTTTTGGACTCTTGTGGGGCCTGGAGCCCTTTTGCTTTGGCCAATTTCTTCCTTTTGGATTGGCAGCATTTACCAAATTCCTGTACTTCTATTGTATCTTGGAAGTAGCTAACTTGTCTTTTATTTCACAGGCTCATAGGTGGAAGGGACTTGTCTCAGTTGAGACTTTGGGCTTGGACTTTCGAGTTAATGCTGGAATGAGTTAAGACTTTGGAGCAACCATTGGAAAGGCATGATTGTGTTTGAAAATGTGAGAGGGACATGAGATTCGGGAGGGGCTGAGGCAGAATGATATAGTTTGGCTATGTGTCCCCAACCAAATCTCATATAGAATTGTAATTTTCAGTGTTGCAGGAGGGGCCTGGTAGGAGGTGATTGAATCCTGGGGGTGGACTTCCCCGTTGCTGTTCTTGTGATAGAGTTCTCAGGAGAACTGGTTATTTGAAAGGGTGTAGCACTTCCCCCTTCTCTGTCTCTCTTCTCCACCATATGAAGATGTGCTTGCCTCCCCTCTGCCTTCCACCATGGTTGTAAGTTTCCTGAGGTCTACCCAGAAGCAGAAGCCTGGACAGCCTGCAGAACTGTGAGCTGATTAAACCTCTTTTTTAAAAATAAATTACACAGTTTCTCAGGTAGTTCTTTACAGCAGTGTGAGAATGGACTTATACAGGGTTAGAGGAAAATTACAGAATAGGCTCAGTGAAAATATTGCATAGCCATCTTTGCCCCCAAAATTGAAACTAGAATGAAAATTAGAAGAGAGAAATAATTAATTTATTGATCCAAGAGTTGGCAAACTGTAGCCTATAAGCCAAATCAGACCATGCTTATCCAATTACATATTGTCTTCTTGCTGCTGCACTACATTGGGAGAGTTGAGTGATTTCTACAAAGACCACATAGCTGACAAAGTACAAAATTGGCCTTTACAAGGAAAAAGTTTGCCAACACCTGGATTAAAATGCATTCTATACATTCATGAGAGGAGATGGGAAACATTTTGGAAAAAATATTATTAAGTATCTACTCCTATTTTGAGATTTCCAAAGAGCATGGCATTTGGAAGATCTGGTTATAAGCTTCATTTCTCCTACTGAAAAGGCTGTGAAACCCAAGCAGTTATTTAAATTCTCTGAATTTCAATTTCCTCTCTATAAACCAAGCCTATCAATAGCACCAAATTCTCATCTATAATAAAGGTTAAGTGCCCTGGTATATTTGTATATAATCTATGAATTTTAAACTATGTTAGTTTTAATAAGGAACACTCAAGAGTAACACCACAATTCCCCAAATACATTCTCTCCTCAGAGAAACAATCACTTCTGTCCATTTTTGTTAAAATTCTAAAGGTTTTTGCCTACAAATTATTGACTAACATGCTATTTCTATTTCTTCACTTAGTAACTTGAAATTTATCTACTGAATTCCTATTATGATAGGTAAGAATTTCATTTGCACTCTACTTGTAGTCATCTTTTTGTAGTTCTATTTAACAAAACTGAAACTTCACATCTTATTTTTCTACTTTTACATCTTCTTTTCCCTATCTACTTTTCAACTTCTGTCAGCTCTACTATTACTTTTACTTTATGAAGATCAATAACATGATTCTATTGCATCTAAAATCATTGCAGATTCTATAATTTTTCCAAGTGAAGAGTGTTTTTCATAGAGTAATTGGCTAACTTAAATATATATGTTTATGATGCATTGTAAAATAGTTGACTGGCTACCTGTTATATTTAAATTAGTAATTTTGTACTGTAAAAATGTAGGAACATATATAATATGTACATACTATTAACTTAGAAATATTTTCTTACTTTCTTATGTCTATGGGATAATTCTTCTCAGAGTCTCCACATTCACTGCCATCTTCTCTGGAACCATCTGGGAAGTCATCAAAGGCTGTGTTCAGAATCATTTGTGTTTTTATTTTAATAGTTCAGATACAGATTTTTTTGTAATGCATTGAATGATGTCACTGTAATTTTATCCTAAACTGCAACTTACGAAATACAGTTTTTATTCAACAGGAAGAGAAAATTCATCATCTCCATAATACAACCCCTTACTATATTGCTTTTTAAAATGATCTTTAAAAGATTTGTTTCCAGCAACTTTCATCACTTGCAAGTGTGAAATTTAAGAATAATGTCTCAACTTGTGCCAAATTTATTTGCTTCTACTGTTGTCAGCATGATTTTTCATTTCATAATAATAATTATTATTTCTTTTCCTTTCATTTCTCCTCCTCTTTCTCCTCCCCCTCCTCCTCTTCCTCCTTATCCTCCTTCTCCTCCTCCTTCTCCTTCCATATCTTTAGATAACCTATTTTCCCCACTCTGGTAACTTTTCAGATCTTCCTTTTTAATATCTAGGGTTCTGTAATTTCACATTAATATTTTACTTCATTTTCATGACTCTTCTTTGGCCCTTGCCAGGCATTTTCATGTTGAAATTGCATGCCTTCCTGCGTGCAGTGTAGTCAATCTTTCTTTCTATTGATTTGACAGCTGTCTTCTACCTCATTTGTTCTGTTCTTTCTTTATGATACTAATATTAATTAGACATTGAACTTTTGGAGTTAACTCTTCTGTTTCTTTTCTTTCACATTTTGCCTTTTCACATTTTGTGCTGCACATTCTGAAAGATATGTTATTTCTTCAATTTTTTCTCCTCTTTGTTTTTCCTGAAATTATATCTTAAATTCCTAGAAACTCTTCTGGTTCTCCAATAGTTCATTTTTCATAGTAGACTGTTCTTGTTTGACGAATACAGTATCTTCTTACATTTCTCCAAGGACAATAATTTGAGTTTTTCTCTTTTACCTGCTTTCTCAAAATCCTGTTTGTTTTTAATTCTATTTGATTCTTCATGTTTTTTGTTTTTGTTTGTTTTTGTTTTCTGTCTTTGTTTCTATTCATGCGAAAATATTCCTCAACTTTCTGGAGATACGTATCTGTTCCTATTCAAGAATGAGGAATGAATAAATCTGGTGTGAGGCTCAGAGCATATAGGTGAGTTTTGTTGATGGATAGGCTTTGATTTAGGATCATGAACACAGACCCCTAAATACTACAAGAAAGGCATTCTTCTGTAATTCTAAACCTTCTCCAGCTCCCAGATTCCATGTAGATAGTTAAATTTCTTTAGAGAATGACTATGTAATTTTTTTTTATATTTTTTTAAACCTGGAGTAAACACCAGGTTACTAGTAATCATGCTTGCTGGGATGGAGGGGTTACCTGATTGTTGATCTTCACTTAATCTCTCTCTTTCAGGCTTACTCTTTCTCACAGTATAATACTAGAACCTCTCTGGAGGGCACCAGCTAGCCTGGCAGCCCCTCCCCGCATTAGTTCCCTCTACCCTCACTTTGAGCTCTGTCTTCCTGGTTGACTTCACAGGACAACACTCTCCTATATACTTTCTCCTTCCAGAAATGTGGCAAAATCTCTGGTTTTCTGGTGGTTCCGGGTTTTGTAGATTTATATGTATTTATATTCTTTATTATCCTTTACCATCATTTATTGGATATTTAGAAAGTAGAGGAGAAACATATCTGTGGTCAGTATTCTAAACTAGAATTTAATTTTAATTTTATTAACCTTTATGTATTGATCTGATTTTCCAAGTTATTACACTTCCATAAATAATAAATTACAAAGTTATAATTGGAAATAAAGGAGATACCCAGATCCCACCTCCTTTAAAAGTTTAGCTATTCACAAAACACACATTCCCTCCCTTTGGCAAAGATGCTTCTGCTATTGTATTTTCTAAAAATAATTAAGAGAAATGATTTTCAACTTTTTTTCTTCTCTAACACTACACAAACAAATATCTTAGCCCTTTTCCTCATACCTCTCAAAAGATGTTTTAATTGCAATCTCTGAGTCTATCTAATTTAGGTCTATTTCATAATATGTTTAAAGAATCTTGACTTTGCAATTAAGGAAGCATGGAATATGTCTGCTACTGTCTCAAAGTACCATTCTTTCTGCACCAGTGCAGTGTTCTCTGGTCAGTAAAGGGTAAATGAAACTTGGTATTGGAGTTCCAGGACAGCTGCCCAGGTAGCCTCCTCTAAATTCATTTTTAACGCCAGCTGTGGCATATCTATCTGAGCTGAGCTTTCATCTCTTCCCTCTGCATCTGGCTCAGGCCATATTGGCATTCTCTGATATTCAAAGATCTTGCTTTTTGCTTTTTTTTCTCTTTCTTTTCTTTTTCTCTCCATCACCCAAAACATTGCTTTGGGAAAACCGGAATAAGGGATTTAGATTGAGTAAAACAAAACAAAACAAGACTCAGACTGGCTGAATCAGGTGACATATCCCACAGTCACACTTTGGTATTTTTTCTTCTTTACCATCCCTCTACTCCTCTTTCCCTCCCTCCCTCTTCTTGCCCCCTTTCCTCTTTCTTCCCTTCTCCTCTCCTTGTCTTTTCTCCTCTCTTTTGCCTTCCACCTTTTCCTCCTAACACATTTTCTCCTCCTCTTCATCCTTTGAAGTGAACTTCTTCGTGTAGCAAGGCACTAAAGCTACCCAGGTTTCTGCTAAGCAGCTTCAATTCTCAACAGGGCACAGCTGTCATCTGATGTTATCAAAACGGGCAAAAGTCGATGGCTAAAAGTCAAAGATTTGATGAAAAAATAGGTGTTGAAAACACCAGCCTCAGCAGTTTAAGCAACAAGTCAAAGGGTTTTGAAGCCAATACCAGTCTGTCTTCACAGAGGAAAATGTTTGGGAAGATGCTGTGAAGACCCCTTCTTTCATAAACAGACAAAGCTCCCTGCTTTGGCAGAACTGATTCCAGACCTGAAAATGTCTGGAAACGTTTAAGTTTTTCCCCTTATTTTTCTCTGATGTGGGAACTTCCATACTGAGTAATTTTGAATTCTAGAAGTGGGGTTAATAATGTTAATGCCAGTCATGGCTGAGATAGATGCCAGTCCATAAGAGTCTTTACCAAGTTATCTCTTTTGTAACTATTTCAGCCTTCCGTGCACTTTTTGCCCTTTTGCATTTAAATGGATATATCAATGAGCTGGTTTGGTTAACTTAATCAATTAAACCTAAGTGGCAGGATTCTGGTTTCAAATTGTGCAGTGCAGATTAAAGGGGAAAAATGTATTTTGGATTCTCAGATTAGAAGTGGTTAGTATATAGTAGTTCTAATATATAGTAGTGAGATATTTTGATAGCAAATGAAGAATTTAGTTCAAACTAGAATGAAAAGGGAAAAAATCTACTCAAAACAAATATGCTTTACTGATGCGTAGCCTTTTCACCATGCATGGGCCCTACCATAGGCAAGGTGTCAAGAAACTAAAAAGAAAGTACAACCCAATGCCTTCAAGTATAAAAGTCCTGAGACAATGAACCCACAGAGAAAAATAGGTTTAGATGGAAAATTGAGGCGATGACTGGGTGTTGCTCTAAGCCCTTGGTATTTATTATATTTCTTCCTGAAAAAGAGTTTGCAGTCTAGAAATTAACATTTTTCATTTCCATATGCTTGAACATTTTTCAGTGCTATTAAGAATGTCCATAGAAAATTCAGGTCATACTGACTACTTAGACTACACTTGCCAGGGCATATTTTTGAAACCTCATTTCTATTTTTGTGAGCTAAAATTTTGCAGGTAGTAAGGTGGTAGATGCAAATATCATAATGTGAATATGAGCCAATTAACCAACAACCACATTTTATGAGGTTGCAACCACCTAATTGTTTTGTGTCTGCAGCTAATTATTTCTGGGAGATATTTCTGCATATGGAAAAGGAGTCTGTTATTATAATTGAGTATACAGCAAAACAAAAGTTCTGCTGTAAGTACATCAACGGCAAGGATCACATCTTCTCTGTGTTCCATAAAATTCCATAAATCACTTCGGGCTCATGGATTCTAAATGAATATAAACTGCTAATGGTGACATGATTCTAAAGTTTGGAAATCAAATTGTATAGCCAGCTGCAGTGCATAATATCCAAGATATAAAATAGCAACAAAATTTTGAGTGGTTGGTATTACTAACTCATTGATGCTGTTTCTCATAGACTCATAATTTTTCAGATGGAAAAAAAATGGAAAAAAATCTACTCCAATATCTTTATCTTAAAGTTTGAAAATTATGGTCATGAGAAATTATGTGACCTACTGAAAGACTTGTGATGCTATTAGGCTTAACCCCTAAGGGGCACAATGTCTAAACCAGTGCCCCCCAGAAAAGGCTCAGCACTTTCCCAATTTTTACTTTAAGATGTTAGAGGCAATACATGTCACCAGAAAACATGTCTATTAAACCCATGCATGCCAGGCCTAGGGGAGCTCTGACAAGTTTATTTAATTACAGGAGGCTAAACTTGTTCTTATAAATTGGTCTGTCCAGACAAAGTCATGGACAAAGTAAGCAGTTTTATGCAGATAGGTTTTATTTTTGTTATTATTGCAGCTGCTCATTGATATTTTAATGTAAGTTTTTATTGAGCTATGCCCTGAGGCTTTTTAAATTGAGGGTTCAATTATTTATAAAATCTAATAATTAAGTAAATTAATGAGCCTAGTCAGAAATCTGGCAACTTGACTGTATGGATTAGACACAAGAAATACTAATGGAAAGGAGGGTTTTTTTCCGTCTTTACAGGAAAATCTTTTAAAATATTTTAGACTATGCTTTCTAGATGTACACAAAAAGTCTGAGGCTGAGATTTGCAGATGAACCAGTGCACAAATGCAGGTCAGAGATAGAGCTTAACAGCAGATGGGGGTGGGCTGGGCACACCTTGTGATTGATCTAAGTTGCCCCTCTTGCCAAAGCAATTTAGAGTTTTACCAAGGACAGCTTCCAGAAATACAGAGGAATAGCACAGTGGTCACATTTCTTTACTTAAAGATTGAAAACTGATAAATTATAATATGCCCAGAAGAATGTAACTATAACGGCCACTCAGAACCACAAGATGAGGCCAAATTAAAGAAACTAAACATGGTTAACTTGGAGAAGGCTACATCCTCGAGTACATGATAAGTCTCTGAAAATATTTTAAAAGAGAACTATACTATTAGATGGGTGCAAAAGTGATTGCTGTATTTGCCATTACTTTCAATGGCAAAAACCGCAGTCACCTTCGCACCAACCTAATAACCCTGGATTACCCAGGAGAACGCAGCTAGAGATTCAGCTTTTGGTTCCACAATTCTTCCATTTTGTTGCTTTGCTGCTGGGGTAATTCTTCAGTCCTAACCCTGGCTGTGCTGATTGTTTTCCTCAGTTCAGTATGAGAGAGGATGCTGCTTCTCTTTGGTTATGGAGCCCACAGCCCTTACGTTTAAATCTGGTAACAAATTAGGCTTTTTACTTCAGTTCCACTTCCTGAATTCTGTGTTTGGCAACTTGCACGGCCTTCCCCCATCCTCTCACAGGACTGACTTGGTTTCATGCTCTGACATGAGCCTAACTGCTTGCTCATCTAAATATCATTTCTCTCATGTCCCCCTGAGCTATTTTTCACTCACTCTCTGGATTCTCCATGCTGCCTGTTTTGCTTGATTTGTACATGGAGATGGACAAGCTCCTGGACAAGATTTAATCCGCTTGCATAGTGTCTTGACACTATGGTTGCTTACCTCAGAAGTTTGTCTTTAAAAAGATAAATGCCAGCATAGTATTTTTATAACTTTATCATCTTTATTGCTCACCACACATTCTTGTAGTACCATTATCACATTGCAGAGAAACAAAAACTGAGATTCAAGTGCCTTGAGTGACTTGCCTGAGATTTATCAGCAAGTCAAGGCATGCCCGGAACACAGGTGGCGATCTGATGGCAGGGCCTGTGTCGTTTCCGCCATAATCCCCTCCTCTCACTATTTCACGCTCCAGATTATGATTCATTTTTATACAAAGACAGTGAAACTACAATAGGACTCTTTATGAAATATGGTCTGGTGTAGTCCAGGTGTGTTCATTATTCACACAGGACATAATTATTAAAACCAGTGTTCCAGGACTTCCTAAAGTTTAAAGGCTCTTATGGTCTGTATTTAATTCCTTATTGAACAAAGAATGTTTTGTCCTGGAGATTCCGATTGAATAGAGGCAATGTAATGGAAAATTTTTCCATAAGCAAACCAAATGATGAAACCTAAAAGCAAGGCTAAGACCTTAAAGGTAGAGTGGGCAAAACTAAGAAATATGCTCAGGCACACCACCAACTGCGTAGGGAATTGCAGAAAGATTTTCTCTGCAGCTCCCTAGTCACACCAGCCCCTGCTCTGAATTCTGCTGAATCTGTGTCCTTCTCAGTGTTCTTGAGTGGCTGTGGTGGACAAGCTGATGGGAATGCTCTACTGGAAGAGTGGACAATGGTGGGTGTGGAGTGTTCAGCTTCTTAGGCAAAGATCTAAATCCAGTGAAGAAAATAGCCCAACTAGAAGAGAAATTGTGGAGAAATGGGAAGGTCACACTCTCCAAGTCAGGGGCTGGGGTCTCTTCCTAGCTGTGTGATTTAGGCCATATTGTTTGTTCAGTTTTTTCTGCTCTCTAGTTGTCTCATCTGTGAAATAGGAATAACGCCACCCATCTCAATTATTTGACATCAAATTAAGTTCAATAACATGATATAAAATGTCTTCCATGAAAAGATGTTTAATGGAGAGTGTCTATTTTCTATACTGCTGTTCCGAATAAAATATGTCTTTTCAAAATCAATATACACTAGAGCAAAGAAAACATTCCACTTTAATTTGTTTTTCCTTGTAGGATGTGAGAATGTCTTCGCTGCATTATTATTTTTCAGCATTGCCTCTGCTGACTTCATGGGAGGAATGGTGTTTCTTCTTCTCTCCCATGTCATGGAAGACACTCCTGATGGCATGTCTGTAGGTCTGTAGGAAAGAATAATCACCTCAGTAGCTTAGTGTGTGTATGTGTGTGTGTGTGTCTGACACACTGTAGGTACATAATAAAGATTTGAAAATATGAGTTTTTTTTAATCCAAGCAGTGCCATGTGTTTACTTGGATTAGTAATTGTACCAATCTACATTTTAAAGGTAAAACTAGCCATTCATTCTTTTGTTTCAGCAGTTGCCTAATTTTATTGTTTAAGTATAATGTGAGTGAAGGAAACTTCCTAGTTAGAAATCTATGAATATTAACTTCTTGTCTTCACTAACCAGAGTTGTTCTCAACTCATAACACGTGGTTTGGTAAACCATTTGCAATGTAAACATAGCAGATTTTACTTGTAGTTTCATAATTTAGGCAGGTTGGCTCTGTATTATTTCTAGAATCACAGGTATCTGGATGAAGAATCACCATTTTGTCATTAGAGATTACAACAAATGTAGTTTATTCTTTTTACCGGTAATATCAATGTAAGCAAAAATTATACTTTTTAGCTAAGCATGTTATCTTCCCAGACTGGAGGAGTTATTATCTTCCATATTTTCTCTATCTTCCACTATACAAAGGGAAAATAGATTGGAATTGTACTGGCCATTGCTTTGTAAAGAGAATATAAATAGCAATAAAACATAAAGAAAATGACTGACACGTGAATTTTATCGAATTTAAAAAATTTTGTTTAGGCCAAGCCACAGAGTGGGCGAAGATCTAGGAAAACATATATTCGACTGTTAAAGAAAAAGATATTTATAGCATTTGTTAAAGATGGTAAGGCAGACTTTATCTAGAGGGACTATCACAATGAGGTTTTGCAGTAGGAGTGAGAGATTGGGCTTACTCTAATACAAGGAAAAAAGAAAATTCATAGCTAAGGACCAAGGTGGGTGTCACTAGATGTACAAACTCTAGGAGTAAACATAAAAGCTGATAGGGAATTCTGACTAAACTGGGTTGACAGAATTTTTGCAGAAGGGAGGCCAGGTGATAAGATATTGAGAGTGGGAGATAAGGAATTTGATTAGATATAATAAGTGGAGGATTTATATACTTGACTTAGGAGAATTTTTGCTAAAACTGGACTAAGAGGTCTTAGGACAGATCCTCAAGACAGAGCCTAGACAGAAAGAGGACTCAAAGGAGGCTGACGTAAGTTTGGTCAAAAGAGAGAGTCTTTGTCATGATAAATTGTCTAAATTACACTTTAGAAAAATTTTCTAAAAATTGAAAAGAAAAAGATAGACTAACCTAATTTAATAATTGGGCAAGAGACTTAAACAGTCATTTCACAGAAGAGGATATTCAAATGACAAATTCATATGGAAAGTTATCAATAGCTTCAGTCAATTGGGAGATACAAATTAAAACCACAGCCATGTCACTCAAGCCTGGGTAACAGAGTGAGGGTCCATCTCAAAAACAAGCAAACAAACAAACAAAAAATACACAATGGTGGGACAGAGGGTAGAGCAAGATGGCAGAATAAGGTTCTCTGGTGATTGTACCCAAGCAGAAAAATCGATTTGGTCAACTATCTATGCACATAAATACCTTCCAGGAGCGAAGGAAACCATGTGAGAGATCACTGTACCTGGTTATAGCACAGTAATGAGAAAAGATGCACTGAAGAGTGTGAAAAGGACAGTTTTACATTACCCAACTTACCCTTCCTTTAACCTTAGGTGGCAGAGGATGGAGAGAGATGCTTTCAACTTGGGAAGGAAAGTAAGCATAGGACATTGCCTTGGATCCCAATACCAGTCCCACCACAGTAAAACTCAGCAAAAAAACAAAAAACAAAACAAAACAAAAACACAAAAAACCCAACCATGGCCTCAGACTCCAGACCAGTATTCATGGACTGAGCCTCTAGACCTGCCCTGGTACTAGGTGAGCCCCAGCAAAATGCATTCAAGTTTTGAACTATATCACCAATGGCCAACTGCTGTGGTCTTAGGTTCTGGATAAACCTCAGAGACAGGCAGGCCTCATTGACCATGGGCTTTGGGTGTCCCTTGATGGCTATGGAATTCCTACAAGGTGCTGCAGCAGTCCTGGAGTTCAGGGTACTCCAATCCTGGCTACATTGACTGTGGTAGTCCTGGTCTTAGGGCACCCACTAACACTGCAGCAATCTTGGGCTTAGAAATTATAACGGTCTGCTTAGAATTTCTGATAACCTTACTGTTGAAGAACATTCTCAGACAAAACCATACTGAAAAGACTATAATAAATACCTATTTCTTTAAGGTGAAGACACTTAAAGAAGGTGACATATGACCACAAGAATTAAGAACAAACAGGGAAACATGATATCACAAGAAAAAAATATGAAGCCAGTGACTAACCCTGAAGGGACAGAGAAGAATGTACTGCCTGACAAAGAATTCAACATTTCTATTTTAAAGAAGGTCAGTAAACTTCAAGAAGAAACAGAGGAACAACCTAGAAATTTATTAGAGATATTTAACAGAAAAATTAATTTAACAGAAAAATTAAAATAATAAAAAAATTAAAACATATTATAGAGCTGAAAAATATAATAAATAAATACAATAGAAAGCATTAACAGCAGAATTGATCTATCAAAATAAAGAACCTGAATGCAAAGACAGGTTAGGTTATTTGAAAATACACATACAAGGAAGAATAAAGAAAAAATAATGAAAAGGAATAAAGAACTTTGACAGGATTGATGGGATAGCATTAAAAAAGGAAATATATGAGTTACTGGTGTTCAAGAAGGATTAAAGAGAGAGAAAGAGGTAGAAAAGTTATTTAAAGAAATAATAACAAAAAACTTTTCAAACATGGAGAAAGGTAAACATCCAGCTACAAGAAGATCAAAAGTCACCAATCAGATTCAATTCAAATAAGACTACCTCCATATATATTATAACCAAATTTTCAAAGATCAAAGTTAAGGAGAGGATTCTAAAAGTAGCAAGAGGAAAGAAGCAAATAACATATAATGGAACTCCAACATGCCTAGCAGCAGACATCTCAGCAGAAACCTTACAAATCAGGAAATAAAGAGAATAATATATTTTAAATGCTAAAGGGAAAAAAGTACCAACTAATAATATTGTACCCAGCAAATCTATTCTTTATAAATGAATGAGAATAAAGACTTTTCTAGACAAATGCTGAGGGAGTTTGTCACCTTTAGACCTTTCTAACAAGAAGTGCTAAAGGGAGTTCTTCAATTTGAAAGAAAAAAAATGCTAATAAGTAAAACAAAAACATCTGGATATATGAATCTCACTGATAAAAGTAAGTACATAGTCAAATTCCAAATACTATTATATAATAGTCTAATTGTGGTATGTAATGATAGCTTTAGTATGAAGGTTAAAAGCTAAAACTATTGAAATAATGACTACAATAATTTGTGAAAGTACATGCAATATAAAAAGATGTAAATTATGACATCAAAATGTCAAAATGTAGGGGAGAGGAGTGAAGCTAAAGTACAATGTTTTGTTTTTTTGTGATCAAAGCTAAGTGTTATCAGCTTATAACCTGTTAAAACTATGAGATGTTTCTTATAACCTAAGATTGACAACAGAGCAAAGACCTATAATAGATACACTAAAAATAAAAAGCAAGGAATCAAAACTTATTGCTAAAGAAAATAAAGGAAGACAATAGGAAAGAAAGATAGAATCTAAGATATAACTAGAAAACAATTAACAAAAAGGCAGCAGTTAAGTCCTTACCTATCAATAACTACCTGGAATGTAAATGTACTAAATTATCCAATTAAAAAATATGAAGTGGCTGAATGGTCAACAATAAAAGACCCAACTATAGGCTGCCTAAAAGAGACTCACTTTATTGCTAAGAAAACACATAGACTGAAAGTGAAGGGATAGAAAGACATACTCCATGCAAAGGAAAAACAAAAGAGAGCAGGAATAGTTCTACTTATATTAGATAAAATAGACATCAAGTCAAAAACTGTAAAAAAAGACAAAGGAGATCATTATCTAACAATAAAGGGGTCAATTTAACAAGAGGGCATAAGAATTTTATATGCACCCAGCATTGAAACAAGTACATATACAAACCAAATATTAATGGGTCTAAGTGGAAAAACTGACTAGAATACAATAATAGTAGGGGATTTCAACACCCACCTTTCAGCAATAAACAGATCACCCAGACAGAAAATCAATAAAGAAACATCCGATTTAAACTGTACTCAAGACCAGACAGACCTAACAGACATTTAGGTCTGTTTGCAGTAAGTTTGCATAAGTTTGCAGTAAGCATGCCACTGCACTCCAACCTAGTGACAGGGCAAGACTCCGTCCACCCCCCCGCCAAAAAAAAAGGAACGTTTCATTCAACAGCCCCAGAATACACATTCTTTTCAACTACACATTTATATAGCAATAAATGCCTATCAAAAAGGAGAAAAATGTCAAATAAACAATTGAACATTTCACCTCAAAGAACTAGAAAAACAAGAGCAAACTAAACCAAAAATTAGAAGAAGAAAAGATATAATTAAGACCAGACTGGAAATAAAGTAAATAAAGGTGAACAAAACAATACGAAAGATTGAGAAAAAAGTTGGTTATTTGAAAAGATAAACAAAATTGACAAATCTTTATCTATACTAAGGAAAAGAGAGAAGATTCAAATAAAATCAGAGATCAAAAAGGAGACATCACAACTGAAACTGTAGAAATAAAAAGAATTATGAGACTATTATCAACAATTATACACCAATAAATTGAATAACCTCAAATAAATGGATAGATTCTTGGGCACACATAATCTATCAATTTTGAATTATAAGGAAATAGAAAATGTGAACAAATTAATAACGAGTAAGGAGATTGAATCAGTAATAGAATATTTCCCATTAAAGAAAATCCTAGGACCTCATGGCTTCATTTCTGAATTCTACAAACATTTATAGAAGAACAAATACCAATTCTTCTCAAACACTTACAACAAATTAAGGAGGAGGGAACACTTCCAAATTCATTCTACAAGGCCAATATTACCCTGATAATAAAACCAGAGAAGGATGCAACCATGAAAGAAAACACATGCCAATACCCTTTTTGAATATAGATTAAAAAAATCCTCAACAAAATATTACCAAAATAAATCACATTAAGAAGATCCAGGTCGGGCACGGTGGCTCACACCTGTAATCCCAGCACTTTGGGAGGCCAAGGCAGGTGGATCACGAGATCAAGAGATCAAGACCATCCTGGCCAACATGGTGAAGCCCTATCTCTACTAAAAATACAAAAATTAGCTCGGTGTAATGGAGCACCTGTAGTCGAAGCTGCTCGGGAGGCTGAGGCAGGAGAATCACTTGAAACCGGGAGGTGAAGTTTGCAGTAAGCATGCCACTGCACTCCAACCTAGTGACAGAGCAAGACTCCGTCCCCCCCGCCCGCCAAAAAAAAAAAAAAGGAAATCCTTCCCCATCATAAACTGGGATTCATCTCTAGGATGCAAAGATGGTATAACATAGGCAATTGAATAAACAGGATACATCACATTAACAAAAACAAGGACAAAAGCCACATAATCATTTCAATAGATGCAGAAAAAACATTTAACAAAATTCCACATCATTTTATGGTTAAAAACTTGAAACACGTTAAGTATAAAAGAGATGTATCTCAGTATAATAAAGGCCATATATGACAAACTCACAGCTAACATTATCTTGAACAGGGAAAAGCTGAACACTTTTCCTCTAAGATTTAGAACAAGGCAAACAAATTCACTTTCACAACTTCCATTTAACATACTACTAGAAGCCCTGGCAACAGTAATCAAGCAAAAAAAAAAGTTAAAGACATCCATATTGAAAAACAAGAAGTTAAATTGTCCCTGGTTGCAGATGACAAGATCTTTTATACAGAAAACTCAAAAGACTACATCAAAAAACTATTAAAACTAATACACAAATCCAGTACAAGTGCAGGACACAAAATCAACATAAAAAATCACTCGTGTTTCTATACACTAATAGCAAACTATCTGTAAAAGAAATCAATGAAACAATTCCATTTACAATAGCTGTAAAAATAAAATACGTAGGAATGCAGTTAACCAAAGGTGTGAGAGAAATCTACACTGAAAGCTATACAACACTTATAAAATAAATGTAAAAAGACACAAATAAATAGAACAATATCCTATGTTCATTGATTGGAATAATTACTATTGTTAAAATGTATATAATACCTAAAGCAATCTACAGATTCAATGCAATCATTATCAAAATACCAATGACATTCTTCTCGGAAATAGAAAAAAAAATCATAAAATTTGTATGGAACCACAAAAGACCCCAAGCAGTCAAAGCAATCCTGAACCAAAAGAACAAAGCTGGAGGCATTACATGATTTGACTTTAAAATACACTACAAAATTATAGTAACCAAAACAATATGGTACTGGCATAAAAACAAAGACATACACCAATGAAACAAAATAGAGAGCTAAGAAATAAATCCACAAATTTACAGCTAACTGATTTTTGATGCAGGCACCAAGAACACAAAATGGGGAAAGGGCAGACTATTCTATAAATAGTGTTGATAAATGGATATTCACATGCAAAATAATGAAAGTAGACTGTTATCTGTCAGCATATACAAAAATCAACTCAAAACATATTAAAGGAATAAATCTAAGACCTGAAACTATGAAACTACTAGAAAAAAATGCAATCTCATTCATCTGTGGAATCTAAAAAACTTGATCTAATAGAAGTAGAAGAAAACTTAGTGGGAAAGGTTTATGACTTTGATCTGGGCGATAATTTTTTTTATTATTATACATTACGTTCTGGGATACATGTGCAGAACAGGCAGGTTTGTTACATAGGTATACATGTGCCATGGTGGTTTGCTGCACCCATCAACCCATCATTTACATTATGTATTTCTCCTAATGCTATCCCTCCCCTAGCCCCCACCCCTCAACAGGCCCGGGTGTGTAATGTTCCCCTCCCTGTGTCCATGTGTTCTCATTGCTCAACTCCCACTTATGAGTGAGAACATGTGGTGTTTGGTTTTCTGTTCCTGTGTTAGTTTGCTAAGAATGATGGTTTCCAGCTTCATCCATGTCCCTACAAAGGACAGAAATTCATGATTTTTTGGCTGCATAGTATTCCATGGTGTGTATGTGCCACATTTTCTTTATCCAGTCTATCATTTATGGACATTTGGGTTGGTTCCAAGTCTTTGCTATTGTGAACAGTGCCACAATAAACATAAGTGTACATGTGACTTTATAGTAGAATGATTTATAATCCTTTGGGTATATACCCAGTAATGGGATTGCTGGGTCAAATGGTATTTCTGGTTCTAGATCCTTGAGGAATCACCACACTGTCTTCCACAATGGTTGAACTAATTTACACTCCAACCAACAGGGTAAAAGCGTTCCTATTTCTACACATCCTCTCCACCATCTGTTGTTTCCTGACTTTTTAATGATCACCATTCTAACTGGCCTGAGATGGTAACTTGTTGTGGTTTTGATTTTCATTTCTATAATGACCAGTGATGATGAGCTTTTTCCCATATGTTTGTGGGCTGCATAATGTCTTCTTTTGAGAACTGTCTCTTCATATCCTTCGCCCACTTTCTGATAGGGTTGTTTGTTTTTTTCTTGTAAATTTGTTTAAGTTCTTCGTAGATTCTGGATATTAGCCCTTTGTCAGATGGATAGATTGCAAAAATTTTCTCCCATTCTGTTCAGGTCTTGTCCCCATTTTTAATCCCAGGCTTTTCTTGCTATTGAGTTTTTAAATATAATTTGGATATTAACTCTTTATCACATATATACAATGTATAAGAAATATGCAGATATTTCATATCATTATGTAGATTGTCTATTTTCTCTGTTGACTTTCTTTTGCTGTGCAGAGTCTTTTTTGTTTGATGCAATTTCATTTGTCTATTTTTGCTTTTCTTGGCTATGCTTTTGAGGACTTATTTTAAAAATTATCTATAAAAAGATGTCTTCACTCTAATGTTTATTGCAGGAGTATTAACAATTGCCAAGAAATGGAATCAATGGATAAATGAATAATGAAATATGGCATATATACACAATGCAATACTATTCAGCCACACAAAAAAAGGAAATTCTGTCATTTTCTATTAACAACATGGATGAACCTATAGGGCATTATGTTACTTAAAATTAGTAAGGCACAGAAAGATCAATAACATGTAATCTCATTCATCTGTGGAATCTAAAAAAACTTAATGTAATAGAAGTAGAGAGAAGTAGAATGCTGGTTACCAGAGCCTGGGGTGGTTAGGAGAAAGGTTATGGGTAGATATTGGTTAAAAGATGTGTAATTTCAGTGAGATAGATAAAAATAAATTTAAGGGATCTATTGTATAGCAAGGTGACTATAGTTAATTGTGATATGTTGTATTCATAAAAAATGCAAAGAGTGGATAAGTGCTCTCACCATAAAACTGATAACTATAGGAGATACGGCATTTGTTAATTAACTACATTTAACCATTCCATAATGTATATGTACTTCAAAACATCATGGACATGCTAAGTACACACAATGATTTCTATCCATATATAAAGGAATAAATAAAATCACTGTGTGATATCACTATACGACCACCAGAATGGCTTAGTCAACTACACATCTAGCTGGCCAAACAACGTCTGACAATGTCAGTTATTAGTTATGGTTTAGGACAACTATAATTTTCATACTCCAATGGTGGGACTGTAAATGTGTACAACTACTTTGGAGACTCTTTGTCATTATCTACTGTGACTGAACACATGCATGCATATCTGTGACCTTACAATTCTAATCTTAAAAGTTTACTCAATAGAAATACATCAGTATGTCTTCTAAGGGCCATGATGCTACCGGCATTATTCATAGCAGTCCCTGAATGAACGAATCCCAGTATCTACCAACAGTGAAATAGATGAAACATGGTATGTTCATGCAGCAATTAAAAATAATAAAAGAAGAACAAACTTCTGCATGCAATAGCATGGAAGAATCTCTAAACATAATACTGAGTACAAGAAGCCAGACCTGCAGAAAGTAGATAACATGAATCCTTTTATAGAAAGTTCAATAACATAGCAAAACTAAGGCATGGTTAATCAAAAAGTGGCTACTTTTGAAGAGGTAATGACCAGAGTAGATTAATAAAGGAGATTTCTAGAGAGTTGGTCATGTTCTATATCTGTACTTCTCAAAATTCAGTCTACATATAGATCTCCTTCGAGATCTTTTTGAAATGCAGATTCTGATTCAATAGGTCTGGGTGGGAGCTAAGATTCTGCATTTTTAACAAGCTCCTAGGCAATGCCAAGGCTACTGGTAAATGAATCACACTCTGAGAAACGAAGTTTGATACCTTCTGAATGGTGTATATGCAAGTTTATTTGTAAAATATCATCAAACTATATGTTTATATTTATGCACTTTCTTTGTATATGTTTTACTTCAATAAAAGATCTATTTAAAACCAATGCCTTTGGATTGAAAGTTTGAAATGAAATTTTTAGCTATATTTTTGTGAGTAGCAGAAATAGAACTTGAACACTGGATTTGTTTTTGATTGAAAGCAACATTAACTTTGAAAAACTTAAGTCAGTAGGATTTTTACTGGAAATGTATGGAGAGTCTTACAGAACAGAAAGAAAAACCTAAGGATCACACTTGCAAAGTAGCAGACTGGAGCAGCACCAGAGGATTTTGGTACCAGAAACTCAACAGATTTGCAACCGTGCTGCAATAAATGACCTCAAATATTCTCAGTCTTGTTTCCCTGTTTACAGTTTTTAAGGAAAGACTGCTCAATTGGCCTAACTTAGAAAGGGCACCTGCCTGTCCCTAAGGAAGGTCAGGGCACCTAATTAACACAGTCTCATCAGACACCACCTAAAGTGTGTGCACTAATTTACAGAGGGCAATTGGTGTATGTTTTCAAAAGATGGTTGGATTGATGCTAGCTGGCAAAGACAGTAGTATGCAGGAGTCAATTAAAAGAAAAATTGACCGAGACTGCCTTTGAACTCTGCAACCAGTTCTTATATCTCCTCTCTCTCTTCGGAGGTGAGAGTGAGATTGCCTCAGTAACTTGTCTAAACGTACTCCCTTGACTGAGCTCAATTCTGTGATAAAGTGTGTGTGTACTGCCAGCATAGGAGCAGCTACAGGTCAGCATTTATACAAGATGGAAAAATGCATGCAATTGATACTGCTTACTTGATTCACCCTGAGGTAGGTTATTTAACTATTTTAAGTAGAATTCTAGAAAGAGATTAAAAGATAAAAACAACAATAACAGCAACAAGTAGACATTGTTCATACTAGAGATAATAGGAATTGTTAGTTATTTCCATAATTGGTTCTAAAGGCAAACATTAGGTCTGGTGTGAACATGAATTGGTATTAGGGTATTTTCTTTATTCAATTCCTCTAGTGGTTTGGTTAGGTTGCAGTGAGACAGTCCTGTTAAGTTTCTTAAAACTCTTGGGTAATAATGGAATCTAGTTGTCAGCCTATACTGTTAGTTATTCCAGAAGTTACTAATTTGTGGCAATGGTCAACTGTCTATTTCCCACCCCTTAGGAAACTCAGAAAAGTGTTTTGGATCCATCTGCATAGAAAGTACAGCATAGGCATAAGATCATTATCATCTGTGACACATTCAGGTCATGTCTCTTCCACATTTTGTTAGTTTCAATGAACCAGGGACTGCTAATGAATGATTTCCATTGGATAATTTTGTTTTTTCTGTTTCAAGTTTCAAGTTGCCTGTCTGGATTTCATTAGCATAGCAATGATTTACCCAAGAGGGCTTTATTTCTTAACTTGATTGGGCATGGGACATTAAGAGGGTGGCTGTCTTTGTGAGAAAAGAAATATATTTTTAACCCCATGGTGATTGTGTATGTTTGTGCAAGAAGTTTGAGACGTGAAATTTTCATTTGCAGTTGACTTTGCTTTATGTTCCTCAAACTATGATCTGTGTGAATTGCTGCAAACATATTTGCCAGTAAGACTCAAACTTACCAGCATTTTATTACTCAGGGAAAAGTATTATCATAAAAGCAAAAATATTTAAGTGGCATAGAGAAAAGCAACTGAAATTCCAATGGAAGACAGGAAAAACTAATTTTTGAAACTAATTTTATTTAATTTTTTGTTTATTACTGCTTAATTTAGCTCTTTAGAACTCTACTAGTTAGCTCATTTTGTCATGTTATTTTGCTTCTTTGCTTTATGGTATAATTTCACAGGTATAACTAGTTCATAGAGGACCAAGTTATTTTATCAAGTTTGTGGAATATGACATACATAAACAAATAAAATAGTCATATGTTTCTCTGGATTCATCTGTAAATTTTGATAGCCATTTGTATTGCTATAAGGGAACATCTGACACTGGTGTTAGAGAAACTAACGAAAAGAGGTTAATTTGGCTCACTGTTCTTGCAAGCTATGCAAGAAGCATGGCACCAGCATCTACTTCTGGTGAGGGCCATGGGTTACTTCCACTCATAGTGAAAGGGAAAAGGGAGCCAGCATGTGCAGAGATTACATGGCAAGAGAGGAAGAAAGAGAGAGGGGAGGGAGGTTCCACATTCTTTTTAACTGTCATTTCTCCTGGGGACTAACAGAGCAAGAACTCACTCTACTGCCATAATGGCACCAAGCCATTCATGAGTGCTCTGTCTTAAAGCCAGAACACTTTCCACTAGGCTCCACCACTAACACTGGAGAGCAGATGTGAACATGAGTTCTGGAAGTGACAACTACCCAAACTATATCACTAATGTTACAATGTTTATATTTATTTATTTGTTTGTTTGTTTATTTATTTTGAGACAGAGTCTCTCCTGTTGCCCAGGCTGGAGTACAGCCGCGCAATCTCAGCTCACTGCAACTTCTGCCTCCCAGGTTCAATAGAATCTCCTGCCTCAGCCTCCCAAGTAGCTGGGATTACATGCATGTGCCACCACGCACGGCTAGAGAACTATTGATGAGATGAAGTGATGCATCTTCAAGTTAACTAGTACCTGTCTGTTCTTCTACATTGTACATTAGATAACTCACCAACTCCTCAGAAGACTGAAGCCTCAGCAGGTGTTGGCACTGTCACATGTTAGCATTCCTGATCTACATTTTGATGAGTCCCAAATTAGCGGAGTTTGTTGCTGTGAAGTTAGTTTTCTTAGTTAACCATAGCATATCCCCAGTTTAAGATGCATAAACGGCATCATGGCTCACTTGTGAAGTGACTGTTCAAGTCTTTTCCCATTTATTAAATTAGATGAGTCTGTTACTTTCTAATTTATTTGAGAGATATTCAAATGGCAGACTATATGAAAAGATCCAAAATAGCCTCAGTCTTAAGAAGTAAGCAGTTGCAGGATACTCATGTTGTGGAGACCTTAATCAACTGAATTGGTTATGTTTCTAGCTATAGGATCACTCAGAGGGAGGGCAGTTAGGCCTTATGGTTTGACACACTCAGAAGTTATGTGTAGGGACACTTGAGATCCATGTGCACAGCCTCTCCCATGAGTAAATGTCAATCAGGAAATGTAAAAAACATCAAACCACTAAAATTATTTTTTAGATACTCCATAGCTAATTTTTAAAGTATCTAAAAAATAAGATCCAAATGAGCATGAATGAATATCAAGATAAAAATAAATAAAATGTTCTTAATAAAGCTAAACATTTTAATTTTTTTCAAAATTTAATTTCACACTATTAAATATTTTTTTAAAAATAAAACTATTTGCAGTGTTTCTAGGAAATGTCCATATGGTTGCCAATGGGGAAAAATGGCAACCCCCTTTGTGTAGGTAGAATTCTATGATGAACCCCCAAATCCTCATTTTCTGGTGTATGTGCTCATTATAATCTTCTCCCAATTGATTGGGAGTAGAAACAGTGAATATGATAGAATATAATTTCAGTGATTATGTTTCCTTATAAAGCAAAAGAGATTTTTCCAAATGTAATTAAGGTCCCTAATCAGTTGACTGAGTTGAGTGACAGCAGATACTCTCCTGCTCTCTTTAAAGAAGTCCCCATGAGTCCCTACAGCCACAATAAATTGAATTCTGCCAAAAATCTTAATAAGCTTGGAAGAAGACCTTCAGCTCCTGATGAGAACCCAGCCAGAAACAAGATGAGAACCCAGAAACAAGATTTTCATCTTATTTCAACCTGAGCAGAGAACCCAGAGGAGCCCTGGCCAGATTTTTGGTCTACAGGATTGAGGTAACAACTGGGGGTTGGTTTAAGTTACTACAGTTATGGTTATTTGTTACAGCAGCAGTGGAAACTGAATACTCTTCTTATGCATATTATGGCTGAAACTGCTATTCAAAATTTAATGGCAATTACTCTACAAAATATGGACAACCACCATTCTTTGCACATTGTTGAAAATATTACATGGGAAATGTATGAAGGATATGAGTACAATGCCAGGCACAGGGCAAGTTGCCAATAAATGGAAGCTCTCATTATTGAACAAGACCTTGTTAATGGACATAGACAAAACAAATCAGAACTTTTATATACCATGAATGTCAATTAATATTCAGTGTTACTGATCTGATGAAGAACAATCAACCTGCTTTGGCAATAACTGCTAAAGTCTAAAGGTGACATGTGGGGACATATGTATATCATATGTATATGTAATATACATGTGTGATGACATATGTATATCATAACCCTGGACTTGTCCTCATTGAGAAAGTGGTAGAAAACAAAACAAAAACAAAAACAAAAAAGGAGGATGTCAGTTATGGTTCCTCAGAATGCCCATACCTGGATATTCTCACAGGGCCTAAGGGTGCAAAAGAAAAAAGTACCAAAAGACTCTTCTTGACAATAAAAAATAAATATGATATCTTGCCATCAGATATAAAGTTCATGTAATTGTCTTTAACATTCTCATAGTTAAATGGGGTGAGGAGCAGGGCAATTTTGCAGGGGAAGGGAAGAGAAGGCCATTCCTACAAATATCCAAGCTTTAGGCTTTTTGTGTGAGAAGTTAAAAAAAAACCCTACATTGACAGAAAAACTGTCATTTATTGCACTGGATGAGTGACTAAAAATTTCTCCTTGGGGGAAAAAGATGATTTCCCCCTATGGCAATTCAAGGCAACAAGATTGCATTGCTTTTTGTTGTAGAAAGCTGCTTTTGCTCATAGATGTGAAAGACACACACACACACACACACACACACACACACACCCCTTACTCATCCCTCTCTGGCTTCTTATTTTTTTAAGGATTATTTGTTTCTGAAAATGCTGGTCTCCAAGATTGAATGAGGATGAGGAGGGTTCACAATGGATAAAGCACATAGGTCTTGCTTATAAATCACAGATCTGGGAAATGAAAGGAAGAAAATATTTGATTTATCTAAATTATCTTGGAGTTTCTTAGCTTTTAGTATGTCAAACATTAGAGGATACTTTAAATTACTTTTTTCTCATTTGGGTGTGTATGAAAAAAGTGGAGGTGAGGGGAGGGATTTTGGTGATATAACAGCTTATTTGTTTCACAATTTCTGCTGCTTCTTCTTTTTCTTCTTCTTCTTCTTCTTCTTCTTCTTCTTCTTCTTCTTCTTCTTCTTCTTCTTCTTCTTCTTCTTCTTCTTCTTCTTCTTCCTATTTTTTTAAATTAGAATTTTTAGAAATATTCCTAAATGCATAAGGCTCTCCAGAATTCCTCTACCATTGACACTTTCAGTAATTATATAATTTGGTCAGAAAGAGGCCCCCTGCTTCCTCCCTCACACATTACTAGAGACAGTGAGAAATAAATGCTATTTTGCTCTGAGTGGTGTCATTTCTTTTCATCTGGATCTTGTTACCTTGAGCTACATAGAAAGAAAGCATTTCTTATTGAAGTGGCCAAAACATGAACTCGTTATTCTTTTTTTTTTTTCTAACTATACTACTGGGTACAATATATACATAAAGTCAATTTCCCCATACACTTTATTATGAATATTATGTTTTTGCTGCTTTCTATGAGCATGTATGTGTATATAAAATGCATAGCAACAGCTACCTTGAAGCACAAAAGAGTTAACTGCCCCCCCACACACACTCTGTTTTGTTCAGTGCTCTAAGCTCTAAGACAAATATCTCTTTGTTTTTTCCTTTAATATCCAATTCCAAGCTCACTAGGGAAGAGAGGGTAAGACTCCACAAAGCTCACTTTGTCTCAAGCTGAGTTATAACACAAACAAGACATGCAACAAACTTTTCATGCTTAATTTTCTCTTCATATTTCAGAAGACACCTGCCTGAGGGTCTTATAGCTAATGGACTGCAGAAGACTTGAGTCATCATTCAAATTCAGTAGCCATCCTCTGATGTCCAGTTGAAGATTGGTGATTCCAGAATAGCTCGCATTGCCCCAGTTGACTTGCCACACAGCTTCTTTCAGGACTTGAAAATGTCCTAGCCACCCCCATCTTACCTCCTACTTCCAATGCCTTTTAAGATAGAAAACAAAAAACAAAACAACAAAAAAACACCAGCCACCCTTGTGGGTTAGATAATCCTACATCAAGGTGAATTCTTGATAACCAGTTCTGTTCTTCCTTATGTCTTGTAAACATGCTAATTAGAAGGAGCTTGTGTTTGAAGATCAAGGGAGGAAGAATTCTGAAGCCAGGGCTAGCCTTAGGGGACATAACTCCTTCCAGTCACTTCCTGAATTTTTTGGTACCTGGCTTTTGAGAGTCCTCCAAAGTGAGAATTTCATGACATGTAACCTCTCAACACCTGCATTTTAAAAAATTGTCCAAAATACCGCAGATACCACAGAAAAGTCCAAAACTTAAGTTTTTCCCTCCACTCAGAGCATCTTAGCAACATACTAACCATAAGACTCTAAGCGCTCTTACCCTCAATGCAATTCTCACTGAATATCCTGTCAGGAGAACTCTACCTCTCTTCCATGTTATTAAGGTTATTGTTCTTTGCAAGGTGTACACAACACAAATATATTTCTTGGTGAATGAACTCACTCTCAAAGACTGCTGTCCTTGGGGATATAGCCAACATGCCATATCCACAACATAGGTCTTCTTTACAGTCCTGTTGAAACATGTAAGATCAGCTACTAAGTCCCTGCATCTCAGACAGGAACTTAATAGAGTACATTTAAAAAAAAAATTCAGAAGTAATTAAAACAAATTGCATACAAGCCACCTGTTTAGAAAGTTCATAAATTTTATGCAATTATTTATCTCTTTATTTTTTCTGAAATCAAGAGCAGAATGTATCCAAGTGAAACTAAAAGAGCGAGGTCAAGGGGAAACAACACAGGGCTTGTGGAGTCATAAATATGTATTAAAGCAGCAGAGTTAATTTTGTCCCAAGTTCCATATTGGCCAGGAAAAAAGAAACAAGATCAGCAGAGTTAACAGCTCTCAACCTGAATATGCCTCAGAATTTCTAGGAGGACTTAAGTAATGAGATTCCTGGGTTTCTACATGGACCAACTCAATCAAACTCTTCAGGAGACAGCTGCTGTTGTTAGACTGTGTCTCCCAAAATTCTTGTGTTGGAAACTTAGTTCCCAATGTAATGATACTGGCAGGTGTGGCCTAGTGGGGGGTGTTTAGATCATGAGGGCTTCAGCCTCATGAATGGATTAATGTTGATATCTCAGGAGTGAGTTTCCTCTTGCTCTCTGTAGCCCTCTCTCTTGCCACATGATGACTTCCACCAGGTTATGACTCAACAGGAAGGCCCTCACAAGATGTGGAACCTCAATCTTAGACTTCTCAGCCTCCAGAAGTGAGCCAAATAAATTTCTGTTCATTATACATTACTTAGTCTGGATTATTCTGTTATAAGGGCACAAAACAGACTAGTACACAATATGTGTGTGCTTTTTACATCAGATGAATCTCATGGTCAGTTAAGTCTGGAAATCACTTGTCTAAATGAGTTGCGTTTGGTTTTTCCTAAGAAATATGCTGTCAGTTCCTCAAGAGAAGCAAAATATACCAGCCCTTATATTTCCTTTAAGAAGACTCACCTAATTTAGGTCATATATCTCAAAGTGTTATGGGGCAAGATATATTCAACACTGTATTCAGTATGGTAAGCTTCATTGAATAAATTTTCAGATGCTTTGAATGAAGTTGCGTAAATGAAACCAAAATATCAATGAGAAAATCAATTTTATAAGGATAACTGCATAAGTTTTAGAAAGCTGCATGACAGTGTAGATTTTTTGCCTGAAGATTGTCTTCAAGATAATCTAGATATTTTTTAGATTTCAAAGAATTGTCCCTATCTGTAGATTTGTTGTTCTTGGAAAAAAAGTCTTAAAAGATCATTATCTGGATACAAATTTCATAATTATCATACATATACACACTACTACAGCTATAAAATATAAACCTGGTAGAAAAAAATACCAACTAAAATGGAAGGAATTATACTCTTCAAAAGTAATTTATCCTACCCAGAGTCCTCCTTTCCTAAGGCAGCTGTACTAGTCCATTTTCGTGCTTCTGATAAAGACATACACGAGACTGGACAGTTTATAAAAGACAGAAGTTTAATGGACTTACAGTTCCACATGGCTGGAGAGACCTCACAATCATGGCAGAAGGCAAGGAAGAGCAAGTCACGTCTTACATGGATGTCAACAGGCAAAGAGAGAGAGCTTGTACAGGGGAACTCCTCTTTATAAAATCATCAGATCACATGAGACCTATTCACTATCACATAAACAGCATGGGAAAGACTAGGCCCCATGATTCAATCACCTCCCACCAGGTCCCTCCCACAACACATGTGAATTCAAGATGAGATTTCGGGGGTGGGGAACACAGCCAAACCATATCATTCCACCCCTGGCCCTGCCCAAATCTTATGTCCTCATATTTCAAAACCAATCATGTCTTCCCAAAAGTCCCCCAAAGTCTTAACTCATTTCAGCATTAATTCAAAAGTCTACAGTCCAATGTCTCATCTGAGACAAGGCAAGTCCCTTCCACCTATGAGCCTGTAAAATCAAAAGGAAGCTAGTTACTTCATAGATACAATGGGAGTACAGGCATTGGGTAAATACAGCCGTTCCCAGTGGGAGAAATGGGCCAAAACAAAGGGGCTACAGGCCCTATGAAAGTCTGAAATCCAGAAGGGCAGCCAAGTCTTAAAGCTCCAAAATGATCGTCTCTGACTCTATGCCTCACATCCATGTCATGCTGATGCAAGAGGTGGGATCCCATGGTCATGGGCAGCTCTGCCCCTGTGGCACTGCAGGGTACAGCCTCCCTCCTGGCTGCTTTCATGGGCTGGTGTTGAGTGAAACACATGGTGCAAGCTGTCAGTGGATCTACCATTCTGGGGTCTGGAGGATGGTGGCCCTCTTTTCACAGCTCCACTAGGTGGTACCTCATTAGGGACTCTGTATGGGGGCTCCAACCCCACATTTCCCTTTTGCACTGCCCTAGGAAAGGTTCTCCATGAGGGCTCTGTCCCTGCAGCACACTTCTGCCTGGGCATCCAGACATTTTCATAAACCTTCTGAAATCGAAGCAGAGATTCCCAGACCTCAATTCTTGACTTCTGTGCACCTGCAAGTTCAACACTAAATGGAAGCTGCTAAGGCTTGGGGCTTCCACCCTTTGAAACAACAGCTTGAGCCTCTGACTTGGTCCCTTTTAGTCACAGCTGGAGCGACTGGGATGCAGGGCACCAAGTCCTTAGACGGCACAAAACAGAGGGACCCTGGGCCTGGCCCACAAAACCAATTTTTCCTTCTAAACCTCTGGCCCTCTGTGGAAGGGACTGCTACAAGGGTCTCTGACATGCCCTGGAAACATTTTCCCCATTGTCTTGGTGATTAATATTAGGTTCCTCATTACTTATGCAAATTTCTGCAGCTGGCTTGAATTTCTCCTCGGAAAATGGGATTTTTTTTCCTATCATATTGTCAGGATGCAAGTTTCCCAAACTTTTATGCTCTGTTTCCCTTTTAAAACTGAATGCCTTTGTCTGGGCACAGTGGCTCACGCCTGTAATCCCAGCACTTTGGGAGGCTGAGGCAGGCAGATCACAAAGTCGGAAAATCGAGACTATCCCTGCCAACGTGGTGAAACCCTGTCTCTACTAAAAATACAAAAACTAGCCGGGTGTGGTGGTGTGTGCCTGTAGTCCCAGCTACTCAGGAGGCTGAGGGAGGAGAATCACTGGAACCCAGGAGGCAGAGGCTGCAGTGAGCCAAGATTACACCACTGCACTCCAGCCTGGGCAACAGAGCAAAACTCTGTCTCAAAAAGCAAACAAACAAAACAAAACAAAAAGAAAAAAACTGAATGCCTTTAAGAGCACCTAAGTCATATCGTGAATGCTTAACTGCTTAGAAATTTCTTCCATCAGATACCCTAAATCATTTCTTTCAAGTTCAAAGTTTTACAGATCTCTAGGGCAGGGGCAAAATGCCACCAGTCTCTGCTAAAACATAACAAATGTCACCTTTACTCCAGTTCCCAACAAGTTCCTCATCTCCAGCTGAGACCACCTCAGCCTGGATTTCATTGTCCATATAATTATCAGCATTTTGGTCTAAACAATTCAACAAGTCTCTAGGGAGTTCCAAACTTTCCCACATTTTCCTGTCTTCTTCTGAGCTCTCCAAACCGTTCCAACCTCTGCCTGTTACCCAGTTCCAAAGTCATTTCCATATTTTTTGTATCTTTTCAGCAGTGCCCCACCCCGGTACCAATTTACTGTATTGGTTCATTTTCATACTGTTGATAAAGGCATATCCGAGACTGGGCAATTTATAAAACAAAGAGGTTTAATGGACTTACAGTTTCACATGGCTGGGGAGGCCTCACAATCATGGTGGAACGCATGAAGAAGCAAGTCACATCTTACATGGATGGCAGCAGGCAAAGAGAGAGCTTGTGCAGGGAAACTCCCATTTTTAAAACCATCACATCTTATGAGACTAATTCCCTATCACAAGAACAATGCAGCAAAGACCTGCCCCCATAATTTAATGACCTCCCACTGGGTTCCTCCCATGACACATGGGAATTGTGGGAGTTACAATTCAAGATGAGATTTGGCTGGGGACACAGTCAAACCGTATCAGCAGCCATTTTTATTATTTCCTGTTCTTAATTCTTCATTTGCTACACTTCATAACTCCAATGGGTAGTCACAGAAATATTTGGCTTGCCAGTTTTTAACATTGTATTAGTCAGGGTTCTCTAGTAAGACAGAATTAATAGGATAGATATATATATAAAGAGGAATTTATTAAGGAGTGTTTACTCAAATGATCACAAGGTGAAGTTCTGCAATAGACCATCTACAAGCTGAGGAGCAAAGAAGCCAGTCCAAGTCCCAAAACCTCAAAAGTAGGGAAACTGAAAGCACAGCCCTCAATCTATGGCCAAAGGCCTGAGAGTCTCTGGAAAACCACTGCTGTAAGTCTATGAGTCCAAAAGCTGAAGAACTTGGAGTCCAATATTCAAAAACAGGAAGCATCTATCACAGGAGAAAGACAAAGACCAGAAGACTCAGCAAGTCAAGTCCTTCCACATTCTTCTACCTGCTTTATTCTGGCCATACTGACAGCTGATTAGATGGTGCCCACCCAGATTGAGGGTGAGTCTACCTCTCTCAGTCAACTGACTCATATGTTAATCTCCTTTGGCAAAACCCTCACAGACACACCCAGTAACAATACTTTGCATCCTTCAATCCAATCAGCTTGACACTCAATATTAACCATCACAAATCCACCCTTGTCAACTTGAGCCCATACATATCTCCTGAAATCATACATAATCTTCAAATAAAGAATAATAACATCATAATTATGCCTAACATAATACAGCTATCCTTTGTACAGCTGTACTATTTCTTAACATAAATGCTAATACATGAAGTTAACAACACTTAAATGCTGTTGTGAAGTCAACAAATCTTATGTCACATGATAAAGGAAAAAGAAAATAAATAAAATGGAAATCATTTCTTAATACAAGTGTATACCTGCACAAACATATTAAGAAAATAAGGAGGAAATCCAAATACAACAATTACAGTCCCTGTTTCTGCAACTGATCACATGGTGGTAGCTAGTATTGATGACTACCTTCTTCTGCTACTCATTCTGTATTCCCTTTGCCTTCAGCAAGCACCTCAGCAAATCTTGATTTTTACCTGGTGGAGTGATGCAAATCTTCATGCCTGCAGGTCTGGGCAATTTGTAGTCCTGCTTGAATTGGGTTGTTGTAGTTTCCTGTATACCTTAATCACAGGGTATGGTAATACTAAGAGATGCCCTAAGGGATCTCCCGTATTCCACACATACCCTTCCTTACCTCAATTGTGGAGTGGTAGACTGAGTTCATCTTGATGGTCTGGGTCAATCACCCCAGACAACACTGTAACTTCCTTCTTAGCCTGTTGATTTAGAAGTAAGAGAAGCCCAAAGTGGCCAGGTGGCAATCTTAACTTCCAGTTTGATGGATCATTGTTGTGTCTCCTGGTGACAGCACTCCTTCCTCTGGAACTAAGACCTCTAGGCCAGCAGAACATAATGTCATGGGAACAAGAAGCAAGAATTTTGCTAGTGGGTCACTAGGGGTGATGGTGAGTGGTGCCACTTTCTCTTCAACCCCTTTGTTCCTGGACCTGTGAATCCTAGCTATGGGAGAAACAGTACCATATATTGGACGCAGATTCAGAGCATACACAGCCTTCTGGAGAACTTTGCCCCAGCCCTGCAAAGTATTGTCACCTAGTTGGCGTTGTAATTGTGACTTCAAAAGGCCATTCCACCATTCTATCAATCCAGCTGCTTCAGGATGATAGGGACCATAGTAAGACCAGTGAATTCCATGAGTATGAGCCTACTGCCATACTTCTTTAGCTGTAAAGTGAGTGCCTTTGGCAGAGTCAATGCTGTGCGGAATACCATGATGGTGGATAAGGCATTCTGTGAGTTCATGGATAGTAGTCTTGGCAGAAGCATTGCATGCAGGATGGGCAAACCCATATCCAGACTAAGTGTCTATTTGATAAGGACACACCATTGCCCTTTCGATGATGGAAAAGGTCCAATATATTCAACCTGCCACCAAGTAACTTGCTGATCAACCCTGAGGATGGTGCCATATGGAGGGATCAGTGTTGGTCTCTGCTGCTGGCAAATTGGACACTCAGTGGTGCCTGTAGTCAAGTCGGCCTTGCTGAGTGGAAGTCCATGTTGCTTAGCCCATGCATAACCTCCATTCCTGCCACCATGGCCACTTTGCTCATGGGCCCATTGGGTGATGGCAAGGGTGGCTGGGGAAAGGGGCTGAGTGGTGTCCACAAAATGAATCATCCTGTCCACTTGAGTATTAAAATCTTCCTTTTCTGAGGTCACCCATTGGTGAGCACTCACATAGGACACAAATATCTACACAGTTTTTGACCACTCAGAGAGGTCCGTCCACATACCTGTTCCCTAAATTTCTTTGTCATCAATTTTCCCATCATACTTCTTCCAAGTCCCTGACCATCCAGCCAAACCGTTGGCTACAGCCCATGAATCAGTATATAATCACACATCTGGTCATTTCTTCTTCCAAGCAAAATGCACAACTAGGTGCACTGCTTGAAGTTCTGCCTACTGGGAAGATTTCCCTCTGCCACTTCAGCACTTCAGGGATGTCCTAGAAAGGGGCTGTAGTGCTGCAGCTGTCCACTTCAGGGTGGTGCCTGAATATCGTGCAAAGCCATCTCTAAACCGAGCCCTAGTTTTCTCCTTCTCTGTCAACAGATCATAGGGAACTCCCCATGAGGCCATGGGTGCAGCCTGGGGGAGAAAAGGCAGGCTGACAGGAGTGGGGACCATGGGGATTTGAGCCACTTCCTCATGTAACTTACTTGTGCCTTCAGGACCTGCTCAAGCCTGATCATGTATATACCACTTCCATTCGGTGGTGGAATTCTGCTGTGCACTCCCAACTTTATGGCTAGATGGGTCAGAAAGCACCCAGTTGATGATAGACTGTTCAGGTCATATGGTGACTTGATGACTCATAGTCAAACATTCAGTTTCTACCAAAGCCCGGTAACAGGCCAAGAGCTGTCTCTCAAAAGGAGAGTAGTTATCTGCAGAAGATGGCAGGGCCTGCTCCAAAATCCTAGAGGCCTTCATCATGATTCATCTATGGGAGGCTGCCAAATGCTCCAAACGGCATTTCTATCTGCCACTGACACCTCGAGCACCATTGGATCTGCTGGGTCATATGGCCCAAGTGGCAGAGCAGCTTGTGTAGCAGCCTGGACCTGTTGCAGAGCCTTCTCCTATTCTGGGCCCCACTCAAAACTGGCAGCCCTTTGAGTCACTTGATAAATTGCCTGGAGTAACTCGCCCAAATGAAGAATGTGTTGCCTCCAAAATCCAAAGACTTGCAATCATAGGGGAAGGAAACATGTCCCTCTTCACATGGCTGCAAGAGAGAGAAGAATGAGAATCAAGCAAAGGGAGAAGCCCTTTTTAAAACCATCAGATCTCACGAGAACTTTCTATCATGAGAATAGCATGGGGGAAACTTCCCCCATCATTCTATTACCTCCCACCAGGTTCCTCCCATGACACACAGGGATTATGGGAACTACAATTCAAGATGATATTTGAGTGGGGATATAGCCAAATTATATAATTCCACCGCTGGCTCCTCCCATATTTCATGTCCTCACATTTCAAAAAACAATCATGCCTTTCCAACAGTCCCACAAAGTCTCAACTCATTCCAGCATTAACGCAAAAGTCCAAGTAAAGGTCTCATCTCAGACAAGGCAAGTTTTTTTCACCTATGAGCCTGAAAAATCAAAAGCAAGTTAGTTACTTCCTACATACAATGGGGGTACAGGCATTGGGCTAATACACCCACTTCAAATGGGAGAAATTGGTTAAAACGAAGGGGTTACAGGCCCCATGCAGGTCTGAAATCCAGTAGGTAGTCAAATCTTAAAGCTCGAAAATAATCTCCTTTGACTCCATGTCTGACAGCCAAGTCATGCTGATGCAAGAGTTGGGCTCCTATGGCCTTGGGCAACTCTGCTGCTTTGGCTTTACAGGGTTCAGCCCCTCTCCTAGCTGCTTGAATGGGCTGACATTGATTGTCTGTGGCTTTTGCAGGTGCAAGGTGCAGGCTGTCAGTGAATCTACCATTCTTGTGTCTGGAGGATAGTAGCCCTCTTCTCACAGCTCCTCTAGGTGGTGCCGCAGTGTGGACTCTGCCTGGGGGCTCCAGCCCCACATTTCCCTTCCGCATTGTCTTACCAGAGGTTCTCCATGAGGGCTTTGTCCCTGCAGCAAACTTCTTCCTGGCAGGCGTTTCCATACATCCTCTAAAATCTAGGCGGAGGTTCCCCTGCCTCAGTTCTTGACTTCTGTGTACCTGCAAGCCCGGCCCCAGGTGTTAGCCACCAAGTCTTGGGGCTCGCACCTTCTAAATCAATGGCCCGAGCTGTACCTTGCCCCCTTTCAGTGACTGCTGGAGCTAAAGCAGCTGGGGTGCAGGGCACCATGTCCTGAGTCTGCATAGAGCAGGTGTGCCCTGGGCCCTGCCCAGGAAACCATTTTTCTCTCCTAGGCTGCGGGGCTTGTGATGGGAAGAGCTACTCTGAAGGTCTCTGGCATGCCCTGGAGACGTTCCCCATTTTCTTGGTGACTGACATTTGGCTCCCTGTTACTTAAGCAAATTTCTAAAGCCAGCTTGACTTTCTTTCCAGAAAATGGGTTTTTCTTTTCTATCACATTGTCAGGCTGCAAAATTTCTAAGCTTTCATGCTCCACTTCCCTTTTAAACATAAGTTCCAATTTCAAACCTATGTTTGTGATGAATGCATAAAACTGAATGCTTTCAAGAGCACCCGTGCCACCTCTTGAACACTTTGCCACTTAGAAATTTCTTCCACCTTATAGCCTAAATAATCTCTCTCAAATTCAAAGTTCTACAGATCTCTAGAGCAGGGGCAACATGCCACCAGTCTCTTAGCTAAAATATAGCAAGAGTCACCTTTATTCCAGTTCCCAGCAAATTCCTCATCTTCATCTGAGACCACCTCAGCCTAGACTTCATTGTTTTTGATCAAGGCCATCATTCAACAAGTCTCTAAGAAGTTACAAACTTTCCCACATCTTCCTACATTCTTCTGAGCCCTCCAAACTCTTGCAACCTCTGCCTGCTACCCAGTTCCAAAGTTGCTTCCACATTTTTGGATATCTTTATAGCAACACCTCTCTCTACCAGCACCAGTTTACTATATTTGTCCATTCTCATGCTGCTATAATGAACTGTCCATTAAATTACCCATAAAAACTGGGTAATTTATAAAGGAAAGAGGTTTAACTGACTCACAGTTTAATATGGCCTTGGGAAACCTACAATCGTAGTGGGAGCAAACATGTCCTTTTTCACATGGTGGCAGAATAGAGAAGAATGAGAACTGAGCAAAGGGGGAAGTCCCTTATAAAATCATGAAAACTCGTGAGAACTTGCTATTATGAGAACAGCATGAGGGAAATTGCCACTGTGATTCAGTTACCTCCCACCAGGCTCCTTCTACAACACGTGGGGATTATGGGAACCACAATTCAAGAGGAAATTTGGGTGGAGACCCAGCCAAACCATATCCAACATTAATAATTTACTCGTACTAGAAAAGAAGATATAACCTATGTAAAATATCCCATTTCCCCACCCCAACAACTTTCGACAGATACATTGAATCACTATTTTTAGATCTTTCATTGTTGTTTTGTAATTTTAAATGACATCCTTAAAAGTCTACTTCATGTTTCATTATTTCCTAAGGCATCTTTTTGTTCCCTTCTGTATAAGATGGGATATGGAAGCTGCTGACTTTCCTTTCTATGTTCCTCTCCAACAACCTCACTCCTGTCTCCTTTCACAAGTAAACACAGATAAATCACTTTCAGACTACATCTAAATCATTCTTGTTTGTCTGTAGGCTGATTGAAAAATTTGAAAACTTAGTACACATTATGAGTATATAAATACTGTCCATTTCAGAACCAAAAGGTGCTAGAGTCACATTTTTTTCCACTGACTCAGTATAATGATGCCCTTCCAAAGACAAATGCCCCTAATTTCTAGGTTGAACTTATTCTCTTTGCTTAAACTCCTTTTGAATAACATGATCACAATTATGATATTTTAAGGTGTGCTTCATAACTATCCCATAGTCTAGTTCATTATTTTTAAGTAATTGCCTTTTAATTTTTTTTTGAAAGATGCCTTCTTTCATGATATCTTTTTACCTCTTCTTCACCTTCTCCTTTATAACTTCTATTTTGGTACTGTTTGTATTTCTTAATTCTGTGTGGTTTTTTTTCCCCAGAAATCCACGGACTTCCTTTTTTATTTTTGGCCAGATGCTTTCTCTTTTATTTGAGATGGGGGTCTCTCTACGTTGCCCAGGCTGGACTAGAACTCCTGGGCTCAAGTGATCTTCCCACTTCATCTTTCAGAGTAGCAGGACTACAGTGGTGCGTTACCATGTCTGGCTTCCAGTTGCTGTTTTCAGGCAGCTATGATTCTGCACATTATTTACAGTAAAACTTCTAGGGATGTTTCCACCGTTTTTTTTGATTGTATCCCTTCCTTTTTGGTAGCCATCCTCATTTTCTTGAAGTATAACAAATAGTATCATCCAGGATGCATGAAAGCTATTTTTTTAATCCTTAACAATCTGAGAAAAAAGTATTTTCTAAATATTTTATTCCATGAAAATAAATTTGTCACTCTGAATAAACTAGATGAGTTTTAATATAAATTTGAGACACTGTATTTTTTCTACAAATACAGAAACATTTTGCCCATTAGCAATGAATTAAATTGACAGATGTATTAAAATAATAATAGCCAGTAAACGAAAATGTTCAAATGTATTCACAGGTACATACTTTTAATCATTCAAGAAAAAACAATTGTAATACTCTTAATTAATCCAGAGCATGGTAAAAAAAGGAAACAGACAAATTCTTTTTCTCAGCCTCACATAACATTAACATCCTAAATTTACAAACAACAAAACTAGAAAAATATAGACACATTTTGCTTTTGACTATGGATGTGAGATGTTAACAAAATACTACCCCAAAAATTCAGCTGCGTATTGAAAGAATAAAATATTCTAACCAAGTAGAGTTCACCCCCAGGGATCCAAATATCTATTTGGATATCTATTCATAAAATGCACTACAGTCTAAAGGTCAAAACAGAACATCATATATGACTAGCTCAATGGATGGGGGAAAACATTTGACTACATTCAACATCCATTTTGATTAAAATGTATTTTAATAAAATAGGAATAAATTAAATAGGTATAATATATATAAAGAGATATATATGTAAAGGATGTAAATATCAATAGACCTAGACAATGAAAGAAGTAAACATACAAATAATGAGAATATAAAAGTTAAATTATAATTATTTTCATGTAATATCTTATATACCTAGAAATCTCAGGGGAGTCATCAGAAATTATTAAAACAAGATAATTTATAAAATTAATGATAATTTTTCCTTATGAAAATAAATTTTGAAAAGACAATGAAGAAAAACAAATGATCTAAAGCAGGAGTCAGCATTTCAGTAAAGGGCCAGGTGGGAAATATTTTAGCCTTTGCAGATCATATGGTCTCTGTTCCAACTACTTAACTCTACGCAGCCATACAATAATGATGTCAATTTTCTCAAATTAATTTATAAACTTGATACAATCATTTTAAAAGACCAACTAAATTCATCTAGAGCCCAATAAAGAAATGAAGAAAAAACATGAAAGGGCAAATTAACAAAAAAGAATCATATATATCTAAAAATACTTTTGTGCAAGTATAAATCAATGTGTCCTGCTTGGAAGGCAGTTGGTGACCTCTATCGAATGTGTTAAAGTAGGAAATTATTGACCTAATAATTCTCCTGATAGCAGTTTACATTACTGATGTATCTGCAGATGTTCACCAAGATATTTTTTCTGTTTGGCTCTTCTATGTTCATATCTTAATTTGTTTATATTTTAATATCATTGGGTTATGTACATAGGTTATTAAATTTATTTTATGTACTTTTGTATTTACATTCTTTATCATATATTTTATATGTATTTATATTTTTATATCTCTATATTATCTCTCTTTTTTTAAGCTCTATTTTTAAGCTATTTTTTAAGCCCTAATAAATATTTTGTTTTGTTCTAACATCGAAGCGAACATCAGCATATTTTAGGAATGGTTTAAAAATTAATTTTTGACCTTCCCTGAAGTGTCAAACACTTGAACTTCCTTTGCAATGAAAGTAAGTAGCCAAATTCACTAAGTAAAAGCTTTAATAATAAACAATTGTTTAGTAAAACAATGTGCTCAGAAAGGTAAAAATTTAAACTATTAGAACTCTGCTTCTTAAACTGTGTACTATTGGTATTGAAACTGTAGCCCCTTTTCATATTAATAAATATTCTGATGGAAAAAAAGGACTCAGTTTTAGATTAAATTTGGGAATGTGTGTTATCATAACTTATTTAATAAGAAAACTTTTTTTATTCCTTCATGGACAGTTTGGGTAATACATTCTTAGGGAAATTAAAATAAATTATCACAAGTCTTCCTTAGGAGGATGGTTTTCTGTACTGTAATACAGTTGTTATTGTCGCTGTTATGCTATTTAAGTTGTTATTATGCTAGTTAAGCTGAATACATGCTCATGACAATGTGTTCACTTTTTTCTCTTTGTTTGCAAATGCTGGGAGGAGATGACAAAAGACGCCACCTACATGAACACTTCCTGAAGGTCGTGGCATTGGGGGTCTCGTACATTTTTTCTACCAATAAAATATTAAAAAAAAAAGAGAGAGAAAAAGCTCCCACTTGTAAAGTGCAGAAAACCATAAGAGTTGATGAGAGCCAAAGGTGATGTTCCAGGAAAAACAATAGCTGTTTTGTGCACTTTCTCCATAGCTCGGAAACGCAGTTAGTCAGAAAAAAAAATTAGCCTGCAAACAGATTCAAATATTTGCCTTCTACCTGCCTTTCATAATGAGGAAATGAGAAAATGGCATGTCTTTCATAGCAAATCTCTTCGCGTTTGTGTCTCAGGGTTTGGAGGTGGGGTGGGGGTAGGGGTGCCTGGAGCACCTTCCCTGGTGAGCGCCTGCGGAGTGAAAAGCTACACATTCTGACTTTCACAGCCTCACCCCTGTCCTGCTCTGCCTTTGACTCGGTCACCTCTCTTCCTCATTCTTCCTCACTCCCCCTTCCCACCCCCAGTTTTTATTTTATTTTTTCGTAGTCTCTGAAAATGCAACGGAGAATAAAAATGTGGTCAGACCTGCCGCCAGCACCTATGCCCTCCAGTCCTGAGCTGACAAAAATGTCAAGAAACTGACAGTAAAATATGCGAAGAAAAAGCCCTGCAAACAAGAACAAACCCCAGACTATTTGGCGCTTTCACCACACTGTGTCATGGTTTTCAAACAGAAATAGCAGTTGTGGGATTTATTATCTCTAACATCACTTGTTAAATTTCACACTACGCAAATGATATAAAGTATACGAGTAAGGAAGCTACTGAAGAAGGAATGAGGCAATGCCGGAAAGGAAATAGACAGATGGACTCCACAGAGCGCTAATGGAGGAATCTTTGCCACGGTCAGTGGAAGGATTATCATCCACCCCTGTGGATTTCTAACAGGGCAAGAGTGCTGTTAAGGAAAGGAAAAGCAACCGGCGTTATTGGGGAACTTGCCCCGATATTCACGCAGGTTCTTTTCTATTTTCCTTAAGAGTCGGCCAGCTTGAGAAATAAAGGGACAGAGTACAAAAGAGAGAAATTTTAAAGCTGGGCGTCCGGAGGAGACATCACATGTCGGTAGGTTCTTCAGCCGGTCCCTCTGTTTGAGGTCCTTGACTTCTTGCAACACGGCATGAAAACCACCAACTCTGCCTACGTGAGCCCAATATATGGTTGAAAAGTTGAAATGTACATTTGTTTTATTGATCAACCTAGTGTTAGATAACCTAGTTAATTTCCTTGAGTACTTCTAGTATTTATTCAATGGTTCTAAGTACATGATCTTCCCCAAATGAGAACTTCTGAGCAATCGTGGACATTGACTGTCACTGTTTTCTGAACTCCTGAGAGAGGCTGGGTTTTTCATGTATCCAATTTCATCTACATAACAATTCTACAAGGTAAGTATTTTTTTCCCCCATTTGAGAGACTAAGGTGTAGGGCAAAGTAACTTTCCTCCATGAAAGGAAACTGAGGCAGAGGGAAAAGTGACTTTCTCAAAATCGCAGTTGTTAGTTAACAAAGCTGATATTCAAATGTATAATTGTCTGAACCCAGGTGACCCTCTTAACACAAAACTCCCTCCCTGAAAGAAAGCAGTTGATTTAGTTCTCTAATAAATATATTTATAAGATATCATTTTAAATAGCAAATGCAACTCGGGGCACATTCTAAGCAAGAGCTGCAAATATCCTATATTTATACATTTGAAATTGCATCTTAACCCTTCTCCTTCTTTAACAACTGGAGACACTCATAAATGTGGCTTATTTCTTTATCCTTTGACAGATTGAAAAATCAAGGCACACAAGAATGAAATGTCCTGTTTTGGTTAAACTAATAACTGCAGCCCTCTTGTAAAAATAGGAAGAAGCAGCTGTGTAAAATGACTCCATCAAAGCAGAATTGCGTTACTCCCTGAAGACATCAGATAACAGATATCGTAGATATGTTTATAATTGATGGTTTTAAAGTGCAATTGAGGTGCCCTACTTAGCTTGGGGTATGCACAACTCAATTGCACATAAAATTGGCAACTCATGGCCTTAAAAAAAGAGAGAGGAAAAAAAGAAGGAGAAGAAAAAAGAGAAGCCAAGTGGGGAAGCACACAGGACTCAATTGCCCTTGAAATTTGCAGGCAACATTTGCCACAGGCAATTAGTCTGCGCACAGAAGAAAGGGAGGTCCCTGTAATCTTATGTGACTTACTCAGTGGCATCCAGCAGGTGACTGGCAAAGCCAGGAGCAGAACCAGGGTGTGTGGTTCCCAGCCCATTCGGACCAACAGACAACTGTCCCTAGCCTGATAGGCAGTGCAACCATGGACACACCACCTCCGCTCTGATCACAGCTATAAAGAGAGCCATAAAACTGCCATTGAAATCCAAATGTCATATCAGTGGAAACATCTAAAGCCCATAACGGCACTAGTGATAACCTCTTAATGTTCAGATAGATCCCTAAGGGAAGGAGAGACACAAGCTTCTCCTTCAAGATGGCCCCTGTGGGCTTGGTACAAATGCCAGAATACTCAAGTGTCCACAAGCACCCACCTCTCACATTACTGTTTCATAAATTTTATTATTACTTTAAAAGCAGAATTTGGGGAAGAAAGAATAACAACTTTAACGCAATTTACATATGAATAGAAAAATATGCACAGGTATTGGAAACGAACTTCTAGTTAAAATATGAGCTGCAGAACAAAGACCATCTGATTAGGAGTCTGTGTGAGGTTACAGCACACTCATTTATTTTAACTCTGGTTCAAAGTGTTCTCAAGAGGCTGTGACCACTTCCCAGAGAACTTTTCAAAACATTATTTGCAGCACTTCTACTTCTTTCCTCATTTAAATGATTTTAGTTTGCATTTTACACAGACAGAAGGTATGTATTTATTTTGAGTGAGACATAACAAATGTAAATAACTTTCATTTTAGAGGTAAGCTTCTTCCATCTTAATTTGGGCCGTCAATTGGTGGTAAATGGAAGCAACATTTTTAAACAAATGTAACGAGTAACTGCATATATCCTTTATATCAGTCATGTCCTACTTACTGAATGGTCTATTTTGGAAAAAACAAAAACAAAAACAAGAGGGACTGTCTATGTATTTTACCTTCGAGGAAGTCAATGTATTCGTGTTCTGCCTATCCATTACACTGAACCTTTTGGATTTTTGCTAGATAATTAATTTATAGTGAGAAACATTTTGCTTTTTCACTTTCTGTCTGCACCAGAAGCTAAATATAAGTAGTAGAAGATTGATTTATAATTACTACAGTGAGAAGAATCTAATATTAAATTTACCATTTTTAATTTCCCTCTTCACTGTTTTTCTTTCCAGAATTCAGTCATCAGTAAACTTGTGTTTCTCATTTCAAGGGCTAGATGTTGGAGTTGGCAACATTATGGAAAGAAAAATGTCTTTTAGAGGGCTTTTACTTCTAAAATTGTGTTTATAATTTTTACACAGCAAGAAAAGTATTCTGCTTCTTTCAACACATAACCAGTATGCGGCATAGTCTTAACTGAGTTTCACTGATACTTTAAAAACAACTCTTGGAAAACTTTTGCTCCTTTTCCTATGGTCAGTTACTTACTGTATTTAGTCGTACATGGTATGATTTCATTGAAAATTGAAAACCACATGCATTGGATTTTGAATCATAGGCATAGATTGACACAGGCCGTAGGAGGCCTAAAAAAAGTGAAATGACCTGGAGAAAAATGAAAACAAACAAACAAAAAAGCCCAACTAACTCTCCTACTGGCTACTTTTCCTTCAATGCCATTAACTAACCAGCCATCTTCTTATTTTAAGTTGACTGGATGAACTATTTAGAATAGACATTAAGAACACAGCTTTGACTCTGTATAGACCACATTTCTGATTCTGCCACCTGCTAACCATGTGGCCTTGTGAAAGGTTAATCTCTTCAAGCTGTGGTTTCCTCTTATGTTAAATGGAGATACTCATGTTACTAATTGCCAGGTTGTGTGGGCACATAACATGCTTACCACTAGAGAGTAAGATCTCACTAAATGTCATTTACTAATATAGTGGGTAGTAGTAGTAGCAGTAGTAATAGTAGTAACAGAAACATACAGTTTCTCTCTCTCTCTCTGCCCCTGAAACACTGTAACCAAACTACTCAGAATCTAGCCTGATCCAATCAGGTCCCCACAATCTGAATACAGCACTGATTAGTTACTAGGTATCCTATGTTTTTGTCTCTTGCCCAATTCTCATATCATCCCTAATATGAACGATTTAATATCCTTTTATGAATTTCTGTTTTGCTTCATTTAATCAGGGTTAATTTTTACCATTTACAACCAAAGAGGTCCAAGGGGTGCAGGTGTAAAAACACAGATATTGCCTTTCTCTCTCTGAAATTATCATATTCTTCATATAAAGTTGATTCAAAATGTATTGTCACTTCAGTAGCAGAAGCTACCCATGCAATCTGAAATAGTTAATATCAGCTTCCAACGCATAGCTTGCATCTTCTAGAAAAAGATAACTCACTCTGTTTGCCATTGCCTTCTGGTCAATTCAGTCCAGTGACCGGTCAAGTTATTAAACCAAAATCAACTAAATTGGTTGTTCAGCTGCCTTGACCACTCATGTCAGTCTAAAAGTATGACCCCATGCAATTCTGCAGTCTTGGCTGCATAGAGCCATGTCCTAGCACTGAATCTGGATGGATTACTAAAAGAAAAAAAAGATAGAGCTGGTATTTAAAAATGACTTCTTTGTATTTTTATGTTTAACCATAAACATTAACCATAAACTTTAGAGGCTAAGGTATCTAGATTACTATGTCTTTATTATTTAAGGCAAAAAATACAGTCCAAGTAATATGGGTAAATGGGGGAAATAAGGCATTGAATTTGGGGTCTGAAAATCTGGATTGGAATCTTTATTCTGTCATGTGGGAGGACAGCCATTTCCACTGAACTTTCCTTCAATTTTTGCCTGGCTCAGTCTTTATTTCCATTGTATCTCAGCTTAAATGTCTTTACCATTCATCTACCTCTGCTCTTCCTTTATGGTATTGTGTCAGTAGTTTTTCATACACTTTTCAAGAGTCATTATTATATACATGTTTATTTATTATTTATATTTCCAACTGTACTCAAGCAAAAATAAGTTTTTTTAATCCCCATTTTATTCTCCAATGTATACTTATGGTGCAATATAATCCCTAGCATATAGCCATTGCTTAATCATAATTTGTTGAATGAACTCATGAATTATTTGCATGCTCAACTTCTAATGTGAACTTTCTCATTCTCTTTCATACCAGAAATGTTAAACTTTATTTATGAGTCCATGTTTCAACTATTTTTAGTATATGCAATAAAAATTTCTATTAAAGATAAGATTTACCAAGTGTATGAAAGGTATTAAATTTTCTGCACAGATCCATTTAAATGGACAAAATCATTCTTTAGCACAAGTTTCAATGCCTTACTTTTGTAAAATAAGTGTAAGTGAACTCTTTGAAGGAAATTAATCTTCCAAGCTGGCCAGATTCTTTATCTCATCAATGAACAGAATGGTCCATGTCAAAAATTTGAAATGTAAATAATCTTCAGAAGGTCTTTTATCTTTTTAGCTTGCTCTCTAATTTGTCGTTTCCAGAATGGATGTCCTAACACTACTGATGAAAGAGAACTTGCATAGACTGTAAACTCAATGAGCCATTAAATAGGTGACAATAATCTTCATAGAAATTTGGAATATTTAATTAGCACAAAAAATACTCTTAGCCAGTGCACTCAATTACTTCCAGGTATAGTCCCCAAAATATCAACCAACTATTTTGCATGTCCATGAAATGCTTTGGAAGACATTTAAGGCTGCAAAAGGGGATAATATTTCATCTATTAATTGAGGACTTGACATGCTTGTGCGTGTCCAGTAATAAAGTTTCAAAGTGAATTCAGTTTAGATCCTTGAGATATTTTTAAAGGTGACATTTCTATCCTTAAGGCTACCATCAATGAAAGTAACTGAAAAACTAGGAAAACCTCTGGGTTAGACAAAGGAAATATATGGTCCAGTATACCCAGTGATATCATTACTGTTTCTTTTGCACATTACCTAATTGTCCAACGACCAATAAAATAAGGCAAAGAAACAAGAAAATAATAATCTTGCAAGTCATAATCATAATGGGAAAACTAACTCTTCAAAGTTGGTCTATCGGCAGAAGCACAAACAGCTTAGAGGAAGAATGCAATGGAGAGGAATTAATAAGAGAGAAGAAGCAAGGAAAAGCAGGGTTTAAATGCTTTAAATACAGGGAGCAATAAATAAGGAAATATATACAGAAAACACAAGGAAGACTGGCTTTCATAAGACCAACTCAGTACCTTTGTCAGTTTATTTAATAGGAAAAACATGTTATAGTTTTAAGATGTGGGACTTTTAATGCTTGGTCCTGTCATTTCTTTTTCAGGTTCAATAATTTATCAAGTTTATAAAACAATAAGAAAACATTTAGTTTTACAAATAGGCTCAATACTTGACAAAGTGGTTTAGTTATATGTTTGTTTTTTTTAAATTTTTTTCAGTCTTGTCACCCAGGCTGGAATGCAATGGCATGATCTCAGCTCACTGCAACCTTATAAGTGAGAACATGCAGTATTTGGTTTTCTGTTTCTATATTAATTCTCTTAGGATTATGGCCTCCAACTGCATCCATGTTGCTGCAAAAGACATATTTTGTTCTTTTTTTGTGGCTGCATAGTGCTCCATGGTGTATATGCACCATGTGTTCTTTATCCAGTTCACCATTTTGGGGCTCCTAGGTTGACTCCATGTCTTAGCCATTATGAATAGCATCACAATTAATGTAGGAGTATATGTGTCTTTTTGGTAGAACAATGTTTTCTTTTGTATATTACCCAGTATTGGGATTGCTGGGTTAAATACTTGCTGTTTTTAGTTTTTTGAGAAATCTCCAAACTACTCTCCACCATGGCTGAACTAATTTACATTCCCACCAACAGTGTATAAGCATTCACTTTTCTCTGTAGCCTTTGCCAACATTTGTTATTATTTGACTTTTTAATAATAGCCATCCTAACCATACCAATAAGAAGTCATAAAAAATTTACTTGGTAATAAAAAACCTGCCAACCAAAAAAAGCCCTGGACTAGATGGTTCACAGCTGAATTCCATCAAATATACAAAGAACTGGTACCAATCCTACTGGAACTATTCCAAAAAATTGAAGTGGAGGGACTCCTTCCTAACTCATTCTGTGAAGCTAGCATCAGCCTGACACCAAAATCAGGAATAGACACACACACACACACAGACACACACTTCAGGCAAACAGCCCTGATGAACAATTCTTAACAAAATTCTAGCAAACTGAATCCAGCAGCGCATCAAAAAGTTCATACACCATGATCAAGTATTATTCCTGGGCTGCAAGGCTGTTTCAACATATGCAACCAGTAAATGTGATTTTCCATATAAACAGAATTAAAAGCAAAAACCATATGATCATCCCAATGAACATGGAAAAAAGCTTTTGGTACAATCCAATATCCCTTTATGATGAAAAATTCTCAACAGACTAGGCAGTGAAGGAACATACCTCAAAATGGTAAGAGCCATCTATGACAAACCCAAACCCATCATCTTATGGAATGGTCAAAAGCTGGAGCCATTCCTGTTGAGAACTTAAATAAGATAAGAATGCCCACTCTCATCACCCCTATTCAGTGTAGTACTTGAAGTCCTAGCCACAGCAATCAGCCAAGAGAAAGAAACAAAAGACATCCAAATAGAAAAGAAGAAATAAAATTATCTCTCTTTGATGGTGATACAATTCTATACCTAGAAAACCCTGAATACTCTGCCAAAAGGCTCCTAGGACTGATAAACAACTTCAGTAAAGTTTTAAGATACAAAATCAATGTTCCAAAATCAGTATTTCTATACCTCAGCAATATTCAAGCTGAGAGTCAAATCAAAAACCTAATCTCATTTACAATAGCCACAAAAAAATGGAAATAGGAATACAGCTAACAAAGGAGGTAAAAGAGCTCTACAAGGAGAAACATAAAATACTGCAAAAACAAATCAGAGACAACACAAATAAATAGAAAAATATTCTATGCTCATGGATAGGAAGAATCACTATTGTTAAAAAGGTCATAACTATTTTCAGCATTAACTTAAAATTACAAAGTTCAAAGTCTCATCTGAGATAAGGGTAGTGCCTTCTCCCTATGAGCCTGGAAAATCATAAACAAGTTAGTTACTTTCAAGAATGTGGGTATAGGCATTGAGTAAATAATTTCATTCCAAAAGGGAGAAATTGGCCAAAAGAAAGGGGCTAGAGGCCCTGTGCAAGTCAGAAATTCAGCAGAGCAGTAATTAAATCTTAAACTTCAAAATAAACTCTTTTGACTCCATGTCACACATCTAGGGCACACTGATGCAAGAGGTGGGCTTCTTAGGCCTCGGACAGCTCTGCTCCTGTGGCTTTGCAGGTTTCAGACCCCATGGCTGCTTTCAAGTGCTGGCATTGAGTGCCTGCAGCTTTTCCAGGCATAAGGTGCAAGCTGTTTGTGGATCTACCATTCTCGGGGCTTGAGGACAGTGACCCTCTTCTCACAGCTCCACTAGGCAGTACCCCAGTGGGGACTCTGTCGGGGCTCCAACCCCACATTTCCCCTCCACATTGCCCTAGTAGAGGTTCTTCATGAGGGCTCCACCCCTGCAGCAGACTTCTGCCTGGGATTCTAGGCTTTTTCATACCTCCTCTGAAATCTAGTCAGAGGCTCCCAAGCCTCAACTTTTGCACTTTGTGTACCTGCAGCCCTAACACCACATGGAAGCCACCAAGGCTTATGGCTTGCACCCTTTGAAGCAGTGACCCGAACTGTACTTGGGCTCCTTTGGGCCATGGCTAAAACTGGAATGGCTGGGATGCAGGGACCAGTGTCCAAAGGCTGTGAAGGGCAGTGGGACAAAGGGCCTGGCCCATGAAACTATTCAGTCCTCCTAGGCTTCCAAGCCTGTGATGGAAGGGGCTGCCTTGAAAATCTCTGAAATGCCTTGGAGGTCTTTTCCCTATTGTCTTGGCTATTAGCAATTGGTTCCTTTTTACTTTTGCAAATTTCTGCAGCCTGCTTGAATTCCTACCCTGAAAATGGACTTTTCTTTTTCACCACATGGCCACTCTTCAAATTTTACAAACTTTTATATTCTGCTTTCCCTTTAAATATAAGTTCCAAGTTTATGCCATTTGCTCATGCATATGAACATAGGTTATTAGAAGCAGCCAGTCCACGTCTTGAACATGTTGCTGCTTATAAATTTATTCTGCCAGATACCCTAAATCATCATTCTCAATTTTAAAGTTCTACTTATCCCTAGGGCAGGAACACAATACAGCCTAGTTCTTTGCTAAGGCATAACAAAAGTGACTCTTTTTCTAGTTCCAAATAAGTTCCTCATTTCCATATGAGACCTTCTCAGCCTGGATTTCACTGTGCACATTTCTATCAGCATTTTGATCAGAACCATTTAGCCAGTCTCTAAGATGTTCCAAACTTTCCTTCATCTTCCTGCCTTCTTCTGAGACCTTCATATTCTTTCAGCCTGTGCCTGTTACCCAATTCCAAAACCGCTTCCACATTTTTAGGTATCTTTATATCAATATCCTACTCCTAGTACTATTTTTTGGTATCAGTTTGTTCTCACACTGCTGCCAAGGAATACCTGAGACTGAGTAATTTATAAACAAAAGAGGCTTAATTGACTCATGTTTCCACAGGCTGTACAGGAAGCATAGCATCTTCTGCTTTGGGAGAGGCTTCAGGAAGCATCCAATCTTGGTGAAAGTTGAAAGGGGAGTGAAGTGCCTCACATGATGGGAGCAGGAGCAAGAGAGACTAAGGGGTAGGTGCTGCACACTTTTAAACAACCAAGTCTCATGAGAACTCACTCACTATCATGAGAACAGCTCCAGGACCATGGTGCCAAACCATTCACAAGAAATCCACTCATAGGATAGAACCACCTGCCACCAGGCCCCACCTCCAACATTGGGGACCACAATTTGACATGAAATTTGATGGGGACACAGACCCAAACCATATCAAGGAGGGAAGGAGTTGGGTAAGGGTTGATAAACTACCTGTGGGTAATACGCTCATTACCTGGGTGATGGGATCTGTACTCCAAACCCAATATGCCCATGTAACAAAACTTACACGTACCCTCATATCTAAAATAAACATTGAAATTATTTTAAAAAAGAAATTATGTTAAATGTTATCAAATGCTTTATTTGTTTACAGATTTTTTCTTTTAATATCTTACTGTGGTAATATATTAAGTGTTAATGTGTGGTAACATGGTAACATATTAAAAAATACATTACAGTAACGGTAACATATTAAAAGAATCACATTAGTGAATTTTCTAATGTTGAGTAATTCTTAATATATAGGATACATCCAATTTGGTTTTGCTGTATTATCTTTTCTCCAGAGTTGGACTTAATTTAAAATTTTTATATTTAGAATTTTCATATCTATATTTATTAACAAGTGTGGTTCTACAGTTTTTTTGTCTTTCTATAACATTTTTGGGTTTGGTAACAAGCATATGCTGAACTCAGAATAAATTGGACCACAATCCTTTTATTTTTAAAGCTTTTGTAGATCTCAACTTTGAAGTAGACAAGGTCTGGAGTTTTCTTGTGAGAAAATTTTAAATCACTATTTAGTTTCTTTAAAAACCATGGGACTAATTAAGCTTTATTATTACTTCATGAATTAACTATAAGTCACATTTTACTAGAGATATGTCCATTTATCTCAGTTTTCTAAGTTGCTAGCAGATAGTTGGTAATATTTGTACACCTGTTTTATAACAGGTTTATTGAGATATAGTTCATAAACCATACAACTTACCCACTTAAAGCTCATAATTCAATAGTTTTTAGTACATTCACAGAGTTGTACAACTATCATCATAATGTAATTTTAGAATATTTTCATAGCCCCCAAAACCCTATTCTCAATAGCTGTCAATGCCTATTCTCTGTCACCCCCAAGCACTAGACAACCACTTGTATACTACTTATTTTGACAGATTTGTCATTTGGCGACATTTTATACACATGGAATTATACCATTTGTAGTATTTCATTTTTGGCTTTTTTTTACCTAACATACTTCATTTTTTTCAGATTCATTTATATCACACTGTGTGTCAATACTTCATTTCTTTTAATAGTTGAATGATATTCTATTGTTTAGATATACGATACTTTGTTAATCCAATCATTCATTGATTAATATTTGGGTTGTTTACACAAATATTATTGGCTATTATTGGCTATTATGAGTAATGCTATTTATATTTCTGTATAATATTTTGTGTACACATATATTTTAATTTTTCTTGGATATGTATCTAAGATTAGAATTGCTGGGACATGTGTTAATTCTAAGTTCAATTTTGTAAGAAACCCCCAGACTGTTTTCCAAAATGGCTGTGCCATTTTATATTCCCACCAGCTATGTGTGCAGGTTTTGATTTCTCCACATCCTCACCAACACTTGCTGTTTTCTGCTTTTATAATTATATCCATTCTGTGTTTGTAAATGATGTTTCACTGTAGTTTTGATTTGCTGTTCCCTAATGATATTAATCATTGTTTATATCCTAATTGACTCTTGTGTAACTATTTTTTTTTTTTTGAGAGGGAGTTTCACTCTTGTTGCCCAGGCTGGAGTGCAATGGTGCCATCTCGGCTCACTGCAGCCTCTCCTCCCGGGTTCAAGCGATTCTCCTGCCTCAGCCTCCTGAATAGCTGGTATTACAGGCATGTGCCACCATGCCCGGCTAATTTTGTAGTTTTTAGTAGAGACAGGGTTTCTCCATGTTGGTCAGTCTGGTCTCGAACTCCCAACCTCAGGTGATCCGCCCGCCTCGGCCTCCCAAAGTGCTGGGATTACAGGCGTGAGCCACCACGCCCGACTGATTCTTATGTAACTTTTTAAAGAGAAATGTCAATGTAGATCCTTTGCCCATTTTGGGGTCTTTGGAGTTTTTTTTTTAATTGAGTTGTAGGAGTTCTATTATATTCTAGCTACAAGTCCTTATTAGATATATAACTTACCAATATTTTCTCACATTTACTGGATTATATTTTTACTTTCCTGATGGTGTACTTTGAAGCATGAGCTTTAAATTCAATTAAACATAATTTCCATCCCATTTTTCCAACAAGGATGCCTACTTTCACCACTATTTTTCAACATAATACTGGAAGTCCTGGCCAGAACGATTAAGCAATAGAATGAAAGGGTATCCAAATTGGAAAGGAATAGATCAAATTAGCCTTATTGGTAGGCAATGTGATCTTATACTTAGAAAATCCTAAAGACTTCACCAAAAAGCTGTTAAAACTGATGTGAATTCCTAAAGTAAAGAATGCAAAATCAACATACAAAAATCAGTAGCATTTATATATGCCAACAGTGAACAATCTGAAAAAGAAATCAAGAAAGCTATTTCATTTACAATAGCTATGAAAATACAAAATACCTAGAAGTAAATTCAATGAAAGTGAAAGATCTACATTAAAAAAATATGAAACTCTGGTGAAAGAAATGGAAGTGTATACACACAAAAAATTGAAAGATATTCCATGATTATGGATTGGAACACTTACTATTGTTAAAATGATGATACTACTCAGAGCAATTGACAAATTCAATGCAATCACTCTCAAAATGCCAATGGCATTCTTCACAGAAATGGAAAAAAAAGAATCTAATATTTATATGGAACCACAAAAGACCACAAAGGGTCAAAGCAATCCTGAGCAAAAAGAACAAAACTGGAGGCATCACATTACCTGAATTCAAAACTTACTGCAGGCTGGGAGCGGTGGCTGGCACCTGTAATCCCAGCACTTTGGGAGGCCGAGGTGGGCGGATCACGAGGTCAGGAGATCGAGACCATCCTGGCTAACATGGTGAAACCCCGTCTCTACTAAAAAATACAAAAGAATTAGCCGGGTGTGGCGGCGGGTGCCTGTAATCCCACCTACTCGGGAGGCTGAGGCAGGAGATGGCGTGAACCCAGGCAGTGAGCCGAGATCGTGCCACTGCACTCCAGCCTGGGTGACAGAGCGAAACTCCATCTCAAAAAAAAAAAAAACAAAACAAACAAACAAACAAAAAAAAAACAAGCGAAAAAAACTTACTACAAAGTGCTGGCAACCAAAACAGCATGGTACTATCATAACAATGGACACATAGAGCAATGGAATAAAATAGAGAAGCCTGATATAAATGCACACATTTACAACCAACTCATTTTCAACAAAGGTGCCAAGAGCATACAATGAGAAAAGAACAGTCTTTTCAATAAATAGTGCTGAGAAAACTGGGTAATTATATGTAGAGGAATGAAACTAGACCCCTGTATCTCACCATACACAAAAAAAAATTTAAATAGATTAAAGACTTAAATCTAAGACCTGAAATTTTGAAACTACTCAAAGAAAACATTGGAGAAATGTTCCAGGACATTGGTCTGGGTAGAGATATTTTGTGTAAGACTTCAAAAGCACAGGCAATCAAAGCAAAAATAGACAATTGGGATTACATCAAACTAAAAATCTTCTGCACAGCAAAGAAAACAAATTGAGAAAACTCACAGAATGGAAAAAAGATATTTGCAAACTATTCATCTGAAAATAGATTAATAATCTGTATTAGTTTGTTTTCATGCTGCTGATTAAAGACATACCGGAGACTGGGCAATTTACAAAAGAATGACGTTTATTGGACTCACAGTTCCACATGGCTGGGGAGCCATGTGGAACTGTAAGTCGATTAAACCTATTTTCTTTATAAATTACCAAGTCTTGGGTATGTCTTTATGGCAGTGTAAAACAGACTAATGCAATATGATAAAGTCTTTTTAATTCTGGTTTGTGGTAAACACATCTTAGTTTTTGTTTTGTTTTTTCTCTAGCTTTATTTTGTTTTATTATCAACAAATTTCTTTCTAGATATTTTATCATTTTTACTTCATATATCATTCTTCTCATTTATTCTGTCTATTGAATTATTTATCAAAACTATTATTTTTTCATTTTTAATGTTTCTGCTTATTTGAATATTTTAGCCCCATATTGCTAATATTTTCTTGTACATTTATTGTGTTAATCTGCTTTTAAATTTTTTCCCTATTTATCTACCTCTAATGAAATACATCATTCAGTTGATATTCATTTGAAAAAGACTGGGTCCTCAAATGTCTTGTTATTTTAACATTTGAGCCTATTTTCCCCTAGAAATATCAAATACTCTGTCAGGTAATACATAATGTGTAAAGTCAGGCCCAATTGTGAGTCAGCCCCAATAAAGTCACTGGAAGAATGGGGAGAAGAAAAGTAGCAAAAAGTGATGGAATAAAGACTGGCTCCAGGAACCACTCAATCATATCACTTCCCACAACCAACTGCTTAGGCAAGACTTTATCCTTTTTTGGGAAAGGTAAATGAAATTGTAGATTATAATCTCAAATTGTTTCTTTAGCCCAGGGGTATTTGATGGATGGTATAAACAACCTACTACTTGGAGTTAGTTACTCCCTCTGTCTCATTTTTCCCAGCTATGTTCAAGGCTGAGCTAATATATAACTCTTGAGGACATCCCCCAGAGCTACCACAAATGTGGCAGTAGACATATTTTGTTCCAAGGCAATGACAGAAGAACGATATCAGAATTCCAGAACTACCATTCCTATTTCAATATGTCATAGCTATGCCAGGATGCTTCCTACCTGGGGATGGAAAAGCAATCAGATTCCTCATACACACCATTTCAAAACAGTACTCTGCTATCTGAGAATATAATTTCACTATTTCTCTCTAGTTATTCTTCCTCTAAAAATTTTTATTGGATTGGTCTTGGAAGAGGGAGCCAGATATCATATCTATTTTTTATTTAGAAGTAGAATTTTCATATATCTTTTTAAAGACATCTTTGTTTGAGTTATGAAAAGAATAACAATTAGCAATTAGAACAAAAATGCAATTTTTGCTTTTTTATATTTGTGAAAACACCTTCACATTGTTTGTATGCACAAAATTTGCTAAGAGAGTAGATCTTAAACATTATTACCACACACACAAAAATGGAAACTGGCCTGGCGCTGTGGCTCACGCCTGTAATCTCAGCACTTTGGGAGGCCGAGGAGGGCGGATCACAAGGTCAGGAGTTCAAGACCAGCCTCGTCAATATGGTGAAACTCCATCTCTACTTAAAACACAAAAATTAGCCGGTGTGGGGGTGGTCGCCTGTAGTCCCAGTTACTTGGGAGGCTGAGGCAGGAGAATCGCTTGAACCTGGGAGGCGGAGGTTGCCGTTAGCTGAGATCACGCCACTGCACTCCACCTTGGGTGACAGAGCAAGACTCCATCTTAAAAAAAAAAAAAAAGGAAACTATGTGAGGTGATGGATATGTTAATTAGCTTGATTGTGGTGATCATTTCATGCTGTACACATGTAACAAAACATCACATTGTACAGCATAAATATTTACAATTTTAATTTTTCAATACTATCTTAATAAAGCTGGAAAATAATAAACCAAACAAATGATTAAAAAAAAAAACACCTTCACACTTATTAACTAGTTTGGTCATCATAACAATCCTATTAAATAGACAAAATGTGTTAACATTTGAATCTCAGTTTCATAAGAAAACTATGCTTTTTTAGATTCAAAGAAGCTAGATATTTGCCAAGATCCCATATTTAGTTATTCATGTCTAATGACTCTTTACTCCTTCCTCAGAAAATTTTTTCTCAGCTACTGAACCTCAGCTCTTAATCACCCTCCCAATTTTTCACTAAATTCCTGGCATCCTCCCTATGACCTCAAATTGTGCATGATTTATTTTTCCTACCTGATGTTGGGACCTTATGATTTGAAGTAATGAAAAAGTAGGTACTTTATGGTAAAAAGAATCTGGGAACTGTGTACCCATACAAGATACCATCAATAGTCATAGCTGTTAATTCCTTTTATAAATAAATATTCATATGTAATATATAAAAATATTTTATAAATAAATATTGATATTGATATATATCATTTATATTACATGTATATAAATATTAATATGCAATCTTTTATTTAGGTCATTTTCTTGAATTCCAGTTTTTTGAATTTTTTTGCATTTTTGGGTTTTTTTATTTCAAGACTCCTATTATATGTATGTTAGATTTTCTTAGCCTACTTTCTTTTTGTTTCAAATCCTTTGTATTTCTCTCTTTACATCTTTTTGAACTTAATTTTTTTCTTTTTCATCCTTCTTCATCTTATACTTCTTTTAAGTTCTTATTTGTTATGTTTAATTGTTCTTGTGTTTTCAAAATTACTAATTCTTTGACATTTGTTTTTCCTTTTCAATTTTTTTTTTCTGTCACCTCTTTTTAAATCTTTTTCTCAGATCACCTCATCTCTGAATTTATCTAATTTTAATTTTTATTGTTGTATCATAGCATCTACGATTTTCCTAATTTGTTTACTCCTTTTAGCTCATTTTAAAACATCAGCGTTTATCTGCTTTGTGAATATATCTTTCTAGAATTTTTTTGTGGTCTCTAGGGACAATCTTTTCTTTATTTTCTTTAATTTATAAGCAACATCTATGAATGTGAAAGCCACCATTTTCTATTGCTCAAGTTTTAGACACCTAGTTTATCTTTAATTTTTGGATACTAGGTCTGCATATGCATAATTTACTCAGCTTCATAGTTCTAGAAAGACCACTTTTATTGTTTCTATAAAGTAATAAGATTATGTGCCTCTTCTGAAAAGTTTGCCTCCCCTGTTCTTTTCCACAGTTTTAATCTGACAATTTATTTGATGGTTTATATCTACCATCCTTGTCCAATTAGGGAGATATTTCTGACAGTTTCTTCTCAATGTGGATCTTTGTTTTGGTAGGGAGTGTCAGGTTGTTAGTACCAAGAGTTCATAGCTCACACGCAACAAAGACATTTCAGTAACAACTAGCATACCTACCTCTGATACCTTGGCCTCCAATGCCTCACTTAAAAAAAACCCAGGGATCCTTGGAGAATGGATGGTTCTGAAGCTTCACAAGGTAAGTACAAAAAAAGCCTAGAACTTTGTTTTTTTGTTTGTTTGTTTGCTTTTTTGAGACGGAGTCTCGCTCTGTCGCCCGGGCTGGAGTGCAGTGGCGCGATCTCGGCTCACTGCAGGCTCCGCCTCCCGGGTTCACGCCATTCTCCTGCCTCAGCCTCCCACACAGCTGGGACTACAGGGGCCCACCACCTCGCCTGGCTAATTTTTTGTATTTTTTAGTAGAGATGCGGTTTCACCATGTTAGCCAGGATGGTCTCAATCTCCTGACCTCGTGATCCACCTGCCTCGGCCTCCCAAAGTGCTGGGATTACAGGCGTGAGCCACCGCGCCCAGCCAGAACTTTGTTTTTTTTTAAATTGAGATGGAGTATCACTCTGTTGCCCAGGCTGGAGTGCAGTGGTGTGATCTCTGCTCACTGCAACCTCTGCCACCCGGGTTCAAGTGATTCTCCTGCCTCAGCCTCCTGAGTAGCTGGTATTACAGGAGACTTCCACCACGCCCAGCTAATTTTTGGATTTTTTTTTTTTTTTTTTTAGTAGAGATGGGGTTTCACCATCTTGGCCAGGCTGGTCTTGAACTCCTGACCTCTTGATCCACCCGCCTTGGCCTCCTAGAGTGCTAGGATTACAGGCGTGAGCCACAGCACCCAGCTGAGCCTAGAACTTTTTTTTATGTTTAAAAGTAAATAAAAGTATTTAAGGAAAGAACAACTGCAGATACATCACAAGGACACTGAAGCCAACTTGATGTGGTTTCCCCCTAGTAAAATATAAAACACTTGCAGCATCTAAAATAATAAAGTATAGGAACAAATGATGTGCCATTGAAAAATCAGGATTTATGAGTTCATACATATAATAAATTGTCAAATAAACAGCACAGATGAGAGGGATATGTGTTCAGCAGAATAGTAATTGTTAATTGGTAAATATATAGAAAGAGGCTGGGCATGGTGGCTCACATGCTGTAATCCCAGCACTTTGGGAGGCCAAGGCAGGTGGATCGCTTGAGCTCAGGAGTTTGAGACCAGTCTCAGCAACATGGTGAAATCCCTTCTCTACCAAAAATACAAAAAAAAAAAAAAAAAAAAAAAAAAAAAAAAAAAAAAACCTAGCTGGGCATGGTGGCGTGTGCCTGTGCTCTCAACTACTCGGGAGGCTGAGGTGGGAGGATGGCTTGAGCCCGGGAGGTGGAGGCTACGGTGAGCCAAGATTGTGCCATAGCACTCCATCCTGGGTGACAGATCAAGATCCCATCTCAAAAAAAAAGAATATATATATATATAATATATATATATTATATATATATTTTATATATACATTATATATATATTATATATATATTATATATATATAATATATATATATAATATATATATAAAATATATATATATTAAAAAATATATATAGAGAGAGAGAGAGAGCTGGGGTTGGCACATCAGTATTTAGCAATTCTTATAGTAAAAAGTAAATCAGTCAAGGACAATCAATTGTTGCTAAATCAGAGGTAACATTTTGTTAAGGATCAGAATATTTACCTGATTTTTAAAATGGCTCCCCACAGACTACTTTAAGTTGACTATATATAGAATAATTTTAAAGTGGAGAAATCAAATAGCTGGTTGAACAGATAATGTAAACTAATATTACCAATGGGGAACAAATGGATATTGGTTTCCTCAGATGTGATACCATGAGAAAGCACATCTCTTACATACTGCTGTCCTAAAATATCTAACCTGAATATAATCATAACGGAACATCAGAAAAATCCAAAATGAGGCCCTTTCTATCAAAAAGGGCAAAGACTGTATTTTTCAAAATGTTAATGGCATACAATACACAAGATAACGGAATTTACAGATTAAAGGAATATGAAGAGCTCCGGCAGATCGATGCAATACCTGACCTTTATCTGGATCCTGCACTGAAGGGAAAACATGTTATAAGTAATATTAATAAGGTCAATTGAAAAAATTTGAATATGGATAATTGATTAAATAAAATAAACAGTGTAAAATTTACTGAATTTGATAACTATACTATAGTTAGATATAATATCTCCATTCTTAAGAAAAACACACCAAGCAACTTAGAGGTTATTCACCATAAAGTATGTAACTTACCTTCAAATGGTTCAGAAAAAAAATAAAATATATATTTTGTGAATGGGTACATATAGAGATATACCTACATACACAAACATGGACAAAGAAAAAGAGCAAATGGGATAAACATAATATACAATGTAAAGAATGGGCAGTGTGGCTAAAGGGTATATGGGTGTTCTTTGTATTAATTCTTCTAACTTTTCTGTGCATTCGAAATTACTTCTCAATAAAAAGTTTAAAATTTAAAAAGAAAAATATTTTATCGCTTAGACATCTTCAACTAGCTCAGACCTTAGCCCATTATGTTTGAATGGGTAGCCGCAGCTCCCCTGATCCTCCCCACCCCTATCCCTGCCCCTCCCTGGCTTCGTCTAACATTCTCAGATTGTTCTTTAGTGCTCTCCAGTGGTAATTTGGGGATTTTCATATCTTTACATTTGTCATTCTTCTGCTGCTTTTCTTCCTCTTCTACAAAAATGCTTACATCATTTTGTTCTATTGGTTATTTATTCTCACTTATTTGTAACACATGCATAATATTCTAAGGGATGAATCATTACAATTTAATTAAGTACTTTTGTATTTTTGGACAGAAGGCTACATCTATTTTTTCCCTCTAATAAATAGGAAATTTTTGTTGAAAATAAAGTTTTGTCCAGATTTTTTTATTGTTGCTTTAAAGTTTTAGAAGTATAATTCCTGGATTAATGGATATGGAGGTCTTTTTAGAAGAAGCTTAATACATATTGCCAGATTACGTAATAATCCAGTAAGAATATATTTTTGTTAAAATACAAAATTTGCACACACCTCTAGAGAACAACTTAAGGACAAAAAGGACCGCATTACAAAAAGATGTTAACTGTTAGTACTAATCATATTTTTGGTGGTCATGTTAATATTACTGTTTTGAGACAGATCTAGGGGGTAATGTGGAATAAAGAGAACAAGTAAGTGATATTCTAATCCTGTCATCCTTACTGATCTTAAAAATCACAAGTCTTGGTGTGAAACAGAGTACACGAGGTTCACTAATAATCTCATAGTCCTGAATTTGAATAGGAAGTATTAATAAGAACTCCTAATGTATTTTATCCTATAAACAAAACATTTTATTAATTTTTCCACTAAACAGACACAATGATCAACCCAGTAACAATGAGCACTCCTAGCTCCCAGATTGCAGTCTCTTAGTACAATTCCCTACTAGAAGGAACCAGCTCATCTTGGAGAAACGGCTGATTACACAACTGGAGTAGGAAATATACAAGATGATGTTAGAACATATGGTTATACCAGATATCAAAGAGACTATGAAAGACTGCCAAGGTTATGTTCAAATGACTCAGCAGCCAATGTGAAAAGATTTATTTTTCAATGTGAGAAATGGCTGATTACATGACTGGCATAGGAAATATACAAAATGGTGTTAGAACATATTGTTATACCAGATATCAAGGAGATTATAAAAGACTGCCAGGGTCATGTCCAAATGACTCAGTAGCCAATGTGAAAAGATTTGTTTTTCAAAAGGTAGAGACATGACTAGAGGACTCATCCAATGGTATTATAGGTTATATTGAAAAGGAATGACGTTGTGCTATGTGTACTGCCCTTAGAAGAGCTCTAGGATACACTGCGAAATCCTTAAAAAGGGCTAGGCATGGTGGTTCATGCCTATAATCCCAGTGCTTTGGGAGTCTGAGGAAGGAAGATTCCTTGAGGCCAGTAGGTCAAGACCAGCCTGGGCAACATAGTGAGACCTTATCTCTACAAAAAAAAAAAAAAAAAGTTAAAAAAATTAGCCAAGTATGGTGACAAACACCTATAGCTCTAACTACTTGAGAGGCTGAGGCAGGAGGATTCCTTGAGCCCAGCAGTTTGATGCTGCAGTGAGCTATAATCATGCCTCTGTACTACAGTCTAGGCAACAAAGTAAGACCCCCATCTCAAACAACAACAACAAAACGAAAACAAAAAAGAAAACATAAGAAAACTAAATTAAAAATAGAGTCATTAAGCAATATATAACATAAAACAGATGTAATATTATACTTTTTATACTGGTAAATATTCTGTGATAAATCAATTTGGTTTTAAGATTTTGCAAATTTTCCTGGCTAGTATATATTCTTTTAACTTGAGATATTATAGTAACTATTATCAGTAGTTTTAGGACTAGATTTTGAGCCTCCGTGGACAAAGATTATGCACATTTGGTGAGCTATTTGGCATTTGTAACAGTTTTATGCAAATAAATACATAAATGATGTTAGTAGATGCACTGACAAAAATAGAGATGTGTTAATCATATTTATTAAGAGGGAGGTTATTAAATCTCTTAATTCATGTAGTTTTCTCCTTGTTTGTATCAGAATCACATATTTGTTTTATAATCAGATAAATAAAACAAGGTAAAGAAGAAATAAAATGGAAAAATATGCGAGAAAGCTTAAGAATATGCCTCGCACACATCACCATCTGGAACCAAAATATTTTCACCATGCCAATGTTCACTGAACCAATAATTCTCTCTTGACCAATATGTGAGTGGAATGGATAACTTCCTATGAAGTTACTTCTGGTTCATTGGCAAAGAGCAGTCTATTGCACAACTGAGTGTCTGCTTACCTCCCTCCCATATTTTTATTTACAGGACAAGTACAAAATCATTTGTTGCCGATTAGAAAGAAAAAGGAAATTCCAGAGAGTTTCTCAGAATGACTTTTATTTTGATGGACATATTTTAATGAACCAAATTTATGTGAAAGTTTGTCCTGTTAAAAGTTCACAAAAATATCATGCATGATTGATCTCAAGACTGTGCCTTGATCCAAAGACAACACACAACAGCAGTCAAACATACATTTTATGGGCTTTTGCCTGTTTTGCAATAACACCGGAAAACATTATTTAATTAAAATTTAAAACCGTAACTGATTAATTTTCTGAGTAAACAATCCCTGTAAACATGGAATGTCAGCATTTTAAGGCTCCACGAGTATAAATTTTACTTCCGTTGCATAGACATCTGGGAAGGACTTTGGCACAAGCAAAAAAGGTGACAATGTGACCTGGAGGAGAAGGGCTGTTTGGAGACCTTGCACGTTCTGTAATGTCACTCCTGTCCATGAGGCTGAGGCCCAGTCAGGTGTAGGAAAGCTGCCCTGTCCTGTGTGACTGTGTTGGCATGGGCAGCTGTCACTCCATCTACAGCTCTTTGCTAGCTGTAAATTGCCGGGGGTGGGTGGTGTCCAAAAAGCCCAGCCAGTAGCTGATCCTGCTGCGGCCTCACTGGGACAATGAGGAAGAAATTCTTAGGAATTTGGTTGTTGACATGGCTGTGCAGAATTTAGACTGAGCACTCCCACTGGGTTTCTGCTGTTAAACATCATCCCCAATTGTTACAGGAGCCAGAAAGCGATCTCATTTCTCTTAAGCAATTTTATATATTTTCTTAACAGGGGGAGGTTTAAAACTGTTACTTAAAGTACTCTTGAATGGCTTTTTGAAGAAACATGGAAATATATTGCCAGGAAAATGGGGGAGTATGTTCAAAGTAAGAAAAAATCTAAGACTCTCTGCTTAGGTATTTGTGTAAAACCTGAAATTTAAAAAAAAAGCTCATAATCAAGTAATTTTTATTAGACATTTATAGTCTTGCCAATAATAAATTTCGTGACCTTTGTTCTTCTAAAGTCTAGAGAAAGAACCAGAACTGAAGTGCTTTGAGCTCCTCCAGGTGATGTTCACAGCTTGCGTTTGTGTTTCCAGCCTGGTTCAGCTCTTTTGAACTCACTTCAACCCTTAGCTTACTTATCCAGACCAATCCTGCATGACAGATACCCTCCCTGAGGTGGGGAATGATACCATTCAAATAAATACTTTCATACTTCTGGACCCTGCTTTATTCCTAGTAAACTTATTTTTCTCATCAGTGTGTATGGAAGCTTTTTAAAAGAAGTTTCCATGCTAATTAATTATATTATTATTACTAGAGGAAGAAGAAGAAGAGTGAAGAAACTTTCCCCAATAAGAGAAACTTCAGTTTTTTGCCCTGTCTCCCAAGGAGGTCACGTATTGGCCATCATGTAAAACTTGGCATGCTTCTGTGAAGGGATTTATTAGTTAATTCTTCCATCCTGTTGATTAGCAGTGTTTATTAAGTGCCTGATTCCCATAGTAAGTGGCATAGAAGAAAAACATTCTGCATTTCTTTCATAGAGGAAGTGGAGAGCAAAAGAAGGTGCATCTGTAAGCTCTGCATTGACAGGCAGACCTCAGGGTACTGCAGGTTTGCTTTCAGATCACTGCAACAAAGCAAATATTGCAATAAAGCAAATATTGCAATAAAGAGTCACACAATTTTTTGGTTTCCCAGTACATATGAAAACTATGTTTATTTTATACTGTAGTCGATCAAGTGTGCAACAGCATTATATCTAGAAAAGTACACACCTTGATTAAAAAATAATTTATTGTTAAAAACGCTGACACTGAGGCACAGAATGAGCACATGGTTTTGGAAAAATGGCACTAATGGACTTGCTCAATGCAAGGCTGCCACAAACCTTCAGTTTGTAAAAAACATGCTATATCTGCAAAACGCAATAAGGTGAGGTGCAATAAAACAAGTTGTGCCTATAAACAGTGAGGAATTCACATTTAATGAGCACCAACTACAAGTCCATCTAGATATGTCATCTGATATTATCTATGTAATTTCAGTTTTTCCCTGCCTTTGGGAGATGGGGGAATTGACATTTTTATGAAGCTAGAAAACTCGGCAAAGGAGGCAAAGACAAAATGCTACTGAGTCAGGATTTCAGGATTCAACCCGTAGTGCAGTTAACTTCAAGCCGGAGTACTTCCTGTCATAGCATCGTGTCTCATAGTCGACAGAATCAGTCAGGCAAAGGGATAATGTGGGTCTTAATCCATACTTTAGAGGAGAGTCAGATGTGAACCTTAAGGAAAGAGAGAGAGAAAGCAGCAACCTGGGAAGCTAAAATGGGAGGCATGGTTAGGGGTAATCTTGTTGGGATAAAGGGAATGGGAGTAAACTGAAGCTGGGACACAAGATGGCTAGGCTTTTCCACTGGGCAATGAAATACCTGGGCATGTTATAATTCCTAAGTAACATACCCAGGTATTTTTTGGTTTCTCCTTTCAAAGACTCCCTAAGACTTGGGTCTTTGTGCCTAAAGGCTGCTCTTTTTTAACTTGTGGTAGGTTGTTTAGGCGAATCATACCTACATTGGTCTTACTCAGACAACCATACAACCACAGTCTAGATCCAGAAGAACCAGAGGGTTTTTTTTTTTCATTTTATTTTATTTTTGAGATGGAGTTTCACTCTTGTTGCCCAGGCTGGAGTGCAGTGGTGTGATCTCAGCTCACTGCAACCTCTGCCTCCCGGGTTCAAGAGATTCTCTTGCCCCAGTCTCCCGAGTAGCTGGGATTACAGGCATCTGCCACCATGCCCGGCTAATTTTTGTATTTTTAGTAGACATGGGGTTTCTCCATGTTGGTCAGGCTGGTCTCAAACTCCCGACCTCAGGTGATCTGCCCGCCTTGGCCTCCCGAAGTGCTGGGATTACAGGTGTGAGCCACCGCAGCCGGCCCAGAGGTCTGTCTTAATGGAACGGGTAGATTGGTTTCTAGGACAGTAGCTGGGAACATGAGAGGAGATCTTCTGACATCCAAGTTATCCAAGCCTTCCCTTGGCATAAAACAAAACAAACATATAAATGCCTAAGATGCCTACTTGCTCTTAACTATTAAACCAGAAAGCATATCTGTGGCATCAAATACGTACACTATCCCACATGATGAATGTTTCTTGATCATCCACCTTAGCAACCACTATGAAACAACATTCACCCTTTGCCTTATTCCTATTTAGAGTAGTACTGTGTACCTAATTAGGATAGAACTATTCTAGAACTCAACATGTTACTCACAATGTTGGAAGCCTGGCTTAGGCAAAGTACTTGGGAATCTTGCTGGAAGGCACGGTGAACAGTTATCGCCAAGAAGGCATCCAAACCTAGTTTCCATACAGGCATTTATTCTCTAAACCATTTTGAAAACTATCAGACCAAGAGACACTGAAGATCATTATCATCATGCTCATTTTTCAGATAAGAAAATGGACTGCATAAAGATAGTATCTTAATCTCAAACAGTCAGACCCACAGTTTTCATGAATACATTCGGAATTGCCAGAATATGCATATGGAATCTTGACTGGAAAATGGAGTCATCATCTATCAAACTAGAGAACCTCATGCAGTAAGCACTTTTTTTTTCATGAAAGTGATATAATACAGAGTTAGATGAGGATTTTTATCCTGGCTTCATTTCCCACGCATGTAACCTTGGATAAATTACATAACTTCTCTAAATCACAACTGCCTCATCTGTAAAATTAGAAAACAAGAGTACCTGATTCATAAAGTTGTTGTGAGGATTCCAACAACTTGTTAAGGAGGAGAAGATAAACAGAAGAAAGTGAAATAATGCACATAAAGTGTTTTAACACAGTGATTGACATATTCATGGTTCAATACATATTCACCTGGGCTGGTGTCAGCTTTGGGCTTCCCCATTTCCAACTTCCTCAGTTTGTCTTTTTAAACTTCTACCTCCAGCAGTGTGCACAGGGCCTCGCACACAACTGATAATCCCCTCCCTCTATAAATGCTAGTGGAATTCATTAATATGTTCTCTATTAAACTCTTAAGCTATGGGATAGACATCCAGAAATAGTAGCTGGTATTTAAGTCTCTTCTCACTTTGTCCCAACAAATCCTTCCCTACCCTCTTTTGCTCTGAGCCACAGGCACACACATGGCATCATATTTCTTTATGTTGAGCTGGAAGGGGTGTTCATGTCGATAAGAAACCCTCCTCCCACCCCACTTTGTCTGCCCTGCACTTAGGAACCAAGGTTGAGTTCAAACAGGGGTCAGGGAGATAAAAGCCTGAGGCTTAACCACCAATTCACTAGTCTAGTGGCTAAAACTTCCGTCATTTATTTATTGCCATTAAAAAAGGATGAGTTGGGTCCTGTGTCATGATGGCTGTAGGCAGAAGCCCCTGCCGCTTATTATCTGCCCCTCAACTGGGAAACAGAGCAGGCAAATGCCCCTTTCCCCGGGACCTGCTGCCCTGCCTGTGTACTGCGGTCTGAATGGAAATAGAGAGAAGTTTCCTTGCACTTTACGGGCTCTTTTCTTTGTCATCAAGAGGCCAAAAGTACGGACATTTTGAAATAATTGTCAAAGACAATTATTGTCAAAGACACACGCAGGCTGAGGGGGGAGAAGCGGAGGGAGGAAAAAGGACAAACACCCAAGGGCTGTTGCCTCCAGACTGAAAGAGATTTACTGCAGCCGCTACAGAGACTATTTGTTAAGGAGGAGAAGATAAACAGGAGGCATCTTTAGAGCCAATGGTCATGCGGAAGGTGCTAGAAGCATTCCTAGGCAAGAGTAGAGCCCAGCAGAAGCGCCAGCTGGTTGCGGTTGAGTCAGGTCTGTCGTGCACAAAATCTTTATCCCCTGTTCAGTTCTGTGCATGGGCTCTTTTTAAATGTTAGTGCGAGGGAATCCAGCCAGGCACACAAAAAGGACAATTGCACAACAGATTTGAGCTAACAAGCTCGTACTCATGCATCCAAAGAAAACCTGGAAGGCACCAGCCAGCGGAGCCTGGACGAGAAAAAAGGTCTTCAGAATCCCTGCAGTGGCTGACGAGCTTGCAGGAGTCTGAGTGGTGCCATTTCCCTCCTGCTGTAGATCCCCCAAGCTGTCTGCCCCCCTCCTCCACTTTGGCAAAGCGAACAAGATCATAAACGTCAGATGTGGGCTTGTCGCTGTAATGATCTCGTGGCGATGAATAAAAATGTCCGGGTAACAGATTTGTGAATCGAATCTCCTTTCCGTGCCGTGGACCTGCGTGGGCCAGTGCTGCTGCTCACGCTGACTGGGTGTGTGCGCTGCTCACATGAAACTTCTAGTCATCGAGAGTCCACAGGGTTAAGCCTAGAAGGCTAGAATGATATTTTCATCGCCTTTGATGACACACTAAAATAAAGAACGTCGCATTTCGCCGCAGAACATTGAGTCTGTGAAGCCAATGTACATGTGGTTACTATTTGCAGAATTTGGCATTTTCTGTGAATAGTATAAAGCAGGCATTGGATCGGCTGTCATGTTTTGACAGGGTTGTCCTTTTTTCCAGAATGCCACTCTCCCTACTCCCCACCCTCCACTCCCTCTTATTTGAGCAGCAACTCTACCACTTTTTTTTTTTTTAAGTGGACTAAGAAAATTGATGAATAATGAATTAAAAGCTGGACTGGGTCAGGAGTTTAAGGCACAAGGAAACAATCACCCTGAAGAGAGTGGGGCCCCCTAAGGGGAGCCCAGGTCCCTGTTATGACTGTTGGTCAGATTGTCTCCAGACAGCGAGGGCCTCCCCCAGCCCCAGAAATGGGAACAAGGTCAGCCACCACATTAGTTAACAATGTGAAGCAGGAGTTTAAAGCTGTTTTGTTTACAAAGAGCTAATCAGCCTGACAGCCAAGTACCCCAGCCCCTCCCTCTGGTCAATATATTAATATTTGATTGCTGTTTGGGCCTTTGTTTTCCTATTCTCTCAACTCTGGACCTTTCTTACATCCACAACGTAGACAGGAATGAGGTCGACAATGAGAAATAAGTTTATCTCCTCACGGTGACACACATCCATCAGTTTCAGGCACAGTGGGTAAACCTGGGTGTGAGGTTTCAAGTTTCCGTTTGCTGTGTTTGACTTGTAAGCCATTATTAAACACAAACACACACACACACACACACACACACACACACACACACACACACACACACAGAAAGCCCTCTTTGAAACTCCTGAGAATCTGGGGCTTTAGATTTTCACCTTGAGTCCTACACTTGCTAATTAAACTTTTATTTCAAAAGCTGGATTTGACTCTAAGGACAACTTTCTTATTTTTCTTTTTGTTTTGTTCAACATATGTCACTTTCCCTCTATTTTCAAGGGAACAAAAGCCAGAGTGGCCCTACATTGAATACCTTTTTTAATCAATCCTTCAGGTTTATATCAAAATGGTCTCATTGTATATCTGTTTTTCTGTATTAGCAGAAGCAACTGATCTGGCAGTGGAAAAAGTAGCTCTCGCGTGTATTTCAAAGAAGCAACGGTTTTCTGATTAAGCAGCATTATCTTGCATGTTTTAATGAGTGACACAATTACAGTAAAGACTGAAACCAATTGTCAAGATGTCAATGTTGGCTTGGGATGACTGCAGTATAAATCTACTCATGGAATTTTACAGAGCAGTAATAAGAATATCAAACAGGTCATGCACTGTATTATCATTTCATTGTTATTTATGTTTGCCTGGACTTGATTCAGAGTCTCAGAAACCTCTTAGTCTCATGACATTTTTACCTATTAAATCATCATATCCTACCAGAAGCCTGTAGATGAGCCATTACTTAAAGAAAATGAAGTTCTAAAATTAAATTTGTGTTATTGTTTATCTTTGATTTGTGTAGAGGTCACCACACCTCATAGCCATAAAGACACTCATTAATCAGATGAAAATGAATGCATTTAACCATTCATTTATTTTTCATAAAACCTATTGAGCATCTACTATGTGATAAACACTGTGATGACAATTTCCGGAGATATAAAGAAGATAAAAAAGTGTGTTTTCGAATTGCTCTTGATACGACAGATAAAATGATGAACATGTAATCAGTGATGAAATATATTTTATGTATGTAATACTATGTATTAGATACATATATATTTGTTTTTCTCTGTTCAGGGAAGGCTCTATGGCATGAAGCTATTATCATTATTCATCATCTATTGAAAGGACATTACTATGCATGTCTTCAAGATTGTACAGTTTAGTTTTTATATAATTGGTGAAGATAATTTGCTTTATACAGGAGAGCTTTCAAACGACATTTACATACATTAACTAATTTATCTGTGCTCAAAATACTTTTCACCTCACATTTCACATAATAATGCATAGCAGACATTCTTTATCTAGGGGCTTAGCAAATGCAAGAGGTTGACGTGAGCAGTTCATTCATTCAACAACAAATGCATTTTGTTGTTAACAAATATTAATAAATACATACATTAAGTCTCTATCTTGGGTCATGTAAGTAGTAATGAACAAAATAGTTCTTTTCCTTACCTTATATGGTGTATGCAGACTAATGAGAGAAGAGAGACATTGTACAACGAAACACATAATTAACAATTGGACAAATTGTTATTAGGAAACAGAATAGTGTTCTGTGGAAGAGAAGATCAATGAAAGCACACGATTTAGAATCAAGAACAAAGAACACCTGCCTGAGGAATTGGTACATGATCTGAGAATTGAAGATCAAATTAGCCAAAGAGTATTAGAAAGAGTATCCCCAATGCAGGAAAAATATATGCGAAAGTGCCAAAGTATAAAATGACAAATGTATTTGAGAAACTGAAGAATGCGAAAGTGCTGAGGATGTAATATACAAGAGGAAAATAGATAACAATGAGACTGGGGAACTAGGCAGGAAGCGTATCAGAGAGGGCCAATAGGCTAGACTATGCTGCAGTAACAAATAAGTCCTCAAATATCAGCGGCATAGCAAAAAAAAAAAAAAAAAGTTTATACTAGCTTACACATATCATAGTCTGATATAGCAGTGGTGATAGTAGATAGAAAACTTCAGCTCTGCCGGACATGGTGGCTCATGCCTGTAATCCCAGCACTTTGGGAGGCTGAGGCAGGTGATCTCTTGAGGCTAGGTATTGGAGACCACACTGGCCAACATGGCAAAACCCCCTCTCTATTAAAAATACAAAAAATTAGCCAGGTGTGGTGCCACACGCTTGTAATCCCAGTTACTCGGGAGGCTGAGGCACGAGAATTGCTTATATCCTGGAAACGGAGGCTGCAGTAAGCTGAGATAGTGCCACTGCGCTCCAGCCTGGGCAACAGAGCGAGACCCTGTCTAGGGGCAAAAAAAAAAAGAAAACTTCACCCCAAGCCATATAGTCACAGGGGCTGGGGTGGGGAGAGCTACACAGAGAAGGTATGCATGCTTTAATTGCCTTGATTTACAAGAGGCACTTATCACTTAAACACAATTCAATTGATGGGAACTAGTTCACAAGGGCCCACCAGGATGCAAATGGGCTTGGAATTGTGGTTTAGTTGCATGCCCAGTACAAACAAATGATTTGGCAAGGTGCTATCCAGTGTCTATTTGGATCACAGGGGAAGAAACTTTGTACTTTATCCTAAAGGTTACTACAGGGTTGTAACATTGCTATGGTCTGAATGTTTGTGTCCCACCAAAATTTGGGAGGTTATTAGGTCATGAGGGTGGGGCCCTTATGAATGAAATTAGAGCCTTCATAAAAGAAGCCTGAAATGTGATTATGCCACCGTACTCCAGCCTGGGTGACAATAGCAGTGAGAACCTGTCTCAAAAAACCCCAAACAAACAAACAAAACCAGACAAAACAAGCAAAAGAGGCCTGAGGGAGCTCAGTTGGCCCACAGAGAGGAAGACACAGGGAGAGTGCATCCTTTCTGAGCCGGGAAGCAGGATCTTACTGGACACCAAATCTGCTGGTACCTTGATTTTGGACTTCCCATCAGTCAGAACTGTGAGAAATAAATTTCTGTTGTTTGTAAGCTACCCAGTCTGATGTATTTTGTTATGGTAGCCTGAATGGACTTAGACAAACAAAATCAATTTTTGCGTGATCACTCTACTATCAGTGTGAAGAACAGAGTAGACAGGCTCCCTCCGGCCTCTGAGTAAAACCTATGAGATAGATATATTTTTCTCTTCTGTTAGGCAAATGACTGATCCTTATGTTTCCATCCTCATTTTCTGAAAAACTAAAACTTATAGCTAACTTTTCTTGAGAATCACACAGAGGAAAAACAAATTATGGTTGAAGTTGAGTCCACAATTAAAAAAAACTAACAGAGGGCTGGGCACAGTGGCTCACACCTGTAACACCAGCACTTTGGGAGGCTGAGGCAGGTGGATCACGAGGTCAGGAGAGTGAGACCATCCTGGCCAACACGGTGAAACCCCATCTCTACTACAAATACAAAAAGTTAGCCAGATGTGGTGGCACACACCTGTAGTCCCAGCTACTCTGGAGGCTGAGGCAGAAGAATTGCTTGAACCTGGGAGGCGGAGGTTACACTGAGCCAAGATGGCACCACTACACTCCAACCTGGGTGACAGAGCGAGATTCCATCTCAATAAATAAATAAATAAACAAACTAACAGAATAAATAAAAACTCTTCCAAGGTAAAGAACCAAAAAATACAACAAACAACCTTTAGAGCTCCAAGAAGTAAAATTAGAATACTTAAAGTTATAAAAGAGCCTTAAAAAGGTTTAAAACAATAAATGAAGGATAAATCACCACACTAAAAATAGCAACACTAAGTGATAAAACGTGGGAAAAGGAATGAAGTAGAATTATAATTGTAGCATATAGTTCTTAAAATAAAATGAAAGTAGTTAATAGAGTTAATAGATGAAATGGCAAATTAGACATATGTAATAAATGCATTAGTGACTTGACTGAAAGATCCATATATCAAGGATCCAGTGTAAATGCCGAGATGGAGAATGTAAGTGTGAAATCAAGTAATATGGGGAAGAGAATGGGAGGGCTGAAAGAGGGAATGGGGAAAGGGTATTTTGAAAAGGCGATGCAGCCCTTTGGGAGGCCAAGGAGGGTGGATCACCTGAGGTCAGGAGTTCAAGACCAGCCTGGCCAACACGACCTGTATCTACTAAAAAAATAAAAATAAAAATAATAAATAAATAAAAATTAACCGGGGGTGGTGGCAGGCGCCTGTAATCCCAGCTACTCGGGAGGCTGAGGCAGGAGAGTTGCTTGAACCTGGGAGGTGGACGTAGCAGTGAGCCTAGATCACGCCACTATACTCCAGCTTGGACAACAGAGTGAGACTCTGTCTCAAAGACAAAAAAAAAAAAAAAAAAAAAAAGGTAATGTCTTGCCGTTTTACAAAGGAGTTGCTCCTCATATGTGACAGGCATGCGACTGAAACATACAACAATTAGAAACAGTGCCGGACTGGACATGGAGTAAAACATCAGGACATTGAAGAAAAGGAAAATTTTAAAAACGACCATTGAGAATAGACATATCACTTCCAAATGCATATGTACTCATTAAATCAACCTTACATTTTTCAAAAAATTTTTTTCAAAAAAAGAAAAATTTTCAAAACAGAATTTTTTTTTTAAAGAGGAGAGAGGACATAACATTTTCTTATTCCTCTTTCTATTTGTATAGCTCCAAATAGTTATAGAACCTATATCTCTCATGGTATGTACAGCTGGAAAATGGAAAATAATAAAAATGTCTAAAACACATGCTATTTAATTGTGTAGAGGGATGAATAAACATTTAAAGAAACCGTAAAATGTGTTACTTTTATTATTATATGTGTTCTCATCTAAATAATCACCTTTCTTCATTTCCCATGTTATAGTTTCAGTTTTTACACAGTGAGGTTTCTAACACTCCACACACTTAAAGTTTGTATAAAGGTGTGTGTGTATGTGTATGTATATATGTGTATTTGAATATTTAGAAGTGAAGGCTCTGTGTTTAATGAAACCATGATAGAAAAGCATTCTCTGTGATATTAATTAAATTTTAATTCAGGGTGTCATCTCCTTCAGCTCCTGTTCCATTTGCTTGTAAACACATTTCTATTCCTAGTCTTAATTGACTACTTTCCCATAGACTAAAACCACACCCAAGATTTTACCATACTATGAAACCCAACAATGAAACCTTGGGTTTAAGCCTCTAGCTGATGTGGTCTTAATAACAAATGCCACCAACCTTGCACGTCCCTCTGGCTCCAATTATCTCTTTCTCCTTCCCCTCACCGAGAGGCCTTTCAAAAAATGACCAGTCAGCCACCGAAGTCCCTACTTTAAATTTTCCTTTTCTCTAAATTTTTACCGAGCACAGGCTTTATCTTTTTGTTTTTTCACTATCGTCCCTCTGAAACTACCTTAGCAAGCTCATCAATTACATTCACATTTCTAAACCCAATGCTTTCATCTTGCTCTCTTCCTCAGATGTTGGAGAATTTGACATTGTTGACCTCTCCATTCTTCTTGAAGTTCTAATGCTGGGCTTAGAGTCCTCACACTGTCCTGGCTTTTCTCCAATCACCCTGGGCCTTCCTTTTCCGTTATTACTGCTGACTCCTCTTCATCTGATCCTCCCGTCACCGTGCCCCACCTCACCCCTGTGTTAGATGATGGTTTCTTCGTCTGGAGAGCTTACATTCAGCATAATCTGGAATGAATTAGCCAATTTGATGGCTGAGGAGCTTTTCGTCCAAGCCTTTGTGAATATCTTCTGTCTCAGCAAGACCCAAGGACATCAAGTCCCTTGTAAAATTCCATGGTCTAGAATGAGGGATTTAGTGAGGAGGAAGAGAAGGCCAAGGGAAACTAGAGGCACATTATAAACATCTGTTATTACAAATCTCTTCTCTAAGGCTGAGATTGTGAATCACAAGCCATTTAACTTCCACTGCCGAGTGGGAGGGTGAACAGTGTGAATCAGCGGTTAAGATGAGTAACTTAGGAAAACAGATACCTATGGTGATAGGGTCAGCTTCCAACTCAATAACATTACCTGATTAGCTAAAGTATTTGATGCCTGTAATATTGACATTTTTGTTGCCTTTCTCTATTACTTAGAAATAGTTGAATTACATATTCCAAACTGTTCTCTTCTATTCTAGAATTTTTTTCTGCAACTTTACCCAGTGAGATTCTGCATAAACTAGAAGAATATTAAGTCCTTTAAAACAATGAAACCTTGAGTTAAGCTTCTAGCTGGTGTGGTCTTCATATACATAGTCCTTTTACAGCTGGCTGACATTCAGCCAAAGGGACCATGGGTCAGCCAGCAAGTGTTCATGCTCTAAATTGAGGAACATAAAACAAGGGGTGGGAATAGGCTTTGGGACAAAAATGCCCTAAGAAAACATTTGATTATTTTTGAAGTGGAAAGATAGATATTTTTGGAGACAGATACTTCTCTGGGTACTAACAGAAAATCCATTCCTTCATTCCTTTTTACTGAGGGAATCTCTATTTTGTTGGGGCAGCAATGTTATAAGATAAAAATTACTTTTCTAGGGAGATTAGATGACCAGCAATGATCATGTGAGACACATTTCTGGTTATTTCTGTGTATTTCTGAAAAATACTGTGCTTTCCTGATGTAAGTGCCACGTGATTTTCTTGTTTCTAACTCCTTTCTGCAGTCTGGATTACAGTCATGAGGGCTGGAATTGCAACTGCCTTCATGTGCCTAATCACACTGGGAAACCAGAAAGCATTTTCTTTCCACCAGCTTCAGACTGTTTATGTCTGAATTTATTGTTATATGGAAGAAAAATAAATCTCTGTTTAGTCTAACTGGCAGCCACTCGGATTTTTTTGTATGCAGCTGAACCCAAACCCTAACTGATGCAATTTCAAGTCAGACGAACCAGTGCAGCAGAATGAAGAGAACAAAGACTTGATTCAGGCATCTGGTTTGCATCCCAGATTAGCTACTAACATCTAAGAGACCTGGGGCAAGATGTCAAAGCTTCTGAACCTCGGTTTCTGCATCTGTGCATTGGGGCTTACAATATAGAACTCACCCTCTACGTTGGCAATAAGGACTAATTGAATTAATGAATAGCTTCTGTAGACAGGAGTTAAAATCATAATGAAAACCTTAATAGAAGAATGTTTCAAAAGTGCTCTCCAAAGTAACATACATCCAGAAGAATCCATTTAAAGGTGGAGTCTGACTATTTCTGACCCAGTCCATTTGTTTTATGCACTGCCAGCAATATCACTGTAGCGGAAAACATATTTTATGGTGTGCTGGGTGGCTGGAGTAGCACTCAGATGCACGTGCACTAATTCCAGGTCAGCAAGAAAGTTCCAAAGCACCCCTGACAAGACCCAAACTGACCCCTTTTAACTCTTGAGTGAAATGTTATTTTACTCACCCAAGAAATCACTGAAAATAAAGCTATTTCTCAAAGGGGAATCTAAATAAATGTCAGAAAAAGAATAATTCTCTCCAGGGCATCATTCTGAGCTTCCAGTTTGTTCTTATTGCTGTTTTTAAAATAATAACGCAGAGCATCAGGTGTGTTTTCCATTTCTAACCTCAATATAATTACATACACTAACACACATCCTAGTTCGTCTTTTCCTGCTGTGTTCTTTCCGCTTTCAGGAGTGTGGGAATCTTTATGGGAAATTTCCAATAACTCGAGTGTATCTTTGAGATAAGGTAAGCATAATGGGCCATGTAATGGGACAGAGGTGGCTGGTGGGGGGCACTTCTTTTGGGTCAAAGGAACAGAGATTTATCTGAGTAACTTCAGAAGGTGGCAGAAGAGAGAGGTGGTTACCATGTGCTGGCTAGAAACTGCAGCAGGGAAGTAGATTGAAAGCAACATCCCTCTAGGAACCCACTCTCCTGCATTCCACTTTCTTCTCTGCGACTGACAGGCTTCCATCTATTTTCTCTACCAAAGAATTCCCTTTGCAACAGAGTACAGAAAAACTATATCCAGAGCTTCGTGACTCTGACTTTCCTAAGTAGCATCATTATGATGATTGTCTATAGCATGATTTAAAAGTTCACTGAATGTTTTTATACCTGCTTTCTTATTCCTCGAAATACAACTTCTCTCACTCTTCATTTGAATTCATCTCTATTCTACTCTAAATTAATATATTATCTATAAGGATTCAAAATCCTCATGGAAAGCAATCTCCCAAAATCCAAGTTGCAAATCCTGGGCAAAATATCCATCTACACCCCTGAACTAAAATCAAAGTCAAATTTATTCTTCATTTTCACTCTGCACTGCTCTTTTATTCATCATCATAACCATCACCTATAACCTTGGTTTTGCTGAAGTCATGCTCAAAGTACCATGTTGCTGAAGGATTGGAGACTTCGTGACTCAAACGATTGAACAGAGACTTCATGATCCCCTTTGATTCAGTTGCCATATGTCAGTGCTTCCTGTCTGCCCTGGAAGGCTGCACCTTTCTCAGAATCACCCATGTCCTGCTTTCTTTTCCTGTGTTGGGAATATGGCTTCCGTCAGTCCCTCTGGGGAATGAGCTGCCCTTCTGTTGTGAAGCCTGTTTGCTTATCAACCTTTCAGGGAGGGTTTTGTTAAGGAGTCAGGAGGAAGTGCTCACCCAGATAGCACATGTGTCTGTTCTTTGTTGGTGGCAGTCATTGGGGCTTCAAAAGATGTTCAATACATTAGCGATGATCAGCCTCTTTCAGCTTTTTCAGGGTTGCCAAAGAACAGAAATGGCGGGAGCTATTTCACATAATAGAAAAAACACAACCAGTCAACCAACAAAAGACCTCACACAAATCAATTACAGAATTATTAGCAAGCAAGAGCAAACTTTTCAAGAGAGAAGTAGACTTAGTTAAGTCTTCATCTATATGCAAAGATTTGGAGGGAAATAAACCACAAATTTGTATTTCAGTTGCAATGTGATATTAGTATTTTGTTAGTCTTATACTTCCGTTTACATGTTGAAAACTATCCTAAATACCCAAAACATGAATGTGAATAGATTTCTTTATCATATTTGTAAGGCTACAGGGGCAATTCATGAGCAAAACAGATACAATAAATTCATATGTTATATTTTCCACAAGGAAAGTCATCTTAGATTTCATTGTAATTCTCTTAAAATAATTCCAAAAATACAACCAAGTCTGTAAGAATTGAGGTTAGAGTGAAAGAAGTCACTAAAGCACCAACCTTTAAGTGGTTATTTCTATTCTTCCATGTCTAAAGGCATCCAGGAAGAACATTTCTCACCAGCCAGAAGCCAGATGAAAGGGCATGTTAAGTATCCTTATGGCTTCCCAAAACTCTGAGATATATTCTTTCATTTATTCCCCCTTTTTTAAAAAGTTATAAAATAACATCAGTGTAAGAATGTTTCATAATGTACTACCTGGGATGAAATACAACCCAAAATACTCTTCCATAGAAAAGCCTATAGAATATATCCTAAAACCCCAAATTAGGCCCTTTAAATGGATAGCCCATCTACAGACCTTTCGTGAAGCAATTTTGTCCATAAAGAAAAATAATCATTTTCTCTATGATCTCTTGAGTAGGGTGACTCTTCTTGGTGCTCCCATTGTCAACTGGGTTTACCTTTATCATCACTGTAGTTGCTGATTGCTCTCCCAGAGATTAACAAAAAGCTAATTCCAAGTTGTAGTGGCCAGAAAACAAACATGCATAAATGATTTTCCAGGGAAGTAAAGGTGTCTAATGCATCAATTATTGAGAAATATATATAATATTTTGTGTTACAAGTGCTATACTCTACACCCATTAGTCAGTTCTACAGTTACATGTACATTTTACATAAATCACTATTTAACAAAAATAAGCATGATACAAATGTCAAAGCTATTGCTTTGTCCTCAAAAATCCACATTTGGGAAAATAATTAGCTTGCACATGGGAGGGATGAAAAAGAACAATGGGAGATTAACTAATGGGGATATAATACTGAGTTACAAGAGAATCTCTGGACCCAGTAACTCTGCTTCTTCAAAATTTTCAACTAAGGAAACAATTAAAAGAAGTTTCTTTATAAATATTCTCTTGCAGTATTACTTTCAATAATAAAAGTTTGAGAACAACCTAAATGTTCAACAGAGGAGATTGATTAGGGGAAAATGGGGGCAACCTGACAGAATCTTAGCAACCATTAAAATTGAAAATTATAAAAAAGGAGCAGTGAAACAGCCACACTAAAATATGGCATCTCTTTCCTCACTGGAACTATTTAAAATTCACATATGATTTTGTACAAGGCCTGGAGAGAAAGTGAAAAACTTGAAAAGAGTAAATTTGTTATAGTAGTGGAGGTTTATATATATATAACAACATATATATAAATATATAAATAACATATGTAAATCGAATATAAAAATATATATATATTTAATTTGGCACTCTTGTTATATCCTAGTGTACTAGTTGAACTAAAGAAAGTGTAAACTTAAAATTTGTTAGAAAGCCTAAGATAACAAGAAATAAATTGACAGATATCAGGAGTTATAGGAGGCCAACACCTGAGACCCACATGATGACTGTACACAGTCAATGATTAATGTGAAGAATGAAATCTTCCATCCCAACTGGACTGGGCAGAGAGAGCCTTTGGGTGAGAGTCCTTCGCTTACCTCTGTGCTTGATGACTTTTTCCTTGAATCCCAAGGTTATGGTTTAGTTTTTTGCCTTGAACTTGTTTGTCCTCTTTGTCATGACAATGTTCTCCTGTGAAGATTGCACAGTCTCTTCTGTTCCCACTTCCAAACTGCAATACCTTGCTAGAGGAAGTCCCTGAATTGGGTGGAAGTGAACACTGCTGGCTCACACTATCTAAATACAATGGGGCTACCAATACGAATATGGATATTATCTCTGTTGATTTTCTAGTCCATCAAAACTATTGTTAAGTATCTTCTTCATTCTGTAAAATAAGAGACATACATGCCTTTGAGAGTGTGGTACGGTGGTAGGAGGATGGTTTTGCAGTCGGACAGACCTGAGGTCAGTTTCTGGTTCTCCATTTATTATCATGTGAACTCCAACAAGGTACTTACCCTGTGAAAGCCTCAGTGTCCTCCCACAAAAAGGTACGACAATGCTCCTCTCCAACAGTGCTGCTCTGAGACTTAACTACAGTGCCTGGCACATGAAAGGGGTTTAGTAAATGGTATTATTATTATTAAAACACTGCCATCCAGGAGTGGGTGTTGGATAGGAAAGCATTCACAGCCAGAAGTTGAATGGATGGGAGGAAGCTTGAAAGGAGTGTAAGGCAATCCAAACTTTTCAGGCATGAGTGGTTGGAGAGGGCTGTTCTTGCCACTAAGACAAACAAATACATGAACACAAAGTTGTAATTTTGGAAGAGCTGGTAGTAGGTTTTTATTTTCTTAGTGACCCATTCCATTTTTACTCTCCTTCTCTCCTAGAAGAAAAGGTGTCTAGCTTCCTTGAAGTCCTTTCTTCGTGATCGAAGCTCCTGCTCTCACTTCCTCCTTCAACTCTCCCTTGTTTCCATGACCTCTGGTCCTCCCTATCAGCTGACAAGCCCTATGCCTGCCTCTTTCATGTACACATTCCCTGTACTGAGGACAGCTCATGTGGCTCTTCAATGCTAGCTACCATGTTTTCCTTTTCACTCTAAGGCTTCTAGCATGACTTGTTTTTCTAAACTCTGCCACATCTCCGTTATCCTCTCGCAACTTAACTCCCTGCATCTGATGTCTACTACCATGACTAATCTAAAATTGTATTTTCTCAAAGTTCCATCCGTGACTTTCTTTTCTTTGGATTCACATCTTAATCTATATTTTCCTTGGTGTACATCCTTGATGTAGGACATGTTTTGATACTGCCATCTTCCTAAATGTTTCTCCTCATAGTCACGTCTATATTCGTCGGCATTTTCCCCTCTGTTCTCTTTCCTTCAGTTAAACACTCTCCAATAGCTACGTAGTTTAAGAAAATGTGTTGTAGCCAAGAACATTCTATTTGTATTTTCTTTGACCTTGCAACCTGAGCTTCTCTAAGCTTTAATTTTCCCATCTATAAAATGGGGTTAATAATCATACAACTGTTGTGAGGTTTAAACAAGGTAATCGTCAGCACAGGGCTTTATACACAGAAGCCATTGAACAATGCTATTTGTCTTGCTGTTATTCTCTTTTTTTCTTTCTTTTTTTTGGCGGGTGGGACAGAATCTTGCTCTATTGCCCAGGCTGGAGTGCAGTGGCGCGATCTTGGCTCACTGCAACATCCACCTCCTGGGTTCAAGCAATTCTCCTGCCTCAGCCTCCCGAGTAGCTGGGATTAGAGGGGCACACCACTACACTCAGCTAATTTTTGCATTTTTAGTAGAGATGGGATTTCACACATTGGCCAGGCTGGTCTTAAACTCCTGATCTCAGGTGATCTGCCTGCCTAGGCCTCCCAAACTGCTGGGTTACAGGCATGAGCCACTGTGCCCGGCCAGTTGTTCTCTTTTTAAAAAATTAGATTATAAAAGAGTGCTTGGGCTTGGAATTTCCTTGCTTGGGATTGGAAACACTTGGCACTCTCATGAAACAATTTTACCCGTTCTTGGGAACAGTGAGACTAATTAGCCAATTATGATAATTTCTTTTAGGCAATATTTACAATATTTCCTGAAAGATACTACAGTTGAATGAATAATATCTAAACATTTATAATTAAATTTCCTTTGCTTAGGGGTCATGGTCACTTGCTCTTTATGTCACCCATCTCCTTGGACAGATGAGAAAGAAGCTTATCTCTCCTTATGCCAAATAAGGTAGTGATATGCTATTGATTTTTTCCCTACAAAACCACAAATAGCAACCTGGCAAACATAATTAAAATTTAGATAAGCCCTCTTTAGGTTAGAATTGATACCTTGTTTGTTCCAAACTCTAAACTTGACTCTCAGCCATAGTCAAGAAATCTCTTTCCGGTGCTCTCAACCATGAAATGAGCAACATCAGCACTGGCTTTTGGGATTAATCAAAAGGTGGAAGATTCAGAGGTTCAGATTGAGTATACTGGAGGCATTAGGGAAAATATCTGGATTTTGGTCAGAATGTTTCTGTTGAGGTGTGGGTTGGGAGAAAGACTGTGAAACCCATTATGAGTTTTGTGTCTTTGAGGTATATAGCTCATTGAAATAAAAATCCTTACTTCAGACTATACTACAAGGCTACAGTAACCAAAACAGCATGGTACTGGTACCAAAACAGAGATATAGACCAATGGAACAGAACAGAGCCCTCAGAAATAATAACACACATCTACAATCATCTGATCTTTGACAAACCTGACAAAAACAAGAAATGGGGAAAGGATTCCCTATTTAACAAATGGTGCTGGGAAAGCTGGCTAGCCATATGTAGAAAGCTGAAACTGGATCCCCTCCTTACACCTTATACAAAAATTAACTCAAGATGGGTTAAAAACTTAAATTTTAGACCTAAAACTATAAAAACCCTAGAAGAAAACCTAGGCAATACCATTCAGGACATAGGCATGGGCAAGGACTTCATGTCTAAAACACCAAAAGCAATGGCAACAAAAGCCAAAATTGACAAATGGGATCTAATTAAACTAAAGAGCTTCTGCACAGCAAAAGAAACTACCATCAGAGTGAACAGGCAACCTATAGAAAGGGAGAAAATTTTTGCAATCTACTCATCTGACAAAGGGCTAATATCCAGAATCTACAAAGAACTCAGACAAATTTACAAGAAAAAAACAAACAACCCCACAAAAAGTGGGCGAAGGATATGAACAGACACTTCTCAAAAGAAGACAGACACTTCTCAAAAGAACAGACACTTCTCATGCAGCCAAAAGACACATGAAAAAATGCTGATCATCACTGGCCATCAGAGAAATGCAAATCAAAACCACAGTGAGATACCATCTCACACCAGTTAGAATGGCGATCATTAAAAACTCAAGAAACAACAGGTGCGGGAGATGATGTGGAGAAACAGGAACACTTTTACACTGTTGGAGGGACTGTAAACTGGTTCAACCATTGTGGAAGACAGTGTGGCAATTCCTCAAGGATCTAGAACTAGAAATACCATTTGACCCAGCCATCCCATTACTGGGTATATACCCAAAGGATTATAAATCATGCTGCTATAAAGACACATGCACATGTATGTTTATTGCAGCACTATTCACAATAGCAAAGACCTGGAACCAACCCAAATGTCCAACAATGATAGACTGGATTAAGAAAATGTGGCACATATACACCATGGAATACTATGCAGCCATAAAAAAGGATGAGTTCATGTCCTTTGTAGGGACATGGATGAAGCTGGAAACCATCATTCTCAGCAAACTATCACGAGGACAAAAAACCAAACATTGCATGTTCTCACTTATAGGTGGGAATTGATCAATGAGAACACTTGGACACAGGAAGGGGGACATCACACACTGGGGCCTGTTGTGGGGCGGGGGGAGGGGGGAGGGATAACACTAGGAGATATACCTAATGTAAATGATGAGTTAATGGGTGTGGCACACCAACATGGCACATGTATACATATGTAACAAACCTGCACATTGTGCACATGTACCCTAGAACTTAAAGTATAATAATAAAAAATAAAATAAATAAAATAAAATAAAATACAAAAGTTGCCTGGGCTTTATAAGGGAGATGTCCCTAAAGAGGTAGACTCAAGCACAAATCCTCAAAGACCTCATTTGTTTCCAACTATCTTCAAATATTGCCTTATTTAGACATCTTCTGAAACTTTTTCTCTAGAAAGGTTGGAGGTTTATCTAGACACAGTTTGCTACAGTGATGATGTCACACGTGTTTCACTGTCTATATGAACTCAACACTCTTGCCCTCTTCCCTTGTTGCAGATGAACCAGCTTCATAAAGAATGCCCCCATTTGTTCAGTCCTCCAGCTCTGAAACCTCACAGTCACCATTAACTCCTTGTTTTCTTTCCTCTAAAGCCCAAACTGTATCAGTCCCCAAATCCTCTTGACATTATCATTGAGATCCTGTTATTTATCTTCGGTTTCTTCTGTCTTTAACTTAATTCAGATCCTTTTGTGTCACTGTATGTCTGGAGAACAATGAAAGCCTCATAACTCTCTTACCTCGCCAATCCATCTTGCAGGAATAATTGTGCTAAGAGATTGCTTTTCATCATCTTTGACCTTTCAAAGACCCTATATTTTTAGAGTGAATACCAGACTGACACTAGAGTCTTCCACCAGCTGGTTCAGACTATCATTGCAAACTCACACCTCTCACAACTCTGGTGCATAAATTCTGTTTTCTATTCAAACTTTTACCAAAACCTGCTTTGTAGACTCTATACAATACACTAAGAAAAACAGCTCTTCTTGTCTCTGCCTTTGAACTATTGCCCCTTCTCCAGAGCCTAATTCAAATTTCATCTTTTCTGTGTGACTGCCCTAATCGTTCAGCCAGATGTTTTTCCTACAATTTTTTAATACTTTCTGTAATAGTCTGTTCTCACACTGCTGAGACTTAGCAATTTGCAAAAGAAAGAGGTTTAATGAACTTACAGTTCCACATGGCTGGGGGAGGCCTCACAATCATGGTGGAAGGCAAAGAGGAGCAAGTCACATCTTACATGGATGGCAGCAGGCAAAGAGAGAGCTTGTGCATGAGAATTCCTCTATAAAAAACCATCAGATCTTGTGGGACTTATTCACTATCTTGAGAACAGCATGGGAAAGACTAGCCCCCATGATTCAATTACCTCCCACTGGGTCCCTCCCACAACGTGGGAATTCAAGATGAGATTTGGGTGGGGACACAGCCAAACCATATCACTTTCTATACTATTAATACATTTTTCAAGCATGTCAGTTTCTTTTCTCCATAGAATCTTTAACTTCCTTGATGATAAGGCCTACATTTTATACCTTTTGCAGTCCCTCCAATGGTCTGGCATAAGGACTTGTGCACAACATTAAAGATATTGTTGATTGATAGCAGTAGAGTAGGTGCTTGCATTCCAAAAGATGACTGAAAGCATTAGAGTAGATGGATAATTACTCACATCAGAAAGAGCCAAGTTTGGAATGTGAAGAGTCATCTACCACTTAATCAGGGTTGTTGCATATGACAGGATAGGTTGTGCACAACTTCAACAACTGTGCATAGCAGCACAACTACTTACCCCAGAGGTCAGAGCTGTAGGTGTTGATACAAACTTGTAAGAGTCCATGAATTGGATGCGTCCTGTGAAATTCATTCTATGCAACTTACAAAATCTGGATGTGTCAGAGTCCTCACCTGTAAGTGAAGAATGCACATAAATGACAACTGTTGCACAACAGTTGTTACCAAACTGTCAAGGGGCATTTTTTTGTGTGCACAAACATCACACTATATAATTTTCTATCCTCAAAATTGTATTTTTCATGGAAAATGGTTCAGCCACTATGGGAACGAGTCTGGCAGTTTTTCAAGAAGCTAAACATAGAATTACCATATGACCTAGCAATTCTGCTTGTAGGTATATATCCAAAAGAACTGAAAACAGATACTCAAATACACATATACACGTGTTCCTGGCAGCACAATTTACAAGAACTAAAAGATGCAAACAACATAGTGTCTATCAATGAATAAATAAACTAATTGTGACATATACATATAATAAGATATTTTTAGCCATAAAAATAAATGAAGTACTGATACATGCTATGATATGGATTAAACTTTGAAACAATATGCTAAGTGGAAGAAGCCAGACCCAGAAGTTCACATATTGTATGGTTCTATTTATATGAAATACTCAAAATAGGCAAATCCATAGAGACAGTAAGCAAATTGGTGTTTTGCAGGGGATAAGGAGGGGGAGGATGGGGAATAATTATTTAGTAGGTACAAGGTGTCTTTTTTGGGTTGATTAAAGATATTTTGGGACTAGATTAAAGGGGTGTTCACATATAATTGTAAGTGTACTAAATGACACCGAATTGTTAACTTTAAAATGGTTAATTTTATGTTATGTGAATTTTGCCTCAATTAGAAACATGGTGCTCCTTATTACTATGCAACATATTCATTATACTCATTGCTTTCTTAGTGTGTTTCCAGCATTACACTGTAAAGAAAAACAGTAAATAAATAAAACACTTTCCCTGCCATCAAAGGTTTTTGAAACCATTTGGGAAATAAGTCCTAATCAAAGCAATTGGATAATGATACAAAACAGACTGTAAAAAGATAGTACCATTAGCATCTGAGATGGGTTTGCTTACCTTAATTCCTCCCCGGGTTTTCCAGGTAGCTTTTGAACCTGGGCCAGTCACTTGGTGTCTCTTAGTTAACAGAAAGAAAAGGCTGAATGTGACAATCTCTAGGATTACTACTGGGTTAAAAAGGATTGGGAGATTTTAAAGGTGACACTGTATGGCAGAGATAATATACGTTATGAGGAACAAATTTCTGGAAAATACATGAGTGGCAATAGTCCCTGGCAAAAACTTTAGAGGGTAGTTGAAAGGGTGGAGGAGGTCGTCTTTAGCCTCCATGCTACATGTATGTGCAGAGAACCTAAAAATATTTTTAATATTGAACTAATATGAGAGATTATATTTTCTGTAAAAAAAAAAGTATATTCTTAAGTTATAGCTAAGTCACTCACAGATTATCTTCTATCCAAGTTATCTAAGGGCACATTCTTCTCCATAAGTGAGACCCAACCATATAAAAATATGGTGTCTATAATAAAATCATTAGCACCCCAATAGAAAACACATTATATTTAATCATAATGACAGTTAAATTTCACCACATATGAAATGAAGTTCTCAATTGTGAATTTTGTCCGGTTTTATCCTCTGGCAGTTTGGATTTAATGAACCAAAGTTGGGATGAGTAAGATTTAGGTGTGGAAGCATGGAAGGATTCCTCTTTCATACTAACTATATATTACCAACCTCAAATCTATCAGTTATTTCATTCTGTATATAAATCACACAAAACAAACTTCTCCCTAAGCAATAATTACACTAACGCCTTAAATAGACATTTTCTCAACATCTCTAGAATAAATGCATTATTTCTAAGGATAGTAAAATGTCTGATGGAAGGCTACCAGGATTGCTGCATGACTTTGCATTCCCCAACACCATGTTACAGAGAAGAGGACCTGGATTTTCTTTTTTCACATTCTTTTATGATACATGAATACTCTTTGAAAAGTGCTCTCCTTATCGCATTTCATCCGCTATGTAAATTGCCAAACTGCAAGTCTGCTTGTCTGAGAGTGTTTTATAAACCACCGTTGTTTATACATGTCACTGATGAGTTTCTCTTTTGTGGCTTGGAATGTTACTTATTCGAAAAAAGTGTTGCTCTCCAACTGAAGTGCCCTCGCTTCTCCTTTCTCCAAGTGGAGTGGGGTGTGACAATGGAAGGGAGGAAGTAGACTGAGCAATTCTTCATCCGGCGAGAGCCACTTCCGGTCAGAACATCAATGACCGCCATTTGAATCAACAAAAGGTAGGAAATATCGCTTTGAGTTTTGGAGAGGATGAATTTTCTTAGTTGCAAAACTTGGAAGGCTGTGATTACCTGTGGCCAGATTGACATACGACCCTCTTCGCACCCTCCCTCCAGAAGCCCCTTCACACACATATCCACTGATAACAAGCCCAGGCAGAGAGGGGACCCTAAACAAATTGTCCCAGCCATTGCCTCTGGCTCCTCAGGTGCTGTGGCTGCAAGTACACCTTTCAGAAAAGCAAGCAGAGATTTGTGTTCCTTTTCACACCTTCTTCAACAATCTTCTGTAGCAGAATATTTGGGAATGGGAACAAGTACAGTAGCAAAAAAAGAAAAAAAAAGAAAAACTGTTTATGAATAATGGAACATTTCAAATCCATCTGGTTTCTGAGACATTTTTTAGTTTCTCACTACAGCCAATTATATAGCATGCTTGAGTGAGAACTGGTTCTATCCTGAGGCTCATTCTGCTCTCAAATTTCTACATTGATAGTTGCTACCAACCTCTGAGGTTGGTAGCCATATGGTAGTCCAATATGGTACTTTATACTCTACTTGTTATACAGTAGGTGATATTCTGGTGAACATAAATCCACATTGTAGTAGGCATCATAAAGGGAGACCCAGGGTGGGGAAGCTGGAGGGCCTTCCCAGATTTTGGCAACATGCAATAGTTTCCCTTTTTAGTTTAAGGATGCTGGGGAATTATTTCCATAGTTTTTCCTTTTGCTGCCTATGTATATCCAGTGTGTCCCTGAGTAAATGACGAGAGCCCATGAGAAAGATAGGGAAAAATATTTTGGTTTTGGGAAAAGGCATTTCGTTCATTCTATTCTTCAAGCATCTTGCATTTCTATAAACTTTTATTATGAAATATTTGAATTTATAAATGCATACGTATATACTATTTTTTTCAATTTGTATGTTTCAACTTGTAATATTTATATGTATTTCAATTTATATATTTCACTATATAAAAGTAGAGCTAATACTATTATTGAACCTTTGTATATGTCCATATATATCTTCAAAAGACCACTGTTGAAAAATAAATTTAATATCATTGCTTCTAAAATTTTATATCAGTAATGCTTTATCATCACTAAATATCCAGTCAATTTACAGAGTAATGAGGACTTTATATTTGCCTATTAAATAAGCTGTTTTCTTGTCATCTAAGGCCTCTCTAGATGACTCACTAGAGACAACTATGATTATCCATTTCTACAGATAAGGGACTGAGGCTCTGAAAATGTAAATACATTGCCCCGACTTGCAAGGTAAACAAGGAACAGAGTGCAGCTCAACCTCAAATCTCTGCCCCTCAAGTCTGTTGCATTAAACTGCTTTGCCGGGAGCTCTCTGGGTATAGCCTTAGCCTTAGAGAGGGAGGGCCATTGTGGAGAGTCCCGTGCAAACACAGAAGTTCCAACAACATTTGGCTGGCTCTATGTCTGTAGAACTGGACCCTCAGGAGGGCTGTGAATATGCACTGAATACACATGATGCATTTATATGCGTGGTGTATGTGGTTGAAGTTTAACCTTGCCACAGTAGACAATGAGGTTTTGCAGTCCTTCTTCAGTGACTGTAGCCTTCTCTGGCTTATTCTCAAGTCCACTCTCTTTTCCTCTTATTTTTGCCACTAAATTACAAATCTTTCAAGGCAGAAATATATTTTAAATGTTAGCGTACTTCTCCCCATTGGCCAGCACGATATGTTATATGTAGAAGTGAGAGGTGAAGCCTGCTGGACTTCCTGGGTGGAGTGGGGACTTGGAGAACTTTTCTGTCTTGCAAGAGGATTGTAAAATCCACCAATCAGCACTCTGTAGCTAGCTAGAGGTTTGTAAAATGCACCAATCAGTGCTCTGTAGAAACACACCAATCAGCGCTTTGTGGCCAGGTAGAGGTTTGTAAAATGGACCAATCAGCACTCTGTAAAATGGACCAATCATGAGGACCTGGGTGGGGACAAATAAGGAAATAAAAGCTGGCCACCCCAGCCAGCAGCAGCAACCCACTTGGGTCCCTTCCATGCTGTGGAAGCTTTGTTCTTTCACTCTTCACTGTAAATCTTGCTGCTGCTCACTCTGGCTCTGTGCCACCTTTAGGAGCTGTAACACTGTGAGGGTCTGGTCAGCTGCTTCATTCTTGAAGTCAGTGAGACCGCAAACCCACCAGAAGGAACCAACTCCGGACACAGAGGGACTAGATAATACTGGCTGAATGAAGGAATATGAACAAGGCCACTTGTAAGTATTGTAAACTTACCATTAACCATTTTAGGTAACATGTATCTAAATTTCATTCCAAACAGCCTATAGTAGATTATGTAATATGTGTAATAGCTCCCCAAGCTAAACTGAACAAGACAGTAAAAATGTAGAATATTTAATACCATATTCCAAGTCACAGTCCAATGAAGGATGGCATATCTGAACAAGTAAGTGATTTTTTTTTTTTTTTTTTTTTTTTTTTGAGACGGAGTCTCTCTCTGTCACCCAGGCTGGAGTGCAGTGGCGGGATCTTGGCTCACTGCAACCTCTGCCTCCCAGGTAGAGGTTCGAGCAATTCTCTTGCTTCAGCCTCCAGAGTAGCTGGGACTACAGGTGCACGCCACCATGCTTGGCTAAGTTTTTGAATTTTTAGTAGAGACGGGATTTCACCGTGTTAGCCAGGATGGTCTCGATCTCCTGACCTCATGATCTGCCCACTCTTGGCCTCCCACCATGCTGGGATTACAGGCATGAGCCACTGCGCCCAGCTTGAATTTTGGATTTTCTGCATGTCTGTACTCTGACCTTAGCACAGAGCATCTCAATCTGCTTTAGCTAACTATGTGGTTTCCCATGGCTGCTTCAACAGGAAGATCTGAGTGGTTTTATGTGTCTGGAGGCTTTCATTTCTCCATTGATTAGTAAATTTTAAGCAGCAGAAAATGATTAACCCACAACTTTATGTATCATTGAACAGTATTTTAATTCAAGTGTATCAAAGAAGTATTCATGTTCTCTAGTTTTTACATTTATATTAGATTTAATGTCTTTCATATTTATGGGGTGCCAGATACTTGTGCAGTTGTGATTTCCCTATTCATTAAAAGGGGTTTATACTGTTTTATTTCAAAACTAAGGACACCGAGATGTGTAAAGATTGATTGGATCAAAGTGGCCTCAGCTGAGTGTGTTGAGCTGGATCTCATACCAGCATCTCTGACATTTTAATTTGTACTCTTCCCTCTTTAGGAATCCCTACTCTTTGGGCTTCTCCAGTAAAGTGGATTCACTAGTATAAGAATGAGAGGCATCTATGTTCTCTAATTTCTAAAGGTGATTTCTATCTTAAAAATAATAATTAGATTGAAGCACCCGGATACCTTCTCAACCATCATCTTACATGTAAAGTTCCTGGTATAGAGCTCAGCACATTGTCATTCTCACAAATGGCAGGCAACTAAAATGATATGTAAGTGCCTATTCCCTTCATTTCCTCATCTTTAGTGGTGGGCAAAAGGAGCTACAAGGGAAAGAGAGAACGGTTTTTCACCTCCTTATTCAACCTTTTAAGCAAGTCGGCCTAGGGATCATATGCTTGCAGGAGAATTGCTATTCCTCTGTGTGCATGAATTTTAGCACAATCCCTCAATGAGCTAGGCTCACCAAGTTTAATTCATTTAACACTCCAATACTAGCAAAATTTGTTAAGATTTTCTTGCTTGGTATTTGTGGAAATTGGTGAGGGGGAAAAAAAAGGAAGAACAAATAGCTCTGGGCAAAACCAGGCATCTGAGAACAGATGGTGTGCAAGCTTCTACCGCTGAGCATAGCTGACAAACCGTAACAGTGACCTGTTCCGACACACAACTACTGGGAGTTTCGTGAGTGAGAATTCCCAGCAAAGCCAAAATCTTCCCGAGTGACCTTGACTTCATTTTGTCATAACACCACTTAGACACATCTTTACTGGTGGCATTATGGGATAACAGCAATGTAAAAGCCCTTTTTAGTGTAAATACTATAGGAAATATGTGGCCCTATCATGCTATAGAGAAGATATAGACATTGATACAATCAATACAGATCTGCAGTGACCTGGGGTATTCGGGCATTAGTCTGATCCCAAAAGGATTTTCACAAGTTTGGGAAAATCACAAGTCCTTAGTGACTGTGTATTCAGCCTCCATCTTTTACCCACCATTGCTCTCTTCCCTGAAAAAGTACAAAATAAGCCAAAAGTAGCAAAAAGAAACCATTTAACTTGGCCAAATAGCTCTTTTAAATCAGGGATGCAATTATTTTTTCCAGTATTCTAATCTGGAAACCTTAAGGTCATTTGTTAGCCAGAATTTCCAATGTATGTTCCATATCCATTTTTGTCCTTTAATCCTAGGGATTATTTCTTTAACTGTCTCTCAAATCTGTGCCTTTCTGTCTTCCTCATTGTCAATCACACTTTTAATTCATACCCACATCATTTCAAACCTGGAATACTGTGACAGCCTCCCATCTGGTCTCTTTGTCCTCCATGTAGTGATCATATCCTGTAGCTGTGAGAACACTTTGAGAAACTTGTCTTCTCGGACTCCGTGTAGGTCCTCAGGGCCTCTGCCGACACCACAAACCCTCTCAGATAATGAGTTGTTACCTTACTTTAGCCAATATATGATATAACCTAGCTATGTCTGTCGTATTAATTTCCACGTATTTTCACATAGCCAAAAATCTTGTGGCTCAGTATCCCTCTACTTCAGTGCCTAAATTCAAAGCCTACCATAGATCAGACTTGTATAGGCACAGTTATTTATTCACTCAACAAATATTTATTGAGTCTGCTCTGTAAAAGGCACTGTGTTCAGTGCAAGGAATGTAGCAACGTACACGACATTGTCCCTTTCCCCATGGAGCTATGTCCTAGTGGGAGGAGACAGCCCATAAATGGATAAGTAAAATACATATACTGTATGATATTATGATAAATGTTGGAGAGGAAAATAGGGCAGGGAAAGCAGATCGAGAACGCCAGTGATCAGTGTGGTGTTGCAATTTGTAAAAGGGGAAGTAAAAGATGAGAAAGAGATGAGAGAGTAAGCCATGGCTGGCATTTGGGTAAAGAAAAGTTTACGCAGAGAGAATATCCATTGCACAGCCTTGAGGTCAAAGCACGTCACATCTTTTAAAAAGTATATTATTATTATAGCAAGAATACCTGGGAAGCTGGAGTGCAGGGAAAGAAAAGGATGACAATAGTAGAGGATATTGTTGGAGAAATGACAGAAGGCCACATCTTGTAGAGCCTTTAGGCCATTTCAAGGACTTAGGCTTTCCTGGAGCGGGCGGAAACCCACCATTACCAGGTTATAAGCAAATATGCAGCATGGGTCATTCAGATGCTGTTATTCCTAGACTGAATGGGAGCAAGGCTCAAAGAAGACAGTTTAGTTAGAATACAATGGGGAAAGTCCAGGTAATGATAATGATAACTTGTCCCAAGGGGGTAGCAAGCAATTACATTCTAGGTATGTTTTAAATATTGAACATAAAGGAATTGACACTGAACTATATGTGAAGTGTGAGAGAAGAGTTCAGAATAGTGGCAAAAACATGTAGAATGGTGGCATTACAGCTTGCTGAGATGGGAGAAGAGGTAAGAGCAGGTATGGGGCAGAAAATTATCAGCAATTTGGCTTTGTGTGTGCAAAGTTTGGTAAACTCACTGGATATCCCAATAAACATGATGAGTAGGCAGCTGGAGGTACAAATACAGAGTCCAGACAGTAGGCTAAAGATTTGTATTTTGAAGTCATTAGCAAATTGCTTTATAATGATTTCTAATTTGTGAATGAGCTGGAAATAAAGGTCATCAGCTGAGAGTGAGAATGGGGAACAGTGGATTGGAAGTTTGAAGAGTTAGAAAGAATCATGAAATAGTGGTCTAGAATGGGTGCAGCACACCAGCATGGCACATGTATACATACGTAACTAACCTGCACATTGTGCACGTGTACCCTAAAACTTAAAGTATAATAATAATTAAAAAAAAAGAAAAAAATAATAATAAAAGCAAGTTGCAGAAATAAAAAAAAAAAAGAAATAGTGGTCTAGGAGAGCAGTGGAGTCAATAGATTAGGGCTGTGATATGATTTCCTGTGGCTGACTTGAGCTGATGATGATGTTTGTCTCTTCTGCATGTGAGTGCAGGCAGAGCTGACTGAGCGTACAATTTAACAACTTCCCTGACTTCTGTCCCAGAAAGCTCCAAAGATTTCTTGAGAATGCACACTCTCGCACGTCTCAAACCCTTTGTGTTTCTCTTTCCTACATACCTTTCATTTCTTGTGTTCTGCTATTTAAATCATAACCAACTTTTAAAGCCATTCTCATGTTATTCCTCTTTTATCAATTTTCTTTCTGACTTCACCTAGTATTTATTTATACCACCTATCATATATCCCAGAATTTTATTTAATAATTAATAGTAGAGTAATAGAGTGAAAAACTTTGGAGTAAAATAATTGGAATTAAATTTTGGCTATGTTACATGTTATCTGAGAGATCTAGGAAAGTCACTTAATGTCTTTAAACTCCAATTTATTCTTTTAAAGAATGAGAACAAATACAAGAATCCTATTTCACAAAGTCCTAAGAATTTAATGAGAAGTGATCTCAAAATAGTTTGTAAATTATACAAGGTTAAATAAATTGAATATTGCATTATTCAATTTTATATTTTCCATAAATTATATTAATAAATTTAGTTTTATTTCCCAAAGTAGATTTTAAGGTCTTTAGCTATAAGGATTTCAGATCTATTTTATCTCCTACTACAACCAGCCTAGTAACTTGTCTTGCACAAAGCAGAAATTTAATAAAATTAAGTTATTAAATAAAACCTTAGTAAAAATAATTCAGTCATTTTAAGAATAAATTAGTAAAAATGAACATACTTTTAATGAAGGATTTTTACCCAGGAAATTCCAGAATTTACAATACAAACAGAATATAACCCACATATAGGTTAAGATTCTTTTAATTTGAGGTGGCCAGATTTAGCAAATAAACAAACAGGATGACCAGTTAAATTTAAATTTCAGGTAAACAAAAACTAATTTTCAGTACATATAATGTTTCATGCAATATTAGGGACATACCTATACTAAGACATTTTTCCTTCTGTTTATCTGGTTTTGAATTTATCTGGGTACTAGGGTTTGAATATTTGTCTTCTCTGAAACTTATGTTGAAATTTAATAGCCATTGTGATGATATTGAGAAGTGGGACTTTTGAGAGGTGTTTAGGTCACAAGCGTCCTTCTCTGGTGAGTAGACTAGTGCCGTGATTATGAGGAGAGTGGGTTTGTTATCATGAGAGTGTGATCATCCCCTCTCTTGCTTTCTCTCTCTCCTGGTCTCTTGCCCTTCTGCCTTCCCCCAAATAAGACATAGCAATAATGCCCGGTTAGATGTTGGCACCTTGATATTTGACTTTCCAGTGTCCGGAACCATGAGCCAGTACATTTCTATTTGTTATAATTGCCCAGGCTCTGGTATTTTGTTTCAGCAGGACAGAACAGACTAAGACATTGGACATACTCTATTTTATTTGGCAACCCTATAAATTTAGTTACAAATTAAAGGAATCCAACTCAAAGTAGCTTAGATCAAAAAAAAGAGTAATTTAATGGACCATTTGTCCCAACTGTTGGCAGGGCAGGGAGTAAAGCAGCCTCTTGGTCAGTGGGGCAGAATGCGCAAATATCATCAGAAGTTTGGCTATTATTAACCTTTGCTTTTCTCTGTATGAGCTTCATTACCTCTGATAGTCTTATTCTGCCAGACACTTTGGGCTCACATTTTTCTAGAGCTGTCATCACACAAAACAAAGACTTTTGAAATAAGTTTAAATCACATAATCCCAGGCAATGTCTAGGTTGATTGACCAGGACCAGGTCACCTGTCCATCCCCCACAGCAATGACTGTAGAGAAGGAAATGTGATCTTCAGATTGGAAAATGTTTCCACAACTAGACCATATCCTCTGATCATGGAGGTAGATGGAGGCATCATTTCAGTTCACGTATCTGTATAAGGAAGGAGAAACTATTTCTCCAAAGCAGGGAGAAAGAGATTTCCCCCCAACAAAAAGAGAAGAGATTCAGAACACAGAAAGTAATACATTCACTATTACTTGAAATGTGAACAAATGGATTTTCTTTTAACATTCTTAAACTGACTTCTTTCCCTCATTTTGACTGACAGCTTCATGGAAGTCTGGGTAATCTCTCCCACTGTGATATGTATGTAGGTACATGGCTCTATATTCTTGTGAGTCCTCACTGAAAACCTTGAATTAATTTTTGGATAGTTTTATACAACTTTAGATTCAAATCTCTCAGTCAAACTGTCCCAAGCTTTTATTCTTTTGCCTTGATAAAGAGCATTCCACATGAAATAAGAGGCCCATGATTCCTAATTTAGTAAGACAGGTTGCAGATCCTTTCTCAAATCTTTGTAACTGGTACTTGATAACTCTGCAAATAAATTCTAGAAAATATATGCAAGTCTAAGTGACCAGTTCATAATTTTATCTCCTGAGGAAGCTGGCCAGGCATTTTAGAATGTAATACATGAATTGCCCAGACTCTAAATTGAAAATGAGCATGTTTTAAACAAGTCCAGTGGAAAAGAATTAACAGTAGAACTAAAAACACCATATGCTTATAACAGGAAAAGTCGCTCAGAGCAATATGCTATAATGATATAATTGAGTAAGGACCCAGTTGCATCAGGACAAAAGCTAAGAAGCAGTGAGTAAGTTAGGCCTGATGACTCATGATGCCTACTTAAATTTATATATCAAAAACAAGGAGACTCTTACTGCCTTTTATTTATATTATAGAACAAAAATATCCCTGGTTGGACTTCTGCTTTTAGTAATAATGTACTAGGCAATTTCGACTGGTGAGGATAACCAGAAAAGTCAGTTATATCTTCTCTTTGAAGATGCAAAATTGCTATCAGGACACTGAAAAGTGGCTAGGCCAGGATAAGGGAGAGGAAAGAGATCCAATGAAGAGGAGCCTGAGATTTGGAATCACTTTTCTCCTGGGGGAAGTTGCCATTCAGAATGGGGTGGCTGAGAGGAGGAGAGATCATCAATGATTATGACCATCCAAGGAGATGAGAGAATCAGAAAACAGAGTCTGGAACTTGGTGAAGGGGGCCCAGATGAACATTCTTGTCTAAGCTGGTCCACAGAAGAATTCACAGCTTAGGAGGAAGAGTAAAGTGGATGTTGACAGGCCCTCATAGAAATTGCAGCTCAGCTTTGAATCTTCCCATCCAACAAATTGGATGAAGAAAATTGTGTTTTGATATTGCCTCCAGTACCTGGTAGAAACAACTGTTAATCATCTCTAAAGGAGGGGACATTATCCTAGCCCTTACACTGTTTCTACAAATAATTTTAAAAACATAGCTTAAAGCACACAACAAAATTTCACCAGCTTATAAAAAAATAAAGTAACATGAAGAAAAGCCAGCAAAAACCTAAAGCATTACACAAAGCTTTCAAGAGCTTGAGGGATTGGAACTATCGAACACAGAATTTAAAATATGCATGCCTACTATATATACCAGGACATGGAACATAACCCACAGGTCAAAGAAAAAGTCAAAATGAGAACTAAAAAGATATCTGAAGCTGGGTGATAATAAAAAAGTATGATATCTAAAAACAATGAAAGACATCTAAAGCCATGCTTAAAGGAACATTTATAGCCTTAAATGCACAGCTTGGTAAATAAGAAAGGCTGAAAAGTAATAAACTAAAAATTCATCTCAGGTTAGAAAGAGAACAAACCAACCCCAAAAGAAGTAGAAAAAATGAAATAATGAATATAAGAGCAAAAATTAATTAAAAATAAATACATCACAGAAAGAATCAACATAGCCAAAAGTTGTTCACTGGGAAAAAAAATAACAAAATTGCTGTATTGTAATGAACTTGCTCAAGAAATATCTGAGAAGGAGCAAGTAACTTATATCAGAGCCATGACTACTAATCCTATGATAAAACGATTCAAGGATAAAAGAGGATAAAGGAAGATATTTTTGACAAAATTTGTGTTAATTTCAAAATTTAGATAAAAAGGCAAATTTCTAAAAAATTTATTTAGCAAAATAAATACAAAAATGAATGGGAACATTGACTAATACCACTACTTTTAGAAAAAAATTGAATCAATAACGTAAAATTCTTGCCTCAAGGAAAACTCTTCTATAAATTAATAATAAGGAAAAGGCAACCAATTAGAAAAATCGACACCAGCCTTTTAATGGGATTTCATAAAAGACTATGTCCATATGATCAAAAACATACAAAAGAGCACTCGATATTATCATGTGTAATAGAAACAAAATTAGAATCACGTATAATAGAAACGAAGTGATACTACTGAATATCTACCAGAATATCTAAATTAAAAGAAGTACAAAAAACAGAAACACTGGCTGTGTGAAGCAATGCAAACACATCCAGGTATGTAAATTGGTTACATCCACTTTGGGAAACTGTTTAACAGTTTTTTCTAACATTGAGGATACGCATCTTGTATGATTTCTCAATTTGATTCCTAGGTATATACCCAGAAAAATGTGTTCAAATATCCACCATGAGACAGTGATATGGTTTAGCTGTGTCCCCACCCAAATCTCATCTTGAATTATAATCCCCATAATCCCCATGGGTTGAGGAAGGGACCGAGAGAGGTGATTGGATCATGGGGGCAGTTTTTCTCATGCTGTTCTTGTGATAGTGAGTGAGTTGTCATGACATCTAATGCTTCTATAAGGCAGTTTTTACTGCTCTTTCTCACACATGTAAGACATGCCTGCTTCCCCTCCCATCATGATTGTTAAGTTTCCTGAGGCCTCCCCAGCAATGTAGAACTGGGAGTCAATTAAACCTCCTTTGTTTATAAATTCCCAGTCTTGGGCAGTATCTTGGGTAGCAGCAGTGTGAGAACAGGATACAGATACAAGAAAGTTCATAGAGGCATCATTTTTAATAAACTTAAACTAAAAGCAACCCAAAAGTTTAAAAATAACAGGATGGGTAAATAATTACAACCCTATAATAATGGAATATACAAAAAGATTAATGAACTACAGTTAACCACAGTAACTTAATGAATCTCTCAAGCACAATGGAGATAAATGAAGCCAGACACAATAAAATATAAAGTTTACATAAAGTTCAAAAGAAGGCAAGACTCAACTGCCATGTTTAAGGATGCGTATGTAGGTGGTCAATGTATTAAGAGAGCAAATAAATAATTTTCTCAAAAGTCAGAAGCGTAGTGATCTTTGGAAGAAGGAATGGTGCTGTGATTGGGAACAGATTTGCTGGAGACAGGGTTTCTGGGAGCATTCTAACTTTTGACACAGTGCGGATTACACATGCATGTGTTGATAATAACTCATTGAACTTTGTGTGTGTCATTGATACTTTTTTGTATGTGTTTTGTATTTACAATAATTAAAGCTTTAAGATAAGGTTAATATATAATATCTTCATGTATGCCATTATTCATATAAATATATAAAATAAGAATACAACAAGGTTTGTCAATCACTTGAAGCTTCTAAATTACTCATCAGATTGCCACAGGATCACAGAGCAGATAGCTAACAATCCTCTCCTCCACCCACACATTCCTAAAGAAAAAGAGCTTTTCTCTTTGCTCTAAATGATAACATTTAGTCTCTCCTATTCTTTTCTTTCTGAAATCTTACTTTGTTAACTCATGTTCTATGAACATGGGATGCCAATTAAAAATTCTTTTTTTTCTGATAGGAGACTTCAAAATATAAGGGGTTGGTGTGCTGTTGAACTCCCAAGTGTCAGAGAGTATGCAAAAAGACGGTCAACATACTTTTCAAAACACAGCAAACTTTATGTGTCACATTTAGACTATGACTTCATGTATGTGCCATTAGCCCAGCTTAAGACATATATTTCTCATGTATTTCTAAACACTGAAATTTGTAGAGACTGAGTTCAGAGGATAATCACCCAACACATATCTCTGGTCCCTTGTCATACAGGTTCTGCATAAGCCAGAGAGACATCTGTTGGGAGGGTTAGATATTTGATGCCTTTTACAATACTCTCAAGTATCACTGTGTAGTAACATGACTGGTTGCACAAGCCATCAATCTTAAACTTTTGAGAAGGATATAAGAACATATATTTTATGACCAATATATGTATCAAATAGCCATACCAACCAACCATCGTGGAAAGATCACAGGATTCAGAAAATACAGGTTCAAATTCTGGCCCTGTCTTCCTACTGCTATGTGATCCAGGACCGTTGTCAGTGTGGGCATCAATTTCCCATCTACATTGACAGTGAACATTATATGAGATAATGCAAGTGTAAGTGACTGTTACTTGTGATAGGGCCTATACAGTAGGTGCTCAATAAATGTTGGTCAAGTATTCACAGAAAATTCCCAAAAAAATAAATAGAAGGCATTGGGGAATATTTTAAAGGAAAGACACAATTTTGGAAAACATATCTTGAGAGATGGTTAATGCTTAACAATAGATTTTATTTTCCTTTGTCAAAGATCCAAAGAGAACTGGAAAGAAAGTATACACTCCTGTGGGATAGAGACCACTCCTCTGAGGTCCCTTCGAGGCTTCTTCCTTCCCTGCCCAGTAGTCAATGCTAATGTTTCACAGGGTACTGAGGCTAGTCCTCTCCTCTTTCAATTACATCTGCTCTCTCCTCACTCATCAGTCCTCCCTGCTAAGTCACCATGTTTACACTGGCCACGTCCACATCTCCATCTTCATCACCGTTGTACCACCTGAGCTCCAAATCCCAGAATCATGGAAGAGATCCTTCCTGTATCAAGTCTGCAGCTCTTTCTCTTTTAAAGGAATATTTTAATGGAGTTTACAATACTTAAATGATGAGTTTTGACAGCACACTTCAGCCTGTGTTATATATATCCGAAAAGCCAGTCAAACGGAGGTCTCCTGGAATGCTTCTCAGGTTTCCCTTGGTGCTCTGAGGGATTCAGTTCACCTGGAGTTATGATTGATTCTGAGCCTCAGGCAGTAAATGAGCAGCTGTCTACATAGACATCTCCTTTAGTTTTTCAGTTATTGCCATGACAGTCTCATGTACTTGCAGTGGAACTGTTATGGGTATAATAGTCCTGTCATACACAAATTTTAATTCATTTAATTTTTAAGGAATTCAGTTTTCTATCAGCAAGAAGGATATAATTGAGTTTCCATGAAGGTGTAATTAAACACAGTGTATCTTGGCCTTGCGGAGATTTAACTCACTTCACACAGATTTGTATTCCAATGCCTTCAAATAATTTCCATCAAAATAATTGGTATTTCCCTGGAAAATAGTAACAGAAAACGTGTTCATCATGTCTTCCCCAATCTTTCAATGACTTAACAGTCCATTACAGAGTTCCAGGCACTAGGTTAGAAACTGAGACTCTCCAAATAAATTAAAAACTCAACTGACTACAAAAGCTCAATCCAGCGTTGTGGTTTGAGGAAGCAGGCAAAAAAGACTAATCTACCTTGTAGATTCAAAGAAACTAACATGATCTATGATATAGATGCTTATCTCCCTTATCTAATTTTTTTGAGAAAACTACTTAGCATGTTTCCTTTTTTCTCCTTTCTCACTCTTCACATCTTTGTAATTTGTCTTGGGCCCCTAAGCACCCCTAAAAATGCTCCAACTAAGTCCACCAATGACTTATTCACTCATTAAAATTATATAGATGCTTTATCAATTCTCACGGTTTACTTTACTTCCTTGAAATGTAACTCTTGCCTTTACGTCTTTCTTGAAATGTTCTTTTTCCTTGGTTTCTGTGGGAATGAATTCTCCCTCTGGGTTTCCTCCTACTTCTCTGGTATTTCTTCTTAGTCCTCTATCAAATCATAATAGTTTTTTTTTCCAACTGGCACAAAATTGTTTCTATTCTGAAAGTAAACACACCATAGAAATATACACCTTCTTAGACATTCCAAATGAATGTTTCATAGGCAACTTAAACTCTACACTGAAACAATCAGACTCCATATTTTCTCCCCGGAACAGGTTCTTTATACTGAGTTCCCTATCAACCAAAGATACCATTGCCTTGAAGTTTCTCAGTACAGAAATTGTGTATTCTTCTTTGTGTTTCTTTGTATCTGGCTCCCATACCCAAGTAGTCAACAGTCTCCGTTTCTTCTGTCTCCTGATAATTGCTGACTCTCTAGACTTTTCTCCATTCCCCTAACCTTTCACTGCATTCAGATCTCCACAATGACTCACCTGTAAGTCTTAACTTCCATTGGCCTGGTAAGAAAATACAAATTCTTAATCCTTTACGTACTGACCTATGCTTAATTATCCAGTCTATTTTTTAATTCTATTCTTACCATTGAATTCTATATTTAAACCAATTTGTTCTACCTGTAGTTTTCCTCAAAAATATGTTCTTCTGACAAGAGAAAGCATTGATTATCGATTTCCTAATGATATAAAATCTTTTTATTTTGCCTTTTCCCTATTTCTGCTTGGGTCATGACCTTAACCCAACAAAGAAGATGCCCTTCTTGCATGGCCGTATATCTTGAGCTTATGGATGATTTATTGCAACTGGCTGTTACTTCTCTCCCTTGAGCTCATGGAGGGTGTCTTGGTCCTGATTATATTTCAAGCTGTAAGTAATACAGTTTCTAAAAGTGTAATAAGTTGTGTTGACTATTGAGTGAATCAAAGAGTATCCAAAATCCCACTGGGAGCACAGAGGAGGGAGCAGTACATGCAGGTTCTGGAATGACTGTTTCATAATGGAAATGACATTAGGACTAGGTCTTACAAGAATATGAACAGTGATACAAAATTATGTGTCTGTTATTGAAGACATACCTTGGTTATGTTTATCCTTGCAACATAAAGTAAAATGCATCTGGTCATTCCAGCCATCCTTCTGATTCAAACTATCCCCTTTCCTGGTATGATATTTAAATTAGATGTTAGTCAACGTTGGCCAATACATGAAACTCACTGATTCTAGCTATGGAAGAAAGTGGCCTAATTCTGAATAGTGTCAACTCTGCAGGCCAATACTTTTGTGAACTGAACAAAGTTAAATGGAAATAACAGATTAAATTAGTATGATTTCAGCTTGTACATTTAATCAGTGTAGGTTAGAGAACAAAGACAGGCCAGGGAGGCAGTGAGGCTCATGGCGGGAGTTTATTGTATCACTGCTGTTCAATTACATGGCTGCTTCCTCCTCCAGTCCCTATGTTATAAAACGGGTGGGCCTGGGGCTGCCTTTGGATTACAGCCCCTTGAAGTGATAAACATGCTGTTTCCCTGAGATTTGCCCCAGGAGATAAACATTTCCGATGGATTTTTCTGACAAAGCCAAGAAAGCTAATAATTGCAATGTCAGGCAAAGAAAAAAAGTGAAAACTAATTCAGTAGGATCCCTTATGAAAGAAGGAAGAAGAGCAAAAGATGTTTCACAACTGGAAGCATGAATTGTCAAAGCTTTTTGAGGATCTTTTGAATAAGCACATCTGCCAGGTTATAAATAATGACAACAGACAGTAATTTGCATGGATTAGGGTTGTTAACATTTATCAATTTCTGCATTTTAAGATACTCCCAAATTCTGGATGAGGAGTGTCTCTTTGTAGTGAAGGATTGATAGTGGGAGTAAAAGAATCTGATGAAATTAAAACTCAGATGAGAGAAAGCAAAGCTGTCCAGATCTAAACGGAGATACCATTAGTAGTTCCCATAAATCAAATCATGTTTATAGTGAGGATACAGTTGAATTGCCATCTGGACTTTTTAACCTCGACATTTATTTCCGAATCATTCCCTAATATTGGAAGTAAACTTAACCCTTGCTTTCATCTCCAGGGTTTGCCTTGATGCCAGTTTTTTTTCTCTTTGAGAGAAATGATCTGATTTTTGATAAGGACAGAATGCCATGTGTGGCATGAAGTTGGAAGAACTAGAGAAATTCCTGTGTAATGTTAAGCTATAAAAGAAAGAAAACATACTTAGCTTTAAACCACATCAGCTGAGAAGAATTTAATGTGAAGTCAGGGGTTGGGGAAAAGCAGGAATTCTATATTTCATCTGCTTAAGATTGGGGCACCTAAATGAAGTTAAAATATATAACTATTTGATTTCTTTCCCCCAAAAAATCCTATGTACCTATAGACAGGTTTGACTACAAATAGAGAGAAATCCACATAGATTTTCAACAACTAAGACTAAAGCTCTCATTGAATGACTAAATAATCAAGTCACATATATCTTGAACCTTTTGGAACTCTTAGTTTTTCTTTTAAAATTTTCTATTAACGATGTTTACAGTGACAAAAAGAAAAAAACCAAACTTCACATATGAAGTCTTTTTTTTTTTTTTTTTTTTTTGAGACAGAGGCTGGAGTGCAGTGGTGCCATCTCAGCTGACTGCAAACTCTGCCTCCTGGGTTCAAGCGATTCTCCTGCCTCAGTCTCCAAAGTCGCTGGGATTACAGGTGCGCACCACCATGCCCAGCTAATTTTTATGTTTTTAGTAGAGACGGGGCTTCACGACGTTGGCCAGGATGGTCTCAAACTCCTCACCTCAAATGATCCACCGTGCCCGGCCCTCTTTTCTGTTTAATCTTTAGACTTTAACAGTTTACAAGGTGGGACTCATCAACTACTTTAGTAATTAGTATAGTGTTAAGCATAAATCAAGTGGCTCAATAGGAAAGAGAACCTTAGGGTAGGTATTGGCAGTGATGGTGATGGGTGAGGGGTGGTGCTGAACAGTGGATGCATTGCTTCCCCTGGACCTGAAGGGACAGACAAGAGGCATGCGGATTCTTCTTGGAACAAATTTGGAACCAAATTATGAGAAGGCATCTTTGACTATTGAGACGTTGTTATTCTATATAATAAAAAGGCATTGCTTTAAGGGAATAGACATTTATGATTGAAGGGAAGTTTGTAAGTTACAAGGCTATAGTGGAAAGGCAGAAGAATACAGGCTTGGGAAACAGAAACACATAGGCTCAAATTTCAGATGTCACTTATTGGTGAAATAAAGTTGAACAAGTTTTTTAAATTCTCCTGGGTCAAAATTAGTATTACCCTTAAACTGAAGATAACAGCATCTAGCTGGAAGTTTTAACATGAAGCCTAAATTAAAAACAGTGCAGGTCATGACTGGATATATGGGTAGGTGATACCTTATGTTCTATATAAAGGAAACATTTAAAAAATGGGTTTTGTATCAAATCATGAGATGATGATTGGGTGGAGCCCAAGCAACATGTGTGAAATTCACATTTGAGAGGCTTAAATAACCCCTGGAAAAACATGAAGAAACAATGAATAAGACAACCTGTGGTTTCAGATGTCAGCCTCAAACTCCAAGTCAGAATAGCCGGCAATCCATAGTGATGGCTCCAACAGGCATTCAAGTGACTTTTCACCCAAGAATGTGCTGTGTTCCAGGGCAGTTAGCAATTTCTCTGATGGTTAATGATCCTCCCTATCAACCCTGGTGGAAGACAGTTAGTTATTCACTGCAACCAAGTGCAGATCATTTCCACTTACTTTACCATCTAACTGTGAAGATTATTAAGGAAAAGGACTTTTTCTTCTTCTCTCTTCTAACATGTTAAACTAAGAACCTTCCCACTGTGAACTACTGGCATCTTACTTTTTGACCCCTTGACAAGAAGAACTGGAGTTACCAAAATGCTGTCATTTAAGGTGTTGGAGTGGAAACCAGAACATTACCTATTATCAAGAAGGGGTTTCTTCTAAGGCATTCAGGTCTGTATAACATTTGTGCAAAAATGACTGGTCCATTTGGAAATGAGTGGTTGGAAAAGAGTCTGGAACTTAATACAGAATTGTGAGTCAGGCTTTAGAAGCAGGTATCTTAGCTCAGGCTGTTTTAGCTCCCAGCTTAGACTTGGAGGCTTATAAACAATAGACATTTATTTCTCACAATTCTCAGGCCAAAAGTCCAAGACCAGGGGGCCAGCATGATCAGGTTCTGGTGAGGGCCCTCTTCTAGGTTACCGACTGCTGACTTATATCTTCACATGGTGGAGAGAGACAGCCCTCTCTGGGGTCCCTTATATAAGAGCACTAATCCCACTCATGAGCCATCATGACAGAGCCCACCTCGTAATACCATCACATTTGTAGAAGGGTGTTGGGATTTCAACATATTAATTTTAGGGGGACAAATATTTAATTAATTGAAGCCCAAAGAAACAATCTTTACAATTGCAGAATCTCTGAAATTAGCCTATCCTTTTCCCCCATGATACAGCTCTGATTTCATTGTTAACATCTTTCTCAGAAGTTCAGCATTTCTAGTGCCAGGAGAACTAAATGTTAACTCTTGAGAAAAAATACATTCCTTCTCCCTGGAATGTGCTCTTTCATCTTGTAATTTTAAAGTGGAATGGGACATTTTTCTTTTCTCATTTTATACGTGAACCGATTCTTTTGTCGATACCAACTGTATCTCGTCAGTGTCATTTATAGTTATTATGAAGAGTGAAATGGAATGAAATTTGATAAAAAATAGAAACCACTTATTAAAGCTACCTAATTGGGGAAAGGTGAGTTTAATCTACTGTTTCATTTTTAAGTTTCTGTTTCCTCTCCTTTTCCTCATAAATAGGAAAAAAAATTGGCACAGAAACTTGGCTCTTGAGATTGTGAAGAAAGTTTATTCTACATGGAACTTGACACACGCTGATCAGGGAATCTCTTTTGTCTGCGGACTTTCTTTAAAAAAGAAGAATTGGTTTCTTAACTGCTTTCAAAGGTTGCCTTGATAAGTTTCTTTGTGTCATTGTATCTTTCATTTTGAGTTGAAGGTTTTTCACCCAACCCTTATTATAGATGACCTAACATTTTGCTCCGGGGCTGATGCCAGAACCCTTTTCCTTTAGTTCCTGGCAAGGTTGCTGCCATTTCCTATCTCACGCCTTCCTGAATTTACCTAAACTGAAGTTCCAGGCTTTTGTTGAAATGCTTTTCTCCCTTCCGCTCTTGTGTACCCTGTGTCACATTATCTGCAAAAGGTCGCAACCAACTTCCCTTCACTGTGGACACAGGAAGGGGAAATGAAGAGGGGAGAAGTTACTGATCTGATTCTAGAGGTCAAGGGTGTGGGAGGGTGAATGTACATTTCTCAATAGCTTTCGCTGCAGTGTGTGCTTTCCTTTGTTGACCATCCCTTGCTATTGTGTTGGGGAGTCTTTTAATAACACCCAGCAGAGTTGACTCAATGGCAATACCAAGATGAGAAAGACTTGGTAAAAAAAAAAAAAATTATGTGTGCACATTTGCCTGGCACATACACAGCAAATAACCAGCTATTTATTTCTGCAGGATATTCTGCGCCTGCAGCTTTTCTCACGTCATAGAGAGTTTCAACGTACTTAATTCTCACAGCATCTCATTAAAATAAGTGTTCTTTCACCACTCTAAAGTGAATAAGACTATAAACAGAGAATTAGGGAGGAGCAGTCCATTGCCTAAGATCACACAGCAAGCGGCAGGTCCACTGTTCAGAATCGATACCCACCCCTGCTTTTTCAATCTTCCAGGCTGCTGTTAATGTATGAGCACACAGGCTGCTGACGTGGAAATCAAAGTTACAATCTAGGACAACTTTTTCACATCAAAAGGGCAGTGAGATTATCTTTTGCATTTAAATTATTCTCTTCTGGTGCAGCAGGCTAATTAATGTTAGTGTATTTCCATTTTTCCAGCCCAGAGATCCTTGGATGACTCTCAAGGTGCCTCACTTGCAACCTGGGTCTCTTGCAGGCCTTAATTTCCGTAATGAGACTCCTCTGCTCCACTGTCTCTGCAGGGCTGATGGTAGCCCTATGGCTCTTCCATCCAGTTTATGGGGATTACAAAAGGAGCCTCAGAGTCACGTAATAGGCAGGACCACTGCTCTTAACAGGGTCCAGCATCTGGGAGGGCAAGGCCTGGCATGGGGTTGGGACAAGGCATGTTTACAACAGCCTAACCAGTGAGCTTGAGCTTTTCAAGACCATTGAGAGGGTACTTTGGAAATTGCAGGAGTGCATTCATGAATACGCAAATGTCTTTGATTTATTAGCATCCCTTAAGCATGAGAACTAATAGGGTAACACATCAAAGGTAACATTTGCCTTGTAAAGGGAGGGCTCTGTAAACATGAACAGTGGAAAGAAAGAAAGAAAACAGACCTTCTGTTTTGATGTCATATCCATCCTCAGCACCTGCTTCTGGTCGGAAGATGCAATCCTTCATTCTGAGTATTTCCTCTGGCCAAGCCCATACTTTGGGGCCAGAATTAAAGGGAAAGAAAAGGAAAGAGAGAAAGAGAGAGAAGAAAACAGAAAGGAAAGAGAGGAGAGGTGAAGCAGATAAATGGAAAAATCAGTGAGGACCCAGAAAAGTAATTGTTTGCATTTACTCTAAGTGTAGAAAGTTGTCTTCTTCATTGCTTAATTCAAGGACAAATAGTGAAAGTATTTTCTAGGGGGAAATAATGAGGCATCGAGAGGTTAAGTGGGCGGCTGGGAGGAGCATCCAGGGCTCTGACTTTCCGTCCCCATCCAGCTGCACTTCCTCCTCAGTTGGGGCCAAGTCCAAGACCACAAAAGACGCACTAGGCATCCAAATAAAGCAAATAAAACAGAACATGCAAACCTTTATGCAGCCTTAATGAAAGCAAATGGATGGGACATTTTAAAGATATAACTTTAACCAGACCATTGCCTAATGGCCATATTTTCAAGACAAAATGTATCACAATCACATACTAATTTAAATTATCACTCTTACAGAAATTGGATAGGAAAATTTTAAATCTGTATGCATCTCTGAAACATTTAGAAATGCATTGCTCTCCAAAGCTAAATTGTGAGGGAAGCTGAGAGCTTACACTTAACAACATAATTTTTCTTCTCCACCCTCAACCTGCCTTTTATGTTACTTCCTTAATGGTCTTTCTTAAACAAACACAAAAACAAAGATTTTCTTCTGATTTTAGAAGCAATAGAGCAATAGGTACCTGTTTTAGAAAATTTGGAAAGCACACAAAATTTTCAACAATAAAAATAAAAGCCACCTATAAAAGAAAACGTACCCTTATTTTGGAGCACCATATGGGGTAAGAGGCACCGGGAGTTAGATATGAACTGACCCAGGTTTAGCCTCAGCTCTGTCCCTCAATATTGATGAGTTTCCAGGAAAATTACTTAGCCCTTTCAGAACTCACGACGTCCTTTGCAAAATGGAGGTACTAAGAGTGCTTATATTGTAGGATGCCAAAGAGGACTAAAAGGTGTGTGTCCAGTGCCTGGCATGACAGCACTCAGCAGGTTTTATTGAGCACTAACTCTTTGCCAGATGGTAAATTCAGCTTTATATACAGATTATCAAGTTATCAGTGGGGGAGTTGAGATTTGACACCCCCACACACACAAAATAAAAATATTTTGTTAAAATTCTTGCGATTATGTTTCCCAGAAATATTTTTCTAAAGTTGATATTATAAAATATGTATACTTTTACATGTTATGTGGAGTGCTGTAGCATAAATCCCCTGATAATATAGACACTCAAATATTTGTGACAGCTGCATAATACTTCAATATAGACTACTACATGGTTTACTTAAGTAATCCTCAATTATTGGACTTCTAAGTTTTTGTTTGTTTGCTCATTTTTTGAAGAAAACACTTTTGTTTATTAACCTTTTAAGGAATGTTAGATTTCCCTTTACTTAGAATAATATGATTGGGTCAACATTAAGGTACATTTTAAAGGTATAAGTTTCATTTCATCTTGATGAATTACTTTCTACATTATTACGTCAATTATTCACAAGTTAATATATAAAGACAATGCAACTCCAATTAAAACCCTAAAATGATTTATTTGAAGATAGGCTCTTTGACAAAATATTCTAAATTTCACCCAAAACACTAGTTGTTAGAATAGATAGAACTTTTTCTCAAGTGAAAAGTTGAGAGCTACAAAAGTTCAATTTCCTTAGTTCTAAAAATTAAAATGAAAATTATATATGTATGTATAATCGGCTGTGAATTTTACTCTCTGGATATAACAGCAATTTGGTCTTACTATGGTGCCCCAAGATTTAAATATTATGCTTTTATGTTTAAAAATACTACAAATCAAATAACCCCCAGTTCACCACAGGTAAGCCCGTCAATACGTAGAATTCTGGATTTTTCCCCAAGGCTGTGGGGTTTGCATATGCACGATAATGACGGCCAAAAATCTCACTTAGAACACAACATCATACGACAGAAATATTTACCAGTTGTTCTCAAAAAATAAATAGGGGTAAAAAAAAATTTATGGACAAATGGATTCAAAATCCCAAATTGGGACCCCAACTATGTAATGACATCCCTGCTTCATCTCAGCTCACCTGCCCACCAGATAGGAGCTCCTGCCTCAGTTGCTGGATGTATCTGGTGGCTTAGTTAGTGCAGGGTTTAAGGCAGGCAGGGTGAGGGCTGCTTTTGAGTTGGTAAGGGAGGCTGGAGAAGGGGATGGTAAAGCTCAGGACTGTGACCCTGTGGTGTAATGCTTGTCAGAAACTTGAAACTCTTCAGCCTTTCTCCCTTCCCAGTGTTATACATTTGGTCAATTTGTTTCGATTCTGCTTTTCCTAGCTTTCTCAAATCTTCATCCCCATCACATCCTGGCTATTGCTTATCAGCTCAAATCCTCATTATCCTGATGCATTTAGAAGGCAAATAAATGCAGCCACAGCACAGTGAGCTACAAGGACTTGGCTGAGAGTAAGATCAGAACTTCCTGTGAGGAAGCTACCATGGACTGTAAAGGAGGTCATTTAAAGCCCTTGTTAGATGTAGTAACATTCCTTAAAATCATGTGGTTTGCATAGGATTAGGGCGCTTGTAAGTCATCTGGAAAATGCATACTCCTAAAAATCAGTCTTTCCTTAGCCTCTTCACTCATAAGCTACTTTTCGTACTCCTTATGAGAATATCCTTTTCATTAAATATTATTATATATTGGTTTTAATGTTTGCATAATATTTACTTTATGAATGTATCTGGATTTTGTAAAATACTCAACCTTTGAAGACTTAGATTTTTTCTTTCTAATTTTGACTTGCTATAAACTACACTAGGATGAATATATTTTTAGCTATTGCGTTATAAATGTTCATGATTATTTTCTTAGGACAAATTCCTGGAGAAGGAAATGCTGCACCAATGGGTACACGAGATGCCTCCCATAAAAATCATACCAAGGTTTATGCCTACCAATAAATACATATAATAAATGTATACATACACAGACATAAACACACCAATGTATAAGCCAATGAATAGCATATATATGCTCACATGCTTATACATATATATATTATATAATTGTCATTTTCAGTTTTTAGAACTAAAGAAATTGAACTTTTATAGTCCTCAAATTTTTCACTTAAAAAAATTCTATCTATTCTAACAATAAGTGTCTTTGGTGAAATTTAGAATATTTTGTCAAATAGCCAATCTCCAGATAATTTATGTTGGGGTTTTAATTAGAATTGCATTGTCTTTATGTATTAACTTGTGAATAATTGACATTTAACAATTAATTTTTGGATTAAAGCATTCCATGTTTCACTATTTATTCAAGTTCTTTTAAGTGTCAGAAAAATACTTTGTAATTTTGTAAGTGCTTATTGATACAAGAATTTCTAGACATTTTATAATATTAGTCTTATAGTAAATGGGATATTTTTTAACGTTAGAGTCTAACTGATGTGGTTATCTATAGGCAAAAGTGTTTATTTCATTATGTTAACTGTGTAACTAGTAATTTTAGAGCTTCTTTTATCAATTCCTGTAATTCATTTTTTTTAGTTAATTATTTTCAGTTTTCCAGCCAGATATATTATCTGCAAATGATAATTATGTTTTTCATTATATATATTTAATTACATATATTATCTGTATTATATGTTTACAGATATAATTTTTTATTGTGTTGTATTTGTTAGCATTTGAAAACAACATTACACACAATGATGGGAATAGTTGGAATTCCTTTCCCTAGCTTTTTTTTTTTTTTTTTTTTTTAGACGGAGTCTCGCTCTGTCCCTTTCCTAGCTTTAATGAGAATATCTTTAGTGAATTACAGTTAGGCATAATATTGGTGGCTTATTTTACCAGAATATAGTATTTATCATGCTAAAGAAATGTCATTCAATTTGCATATATTTTATTGGAATAAAATATATTTTATTCCAAATCTATGTTGAACTCTACCAGATGCCTTTTGGCAGATTTTTAGATGAATATATGGTGTTTCTTCTTTGATATATTGATGAGGTAGCATATTAGTAGGTTTCTTCACATTGAATGATCCTCATACTTATAGGATAAACCCCATTTTAGCATGGATGTTAGTCACTTGATATGATACTGCCCTGGCATTCTGTAGTTATGGAAAAGTTGATTTTCCATCTATACTCAAGTCCGAGAGAAATTTACTTTGTTTTTAGCGTGTGCCACCTCATGATAATAATTGTAATTTTCTATTTTTTTTCAACCTTGAAATTAGTATAAGAAGTAACTATTCCTTGATGTGTGAAACTCTTACATGCAATTAAGTGATGTGCCTTTGGTTGGACATAAGGTGGACATTAGAAGCAGCTGTATTTTGACAAATTTTCAAATTCCTGCCAGAGTTTTTGGACAAAAAGTTTGTATGTATAGTACTTAGTAGAAAACCACTTATTTTAACAAAATGTTCAACTTTATTACCAGTGAAATGAAATGATATTTCCTTATAAATGGTCTACTGATTCTTTTTATAGATGTGAAATTTTTAAAAATTTGTATATAGGTTTTTCTGTCCTTTCTTCTCAGTAACAGAGATCTTTTCAAGAAACTATCCTCAAGAAACTAGCCTTATTGGGCTTTTCAAAGTCCATTCCAGATTAACCAATATTTACTGCTCTTTTAATTCATTAATTTCTGCTTTTATCTGTATTATCTTCTTTCTTCTACTTTCCTTACATTCCATTCATTGTATTTTTTTGATTCAGTTGAATATGTGATTTATTTACCTTCTTTTTAAATTTTTTGTGCTTAACAAACACTAATACAAATCACTTTGATTTTTCTTTACCTCTACAGTATGGCCATCCCTACCCACAGCATAATTTCTAGGTCTGGTGGTAAATATTCTACTTAAACTTAAATTCCTACTCACTCAACTTTTGATTTGTACTGTGAGCTGACTGTAAAGCACTGTAGTTTCTCTATAGTTTGATTTCCTTTACTAAACATGGGAAGAGGATAAGTCTGAAGGAGACGGTTGTAAGGTTGTAATGGTAACTTTAAGCATATAAAGTGTTGGTCTGAGTCATTCGCTTATCAGTCTTTGGCTCTTAAGCACAGGTAGTTAAATACCAGAAATTAAGGATGGAGGTCCTGAAACTATGAAGTGTAGAGCTTATTTTACTAATTTCTCTTTATTTTATTGGCTATCTTCTTCATCTTTGACTGGCTGTCTATATTTACAATTACATCCTTCCAGTTGTCCTTCTCAGAATTAAACCATAAATACAACTTAAAGCTGCTAGTTTCTTAAAATATTTTTAATCATCTAGAGATTCCATGCACAAATGACAAATCTTCTGTTTCTCTCTCCTAACATATTAAGAAAAAGTCTTACCCTTGTACCTACTTTAATCAGGTCTGGCCTAATAAATGTGGTAGGGAGCCTATGCTCAGAAGTTAGAAACAGGATGAGCGTCAAAGTAGAAATACAAATCCAGAAAAATTATTTGCTGAATGGGAAAGATAGCAGGAATGATTGGGGAAAAAACATGCTCCAACAGCCATAAAGCAGAACATTCCAAACCATCTTTACATTAAGTTTATTTTATATTTAAATTAAATTTTTATATATAGATTCATGGTTGGCTGCACCATGTACTATTTCTATTGTTGCATTTTATGTGTGTGTGTGTGTGTGTGTGTGTGTGTGTGTGAATCAAGATGAGGAAGGCATATTAATGAAAGAATTATTGTGTTGGAAAATTTATTTCACTATAAATTTATTTTTTCATCTTCTGTTGAGGAAAAGGCTTATCCTGTGTTTTATTATTTGAAGGATTGGTTTTATAGAAAGAAGAGAAGAGCAAAAGGATACTTAGAAAAAGGGAAGTACTCAGGGAAAATAGAAAGGGCAGTAAGAAGAAATAAAAGTTGGGAAAATTAGTGCAGCTTGTATGGAAAGAGAGTAGGAGAAGAAGGTGCACTTTACTGACTTGTTTCAAAACCCAAGTAGCTTGCAATCCTTTTTTGGGGCACAAAGAACCCCTATCTTAGTAGGTGTGGTACCTGCATCACAAGTCAGGCTCTCCTGGATTCTCTGGATTCTTTTTTTTTTTTTTTTTTTTTGGCTTTCCCACCTAATGACTAATAAGAGACATCAACTTCTCCTGTGACTTCCACATCCTTATTCAGTTTAGGGCCTTGGGAGCCTGAGCTTCCTAGTCTTCCAAAAGTAAGGATTACTGATATGGATCTCAAGGCCCTTATGCAACTACAAACATGATGGAGGATTCATCTCTAGCTCAACTAGAATTGTAGCCCCTAAAACCCATTAGATTTTCTAAGGCCCTCATAAAACCTACCCTGTTCTCTCCATGCTTTATCACAAATCACCTATTGCCTGAGAGAAGATAATTGGAAAACAATGTCAATCTTATTAAGTCTTCTTGTTCATTTCTCTGTTGGCTGTATCCACTCCCTAGAATAATTTTTATGAGAGCAGTGATTTAGTTTTCTTATTCCCTATCATATGCCCAATGCCTGAATCAGCATCTGACCCATAGTAGGCCATCAGTAAATACATGTTGAACAAATAATAAACACTTACAGAGGAATATTTTCATACAAGCTGGTTGATTGTCACAAAGACAAAGTATATTCATGTTAAATGAAACTCAGAAGGTTGTAAACAGCATTTCAAACTTGTAACTGCCCTTTAACTGTTAAGTGCATTTACAGTTCAGTTTAACACAGCCTGTATCTTCATTTATAAGCCCGGTGAGGGCAAGGATTTGTGGTTTTTGTAATTATTTTGTTAATTCTCTTTCCCCAGGAGCCTCATGGTTTTGTCAGCTGAAATAGTACACCCACTATAGAGTAGAGTGAATTTAGTGTTTATTTCTGCTGATGATGAAGGAGCCATTCCAAATTACTCTACTGGAATTACATTGAACATGGACAAAAATCTTCAATCAAACAAATTCATACAAAAGGAATTCAGGGTATTTAATCAGAAGAGAAGGAGACAGAGGAGGCAAAGATACCATTTTCAAGTGTCGGGAAGTCCATAATGTCATTTAGAAGAGGGCATGGTCCTGTTCAGTGTTGCGTGTATTATTGCTCCTTTCCATGCCTATCTCAATAAAGAAAATAGAGCAGATTTTAGTTCAATATAATCAGTAAACAACACTCAGGTATAACACAGAAACAACAGTTCTCTAGAAATATAAGGCTCTCCAAAATTGTATCAATTCAAATAGAAGCTAAGTTCCTATATGACTTTTCATGAATATAGTAAGAATGACTTCTTGCCTATGTGAAAAATGGGACTCAACTAGATGGCCCGTAATTTGCAACTCTAAATTTCTAGTGTACATGACTGAATGAGTATCTGTAATATGGTTTGCATTCCCTAACCTCTTAGGGAGCTCTTAAAAAGTATAAAACTGGTCACAAATATTAATTGAGAAGGTTGCAATCTATTGAGGAGCCCAGTGTCAGTTCTAAGAAAAAGAAATGAAAGAATGCAATGCAGGAGTTCAATAAAGAAATTTCAGAATAGATTGATGCTTAGTACTGTAATTTTCCATAGCTACAACATCTAAGGCAGATAAGTGGTGTGTCCAGCCCAATCAAATATCCTTTGCTATATGAGCACAAGTCTTTCTAATATAGGGGTTGTAGGATGGCCTTTAAAAAGTCAAGAAGCTGCATTTGGAGAGTAAGGTATACTCTGATCAATAAAAGACCTTGGTAGCAAAAGGTCCAGTAAAGTGGGTTATATTAATCCTCAGAAATAAGTGAATGGATATTCGAGGACTGGATTAAATATTCTCAACTTGGAGCATTTCTAAAGTTTTGTAACTTTGCTCACTCATGAGCTTAAATGTAGAGGAACAGGTGCCACTGAGGTAGGTGATCAGTGCTTAAATCCATAAGCATCTGCTTCTGAGTTCATTGATCTGTTTCTTATCTAATATATAGTTCCATTCATTCCTCACACCTGCCCTGTGAGAGAGGTATCTTTATTCCCATTTTACAGATAAAAGCAGAAAACATCAACATCCTCAGAATATAGTCCTAACACAGCCCAAAAGCTGGACTAACATAGCTGGAATGATGAACTGGTTTTGGGAGTGAAATAGGAGATTGGGGAATAACACCCACACGGAAAGATGGAGGAGTACATATTTGGCTCTTCCAAGCTGTCTGTTCTCAGTCATGTTTGGAGAAACGGAGGTAGTTGAGTAACTCCTGTGGTTGAAAGCCCCTAGGATAGCTCCCAGTGACCCTGCCTCCTGACATTCACCCACTGTGTAATCCCTTCCCCTGGAGTATAGGTTGAATTACTTTATTTTCTAGAATAAAGATAGACTAGAATAGAATACAAAAAAAAAGTGATAGGTTATCACTTCTGAGATTAGATTGCAAAAGCATTGTGACTTCCGTCTTGCTTATCCTCTCTGGCTCTCTGGGAGAACCCCAGTGCCATATTGTGGTGGAACTCTGGAAAGGCCCAGGTAGCAAGAAACTGCCATCTCCAAGAGTGAGTAAGGACTTGAGGCCTCCCAATAGCAGTGTGAGTGAGCATGGAAACAGGTTCTTCCCATGGAGCCTTGAGGTGACTGCTGCCCAGGCTGACACCTTGATTGCAACCTTGTGAGAAGCCCTGAGTCAGAGGCACTCAGCTAAGCCATACCTGGATTCCCGACCCACATAAATTATGAGATAGTAAGTTTGCTGTTTGAAGCTGATAAACCTTGCTATGACTTGTTACACAACAAATGATAACTCATAAACTCCTATTAAAAGTGAGATATCTTTGGGATCTAGGAGAGTTTAGGAAGACTTTAGGAGGAGGAGTGGAAGTTTGTACTAGAAAGTCTTGGCTAATAGAAAGTCTTGAATCAGTGCAGAAAACAAACTGTGAATATACAAAGATGCTGAGACTGATTGCCCCTGATATAGTTAAGCAGAGCAGGAACTATAGAGCCACTAATATTAAGTGACAGATGATGTGCCAGGAAGTAATGAAACTTAAAACAGCTGCCTGAACAGGTAGGGCAGTTGCTCCTCAATTTTTCAATTACAAGGATGCTTTATTCTTTTTTACTCTGGGGGTGTAGAAAACCAACCCTGTCACACTCTCATCCAGCACCTTTCCATGGCTCCCCACTATCTACACACACATGCCTGATCTTTCTAGTGAGGCACAGCAGGCCCTCCCTCTGTCAGGCCTCTTCCTGCCCCTTCAGGTTCACCTCTTGCCCATCACTTCCTCAAACTTTATGCATGGAGTTCTCTAAATGCATCAAAGACTTTAACACTTCTTGATCTTACAGCGATGATCTCATTTTCCTGGAGCGTTCTTTATCACCTTCTTCAAAGGTTAACTCCTCAGATGTTTTTAAGATTCCCTGGAACCGTCCCACTGCCAAGGCAGAGTTTCCTTTCTGTGTGTCCCTTGAGGACCAGCTGTAAAGGCAACTGTAGAACACCCCATGTTGTATTGAGATGATTTTTTCCTAGGTCTTTCTTTCCATCCCTCCCCATGGTAGGCACTGAGCTGAACTGCCCTATCACTTGAAATATTTTGCGTGTAAACCCAATTTTGTAATTGTGTTTTACTTCCTCAAAAGCTTATATATAGCTGCCCATTAGAGCTTAAGATCAGAATGAGACAAGATCAGGATAAATTCAAACATAATATATATCACTCATGTCAAAAGAAGATAATCTCAACATTTTTGTAACTTTATAGAGATGATGATATGGTTGCTTGGCTGCTCTTAGTCTCTTTAAAATGTTTTAGTAGCTCAAAGACACCTCCCTCCCCACCACTGGTGTTCTTAAAACCTGTAGAGGTCCTTGTGAAGCCCTGTGATTTCTTGTTTTCCTGGAGAATCTGTTGACTTTTTGTGAGCTACAAAGCAAAAATAAAATAAGGAAACCCATATGTATGCTTGTGTTATATATGCATCTCGTGTAAGTTCTCAGAAGTGCTGGAGCAGTGTTTTTCAACATGTTGCAGCCTCTGTGGTAGGGTTTAATGTTGTTGTTAATTTCAGTCAAACACAATGCCAACTACTATAGTCCGTGCACCCCTTGGCCACATCTGCAAGATTAAACAGGGACATCTCATGGTTCATCTCAACTCGTGTTCAGTAAAAAACCTCATACAATATTAGAAAAAAAGGAGATAGTGGTCAAAATGTCTCTAAAAGAGTGACATAGTTTGAAGGCTGGAAAGGATGTCAGAGACCGACTGGCGCACCATCTTCACTTTTCCAATGGTAAAGGTGGCTGAAAGCTGTGAACTAACAGACTCAGTCACACAGCTGGTTAGTAGCCATGCTGGGAGGGATGCGGGAACAAAGGCAAGTCAACAGTAAACTATTTTATAGGCAAAGGCAAATATCCTCAATTTTGCTTCAGCTCTCTGAATACTTGGGACAGATCATATATTCACTTTAACAATGCAGATATCAGCCTTGGGCTCTGCTTCCTTTGGTCTATATAAAGAGTTCACACTAGATCAATCAACATGTTGCATTTGCGTGGTGTTGTACTGGCTCACATTTTCTCTTGGATCCTGCCTTCTGTTCTTTCCATATCCCTTTTGTGTATGAAAACATGGAGCACGTTGCAGTCTGCAGTTACACTGGCTGACAGAACAGACATTGAGTCAATCCCGGGGAGCAATAGATTCAACCTTGGGAAGCTCCAGCATGTTCTGGCAGCTGCTAGTGAAAGCTGTACTATACATGCCTCCCAGAAATGTCCTGGGCATGTTGCTTTCTAAGAGAAACATTTGTATAAACTACCCATTGTGCAAACTTAACATCAGTTAGTGGTTTCTCATACAACTTGTAGAAACTTTTGCACAATTCTCGGAAGAGAAAGCAGTGACTAACCCAGAAAGAGACCTGCTGAGAGAAATAAGGACCTGAGTAACCAGGAAGAAAACCCAAGTCTGTTGGAGACAGGGTTACTGGGGTTCTGATTCTTCCTTTGCCTTTTCCTTGCTGTGCTAGAGAAACATCAGTCCACATGACAAGATTTGAAGTATCTATGGAATCTTACTTTTTAGGAGTTCAAGGAAAAAAACAAACTGAAACAAAAAAAAAACCAGCAGGTATATAAAAAGCAAGTATGAAAGGGTGAGCATTTCAAAGGAGAGAGGGATAACATAATGAAGAAATGCACTGAAATATCTTCAAATAGATGTAAAGCAAAGTAATAATGCTGTATTCTTTTCTGCAAATTAAATTAAATGCACTACATTTTATTAAATTAATTTTTGTGGGTACATAGTAGGCTTATAGATTTATGAGGTACATGAAATATTTGGATACAGGTATGCAGTATATCATAATCACATCAGGGTAAATGGGGTATACATCACTTCTACTATTTATCCTTTGTGTTGCAAACAATCCAATTATACTCTTTGTTATTTTAAAATGTACAATTAAATTATTTTTGACTATAGTCTCCCTGTTGCTTTATCAAATACTAGAACTCATTCATTCTCTCTATTTTCGTATCAGTTAACCTCCCCAGCTTCTGGTAACCACCCTTCTACTCTCTATGTCCATGAGTTCAATTGTTTTAATTTTTAGCTTCCACAAATAAGTGAGAACATGCAAAGTTTGTGTTTCTGTGCCTGTCTTATTTCACTTATAATGACCTCCAGTTCCATCCATGTTGTTGCAAATGACAGAATCTCATTATTTTTTATGGCTGAACAGTACTCCATTGTGTATATGTACCACATTTTCTGTATCCATTCATGTGTCGATGGACACTTAGCTTGTTTCCAAATCTTGGTTATTGTGAATAGTACTGCAATAAACATGAGAGTACAGACATCGTTTTGACATACTGATTTTTTCCTTTGGGTTTCTACCTAGCAGTGGGGTTGTTGGATCATACATGTGTTAGGTCATTCTCACATTGCTATAAATAAATACCTGAGATGGGATAATTTATACAGAAAAGAGGTTTAATTGGCTCACGGTTCTGCAGGCTGTACAGGCAGCATGATGCTGGCATCTGCTCAGGATCTGGTGAGATCTCAGGAAACTTATGATCATGGCAGAAGGCGAAGGGGAAAAAGCCATGTCACATGGCCAGAGCAGGAGCAAAAGAGGGAGAGGAGAGATGCCACATATTTTTAAATGGCCAGATCGCATGAGAACTCACTCACTATTGTGAGAACAGTATCAAGGAGATGACACTAAACCATTCATGAGAAATACACCCCTATGATCCAGTCAGTTCCTACCAGGCCCCAACTCTGACACTGGGGATTATATTTCAATAGGAGATTTGAGCAACGACATACTCCAAACTGTATCAGTGTGATAGCTTTATTTTTAGTTTTTCGAGGAACCTCCAAACTGTTTTCATAGTGATTGTACTAATTTACATTCCCACCAACAGTATACAAGAATTCCCTTTTCTCCACATCCTTGCCAACATTTGTTACTGCCTGCCTTCTGAATGAAATGCATTTAAACAGGGTAAGATGATGTCTCAATGTAGTTTTGATTTGCATATACCTGTTGCCATTTGTATGTCTTCTTTTAAAAAAACATCTATTCAGATCTTTTGCCCATTTTTTAATCAGATTATTAGATATTTTTCCTGTAGACTTAAGCTTCTTATATATTCTGGTTATTAATTCCTTGTCAGATGGATAGTTTGCACATACATTCTCTCATTCTATAGGTTGTATCTTCACTTTGTTGATTGTTTCCTTTGCTGTCGAGAAGCTTTTTAACTTTATGTAACCCGATATATCCATTTTTTGCTTTGGATGCCTCTGCTTGTGAGGTATTACTCAAGAAATCTTTGCCCAGTCTAATGTTTTGGAGAGTTTCCCTAAAGTTTTCTTTTAGTAGTCTGAGGTCTTAGATTTAAGTCTTGAATATATTTTGATTTGATTTGTGTATATGGTGAGAGAGACAGGGGACTAGTTTCGTTCTTTTGCATGTGGATGTCCAGTTTTCCCAGCACCATTTATTGAGGAGACTACCTTTTTCCCAGTGTATGTTCTCGGTTACTTTGTCAAAAATGAGTTCACTGTAGTTGTGTGGATTTGTTTCTGGGTTCTCTATTCTGTTCCATTGGTCTATGTGTTTGTTTTTATGCCCTTTCCATGCCGTTTTGGTTACTCTATCTCTGTAGTATGACTTGAAGTCAGATAATGTGATTCTTCCAGGTTTCTTTTTACTTAGATTGTTGGCTATTCTGGATCTTTTGTGGTTCCATATAAATTTTAAGATTTTTTTCTATTTCTGTGAAGAATATCGTTGGTATTTTGATAGGCATTGCATTGAATCAGTAGATTGCTTTGGGTAGTATGGACATTTTAACAATATTGATTTTTTTCAATTCATATATATGGACTATATTTCCATTTTTTGGTGTCCCCTTTAATTTCTTGCATCAACGTTTGATAGTTTTCCTTGTAGAGATCTTTCACTTCTTTGATTAATTCCTAAATATTTTATTTAATTTATATATAGTTAATGGGATTATTTTATTGATTTTTTTTCAGATTGTTCTCTGCTGACATAGAAGTATGCTACTGATTTTTGTATGTTGATTTTGTATCCTGCAACTTCACTGAATTTGTTTATGAGTTCTAATAGTTTTTTGGTAGTGTCTTTAGGCTTTTCCTATCATCTTCAAACAAAAATAATTTGACTTCTTCCTTTTCAATTTGGATGCGCTTTATTTCTTTTTCTTGTTTGGTTGCTCTAGCTAGGACTTCTAGTCCTATGTTAAATAACAGTGGTGACAGTGAGCATCCAGATGTTAGAGGAAAGGCTTTCAGTTTTTCCCTATTCAGTATGATAACTACCTACGAGTCTCTCATATATGACATTTATTATGTTGAGGTATGTTCCTTCTGTTCCCAGTTTTTTTGTTTTTGTCATAAATGGTGTTGAATTTTATCAAATGCTTTTTCAGCGTTAATTTAAAGGATCATGTGGTTTTTGTCCTTCATTCTATTGATATAATGTATCACACTGGTTGATTTGTGTATGTCAAACTATCCTGGCATCACTGGGATAAATCCCCTTGGTCATGGTGAATAATCCTTTTAATATAAGATAATAGTAGTTTACACATCACAATTACAGTATTACAGTATTCTGTGTCTTTCTGTGTGTGTGCTTACTATTACCAATGAGCTTTGTACCTTCAGATGATTTATTCTTGCTTGTGAACACCTTTTTCTTTCAGAATGAAGAACTCCCTTTAGCATTTCCTATAAGACAGGTCTGGTGGTGATGAAATCCCTCAGTCTTTGTTTGTTTGTAAAGGTCTTTATATCTCCATCAAAAGTTGGAAGGATATTTTTGCCAGATATATTATTCTAGGGTAAAAGTTTTATTTTTTCTTCAGCACTTTAAGTATGTCATGCCACTCTCTCTTATCCTGTAAGATTTCTACTTGAAAAGTCCACTACCAAATGTATTTGAACTTCATCATTTGCTATTTATTTATTTTCTCTTGCTGCTTTTAGAATTCTTTCTTTATCCTTGACTTGGGGACTTTGATTATTAATGCCTTGAAGTAGTCACCTTTGGGTTATATCTGCTTGATGTTCTATAACCTTCTTGGATTTGAGTGTTGATATCTTTCTCTAGGTTTGGGAAGTTCTCTAATATTATCTCTGTGAATAAACTTTGTATCTCTGTCTCTTTTTCTACCTCCTCTTTAAGGCTATTGACTCTTACATTTGCCCTTTAGAGGCCATTTTCTAGATCTTATAGGCATGCTTCATTGTTTTTCATTCTTTTTCTTTTGTCTCCTCTGAGTGTGTCTTTTCTTCTTTTTCTTTTTCTTTTTTTTTTTTTTTTTTTTGAGACAGAGTCTCACTCTGTCACCCAGGGTAGAGTGCAGTGGCGCAATCTTGGCTCACTGCAACCTCCAACTCCCAGGTTCTCTGCCCCCTAGGTTCAAATGATTCTCATGCCTCAGCCTCCTGAGTAGCTGGGACTACAGGTGCACACCACCATGTATGGCTACTTTTCTTTAATTTTTAGTTTTAGTAGACACAGGGTTTCACTAGGTTGCCCAGGCTGGTCTCAAACTCCTGGGGAAACTTGAAGGCATCCACCCACTTCAGCCTTCCAAAGTGCTAGGATTATAGGCGTGAGCCACCATGCCTGGCCTGACTGTGTATTTTCAAATAGCCTGCCTTCAAGCTCACTAATTCTTTCTTCTGCTTGATCAATTCTGCTATTAAGAGACTCTGATGCATTCATCAACATATCAATTGCATTTTTCAACTGCAGAATTTCTGCTTAATTCTTTTAATTTCTTTGTTAAATTTATCTGATAGAATTCTGAATTCCTTCTCTGTTTTATCTTTAATTTCTTAGAATTTCCTCAAAGCAGCTATTTGAATCCTCTGACTGATAGGTTATATAGCTCTGCTTCTCTAGGATTGGTCTTATTTATTTCATTTGGTGAGGTCATGTTTTCCCAGATGGCCTTGATGCTTTTTGATGTTCATCTGTGTCTGGGCATTGAAGAGTTAGGTATTTATTATAGTTTTCACATTCTGGGCTTGTTTGAGCCTGTCCTTTTTGAGAGAGATTTCTAGGTATTCAAAGAGACTTGGGCCCTGAGTCCAATAATGCTGTGGTTTTTTGCAGACTTGTATAGGTACCACCTTGGTGGTCTTGGATAAGATCCAGAAGAGTTCTCTGGATTAACAGGCAAAGGCTCTTATTCTTTTTCCTTACTTTCTGCCAAACAAAAGGAGTCTCTCTCTCTGTACTGAGCCACCTGGAACTGGGGGTGTATTGATGTAAACACCCCTATGGCCACCACCACCACTGAGACTGCACTGGGTCAGACCTGAAACTAGCACAGCATTGGGTCTGGTTCAAAGCCCTTCCCTTCAGGAAGGCAAGCTCCCCGAGACCCTGGATTTGTCCAGAGATGCTGTCTGGGAGGGAGTCAAAAACCTTAGCCATTTACATGATGTTCTACTCTACTACAGCTAAGCTGGCACTCAAATTGTAATACAAAGTCCTTCCCACTCTTCCCTCCTCTTTCCACTGTGGCTGAGCCGGTCCCTTTCTCTGTGGTCACAGCCAACAGTGGTCAACAGGGGATTCTGCCAGGTGACCGCCATTGCTTACTTAGAGCTCAAGGGCTCTTCAGTCAGCTTGTGGAGAATGCTGACTGGCCAGGGATTCACCCTTCATGGTAGGTCCAGAAATGCTGTCCAAGAGCCTAGGCCTGGACTCAGGGCCCCCAAGAGCCTGCTTGTTGCTCTATTCCACTGAGGCTGAGTTGGTACCCGGTTTTTAGTTTCTGTGACAGTGTCTATCTGTGTGCAGATAGTTGTTAAAATTTGGTGTTCTAGCTGTGGGGATGAATAGTATACGTTTCTATTCCATTATCTTGCTCTGCCAAAAAAAAAAAAAAAAAAAGCAACATACAAAGATACTTTATTTCATTTATTGATAATATACTATTATTATTTATATAGAATATTTTATTTTTGCTAAAAGTAGAGTCAACTTTAATACTCAGCAAAAAAGAGCAAATAATTATTTTATCTGTTACATTAGGGAAATTTTAATAAACTTTGTAACAGTGTGTTACCTGCTGAAAAACGCTTTTTAATTTTTTATCTCAGTTGTTTTCACAAAAGAGTCTCATGAGGGAAGGAGAGTAAGAATTATCCCAATTTTACAAATATAAACAATTCAGCTCAGAGATTAAGTAATTTGGCCAAGGTCATCAAAAGTTGGAAGTGTAATTGGCAGAGATTCAAGACATGATTATTCCCAGGGACATTCCTATGATATTAACCTGCCTTGGAAGGCCTGGAAAGCCCTTATAGACCCAGAAAACTTGATTAATAAAGAATTGAGGAGAGCTGCAAGAGTGTGGATCAGGGCATCTCAAAAGTGTCAGGTACCTAGTGGGTTATCCACTGGAGTGGAATAAAGAGAACAGGCCCCAGGATACCTCATGTGGGCTCCTACCCAAAATGAGCAGGCCCAGAATCCAGCAGAGGAGAGAACTGAGATGAGAGGGAAGTCAAATACTAAAGGAAGGGATCAGGGGACATTAAAGAGAAACTGACTTGTTGACAATTTAAACCATGGTCCTTTTAATCACCACAATCTATTTTTCCTTCTACAGTAATTGAGTTGGAGGTGGGCACATGGCAAGACAACATTTTCCAGCCACCCTTTCAGTAAGGTTTGGCAAGGATCTAAGCTGTCCCCAGTGGATATGAGCACTGGATATGTGTCTTCAGGTGTAGCTTATGATAGAGCATGTGGCTTCTCTCCATTTCCTTCTGCTTTCCCACCTGCTAGAACCCAGATATGGTGGAACCATGCAATACTAAGGAATGCAGTCCCTGATTGTCTATGTGGGGCAGGCTGACTGCCAGCCAAAACTCTCACCTGTGTCTGTTATGAGCAAGAGAAAAATATCTTTGTTTCCTAAGACAGCAGTCCCCAGATTTTTGGCACCAGGGACTGGTTTCATGGAAAGCAATTTTTCGACAGCCAGGGAGGGAGATGGTTTTGGGTTGATTCAAGTGCATTATCTTTATTGTGCACTTTCTTGCTATTATTATTACATTGTATTATATAATGAAATAATTATGCAACTCACCATAATATAGAATCAGTGGGAGTCCTCAACTTGTTTTCCTGCAACTAGACAGTCCCATCTGGGGGAGATGAGAGAGACAGTGACAGATCATCAGGCATTAGAGTCTCATAAGGAGTGTGCAACCTAGATCCCTCGCATGTGCAGTTCACAATAGGGTTTGTGCTCCTCTGAGAATCTAATGCTGCCACTAATCTGACAGAAGGTGGAGCTCTGGTGGTAATGCAAGCGATGGGGAGCGGCCATAAATACCGATGAAGTTTCGCTTGCTGCTCACCTCCTGCTGTGTGGCCCACTTCTTAACAGGCTATAGACCAGTACCAGTTCATCACCCTGGGCCTGGGGACCCTGTCCTAAGATATGTATTTTTTCCAAATTGTATCAATTTTGTCTTACCTCATGAATGCAGGAGTAAACTAACATTTACATCCCACACCCAATTAGATGGTTTACCAGTGTCTGATCAAATAGTTGTAACAACTCTGCAAGGTGGATATAATTATTCTTATTTTGTAGTTGAGAAAACTGGGTCTAAGGAGAGGTTAACTGACTCGATGCAGGCTCCATGGGAGACAGTGAAATGTAAGGGTGGGATGTGGAGTGTTGACTAGCTGGTTGCAAAGCCTGCCTGTGCTCTTCATTGGAATGTAATTTTCAATCTCCCTAAGCCTCATTTTCTTCTTCTGTAAAATAGGGATAATTACAGAACCTCTCTCTTAGGGTTCTTGGGAAATTCAGTGAGATAATCAATCTGAAGTGCCTGATATATAGTAAGAGCACAGTAAGTGCTGATGTCTTTATGCCACAGCTAGTAAACGGTTGAGATAAGATCCAAACCAAATTCTCTGATGCTCCAAAACCCATAATCTTGTCACCCAGGGAGCAAGATCTGATCTGTCTTTGTGCTGCCTATTTCCTGCTTTTAGAGCACGTTTTTCCTCCTTTCCCACCCTCGTAGCTACTCCCTTTTTAGTGTATTGCTTGTGAGGCTTGGGCCTGGTATTATATCTGCTACTGAAACTAAAAGTGGTCATAAAGAAAATATAGTTTCCTGCCATTAGAAAGACTTTCCTCTGCATCTAGGGAAATATGTTTCATCCATTTAATACACAACACAGTTATATAGGTCCTCCAGTCAAAACACTCCGAAATATACATTTTAAAAAACATAGTTAAGATGTCATACTTTTCCCTACAGTACTTTAGAGCTAAATGTGTAGCAGCGTTTGTTTCTGTTTCCTTGTCCTGAGGTTCCTCCCCTTTCTTCCAGGTCATCCATCTGCTGACTGTTCCTGGTCCTTGTTATGCAAGCACATCAGTGTGGCCACTCAAAGATCCACACACCTGAAGGAATTCACTTCCAGGAAATGTTAATGCATTTGCCCAACATCAGTCTCCCATTTCATTTTTAGTCCTTTTCTTTCCTAATAGAATGCTTATCACCATCAGTGAAAAAAAAAAAAAAATTGGGGGTTGGGGAGAGGTGGGTCAAGGGACATAACTTTAAGTTATGAGAAATAAGTTCAAGAGATATTATGTTGTACAATAGTTAATAACAACAAATTGTATTCTTGAAAATTGCTAAGAGAGTAGATTTTAAGTGTTTTTACCACAGAGACACAAAAATGGTATGTGTGTGAGGTAATGCATATGTTAATTAGCTCAATTCCACCATTCCATAATGTATACGTATTTCAAAACATCACATTGTACACAATAAATGCATACACTTTTTATTTGTCAATGAAAAAAAAATAGGAAGCCTTTTTCATATTCCTCTAGGGCATCCCTGCTCATTAGAACTGTATTAGTCCGTTTTCAAGCTGCTGATAAAGACAAACCCGAGAGTGGGTAATTTATAAAGAAAGAGGCAGCCGGGCTTGGTGGCTCACGCCTGTAATCCCAGCACTTTGGGAGGCTGAAGTGAGCAGATCACGAGGTCAGGAGATCGAGACCATCCTGGCTAACACAGTGAAACCCTGTCTCTATTAAAAAATACAAAAAATTAGCCAGGCGCGGTGGTGAGCGCCTGTAGTCCCAGCTACTCTGGAGGCTGAGGCAAGAGAATGGCGTGAACCCGGGAGGCGGAGCTTGCAGTGAGCCAAGATCGCGCTGCTGTACTCCAGCCTGGGCAACAGAGCCACTGCGCTCCAGCCTGGGCGACAGAGCAAAACTCCGTCTCAAAAAAAAAAAAAAAAAAAAGAAAAAAGAAAAAGGGGTTTAATGGACTCACAGTTCCAAGTGGCTGGGAAGGCCTCACAATCATAGCAGAAGGTGAAAGGTATGTCTTACATGGTGGAAGACAAGAGAGAAATGAGAGCCAAGCAAAAGGGGTTCCCCTTATAAAATCATCAGATCTCCTGAGACTCATCCACTACCACAAGGATGGTATGACGGAAACAGTCCCCATGATTCCATTATCTCCCGCCAGGTCCCTCCCACAATACATGGGAATTATGGGAGCTACAACTCAAGATGAAATTTGGGTGGGGACACAGCCAAACCATATTAAGAACTCTCTGCAATGATGGAAATAATTTATATCTGTGTTATACTGGCCGGTATGGTAGCCTCTAGCCACATGTGGCTGTTGAGCACTTGAAATACGGCTAGTTTAACTCAAGAAACCAAAATTATAATTACAGCATATTTAATTTTTATTAACTTCAATTTATATTGCAATAGGTAGCTAGTGGCTACTGTATTGGCAGCACATTTCTAAAGTTTAGACAAGCACTGTCCAATAGGAAGCATAATATCAGCCACATATGTGATTTAAAATTTTCTAGTAGCCACATTAAAAAGTTAAAAGAAAAGAAAAGAATGCAGGTAAAAGTTATTTTAGCAACATATTTTATTATCATCATATTATATAATCCTCATGTACAATAAAGTAAACATGTAATTAATATTAACATTTTTTCAGACTTTTTTTTACACTAATTCTTTGGAAATCTCTTTTGCATTATATTTTAGGCTTTCAGACATCTCAGTCGAAACCACTCAGATTTCAAGTGCTCAACAGACACAGGTGCCTATGGCTACCGTATTGGATAATGCAGCCCTATAGCATTAAAGTGTATGCTTCTTAGCGGAAGGGACCTGTCTTGTTCGTCAATAAATCCCTTGCTTTCAACACTACCCTGGCCCATAAGAAGCCTTTAATAAATGTGTTCATTGACTCCCATTCAGGATGATCAATTCTTACACTGGATTTACAGTTAAACCAAATAATGCCTACAAAAATATATTAAGCTCTTATATTAGCTCTTCCATTTAGAGTTAAATCTATTTTATTTTTACAAGTACCTAAGTGTTATGAGTTTCCATGTATATTGTGAATTTTAATGCTTGAGAGAGGGAATAAGAAAACCTTTTCTATAAAGGAGCAGACAGTAAATATTTTAAGCTTCGCAAGTCATATAGGCTCTGTTGTAACTACTCAACTCTGCTGCTCTAGGGCAAAGTGATCATAAACCATATGTAAACGTAGGGGTGTGGCTGTGTTTCAATAAAACTTTATTTACAAAAACAAGCATCAGGCAGGATTTGGTCCTGAATGCTGGATTTTGCCAGCCCTTGCTATACCTTACAGCAAGGTCTGTATTTTAAATATATGTTGTCCTTAACACTTCTAACACGGTACTGTATAAACTAGAGGTGCTCAATATATAAATGCTGACCTAATATGAGAAAAGTATTCTGCTTCTGTTTAACACCATCAGTTCACGTAGCTACTCTTTTATGAAACAATTATTGCATGTTTAAATTGCTGCATCCTCACACTTTGCACCATGCCAGACACATAGTAAGTGATTAACAAATGTTTATTAATGACTAATAAATGGATAAATGGATTCAATAGCTTACTAGGGGCTGAAGGAGTCCAGGAGGACTTCAAAAAGGTGGTAGCATTTGAACTGAGTATTAAAAGTGAGTAAGAGATAGCAGAGAAACCTGTCAAATACTACCTCAGCTAGGTGAAAAAAGTCAAGGTCAGTATCAGTAGTCATAAATTATGTTGATAGTAGGTATTCTTCTTTGGGGGGTTGGGGGCATGCAGAGTTTCACTCTGTCACCCAGGCTGGAATGCAATGGCGCCATCTCACCTCTCTGCAACCTCCGCCTCCCAGGTTAAAGCAATTCTCCTGCCTCATCCTCCGGAGTAACTGGGATTACAGGCGAACGCCATCACGCCTGGCTAACTTCTGTATTTTTTGTAGAGACGGGGTTTCTCCATGTTGGCCAGGCTGGTCTCAAACTGACCTCAAGGGATCCGCCCACCTCAGCCTCCCAAAGTGCTGGGATTACAGGCATGAGCTACCGCGCCCAGCTGATAGTAGGTATTCTTGTTGTGGTGTAATAAAAATGGCCCTTTACCTCTGTATTTTTCTTCCCAATAACTCATAAAACCAGTCTTATCATGTGAAAAATATTAGATAAATTCCCATAGAGGGGCATCCTACAGAACATTTGAACAGTATGCCCCAAATTGAGAAGGTCATCAAAAACAAACAGAGTCAGAGAAACTATCATGACCAGGAGGAGCGTAAGGAGACATGAGGACTGAATGTCATGTGGTATCCTGAGACAGAAAAGAGAATTCTGTAAAGACTAAGAAAATATGAATAACGTGTGGGCTTTAGTATAGGATAATGTATCAGTATTGATTCATTAATTGTGACAAATATCCCATAATAATCTAAGATATTAACAATAGGGGACACTGAATATGGGCTATATGGAAACACTGTGTACTCTCTGCTTATTTTTTTCTGTACATATAAAAGTTTTTTTTTAAAATAAAGTCTATTTAAAAATAAAGAGCAGATGTAATCTACCAGCCAGCAGGACTGGAATGCTTATTGCAAAACTGGCCAAAAATTTAAAAGTAGGGTTCTCTAGCAAGAAGAAAAGGGCACCTAAATCCGGACAGAATGAACAGCATGAGCAAAGACATGGAGCCTTGGCATAGTCCGTGGCAAACACTTCTTGCTAATGACAGGATGAGACACGAAAGGTTTGGAGGTGGGGTGAAGACACATGACCAAATTTGTGTTTTAAATCTGAGGAGTGGGACAGTGACATTGGTGGTGGGAGTCACCTACGTGCGTTTTACAGTGGATAATATCACATTGCATCCCATCAAGAATAGTGCAGCATTAATCTATTTTTTACTATTTAAAGAACCCTCTAGGCTCAGCCCTTTCACACTGGCAGAAGGAGGCAGATGAACTCATAGAACAAAATCAATTAGTTCTAAATAGTTTCTTTTTTCCTTTTCTTCTGTTTTGTTTTTAAATTAGTGATATGGTAACGGTGTTGAGAGCCAAAGCTTGCAGTTGCAAGAACTAGACTAAGGACCTCAGCATGAAGTTGAGACAGTGAATGCCAACTACGTCTCTGCCAATAGCCTCATTTTCTAGATGAGTAAACAGAGGCATGGAGGGATTAAGTTACTGATCCAAAGCCTTACAGTCAGAATTCAAACCTTAATACCACACAGTACTATTGCTGCTGTAACAGGTATCATTCTGGTTAAAATCATACTCTCTTGTTTAAGTGAGAAATGATTAAGGTTATCACTTTGGTTTTTAAAACTTCCATTAATGAGTAAGTGAAGCCATGTAGACTTGCAAAAAAAAATGTATATATATGACTGAACCAGAACGCATGCCTGATACCCTAGCCACTTAGAGGGAGATTTTGAAAAGATGCCACCTTGGATCACCAGATGGTGCAATGTTCACCTCAGTGCTAATGATAATACCATAGAATTGGAAAGAACCTACGTGTAGAAAGCTATTCAGTGGCGTTGAATCAAGTGTGTAAGTTTCTTGTGGCTGCCATAACAAATTAGCACAAGAATGGTGGCTTAAAACAACAGAAATCTATTCCTTCACAATTCTGGAAGCCAGAAGTCAAAAATCAAGGTGCTGGCAAGGTCGTAGTCCCACCACAGCCTCTAGGGGAATTTTATTGATGCCTCTTTTAATTTCAGGTATGTTGCTGAGAGAGGAAGAAGAGAGAGAGGTAGTCTGATAATAACAATTTAAATTTCTTCCTTGGGTGTCATATTATAGCACCCTTTCATAATCCACCTGAATTAGTTTTATACTCTCACCACCTGTACCTTGTAATGTCAATGATTTAAGATACCAAGAAATAGCTTTTTCATACTCTAATTGCTGGAGTGCAATGGCGCAATCTCAGCTCACTGCAACCTCCGCCTCCCAGGTTCAAGCAATTCTCCTGCCTCAGCCTCCCAAGTAGCTGGGATTACAGGCGCCCACCACCATGCCCAGCTAATTTTTGTATTTTTAGTAGAGAGGGGATTTCACCATGTTGGCCAGGCTGGTTGTGAACTCCTGACCTCAGGTGATCTCCCTGCCTTGGCCTCCCAAAGTGCAGGAATAACACATACTCTAAATTTAAGGACCTGTAGTACAAGGCATTTTTAGTTGCCTGACTTCCAATTATCTTAATGCAAATATATTCCATTTAAACTTGCGAGTTGGTCTGTATAGAGAATTCATATGGGGATCTGGTTTGAACATGAAAATGTACACTTGGAGACAGGTGTCCATGTATCTGTCTGTTCTCATGGCTATGGTCACCACAATTCTAAGATCAAAAACAATGGAGTGAGATGGTATTCAGACTGATGAGAACGTGTTTTGCAGAGACTTTTAGTCTCAGCGGCTTTGTGAGGATGCAGAGCCTGTGTTTCAGGCCTGGTGTGTGAGGGATGAGGCCTTGAAACTCTGACTGTCTCCTTACTCTGACAGAGTTTTTATCACAGGCCTGGGGCTTCAGATATTTATCACTTTCATCCCTTCTTAACAATTATGATAGCTTCTTATATGTGAGCTCATCATTATTATGGAATTTCCTCAGAGTGTTGGAGACTTTACCTTCAACTCTGCTGTGGAAATTTCACATACCAAGGAGATTACAACACCATGGCTCTCCATGTCATTTGTGTCCTAAGTATGCATTTGAAAGCGCTGCAAAGTAGCATGAGTTTGTGGTTGAACATGAGGTGTATGACTGTACTGCGACTTCATGGCCTCAGGTTGCTGACAGATTTGGTGATTGTCCAATTAATTTGATTAATATTGACAACATAAACAGGCATCTCATCTCAATATGAGACATGTCTGTTTTACATTTTTAAAAACAGGTTTATTAAGATTTAATTCCACGTCATAGGGTGTAATCGTTTAATGTGTACTAGTAAGTGGTTTTTAGTATATTCATAAAAGTTCAGTGATGTGTAGATCAGCACTGGCTAATTTCAGAACATTTTCATCACCCCCAAAAGAAACCTCATACATATTAGCAGTCACCTCTCATTCCCCTCCCCCAGTCCATGGCAACCACTAATATAATTTCTGTCTCTATGGATTTGTCTCTTCTGAACATTTCATATACGTGGAATCACATAACACTACAGCCTTTTGTGCCTGATTTCTTTCACTTAACATAACATTGTTAAGGTTTGTCCCACGTTTACACCATGCATCAGAACTTCATTTCTTTTTGTGTCTCAGTAATATTCTGTTGCACGTATACATCACATGTTTATCTTTTCATCAGATAAACAAACATGTGTTGTATACGTTCAATAGAATGGACACAGATTGTTTCTACTTTTTTGCTATTATGAATAATGCTCTATAACAATTTGTGCATAATTTGTTGTGCGGACACATTATCGTATCTCTTGAGTATATGCCTAAGAGTAGAATTATGAAGCCACATGGTAACTCCCATGTATAACATTTTGAAGACCTGGCAAACTGATTTTCAATGTGGCTTCATTATTTTACCTTGCCACCAGCAATGTATGTATGTTCCAGTTTCTCCATATCCTCTTCAATACTTCTTAGTGCCCACCATTTTTTACTATGGTCATAGTACCTGGTATGAAGTGGTATCTCATTGTGGTTTTATTACTTCAACAACAATGATGTTAAGCATTGTTTCATGTACTTTTTGACCATTTCTATATGTTCTTTGGAGAAATGTCTATGTAAATCCTTTGTCTATTTTATATTTGAGTTGTCTTTCTATTGTTGAGTTTAATCAATTCATTAAATATTTGGAAACTGGTCTCTTGCCAGATATATGACTTATAAATATGCATTCAATTCTTGCATTCAATGGATTGTCTTTTCACATTATTGATGGTGCCCTTTGAAGCACAAACATTTTAAATTGTTGGAATGTTCAATTATCTATTTTTCTTTTGTTGCTTGAGCTTTTATTGTCATATCAAAGAAACATTGCCTAATCCAAGGTCTTGAAACTCTGTAACTGCTTTCTTCTAAGAATTCTATAGTTTTAACATATACATTTGGCTTCTGATCCAATAAGAGTTAACATTTGCATGTGGTATGTGGTAAGAGGTCAACTTTACTTTTTTGCATGTGGATATCTGGCAGTCCTAGTCCCATTTGTTGGAAAGAATTTTCTTGCTCTTATTCAGTTGTCTTGCAACACTTATCAAAAAATCAGTTTCCCATAAATGTAAGGGTTTATTTCTGTACACTCCATTTCATTTCATTGACCTATGCATCTATCCTATGCTAGCACCACGCTGTCTTGATTACTGTAGTTTGCAGCAAGTTTTGAAAATCAGGAAGTATGAGTCTTTCAATATTGTGTTTTTTCATTTGTTTGGTTCTTCCTTAGTTTCTTTCAATAATGTTTTGCAGTTTTCAATGTGTTAGTGTTTCACTTCTTTTGCTACAGTTATTTTTAAATATCATATTATTTTATGCTCTTATAGATGGAGTTTTTTAAGTTTCATCTTTGGAACTCATTTTTTTTTACATTGGCTTGTATCTTACAATCTTGTTGAACTCATTTATTAGATCTAATAGTTTTTTGGCAGATTTGATAGGATTTTCTACAAACACAATAATGTCATCTTCAAATAGGGATAGTTTCACTTCATTCTTTTCAATCTGGATGTCTTTAATTTATTTCCTTGCCTAATTGCCCTGGCTAGAATCCCCAGTACAATGTTGAATAGAAATGATGGGAGTGGACATCTACGTCTTATTCCTGATCTTCAGGTAAAGTATGCAGTCTTTACCAGTAAATGTAATATTAATTGTGGGGTTTCTGTAGATGCTCTTTATCAGGTTGAGGAAGTTTCATTCTATTCCTACTGTGTTAGTTGTTTTTATTGTGAAAATGTTTGAATTTTGTCAAATGCTTTCTCTTCATCTATTCAGCTGATTATGTAGATTTTGCCCTTTCCTCTATTAACAGGGTGTATTACATTGATTGACTTTAGTACGTTAAGGTAATCTTGAATTCTTGGAACATATTTCACTTTGTTACAGTGTTTAAGTCTTTATATATGCTGCCAATAGCGACCTCATAGAATGAATTAGAAATTGTTCTTTCCTCTGGAATTTTTTGGAAGAGTTTGAGAAGGATTGGCATCAATTCTTCTTCAAAAGTTTGATAGAATTCACTCAAGAGTCCATATAGGCCTGGGTTTCTCATAGTGGAATTTTTTTATCACTAATTCAATATCTTCATTTGTTATGGGTCTATTTCTTTTTTTATTATAGTTTAAGTTCTGGGATACATGTGCAGAACATGCAGGTTTGTTACATAGGTATACATGTGCCATGGTGGTTTGCTGTACCCATCAACCCATCATCTGCATTAGGTATTTCTCCTAATGCTATCCCTCCCCTAGCCCCCGACCCCACGACAGGCCCCAGTATGTGATGTTCCCCTCCCTAGGTCCATGTGTTCTCATCGTTCAACTCCCACTTATGAGTGAGAACATGCGGTGTTTGGTTTTCTGTTCCTGTATTAGTTTGCTGAGAATGATGGTTTCCAGCTTCATCCATGTCCCTGCAAAGGACATGAACTCATCCTTTCTATGGCTGCATCGTATTCCATGGTGTGTATGTGCCACATTTTCTTTATCCAGTCTATCATCAATGGGCATTTGTGTTGGTTCCAAGTCTTTGCTATTGTGAATAGTGCTGCAATAAATGAATGTGTGCATCTGTCTCTATAGTAGAATGATTTATAATCCTTTGGGTATATACCCAGTAACGGGATTGCTAGGTCAAATGATATTTCTGGTTCTAGATCCTTGAGGAATCACTACACTGTCTTCCACAATGGTTGAACTAATTTACACTGCCACCAAGAGTGTAAAAGTGTCTCTATTTCTCTATATCCTCTCCAGCATCTGTTGTTTCCTGACTTTTTAATGATCACCATTCTAACTGGCATGAGATGGTATCTCATTGTGGTTTTGATTTTCATTTCTCTAATGACCAGTGATGATGAGCTTTTTTTCACATGTTTATTGGCTGCATAAATGTCTTCTTTTGAGAAGTGTCTGTTCATATCCTTCACCCACTTTTTGATGGGGTTGTTTGTTTTTTTCTTGTTTATATGTTGCTATATGTTTTTGTGTCTTTTTTTAACAGGTACCCTGGGAGGCATAATTAACATGTTAACTTAATCTAGTTTAAATTAATACCAACTTATAAATGCTCCATTTCAGCTCCATTTCCTCTCTTCTCTACTCTTATTGACATACAAATTCCATCTTTTTTTTTTTTTGAGACGGAGTCTCGCTCTGTTGCCCAGGCTGGAGTGTAGTGGCATGATCTCAGCTCACTGCAACCTCCGCCTTCCGGGTTCAAGCAATTCTCCTGCCTCAGCCTCCCGAATAGCTTGGATTACAGGTGCACTCCACCACACTCAGCTAATTTTTGTATTTTTAGTAGAGACAGGGTTTCACCATGTTGGTCAGGCTGGTCTTGAACTCCTGACCTTAGGTGATCCGCCTGCCTGGGCCTCCCAAAGTGCTGCGATTACAGGAATGAGCCATTAAGCCTGGCCAAAAATTACATCTTTATTCATTACAATCCTGTCAATGCAAGATTATAATGATTGTTTACAGAGTTGTTACTGTCTAATGAAATAGAATAAGAAAAGTATTATGAATTCAAATATATTTGTAATGTTTTTTAAAGTTATGTATGGATTTACCACTGCCAGTGCATTTTATTTCTTCATGTGAGTTTAAGTTACTGTCTAATGTCCTTTCATTTTAACCTGAAGTCATCTCATTAGTGTTTCTTGTGGACCAGATCTGCTGGCCATGAATTCTGGTTTGTTTCTCTAGGAATCTCTTTATCTCCTCTTCATTCTTCATTTTTCAAGGGTAGTTTTGCTGGACATATGTATATATATATATATATATATATATATTTTTTTTTTTTTTTTTTTTTTTTTTTTTGCTTGACAGTCTTCTATTTCAGCATTTTTAGTGTGCTATCCCACTGCCTTCTGGGCTTCATGGTTTCTAATGAAAAGTCAGATATTAATTTTATGGACAATCACTGGTATGCAATAAGTTGCTTTTCTCAGATTACTTTCAAGAGTCTCTCTTTGTCTCTGGCTTTCAGTGGATTAAGCATCTCTAGGTATAGGTCTTTGTGTTTATTTTACTTAGAGTTCATTGAACTATTTGCATTGCAGATTAATATTTTTGTGTCAGATCTGGAAGGTTTTGGCTATTCTTTTTTAAATATTTTTTGAGTGAAGTTTTAGGTTCACAGCAAAATGAGAGGAACGTACAGAGAGTTTATATGTACTCTCTGTGCTCACACATTTAGAGCCTCTCCCATTGCTGACATCCTCCACTGGAGTGGTACACTTGTTCAAATTAATGAACCTGCACTGACATATCATAGTCACCCAATTCTATCTTCAAATATTCTTCTTCCCCTTTCTTTCTCTTCTCTCCTTTGGAGACCCCAATATGCATGTGTTTGTATGCTTCATGGTGTCCCTATGTTTCTGAGGGCCAGTTCTTTTTCTTTTTTCTTGAATTTTCTTTCTCAGACTATATAATCTCAACCTACTTGTCTACGTATTTGTTGTTTCTTCATTCTGTCAGTTGTAATCCACTGTCGAGTCCCTCTAGTGAATGTCTTATAGCACTAATTTTACTTTTCAAATGTAGAATTTCTATTTGGTTCTTTATTTAGCTTATGTCTCTTTATTGATCTTTATTTGTGACAACATATGCTTCTGAATATTTTCTTTAGTTTTGTGTATATGTTTTCTTTAGTTCTTTGAACATATTTAGGATAGCTGATTTAAAGTCTTTGTCTAGTAGGTTCAACATCTGAATTTCCTTAGGGTAAGTCTCTGTTTTTTCCCTTGCACATGGATGGTAGTTTTCTGATTTTTGTGTGTCTTATAATTTTTATTGAAAATTAGATATTTAAGATAATGTAATGTGTTACCTCTAGAAATCATATCCTATCTCTGACCATGGTTTGTTGTTGCTGCTTTTTTATAGTTATTATTTAGTAATTTTCCTTGTTTCTTTAAAGTTTGTATTGTTTTTTGTCACGTGTGGCCCCTGATGTCTGCTCAGTTTATTTAGTATAAGCTAATAAGCAGACAGAGATTACCTTAAATACTTGAACCAATGAGTCTCCCCACCTTTTCAGAGAGGCCCTGTTGAGCATGCCTTCAATGTTCTGACAGTCTACCACTATGTCTTAACCTTCACTTCTTCTTTGCAAGGAGCCTAAAAGTCAGCTAGAGGCACAAGCTTAAGGCCTTCTCAGGTCTTTCCTGAGCATACACACAACCTAGGTAATATCCACTATCTTGCATGTATGCATGGCTTTAGAGATTTCCAGGAATATGTTATAGCTCTTTAAAGACCTCTTTGCAATATTATTTCTTAATTTCTCCTTATCAGTTTTTTTGGTTGGTGCATTGTTAGATTAACACATATCATGGTTCTGGCAATTGTAATGCTAAACAATTGCTGCTGATTCTTTTCAGCAAATACCCAGTGGGTAGGACTGTTCACACAGAGTGAGTTTCAAATCAGGTCAAGTAAAAGCAAGCTCGGCAAGTGGACTTTTTCTCAAGCTGCGTTCAGGTCAAATAGTGCTGCTCTCTAGGAACAGTTACTTGAGGATTTTAGAGAGCTCCAAACTGTTCTGGGCCTTCAAGTGGATAGTAGCCTACTTACTTTCATCACTACTGTAGTTACGATACTGTTGGTTTTCCAGGCCATTATGGTCTGGAAATAGCGTGATGAAATTAGGGCAAGTTAAAATACTAGAAAGCTTACTGTTCTTATTAACACTCTGTTAACTTCTTCAGTAAACACTTCTCAGATTGTTGCAAGCCTTAATTAATTTCCAGACTTCATATGCTTTTGTAGAGGAGTGGACTTCAGAAGTCCTTAATCAGCCATTTTGGAAATCAAGCTCCTCCGCTTTGCTTTTGATGATCATAACATAAATGATCCCCATTTGAATAGCATAATAGCTTTTAAAAGAGACCTCACATATTATCTTTTTGCTTCTTTTTAAATTTGATCTATGGAATATTTTTAAAATAAATGTAGAAAAAACAACACATCAGATACTCAGATTTCAAAGATGTTCATATTTTTCTATATTTTCTTCAAATTCCTCTATTTATAAAGAAAAAAATTTTTATCGTCCTTCCTTCTCTCCCTCTAAAGAGGTTGACCCTCTTTTGAAGTTGATATGTGTTAATTCTAATACTTATTTCATTTACATATGAATGCATTGTGTGTGTGTGTGTGTGTGTGTGTGTGTGTGTGTACAGTTTTGCATGTTCTTTAAAGAATACCTTATGATAAATATATGCTCTTTGAAATTACCTTTACTTGGTATTAATTTTTTGAGATTAATCTATGGTGACGCATATAAATCTACAGTTTAACAAAATGGTATTCTATTGAATGATCAACTGAAATCTATGTATTCAATCTTACGATAATGAGAACTCAGCATGGGTCTCACTCTGAGCCCTGAAGTGTGAGCCCTGAAGCTAGACTTCCTGAGGTCTAATCCTCATATGGTTACTTATATTTGTTTTTTTTGATCCCGGGAAAATTATTTGATCGCTATGCCTTCGTTTACTTATACTATACCAATATTAACAAACTCTATGTCCCTGTATGACCACATAGTAATTTGGCAGATTAAATTATTATTATCATTATTATTTTGAGATGGAGTCTCGCTGTGTCACCAGGCTGGAGTGCAGTAGTGTGATCTTGGCTCACTGCAACCTCTGCTTCCCGGGTTCAAGCAATTCTCCTGCCTCGGTCTCTGAATGAGCTGGGACTACAGGAGTGTGCCACCAGGCCCAGCTAATTTTTGTATTTTCAGTAGAGACAGGGTTTCACCATGTTGGCCAGGATGGTTTCGCTCTCTTGACCTCATGATCTGCCCACCTCGGCCTCCCAAAGTGCTGGGATTACAGGCATGAGCCACCGCGCCTGGCCTATTATTATTATTTTAGAGACAGAGTCTCGCTCTGTCACCCAGGCTGAATGGTACTGTTTTTAACTAAGAAAAAGTTTAGACTAGTTATCAGGAATCAGCTAGTGTTTGGAATGAATTAACTATTCCTATAAACAATGCTGCAGAAAACATCCTTATACATATCTCATGAAATTTTTGGATTGTAGCACCTACAATATCCAGTTCAAACTGATGATATCAAGGTGCATTTCCAGCAACATTTCTTGCTTTCTAATTACATTGGCATAATTAGACAACCCACAGTCTAAGAAAAGGTAATTTCTGTGCATATATATATTTTAAAAATCACTGTTTAAATATACATTTAATAAAACTTCCTACAAGTTGAAAAAAAATTCCCACTAGAAAAATGAAAAAAAAAAAAGAAAAGAGAATTCACTTAAAACCCATATGACTAATAAACTGAGCAAGACTAACTGACTAACAGGTAGTTAGAAACCTTGTTAATAAGTGGCCCATTGTAGCTTGGATGCACGTCCAGCCTTTTTCCACTACTCCACTTTTTTTCTTCCAAATAATCAGCAACTACCAAATGATAGTAAAGGGTCTGCTTCTGTAAGTGATGCGTAGCAGCATCACCCTTTCCCTCCTTTTGGAATGTTCTTTTATTTAAACAAAAACACTTTTTTTCTAGGAAGAGTTTCTCTGAGCTAAAATTAGCTAGAGCAACTTGTAACGCATGGCATATTATCCATGGTTGTGAGCATGTGTTTTTAAAAGCCTGTGTAGGTGTTTCTACAAGTGTATGAATGTAACAGGTGTCCAGGCACACATGTTTTTTTAAAGCTAATGCTAGTAAAACAGTCGATGTAAGTAATCTTCTTTCAGAACGGCAACACAGCTAACACTGCTATTCATTTCAATTCGCGTTTACTGACATAAAATGAGAGTCAGGTAAGTTGACTCAGAGTAACCAGAGGCTGGTATGCTCATGGGCTTCTGAGATACATGAGGGGAAAACATTTCCTATCCAATCTTTGACATTCTATGTTCCAAAAGATTTTTATTTTAACCCCAGTCTTAATTGCCCTTCAGTATCAGAATTAATTGTGTTTTCCACTAAAAGGCCAGTGCAGCTTAAGGTTACTCCAGGGTCTCAGCAGCCAATGCATCTTCTGTAAATGGCTTGATTGCCGTCCGCGGAGAGGAGGGCTGGGAAAGATGTGCTTGACCGAGGCTATACATTATAGTCCAATTAGTGTGGAGATCACTACACGAGTCTTTAACTTTAGTAACTGTCGGAATCTCTAATGGAGACCATAGACAGAGTGGACAGGAACTGAGAACCCACTTTCTCTGCCAGGCAGAAGGGGAATGGCTTTGGCTGTGTACCAAATGACCACCAGGTCTACTTTTCTCAAGTTTTCTTTTCCTCACGCTCGTCTATTCCTCCCACCATCCAAAGAGTTAGAAACAAAGCCAGAGCATCGAAGGTACATGCAAGCATCGGTAATAGAAAGTCTAGCAATTGTAAAGGCTCTGCAGTCAGGGACCTTGGTTGGAATTTCAGGCTATTTGACCTCAGTTATTCAAAACTCTCTAAGCTTAGACTCATCAATTAATGACATGAATGATAATTATAACCATTTTTATGGAATTATCAGAATTATTAAATGGCATTTCAATTTTAAAAAGCCTATCTGGCATGCAGTAAGTAATTCATACATGTTTGCTTTTACTATACCATTATTGAATATTAAAGGAAAATAAAGTTCTAAAGGGGTTCCAAAGTCAGGACCTGTATGTTAACTTATCACAGTTGTTCATTATGAGGTCTTATAAAGTCAGCTTCCAGTCATTTTCTCCATTGCCCTAATTTCTCTCTGGTCATTGAACATTTTCTAGAACCACTTAAGCTCAACTCTCTCTTTGCGATAAGGTTTTATTATAGGAATTCTCTGATCTCCATCATAGAAGGACTGGCCCCATCCAACCTACTTCTTGTGAGTGCTACTTATCAATACTACTTATCAGTACTTCCTTTTATCTCCGTTTTCCTAAAGACTTACCTTCCACCTGACCACAGGTTTGAGGTTGAAATCCGCACTTTCATTTCTGGTCTGACCACTCCCCTGTCTCATGGATACACTCCAGGCTTGTTTCATCTCTCACTTGATAACATTTGGCTCTACTGAGAACAGGGGGAAAATCTATGCCACCTCACACCCATGGACTTAGTCAATTTCCTTGCTCCTTCTCTTCCTCTTTGAGAAAAGAGTCTTCCCTTCTCTGATATCTCCAAGGACAAAGGCAGAGTAGAAGATTTGAACCAGCCTGCATGTAATGAATTACAGGATCTCAAACACTCTCCATTCTCTCATTATAACATAAGTACATACAATTCTGTGCAAGGGAGACTACTCAGTGGGCCAGTGCACTTCTGCTTAACAGCAAAATTTACAACAAGATGTTTCCTGAATATGATGCTTACCAAGAATCAGTTAAGTTTGTTCAAAATATATTCATACCATGTTTACCATTATTGTAATTATATACTTTAATTAATTAATATATAAATGGATACTAAATTAATATCCATTTTAAATAATTTAAAATATATATAAATTAATAATATATAATTAATTAATATATAATGTGAGTTGTTACCACTATTAAAACTAAATTGCAAGCTTTAGAAAGACAAGATAAAGTAGAATCATTGTCTTAGCCAGTGTGGGCTGCTGTAACAAAAATGTCATAGCCTGGGTGGCATAAACAACACACATTTATTTATCATAGTTCTGGAGGTTGGGAAGTCCAAGGTTAAGAGGCTGTTCAGTTTTATTCTTGGTGTAGGCCCTCTTTCTGGTTTGCAGATAGATGCCTTCCTGCTGTGTCCTCACATGGAGGAGAGAGTTCTAGTCTCTTTTCTCCTCCTGTAAGGACATTAGTCCCATAATGGAGTTGTCACTCTCATAATCTCATCTAAACTTAATTATCACCCAAGGGCCCACATCCTAATAATATCCCATTGGGGGTTAAGGTTTCAAACATGCAGTTCAACAAGCATCGAAATATTTTTTAGAAATTAAGTAGGGATGGTAAAACAAATAGGAAATAATTGTAAAAAATCAAGACTCTGTAGCAAGTGCTACATACATGTCAGGGGTCCCCAATCCCCAGGCCGCTGAACGGTACCAGTCCCTGGCCTGTTAGGAACTAGGCAGCACAGGGGTGGGGAGGGGTGGAGGGGTGGAGGGGTGGAGGGGTGGGGAATGGGAGGTTGGGAGGCAGTGAGTATGACCGCCTGAGCTCTGCCTCCTGTCAGATCAGCAGTGGCATTAGACTCTCACAGGAGAGCTAACCCTATTGTGAACTGTGCATGCCAGGGATCTAGGCTGCACACTCCTTATGAGCATCTAACTAATGCCTGATGATATGAGATAGAACAGGTTCATCCCAAAACCATTTTCCTCCTAACCCCGTTCCGTGGAAAAATTGTCTTCCATGAAACCAGTCCCTGGTGCCAAAAAGTTTGGGGACTGCTGCTTTATGTTATTGCCTGTTTTAAAGAACTTAAAAATCATTGATGATACATTGTAGACGTAATTTATGTTTTTCATTCATGGGATAATTTCCATGGTTTGAGAGGTGTTTTAAGAAGTACGCATGTTTTTTTCTTTGTTTTTGAGACAGTCTCACTCTTTTGCCCAGGCTGGAGTGCAGTGGCGCAATATCGGCTCACTGCAACCTCCGCCTCCCGAGTTCAAGCGACTCTCCTGCCTCAGCCTCTCGAGTAACTGGGATTACAAGTGCCCACCACCACACCTGGCTAATTTTTGTATTTTCAGTAGAGATGGGATTTCACCATGTTGGCCAGGCTGGTCATGAACTCCTGACTTCAGGTGAATAATGGCTTATTTTAAATGAGTTTAAACAAAGAAAAAGAAAGACCAAATACTAACTTAACTCCAGAGTCAGAGAAGAAGACTCTACTTTAGATGAGAAGTTTGGGATACATTCTGGAATATGGACTTAGGCTTCTGTCAGATGGATCATTTTATCCTATCTCCTTGGCTTTCTCCGCTGAGTCAGGCGGCCATGTCAGAGGAGAAAGCTGTGAAAACACTACCCAGTACAGACACTAATAGACCTTAAACCAAAGAAAGGAGGTAAGAAGAGTTAGGAGTGACACACTGGGAGGGACTAGGAGAAACCAAAGAATTAAAGAGAGGAAAGGCAGAGAATTTTGTGGGGTAAGGATACTTAGTAATTAAATATATGTGCATTTATAAATCCAGAAATAATTAAAAGGTGAATATTTAATGTGAATTTACTATATGTTAAGTGCCCATGTATAGTCTCATTATATAGGAAGCTTTTTTTTTTTTTTTTGTATTGAGTCCAAGAGGATCAGCTTTCAATCCATATCTCAGAAAACCCACATCACACTGGACAATTTGTAGGCTTCTATTAATTATGTTAATCAAGGAAAATGTTTCATAAACTTTTTTATGAAAAACATTCAACATAGTGAAGGGCATCTATGGTCCTGGCTCTCAGTAAAGTCTTTGAAAATATTTTCGAGGGCCTCTTCAGGGCCTCTTCAAGACTACCTTCTACTCTCAAACACCAACTCTTAAGGTAAATAAAGACTATTTCCCATGTAATTTTATTGACTTCTATTTTTAGTTTTTTATGTGTATCACAAAATGAAAATAATGATGTAACAAATTTCAAAATTCTTAACACATTATGAAGTTGATAAAGTAAATGTACTTATGATGTTAAAAAGAAAAAAAATTACTCCATCATTCTGCCTTCAGTGAAAAATTACAAATATAAATAATTCAGGGTCCATATGGATTAAAGGTGATGTATATAAATTGTCTGGCATATAGAAGTTGCTCAATAATGTTAAATATCATTATTACAAGAGTTCTGTAAGCTTTGTTCTACTCTCCTGGGAGATAGACGTGTATTTTTAATGTTATTTATATAGGAAAACACTTTCCCAGTGCCAAGTGTCCAATTTGTAAATGAGTTTCTGGACAACCCATTCAGGCATCGTACATTATCTACACTAAGAGAGGGATATAGATGCTTAACCTGCAAAGCATAGAAAGAGCAATGCCAGGATCTTATCATTTCCATCATCCTTTTGTTTCTGCCTGTTCCCAAGGTGGCCCAAATTTGAATGTTGGCAGAAATGTTGCCATGTTTAGGAGAAAAGTTCTTCCAAATCAACCTGGAGATTATGAAGGCAGATGAGAGGGGTCAATCAAAAATAACAGAGTAAAAAATGATCCAGACTTTTTTTAATATTTAGAAATAGGAATGTTTAACCATAGAAATGCCTAAAGACTAAAGCACAATATTTATCGTAATTTTTAAAAATAGTCAAATATAAGTGCATAACTCCGGGGGATTAGTAAGTCTAATGATGGTGCATGTGTACAATGAAATACTCAGCAGCTGATAAAAGTGATGATAGAAAATTATTATTTCCTGCTTCTTGCAATTACAGTGTATTCATGCTATATTGTAAGCTGAGAGAGAGAGAGAGAGAGAGAGAGAGAGTGTGTGTGTGTGTGTGTGTGTGTATGTGCATGCCTAGGAAAGCCACGTACAAAATGCTCACAGCTGTAATGTCTAGGTATTTAGATATTTGGTGACTCTACAAAAAGTTATTTTTTTCCTGTCAATATTTTCTCTTTTCTATACTGATTTCATAATTTACTAAGTGAGATATCTGGTTATGCTTTATTTCTCATTGTTTGTATGTTTTCTTTTCCCAGGGCACTCAGAAACATACATCTAAGGAAAGATTCACTTAAAAACCAGCCAAGACACAGTCATATAATTGGGATCTCCAGGGCCCTGAGTAAAGACAGTCTCCTCCCACTTCATCGTCGGTAAATCAAACTCTCCACAGATGGTAATAAATTTAATAAAATAATGTCGTTTCATTGCAACAAATACCACATAGAGGAAAAGATGGCTTTCAAATGGATTATTTTTTCCAGGGCATTTCCAGGTTTTCCTGTGAGTTTCTTGCACCTACAGAGCCTGGCCAAATACTACAATCCTGAAGGCCCAGAAACACTGGGAATGCACAAGGGAGTTCGACTAAACATGAGGCTCTGCGCCTTCTCACTCGTCTTCAGAATAGTTTGTGGAAAGTCCCCTTGCCCTCTGCCCCAGCTCGGGTATGCCACCTGCCCTCAGTCCAGCCTTGGTGGCCTCAACCAAATTTAGATGCGTAATGCCACGTGCGGTTAATGGATGGTACCAAAAGGGCGCGCGGCTTCTATCTCCGCCAGCGCCGCTTTGTTACCTCTGACAACCACTCGAGGCTGGGAAGAGACCTGTGTCGTTTCCACTCAGCTCCAGCCCAGCAACTAAGTACATTCATACTAGGGACATCAATCTCAGATGCCAAAGCCTGGAGATTTGCATTGCAAATAGGCGAACGTGGTGACATTTCACCACTGGGAGCAGAACCTGAGGCATCTTCCTCTGTGAGAGCTATGGGGGGGGAATCCACTTTGTAGTCAAATTGAGTGCAGAAGGAAGGCAAGAGGGAGGGCAGAAATTGGACCACTCTAATTTTGAACGACAGAAAGAATATTGATTTTTGAAATATTGTGGTCACTTTTTTTTTTTCCCAAACCATGGGCTTTTCCTCCAGTACTGAGATCAGCTTTCTGCATTTCCGCTTCCAACCCATAAACCCATAGCTGAGGCCCAGCTTGTGTATATGTATCCTATGGACTGCCTTTTCCTGACCCGTGTCTTCTGGAAGGGTTTACTTAATTATTTTTTTCAATTCTTATGTCCCATTCAGATGTCTCACTTCTGTAATTCTCTATCATTTAAAATCTTTAACAAGGATTCTTATACAAAATGGTGATAAACATAGAATACTTTTATTTGAGCATTAAATAAGTTACTGTATAGAAAGGGTTTTGTGCTTGATGCGTCTTAGCTATTATTGTCTTGTTATTTTGTTAGGGCAGTTATTTTTCTAGGAGGCAGTGTTGGGGGTGGAGAACCTGGTTTTGACATAGAAAGATCCGGGTACCAGGCCGGGCGCGGTGGCTCACATCTGTAATCCCAGCACTTTGGGATGCTGAGGCGGGCAGATCACGAGGTCAAGAGATCGACACCATCCTGGCCAACATGGTGAAACCCTGTCTCTACTAAAAATACAAATATTAGCTGGGCATTGTGGCGCATACCTATAGTCCCAGCTACTCAGGAGGCTGAGGCAGGAGAATCGTTTGAACTCAGGAGGTGGAGGTTGCAGTGAGCTGAGACTGCGCCACTGCACTCCAGCCTGGTGACAGAGCGAGACTCTGTCAAAAAAAAATAAAAAGAGAAAGAAAGGAAGGAAGGAAGAAGGGAGGGAAGGAGGGAGAAAGGAAGAAAGGAAGAAAGGAGGAAAGGAAGATCTGGGTACGAATCTTTACTACTCTCCCAAGTTTATGACTTGACTTCAGACAAGTTACTTAACATCTACAACTGGAGTATGCAAATATAAAATGGGGATAAATATAGCACTTACTTTCTAATGTTGTTGTAGGAATTTAATGTTGGACATAATGGGCTTAGCCCAAGGACTTGCAAATACTAAGGGCTGATGAAGAACTGGATATTGTTATTTAATTATATACTGTCCTGCTGAATAGCCTCATGTTCGTGGATTTGTAGTAAGACAGACCTGGTTTGGATTCCAGACCTGCTGCTCAGTTGCTGTAGAACGTATTGAAACCTTCAGAGACTAATTTTTCTCAACTGTAAAATACAGATGTTAAATCATATCTCATGTGGTTGTGTGTTAGAACACTGAGGCTGCTATAACAAAATGCCATAGACTGGGGAGCTTAAAAGCAACATAAGTTTATTCCTCACAGTTCTGGGAATTCCAAGACCAAGGCTGCAGCCTGTGGATCAGGTGTCTGGTGAGGGCCCACTTTGTGGTTTATAGATAGATGGCGCCTGCTCAGTGTATGTTTGTGTGGTGGAAGGGGCTAGCTAATTGTCTAGGATCTCGTTCATAAGGGTGCTAACCCCATTCGTAAAAGCTCTGCCCTCATGACCTAATCACTTCCCGAAAGCTCTACCTCCTGATACCATCACATTGGGGGTTAGGTTTCAACACAGGAATTTGAGGGGGAAGGCAAGGCGCAAACATCCAGACCGTAGCAAATTGTTTTGAATATTAAATGAGATAATATGGGGCCAACATCTGGTAACATGTTTTTAAATTTTGTGTTATTCAAACAGTATAAATTGTATACAGTTTGGGATCGAACTGCAGCTACTCCCCTCCTCCCCCTTCTTTTTCTATTAGAACTCCATCTTATTACAGTGGTACTCTCAACGTGGCCTAGGAACCTGACACTCTTTCAGGATTTTGTGAGGTCAATACTATTTTCATAGTAATACCAAAATATTATTTACCTTTCCTACTATCATTTTCACACAACTGTACAGTGGAGTTTTCCAGAGAACGCATGGGATGGTCATCACCTTGAAGCTAACATGTGATGGGTTTACAATTGTCCATTTTAAAATAAGTGTTTATAAATGAAATCAGTATGCTGAAGAGATATCTGCACTCTCATGCTCATTGAAGCATTATTTGCAATAGCCAAGACATGGAATCAACCTAAGCATCCATCAACAGATGAACAGATAAAAGATAATGTGGTATATATACACAATGGAATACTATTTAGCCTTACAAAGAAGGAAATCTTGTCATTTGCATCAACATAGATGAACCTGGGGGACTTTATGCTAAGTGAAATAAGCCAGACATAGGAAGACAAATACCCCATGGTCTCCTTTATATGTGGAATCTAAAAAAGTTGAACTTCTAAAAGTAGAGAGTAGAATGATGGTTTCCAGGGGCTGGGGAAGGGAGGAGTGAGATTAAGGAGATGATGGTCAAAGGGTAATAAAATCTCAGACTGAAGGAATAAGTTCAGGAGATCTGTTGTCAAACATGCTGACTATAGTTAATAACTACATATCATACACTTTAAAATCGCTGGAAGAATGGATCGTAAATGTTCTCACCACACACAAAAAAACTGGTAAGCATGTGAGGTAATGCGTATGTTAATTAGCTTGATTTAGCCATTCCACAATGCATACATATATACAAACATTATGTTATTCACCATGAACATATGTAATTTTTATTTACTAATTAAACCAAATAAATACATTGAAAAACCATGAAAAATAAATGTTGTAAATAAATATTTTAAACCTTTAAAAATGTAATTCCTAATACAGGAAATACTGGCAGATATAATCCATATAAACAAAATCTTTTTGAAGGTCCTCAATACTTTTTATGAGTGTAAGGGAGTCCAGTGACCCAGTTTGATAATCACTATCCTATTATATTGTAATTTATCTGTCTATGCACCTCTGCGTATATTTGTATATGCATCTCTCTAGAACAGCCTTTGAGACAAGTGCTATATTTAATGTTTTGTTCATAGTTCCTAGCTCAGTACCTGCACCCAGTAAAGGTTCACCAGCTGTGTGCTGAGAAAACCAATGACCTATAATTTATGTTGCGTGTTACAACTCCCCACCTAGAATGTAATCCGGTTAATTTGTACATTTCTTGTATACTGTTGTTTTCCTCTCCTTGTAGCATCTAATCATGCTGTATATGAATCAGCTGTCCCTGGGATCGGGTAAACCGAACGTTATCATAGGAGATGTGTTCTGCTTTCTAGTGGTGAGGTGGAGTCTCCAGGTGCAGCCTGACTGCCAGAAAGTCCCCTGGACTCCTCAGGTCCTGGTCACTTCCTAGACTGGAGTTGTGGCTGAGTTACTTCTGCGGGCACCAAAATCACAAATCTGTCTCCTCCGTTTCATCGATGGTTCGTGTTCATTACTGCAGTATTCCCACAGTGCTTGTGGAAGAATTAGGGTTCAATTATTTTCTACTTTTCCCACCGATTCCTTACTTCTTCAGCCTTTTTAAATTTTATTTTATTTATTTATTATTTTTTCTGATAGTCTCCATCCTTAATGCCTGGTGCCCTTAGCTATGAACAGCTTCTGACATATCTGGATCTTGTCCCACCCTATCTCTTTCCCCTAATATTCTCTGTCCTTTGTCTCCACCTATCAAAATCTATCTGTTCGTCAGGATCCAAACTTACTGCCCTACGTCCATGAAACCTATACGAATTCAGCACCTTTCTTTAGGGTTGCATAGTCTTTATCACCGTCCATCTGATAGAAATCCATCGTCCTTGGAATGTCTATTTTTCCAGTATCCTGTGAGCTCCATATGGGAAAGAACTAATTCTTGCTCAATGTTATTGAACACTGTACATGACTTTTCATCAAAGTTCACTATGAAATCTGAAATCTCTTTTATTCAAACCTTGATTGCGCGCCCTAAGTATCTTTCCATATTGTTAAAATCATCCCCTTTGAAAATCACAGGGAGAGACAATTTCTTTTCACTCATATTCTATGAAAGAAAATCAGGTACTATGAAATATATCCAAAAGGAAAAGGAAGCCATTTTTATCCACAAGGGCTGTTCATCAGTGTTTCACAATGGGCATTTCACTGTTGCCTGCAGTAGCATGGAAGTTCAGGAGGTATGTAAACATGTATGGGATGCTTGCTGAGTACAAAGATCTGTGCTCAGTGCAGTGCTTACAAAACTTTAGCCCTGATCTGCACACCCAGAGAGCACATTCCTGTTAAAGCACAAAAGCAAATTACTAAGTGAGAATAACTGGTTCAGGAGGAAGATGTTGGTAAAGAGAAAGGAAAGAGGTTGTTGTAGCAAAAGCCAGATTATGGAGGGTCCCATATGCCATATCCCGGAGTTTCCATTTCTTTTCTATGCAAAACTCTATAAAATGATGTAACAGGAAGTGATAGAATCCTCATGACTCACAGGGGAAAGATTTACAGGTTCACAAACCAGGTGCCATCAATGTTGCCCTCAAACCACAGAGCTGATAAGAAGAGCCTCAGCCGCCCCAGTTTGCAGGTTCAGTTCTACTTAGGCAAACTGCATTTGAGTGTATTATTCCCACCTCTAAACTTTTCCCAAGTTAATAGCAAAATTTAATATTGATGTTTTTTCTGGAGCATATCATGACCCCTCAGGACTTCAAAATGAGTCAGGAAATATCCCACAGGCAGGCTCGTCTGACATGCTTTCCAGACTTCGCAAGAAAATCTCAAAGGCTTTTATTTCTCAGGGAAATACAGTATTTCTCCCTCAGCCCAAAGTTAGTTCTTTATCTTCAAGTAACTATAAACAAATACAGTTTTGGCAATCACCACTGGGAAAGATAATGCTGATGCGGTTATCAAAAATTCCACTTTCACTCAGCCTCTCTTTTTCCCAGGATTTCACAGCTGTTTCATGTTTCCTTGCATTCTTCAGTTGCACTACATTTTGTTCAGTATTAAATGGGCAAAGCAGAGACTCTGCTTTCTTTAGGACATGACTTTCTGTCTCTGAACTGGAAGCTCTGTTTTAAGCATTAAGACTCTTGGTTCCCAATTTACCAGTTGCTCTCCATTTAAAGCAGCAACAATATCCCCAGGGCAATTGAGTAAATGAAGTTACATTCTCTACAATTAATGAAACACATTAATATCATTACACTTTTCTCCACTTCTTTTCCCAAATTTTTAAATAAGGTTTCCAAGCATATCTGCTTTATACTGCAAAACCGGAAGAATGATACTGAATAAAAAAGGAACATAAATGAGCAATATTTTACATTAAGGGGGCAAAACCATTTTACAGCATTTTTAGTCCTGTATGCCCTTTCTTGATGAATTGTGTTGACCCAAGACTAAATTGGCTTAGTGGACTTTTCTTAAAGATACAACATGCTAATTTGCTTTTATATTAAACATTTAATTTAATTTAATATATTTTCTGGACTTATTCTGGAAAATATATTCCTCATTTCTTGGTAAGAATAGACTCCAATTTTACTAGCATCAGAAAGCAACAACAGCAGAAAAGACTAGTGCCATCAATGACAACATAGAATACTACTACAAACACGTGTGATTTCGATTATAGCTCTATATGAATAGAAGATAGGGAAATTCTCTAGTGTTATCAACAGATAAACAGATAACTGATAGCTATTAGTCCACCTGATTAAGACTTTTTGTATATTTTTAATTTTTCTACTAAAATTTTATCTTACTTTTGATGTCAGAAAAATAATACAAATTTATTTAAAATTGTAAAATATATATAATTTGAAATTATGTATATATTGCCTTGATCCAAAAATGATTTCAGGCAAATTTTAGATGTGTGTAGCCTTAAAATTTATCTTTTGATTATCTTGAAGAATAGATACATTCATCACATATTCATTGTAACGTACTGCGTGCTAAGCACTGTGCTGGGAGAATAGACATCGTTTGGAATATCTGGTTAAAGTGCACCTGCGCACGCGCACACACACACACACACACACACAGAAGATATAATTTGTCCCTCAGCAGATTTACCTTTCTAATTATGCTTTTCTTAAGACAATATTAAAATTAGCTAGCACTCCCTAAACACAAATCCACTAATGGTAGAGGAAGTGGCTCTGGAGTAAAAGTAATCTCAGGGTATTAGCAGTTCAAGCTCTTCAGGCTCTTTCAGTTCCACACCAAAAGGACTACAGCAAGCCCTCTCTTGCACAAGGAGTAGCAATGATTTACTACCCCACTAATTCCTCATGTGTTGTGCTGTAAGCAGCAGGCCCTTGGTTGTCAGAGATGACATCTTTCAGATGGGAAGTCAAGATGATCATTAAAACACCCATGGTATGTTCCACCAGTGCAGGATGGTTGTTAGTTCTAATGATCCTGGCAGCATTCCAAGCTGGGAAGCCATGTGCTACCTCTCTTGAACATTCCCCTGAAATTTCAGCTGAAGAAGTTGCTTTTCAGTTACCATCACCGTCTATTTCTAGTGCTTCAGACAGCTGCTAGACAGATGCCTTTTCACACTCCAGACATGACTGATTTCAATAATAGGCATAATAATGTTATTGGAATCATTATTTTGGAATCAGGGTCCAAACATGCTAGTTTCCATGGAAATTATAAGTATAAAAGTATTAATATTGCTGACCTTAATGATTGTACTAGGATGGAAGTTGCACTATTTTAGAATTTTTTTTTTTCATTTTTTGAGACAGAGTCTCTCTCTGTTGCCCATGCTGGAGTGCAGTGGCGCTGTCTTGGCTCACTGCAACCTCGCCTCCCGGGTTCAAGTGATTCTCCTGCCTCAGTCTCTCAAGTAGCCAGAATTACAGCCACCACGCCTGGTTAGTTTTTGTATTTTTAGTAGAAACGGGGTTTCACCATGTTGTCAGGCTGGTCTCAAACTTCTGAGCTCAAGTGATCCATCCACCTTGGCCTCCCAAATTACTGGGATTACAGGTGTGAGCCATGGTGCCCGGTCAGAAATCGTTTTACTAGTTGTTATCTTGAATGTGATTTAATTTGGCATAAGTGAATGTCACTAATGTTTTCCTTTTGTGTAGTACTTCAACACTTTCACTTACTATCATCTAATGGTTAGAGTAGGTACCGTCCTCTTCTTACAGCTGAGCAAGTTGAGGCTCAGAGAGTTTAATTCATAGCTCATTTAAGGTCACTTGGTAAGTAACAGGGTCTAATTTATCCCCTATTACACTGTTGTCTGCACCTATTAAATTGTGAGTTCCAGGAGGGCTTGGAGCAAGTCTGTTGCATTTACCCAGCACCAACATTCTCTTAAGACATAAGAATAATTCAAGAAAAATTTTGAATTCATGAGCAAAAAGGAGGTGAGTTTTAAACTCATGCCTCCGACGAAACTAGGATTTTTCAATCTGCGACATATTCTACAGACCCATTTTCTGGAAATTGCGATCCTCTACAATTACTTTGCAATTTTTTAATGATCCCATAAACAAAACATGAGCATATTCTGGACTGTCTGGAAATTAGGTTCTGCCACTCAATTTCAGTGCTGTAATTTACATTTTTTTGTTTTTGATGTATTAAGCCAAAAAGAAGGCCAAATTGCATCTGAGTTCATTATTTAAACTATGTTTAAGATGAATACCATATTCACCTTCACGACAGACATATTGCATGGATCATGTTTTTATGTATAACAGCATGCGCCATTTCCTTAGCAGTAGGTGTAATGCTAAAAAGACAATGAAGAATTTTTTCTATTTCTATTTCCAGTTTCAGCAACAATTGAATGAATTACATACCCATTTAATGAAGTTATCACTAATGCAATAACACCAGCATTATATTCAAGTGAACAAGAAAGTCTTACAGATATAACAAATAATTCTTGGCGTTCAAGGTAATGAAAAACAGTGTACCAAACCAAATGGTGTTTGGAGGTATGTCACATGCAGTCTGGATAAAGTTTGAGGCTCAGTAATCTCAGAATAGCAAACAGGGTCTTAGAAAAGTTATATATATATATATAGAATAATTGTTTTTATATATATATAGAAATCATGTATCTATGGAACAATTGTTTTATATATAGAAATTGTTTTATATATAGAAGTTATATGTATACATAATCAGTGCTATGTCTTCTAAGAATTCATTTCTTTACTGAATTATCATATATGAGTGTTATATCATATACATATATAAATAATCATTTCTTTAATGAACTATCCCTATACAATTGTAATTATATAACTATAACTATATATATATATATAGTTTCACCACATACAAATTCTGTAATAAAACTGAAGTCAAAATACACACATAAACTTTTTGGATAGCCATATATGAGGCTACATGCTTCTACTAGAAGCCTCAACTTTTTAGTTTTAGTAAAATAAAATAATCCACCATATTAAAAATAATGTTTTTAATTGGATTTTATTGGCTTTATGGTTTTGCATGCATTGAATTTATGAATTTGCTTAGAACTTCTAGTTGTAAAGGAATTGTAAGCATAAATATTTTCTATCTAGTTACATCTACATATATTTAATATCATTATAACAATGATGACTTAAACCAATGCTGTGTCTTCTAAGAATTAATTTCTTTACTGAATTCTCATATATGAGTGTGTGTTATATAATATAAACATATATGTAACGATCATTTCTTAAGTAAATTATCCCTATATAATTGTAAATTTCCCAAAATCACTTATTATATCATTGCTGTTGTTTACAAAGTATAAGTGTGCTTGTATGTATGTATATAATAAATTGATATCAATGGAGGGAAATGATAGACTTCAAAAAGAACTAAAAAGTGAAAACTAGAATGCCAAATTTCAAAAAAAGATGAAAATTAATAGCATTTTATTTTTTACTTTTAAGTCCCATTTTTTGTGTAAATAGTCATATTTCAAATTTAAATAAAAGCATGAGACAAAATTACTTTAATGTTTTATCATTATACTTATACATAGCATTTTCAAATATCCAGTATCATATTTTACTCCTGAAAGGATATTTTGAGAAATTACGTGTATATTGGAAAGTAATAGCAATTTTGAAAACATTATACACTAAAAATGTATCAATAAGTATAAATCATGTTTTGAAAACATTTAACAATTTGGGGTAAAAAATGGTAGCAAGTTATTGTAAATAATTCAAGCAGAAAAATATAAAAGAAAAAAAGAAAAAGCGTTGTTGAGTCCCACCATTCAGAGAGAGCCACTGTTAATCTTTTAGGGTACATTCTTTCAGACATTCTACTCTACACTTACGTACATTATAATGTGTATGTTTTATTTTGAAGCTGTTTCTAAGTAGGTACCAAGTACATGCAAAGAATGATTCAAGCAAGTGAATCAATTTAATAAAGCCAACTAACATCAGTCTCACTATTGAAGAAAACTAGGTAGAAGAACCCATAGATTATGCAATTGATTAGTGTAATTAAATGTAACAGTAAAGAAACAATTATTATGGGATAAAGGAATTACCAATAATTTCAACCAAGGAACTGTAACATGAGTTTTTCCCACTGGATCTAGCTTATGTTGAGCAATTACAATGTTCTTTAAGAAACCTTGAATTTATAATAAAGTAATAGGAAGAGGGCAAAGTGTTTTTATGTTATCATTTTAGGAATTGCACTCGACTACATTATTTGATAGTATCTCTAAATTAATTAAGAAGTCTGTTAGAGGTATTCTTAATAAAGCTGGCCAATTTTTAATTCAGGTTGACACCACTGAAGATACAAGCATAATTGCTATTGGTTCAGAATCTGGAGATTATCTGATATCAGTCCTCAGCATATGTTCAAGCATAGTAAAACCCTCATTAATTTAAACTTCTTCATTTGAATTTCATGACAATTTGAACAAGGTACACTGTTCTTCATTACCTTGAAAGAAAAGTTCCCAATAGGAAAAAAAAAAAAAGATAAATAAGCCCAACACGATATCAGAGTACAATGTAAAGAATGAATAGAACACACAATTTTCAAAAATTTAGTGTTATTTGTGTGTACACAAATGTAGTGACTATGCAATGAACAGATATAACCTGCTCTTAAAGAGAAAGTATATTTAGCATGACTTATATTTGGAAATACTCTTAATGTAATGTGTTTTCTATTTGTCTGTCTGTCTATCTGATCATCCATCCACCTTTCTGCCTCATCTATCTAACTCTTAAAGTTCATATCTTCACTAATTAATAATGGCACCCTTCCATGCTTTTTCATATTAATTGCATTTAATTTATTGGGGAAAAGTATGTTATCAAACTTGTTGAAACACCCACATTCATGTAGACAGTATCTCACGGGAAATGTAAATATGGACGATCATTTCAATATCTTGAAATCATGGCTTAACCTTGTAAAGTTCAAGCTACCGAAATGTTAATGGCAGTGGTTCACAACCAGGACTTGTTTTTGCCCATCAGAGAATATTTGACAAGCTCTAGAGGCATTTTTATTTGTCACAACTGGGGGTGCTACTGGAATCTAGTCAATAGATTACAGGGATGCTGTCAAACACCCTACAATGTCTGTGGCATTCCCCCACAACAAGGTAGTCAATAGGGCCAACATACTATTTTGATTTTAATGATGATGAAATTGGTTACTGACATAATTTAATAAATTTATTGTCCAAGAGGACAAACATGAAATTGACCGGCTGGGCGCGGTGGCTCATGCCTGCAATCCCAGCACTTTGGGAGGCTGAGGCGGGCAGATCACGAGGTCAGGAGATCGAGACCATCCTGGCCAACATGGTAAAACCCCGTCTCTACTAAAAATGCAAAACTTAGCTGGGTGTGGTGGCTCACGCCTGTAGTCCCAGCTACTCAGGAGGTTGCAGTGAGCTGAGAGGGCCCCACTGCACTTCAGCCTGGCAAGAGAGCGAGACTGTCAAGAAAGAAAGAAAGGAGAGAGAGAGAGAGAGAGAGAGAGAGAGGGAGGGAGGGAGAGAGGGAGGGAGAGAGGGAGGGAGAGAGGGAGGGAGGGAGAGAGGGAGAGAGGGAGAGAGGGAGGGAGGGAGGGAGAGAGGGAGAGAGGGAGAGAGGGAGAGAGGGAGAGAGGGAGAGAGGGAGAGAGAGAGAGAGAGAGAGATTGACCAAAAACATTAGTTTGGCAATACTGAGGTCCACTACAAATCACCTCCCAAAAAAACATGACCTAGTTTGCCCCCAAGTTGAATGAGAAATATTAAAGTTGGCAAGACTTCTATAATAATACCATGTAAAAGTAGGACCTAACGCAGATTTGTTGACCCAATGCATGCTCAGGTCAGTCAAGAGGAAGAAAAGGAAACTTGAGGCAAGGGAAGATGTGAAACAATTCAAAGTGATGCATATGACTCCAGCTGCTGCCGTGTGAAGTACCACCGTGAGATACAGCAGCTTTCTCAGCAGGCTTGTCTACGAAAACATCAGGGACTCCCCTGGAAATTGTGCAAAGTAAAACCTCAGAGTCTTTTTTGGAAGATAGCAAAGAAGAAAATTTTATTTTTGTCATGGGTCAAAGTTTACCCCATGAGGGGTTTAACCCCCAAACACATTTCTGATTGGCATCATCTCTTCCCTTCTGTGACTTAAAGGATGCCAGAATCCTGACCTTGCCTTTCATCGAAGTCTTAATGTGGTAGAAGGCTCCAGGTGTGTGGCTGTTTGGCTGGCATCGTCTCAAGCCCAGACCTATATTTACTGACTTAGAATCTATATTTTAACAAGTGGGTGATTTGTGCATACAGTGAGGTTTAAAAACCGCTACGCTATACCACACGGCCTTTCCACAACCTCGTGTGGGTCAATCATTCCTTGATATTGGTTCAGAACCAACTTGGGTGCACACCTGAAGGAACAATTGTTTCCTCTTCTTCGGCTGTTTCCTTTAAACATCAGGGGAAATGTGTTTGTGTGCCACAGACCTCAGAAGTGGGGTCCACACTCAAACCGTCTAGGAGGTTTACTTCAACATGAAATGGAAATGAAAGTTTAGGTTTCTGTCCTGGGCATGCCCAGTATGAAATCTCTCCCAGGGAGTAAGGCAAATTTTGTCTGTGGCCTTGAAAATTATGGTTCATGTGGCCTTGAAAATTATGGCCCATGCTTGGAGCTTGGAGCTACCCCAAGCTCTCATGAACGTGATTCAAGATCCTTTCGAATCTGGTCTCATGTTTCTAATGTTCCAGATACCATTTGCAATAACTGTCAACAAGTGCTAAAGCATTATAACAATTAAATACTGGTGGCTTGAGTATTAGTCTTCATTCAACACACTTTTACTAAATACCATCCCTGTGCAGACAAGAGGCAAGGTACTGGAAATACAAAACTGATCAAGACACAGCCTCGTTCTCAAGAAGTTCACAATCATTTTGGACGTATTGCTTGACATTAACAAATAAGCAGGCTCATAGTGGGCTTTAACACAGAAAAAATGGCACTAAAAGATATACATTGATAATAAGGTCATGCTCGGTGAGAATGTTCATGATAATGATCATCTAATATGTATCATATGCAGATACATTATGGTTCCAAGCGTATGTGGCTCTAATAAACAGTGTCCGGTATTTGTGGATTATCTTTCCAGGGGAGCACAGTTGTAACTGTTGTACGTGCTCTACTTGCCTACAGCAGAACATCTTGTTTCTGTGGGATTCTTCAGTCTGCCCTCCCATGGGAAAACTGATCAAGAGAAAGCAGAGGCGTCTACCTGTGATGGATATGTTGGAAAGGTGTATTTAGCATGCATATTCTATGGCAGTATATGTAAATACAATTAAAATCTACTGACATATCTTGGGGAAATTAATTTTTGTGTATTAAAATTATTCCAATTTCCCTGGATACATGAGGCTGCCTTGAATCAGTTTCCCTAATTTTTAACATTGGCATGGTCCCTAAGCAAAGCTACTGTGGGTCTGTTTCATGACTGGGGTAAGCTCAGGGAATACCTAAACACTTTACAGACTTTATTTTTAACATTGAAAACTTCTATAAGAAAGGTATATCTGGAAAAGGATAGAAAACAAATAAATAGAAAAGTTATAGCAATCGTAAAAGTGGTCATGATTGTATTTTCATTCTCTACCCTAAAGGTGTCTTTGAATACCATTTCTGGAAAATTCCTGGCTCTTTAAAAGTATGGTATAAACTGACAAAATTCTCATTTGGGGGATAAACAATTCCCAAACAGACTCTTCCTATAAAACCAAATACTTTTAAAGCTTTGAAAATAGTTTTTTAGTCTTCTTTAACTTCCAACGACAGCTTGGGGGATAGAAAAGAAGAGGTTATTTGGCAGGAATCCAAAGGTTGAAATGCTTTCAGTTGACTTCATTTTTATTTCTGTCCAAAGTTTGACCATGTTTGCTTAAAACTGCACTGACCTTCATGAGAGAGCCAGTGGCTGGAAAAATTTCAAAATAAAAATAAAGGCTAATTCCAAAATTAAGCTTACAACATATGGTATAATCTCCTGAATAACATACGCAAATAAAATGTTTCTAACAGCATTTCAATGCCATGATTGTATGAAACAGAGACATGACATAACTTAAAAACAAGAAAGACAAGAGGGTGTGCTCTAAGGTACAAGTATCTGAGAAAAAATTTGCCTTTTCAGAGAACACCCTAGCATATCACACATACAACCAGAAGCATATAATCCTGGGGCTATTACCTGCTCTGTGTACTCACAAAAAGAGTTAGGTAGCTCAAATAAGTTGCCAAAGGCCTAGGGTTATTATTTGTTGAATAGAACTGTTAGCAACTTCATTTGGTGTGGGTGTTACATGAGGATTCATTAATTAGTGTTTGCAAAGCACATCAAAGATGAAAAGCTCTAAACACTAATGATAACCAATTTCACATTCCTCAGCAATGCCTGCAGTGATTTCTGCATGTAGAGAAATGATAGAAATAAGCTTTCATACTTCATCAACACATCACTTAAAAGGTGACTCTTCAGTGGATTAAACAGAATACAAAATTGAAAACTGGGAGACAAGGGAGTTTGCAACGGTATTAATTATATACATGGGCATTTTAATGATTGACAAATGAAAGAGAGAAGCACACAATTTACATACATCTCTGAGCAAGTGAAGTTTGTTTGGTCGAATAATTTAAGGAACAGGATTCTTTGCTATTTGACCCCAAAGACGATGGATAATCACTGTTTCACATTAGACCATCAATATTGGCTTAACTTTTTCAAATGTCTACAAGGAAAATACTGGCACTGTCTAGTTGTTAATAGACTATTCTTTTGCAAAGTAATTAGTATTGGCTTTATTTTGTTTGACATAGTACATGTTCAATTCAAGGACAACAATTGCAGACTCTGGGTTCTTTTTTTTTTTTTTTTTCATTCAAATTAGTTTTTAGTTTAAAAGTAGCAGTCTTGCCTCCCAGGATGATGAGCATGAAAACATTTTACATTATCCCTAAATTCTCTCAAGTATTTTTTCAGAAATAAACGATCTGTCCCAATTGATGAGATCCACAGAAAGGGGTACAACACTCACTGTCATAATTTTATCATTCACTCAGCTTTATTTTGTAACTCAAAGAGGAAGTTATTTTTTTCTTTTCAACTAGACATATGTGCCTTAAAGTATAATGAGTTTCAGCAAAAAGAGCTTTCCTGCCCCTGTAGAACATTTTTAAATTTTAGACTTATGTAGAAAATTCTATTTTGCAATTGATATACATACAACATATACATATGGGTGGAATCCAATGAATTTGGTACAATAGCTAGACATGTTCAAATTAGCAGTCTTCACTTGGAGCTTGCTAAGGCACCAGCAGAACCTGTCTAGGAAAAAGATGGAGTTCAAGATGGCTAGAGCAATCACTGTAACATCCCTTAGTGTTTCACAGAGAAAACTAAGGGAAGATGACAATAGCCTTTAAAAGTTCCAGGGAAATGAAAGAAAAGGATCCAATTTCCAAAGAAAAATAAGTCGGGGGTCAGATCAGATATCAGCATGCACAACTCACCAGAAATATGCCCCAAGCTGCAGCTGCTAAGTGATTTCTTTAAACCGTGAGATCACTGTCCCTTTTGATAGATATTTAAAACAAATAAATAAACTTGTTAATGGAATAACAGGTCATGGAATCCTCCTGCTTGCTACAGAAGAAAAAAAATAAATCGGAGCAAAGCAAGTTTATATCTGAGATTCACTTCCTAGTATACAGCTTAGAAGACAGCCTACTAAAATTGTGTGTGTGCGTGTGTGTGTGTGTGTGTGTGTGTGTGTGTGTATATTACCACGCTGAGTGACAAAATGGTAGCTGTCATAATGTGCCAGTTAACATGTTCAATAGAAGCTGATTGTTGAGTGTCCCCTGGGAAAAGAAGACAGAAACATGACAAAGAACAAAGAACTTGGATCAATAATGCTTGGGGAAATAAGACGGAGAAGGTTATTTACTTGCATTGATCCGCTGCTGTCGTCGCGTAAACTTGGCCTGTTTTTCTTTTGTTAACCTTTAAGCCTGGGTATACTCAGAGGCAACCAAGGAGCCAACTAACAGGTGTAGATTAAGGATCGAAGGAGGTCACCGTACCTCTGTCACCACCAGGCACCCATGTAACAACATCCCTGAAGAAATTTAAACATCAATAGCCATAATAAGGGCAAATGTATCAAGCCTGGCCAGCTCTAGCTGGAAACCTGCCTGCGTCCAGCTGGTTTGCCCTTGCTAAAGCTCAATTGATTTGGACATTCTTTTACTAGAGTTGATTATCAATTGTGACATTGCAAATTTGTTACCTTCCAAGTGCTGAGTGTAATGTAGCCATTGGAGTCTCTGAAGTGAAAACACCTGGACTTAAGTTCCCCCTCACTAGTGAAAAGAGGGAAGCGGGTGACAATCTTGCTCTTTGGCGCCTAGGCCAAACCAGCTGCACTTTGGATTCAGTCTGGGCTTCTCCCGGAGAAGAAGATGAGGAAGAAGCAGAAAGAAAGGATTTTTCAGATCAGTTGAGATTTGTTGAGCAGAAAGTTAAGTGCCCTATTGAAGGCCCCATCTGTAAGCTAGATCAACCTCTTTTTTTTTTTTTGAGATGGAGTCTCGCTCTCTTGCCAGGCTGGAGTACAGTGGTGTGATCTCGGCTCACTGCAACCTCTGCCTCCCAGGTTCAAGGGATTCTCCTGCATCAGCCTCCCGAGTAGCTGGGACTACAGGTGTGAGCCACCACGCCCAGCTAATTTTTGTATTTTTAGTAGAGACAGGCTTTCACCATGTTGGCCAGGATGCTCTCGATCTCTTGACCTTGTGATCCGCCCGCCTCGGCCTCCCAAAGTGCTAGGATTACAGGCATGAGCCACCATGCCTGGCCTAGATCAAACTCAAGACATGCTATTTTCTGCACCTGGAGCATCCTTGCCCATCCATCTCCGTTTACCCAAATCAGACCCAATCTCCAAGCCAGAGCTTGGAAGCTCTTTCTCTGAAATTTGCAATGTAAGTAGTTTTCTCTCACTCTCTCTCACTACTCTGTATTACACATACTTTTCTAATGTCTCTTTCTTCCCTAGTAGATAAACTCCTTGAAAGCAGAAGGTTGGTTTACATACTACAGTATTTACTAGGTCCCAATACTGCAAGTATCAACTATATTTAGTAAAACTTGCTGGTGGCTGAGTGCAATGGCTCATGCCTGTAATTCTAGCACTTTGGAAGGCTGAGAGGGGCAGATTGCTTGAGCCCAGGAATTGGAGACCAGCCTGGGCAACATGGGGAAACTCCATCTCTACAAAAATTACAAAAATTAGCTGGTGTGGTGGTGCACACCTGTAGTCCCACCTATTCATGGGGTCTGTGGTGGGAGGATTGCTTCTGCCTGAGAGGCAGAGGTTGCAGTGAGTTGAGATGACACCATTGCATTCCAGCCTGGGTGACAGAGTGAGACCCTATCTCAAAAACAAATAAAACTTGCTGGTGCATGAGTATAAACGAATAGAGGAATACCATAATTTAGATGTAGATAATAATTCCAAATTGAGTGATTAAATGATTAATATTAGGGTCTAATCAGAGGCAAAATTGCACATGGGTGGTTCATGTTCCGTAACTAGATTCTCTTTTCTGGGGCAATTTCCCATGCCTAGTATCTAGCTCTCTCTTCTCCACCTCCACCTCAGCTACACCTCCAGGCCTCTCTTCTGTGTACATTGAGCTCCCTTATCTGCCACTGGCAGTCATAATGAGTTACTGGTTATTAACGGGTCAGTGTAACTCAGTAGTAGGGGTATATATATTTGCTAACATTTTGTTAAGAATTTTTGTATCTAAGTTCATGATAGGTATTAGTCTTCATTTTTCTTTTTTACACTGTTTTGGTATCAGAGTAATGCTGGCTTCATTCAGCTATTTTTGTAAAGAAAGTTGCCAGTGGTGGAGTAACTGAAAACCCTTGTAGAAATCTTTGTGCCCATAGAATCCTTTAGATTTACAGTACCAGGTATTTCATATAAAGTACCCTGCTGGTATGCACAATAGACATGTGGTATAAGTAGGGCAGGTCTTACTACCTCTGCTCCATCCACTGTTAAGGAAATTGAGGCTTAGGGTGGTTCATTATCAGCCCGATATCACCCAGCTAGGAATTGGATAGCTTAGACAGGAACCAGCATCTTCTGACTTAACACCCCTGCTCTTTGGAGGCCTCTGGTTTTTAATCTTTATCCATATAGTGCTATTTCATACAAAACACAAACGATACAAGAAAAAGTAGGACTTATTCTGTAAAAGATTGTAGATGGAAGAAGTAGGGAGCAGATATGCATTACAGAAAGTACAATTCCACACTGTTCCAGCACAGTGCTTCTCACCTACTTTCCCTCTTGATCCATAAGGCAGATGGGATCACATTCAGAAAACCACTCAGACCACCTTATCCTCCAGTGCCCAAAAAGGATAAGTAGTTTAGCAACTTGTAACCATTCCAGCTTCATAATGCATCGTCAACTGTTTCCTACCGCGGGCTGTGGTGGAACTTGGAATCCCTATGAAGTGTCAATGATCTGTGGCAGGATGATCTACATAGCCAGAGTGCACCAGGACCCCCGGGTAAAAAGGCACCCCACCACTCTCCTCCCCTTCCCTTGTGGAGAAGTTCTGTGTGGTACAGTCCTCATTAAGGCCCATGGTAGCCTTTCTCTGCGGTGTCTGGAAAGCTGCTGTCTCCCCACAATGTGTCCTTTTCCTAAAACACATTAGTTTTCAGTTCACTCTTTCCAGGCCTGGTATCCACATCAGGAAAACAAAATAAATTAAAAACCCAAAACACCTTTCTAATGAGCCCTAATTGCTGCCTCTGCTGATGAGATCTGCAGAAAGGCTGAGCTCGGAAGGGGCCTTAGAAAACAGACTTCTTTTTCTTGTGAACTAGAGTCCCCCAAGGCAGCAGTAAGTGCTGGACTTGAGGACATGTTGTTTTCCAGTTGCCCATATGTCCTGTCTCCTGCACACAAAAGCTGGAGTGTCTCCTGCGGTCACAATGGGGTTTCCTGAAACAATCCCTCACCTAAAGATGACAAAGAGCAACAGTGAACTCTTCCTGATTTTGCCTGATTTGATAGCAAAATGCAAGCAAACATACTCCACACAACATAATAATGCCATGTTGGGACACCTGGAGGGTAAAGGAGTCAAGAATGTGTTTCCAGGAGACTGAATGAACCCTGCAACTAGACTTTGGAGTGGAACAGCCAATATGACCATTTTTTTATTCATACATTTATCACAGAATTCCTCATGGTATTGGTGAGGCCAGCCTGAGCTATGCGCTCAAGATAAAGTACTGCACCTGGCTGGCATGGTCGTTCCCTAATAGAGCTACCTGCAAGAACAAGATAGATATTAAACATAGTTGTCAAATACATGTCAATTTTCTTTCCATGTTTCATAAATTGTAAGAAGGAAAACCAGAAGGTGCTACTGAAATCATAATAAGGGAATGATTTAGGGAAGTTTCCTCAGAAGAAGGACCATTTAAGCCTTAGACATGAAGTGGAAATAGGAGGTAGTGGGGCCAAGAATGAAGGAGGAGGCAAAGAGAATCAAGTCTTTGAGGGGCAAAAGAGCTTGTTGCATCTGAAAAGCTGAGGAAAATTCACTCTCTGATGTGGGGCAAATGCTGTGTTGGGGCCATCATCAAGTGAAGAGCAAGGGTTTTGTCCCATGTTCAGCAAGAACCCACTGAAATATTTAAATTAGTTTGATGACATCATCTGGTTAACATTTAAGAAACCATCTTGGGCCATTCTTTGACAATTGGAGGTTGGCAAGAAAGAAAGTAGAGGTTCAGAATAGGAGGGTATTGAAATAACCAATGAAGAAGATGATCAGAGCTAAGAGTGTAGGATGTACACACACACACACACACACACACACACACACACACCTATTATGTGGATACAGGTTAAAAGAGAATTTAATATCTTTAGAGAGATGAGAGACTGTATCACATACTTTAAACAAGAATAGGTGATGTATACAGCTTTATATAATTAAAGATCTTGAAAAAGACAAATACAATGATTAAAATAAAGCACTAGAACCTAATCATTGAGAAGTTCAATGGATGGGATGGACAGTCTGGACATAGCTGAAGAACAATTGTCAGTGTGCTGAAAACCAAAAGAACTCTTCCAGAACACAGATCAAAGAATGTGAGAAAAATCGAGAAAATGAAGCAACATGCAAGATGTGGATGACATTCTTCTTACCTCCCTTTCTAGGAAGGGTCAGTCTAACCCTCCTGGATTATGTTAAGTGTAGGGGGAGAAAGATAGCCATCAAGCTGTTGCATGCTCCTATCCCAAGCCACCTCACATTAGTCACCAAGAGAATAACTTTCTTATTTCTGTTATTTCAGGGCACTATCCAGGCAGGGTGCTGCCAATGGATGACAGAAGCATAACATGGATGTAGAGCCACAAAATTAATTATCTACACTGGCTTTCAATAAAGTCAGGAGGAGGAAAAATGTGCAGGAGGGATGGCTCTAGAAGGTCTCCACTCAAGTTCAATTTAACTAATTTATACACGACCCAATTTGTTTCCTTGTGATTTTTTTGTCAGAGAAACAAACCCATTCCAAACTCTTTCCAAAAGTATTTCCCATTAAGTATCAAGACAGACAACAAATAGCTTCACTTTTAATTTTCACTTGTTTCACACCTGCTATTTTCTAATTATAATGTCATCAGCATGCAGAAGGATTTCCCAAAGCAATGATGGTCCATGTGTACATAATTCAGGCTTTATTGAAATTTTAACCTCATTTGGTCGAACTCCAGTTTGTAAGTAGTAGAGTCAGGATTGCAATCCAGGCAGTCTGTCTCCAGAGGCCACTTCTGTAAACACTGGGCTGGACCCTGAGCTAAGGCAGGCTTTCCCAACAGTGACACTATTGATGTTATGGGCCAGATAATTGTGGGGTTCTTTCCTGTGCATTATAGGATGTTTAACAGTGTCACTGCCCTCTACCCACTAGATGCCAGTAGCAACCCTCTGCAGACATTGCCAAATGTCTCCAGGGTGGGGGTGACCACAGTGCCTCTGGTGAGAACCACTGAGCTAGGGTACCCACCGGAAACTTAGAGCAAGCATTATACTTGGGTTGACTATTAAACCATTCCCATTAACATCTATGCACCTGACTTTTATAATTCACCATTGTTTTAGATGGCCTAATCAATGCAATAAAATAAAACAAGACATATAATGTATATCAAACATACTACTATTTGTAGCTGTGAACTCATTTGCAAAGAAGACATTCCTTTCTGATGGCTTCTATCTCATCTTGGGAGAGTTTTAAGAGAAGTCATTTACTGAAGTCAAGGAGGAGGAAGAAGCATGGATGGGAGTTCTGAGAAGAGATAAAAATATGAGCTGTGTCTTAGGGAGAGTGAGAGCATGCTGAGAGACAAAATAGCTTGATTATGAGTTGCATTCATTGTGGTTGAGGTTGCTGATCATGAAGTCTTCCTATTTTTACTTCCAAAAAATTGTAGCAGAGATTTTGGTCAGCTTCTTGCCAATGGCCCCACCAATATCTTCCAAGTGGCCTCTTACTCCCTCTCCTTAGCAAGCACTTTTTTTCCAGTTATGTGAAAACTACCAGCTGCTATCTTTTCCTAGACTGCAAATAAAAATTAATTCATAAATATATAAAGCTTTATAAAATGCAATGTTAAGAATATGTAAATCAATAAAGTATTTTTCGGAAAGTTTATCAGTATATATCAAAGAGAAGAATGTTCCTACCATTGTCTCAACAGTCACTTTCTAGGAAATTTTCCTAAAGTAATAACTGCACAAGTACAAAAAGATGTAATCAGCAGCATTGCTACAGTATTTAAAAATTGGAAACAATCTAAATATTCTCCCTAGAGGATCACTTAAGTAAACATCAGTGTGCACATGCAGTGGTCTCTGATACTGCATTAAAAAATAATATTGATAATGTATTATTGAATAAAAAATTGCAGGTTATAGGCAGGCATTCATGGTGTAATTGCATTTGTAACATATTGTATTTAGGAATATAGGTACTTCTTTAAGGCTATGTCTGTTTGTTTGTTTGTTTGTTTGTTTGTTTCAAAGACAGGGTCTTGCTCTGTCACCATGGCTGGAGTGCAGTGGCCTAATCACAATTCACTGAAACTTCAAACTCCTGGGCTCAAGCAATCCTCCTGCCTCAGCACCTAGATAGAGTAACTGGGATACAAGCATGCACCACAGTGCATGGCTACTTTTTTACATTTTTTTGTAGAGATGAGGTCTCGTTTTGTTGCCCAGGCTGGTCTTAAACTCCTGGCCTCAAGTGATTCTCCAGGCTTGGCCTCCCAAAATGCTTGGATTACAGGCATGAGCCACAGTAAACAGCCATATTTAAGACTATTTTTAAAAGTATTACCAATGACTATATCTAGGCAACGGTATTTGGATAATTTTCATGTTATTTTTTGTACTTTTTGGATCATTAGACTTTTCTACATAGAGCATACTTTTTTTTTTTTTTATAAAACAGCAAAGTGGTTTCCAAAGGAATGAAAATGATCAAATGACTGACATTGACAGTCAGTGCTGAAGACAAAATGCTTTGATAAACTGAATAGCAGAAACTTTGATTGTTAGATCCCTCCTCTTTGAGATGGCTGAGTCCATTTTATACATAAGGCTGACTCACAGGCTGTGGCCTAAAAGCAGAAGCTGATGTGCTTTGCATGTATTTTTAGTTGGTGAAGCTATCATTCTTATTGAAAATTCTACAGCTAATTTAGCAAAAACAAATAATAATATTCAACTCTGCAACCACAGTCAAGACCTGTCTGTGTGTTCAGTTTTCTAGCGTACGGCCTCTGTGTGGCTGGGTACAAGCAGGCCTGCCTCGGCCAGAGGCCTGGTATATTCTGACCTGCTCACTAGTGTTGGCCAGTTGGCTGCTTGGCACCTTTCCCGGCAGTCATTGCTCTCCAAGCACGACATCTATCATTGCTCCAGTCAGAAAGATGACACCTACCTGATGGGTGGGCAGAAGCGTCTTCTCTTACCATATGCTGGGAATTGTCAAGGGCTGTTCACGCCAAGACTGGCTACTTTTAGTGCCAGGAAACAGGCCTTTCCCAAAGCCTGCCAAAAAAAATACAAATAAAAATTTAAAAAACCAATTTTCACATATCAAATTTTGCGTTGACTAGTTGTGTAACAAGCGATGCAGAACAGAGAATTATGGACATTTTTCTGGCGTCGACACATGCAACACAGAAGAGAAGAGCAGTTCTCATCTGTGAAATGAGAGAGAGAACAAAAAAAATTTTCTGACCTACATAAATATTAGGTTTAGACCTAGCCTCAGGCAGAGACAGTGGGTGGCTCACCTATCCAGTGTAACTTAATGAACACTGAAATGCCCACCTGGGGTGGAAGGTGCAGTTCTCACCATATGAGTCATTCTTTGGGGTTAAAGCATCCTCTGGTGAAGGGTCCTGTTGAGTCCCTATCTGTTCCTTGGGGGGACGGAACAACATTAACCCACTGTCTCCAATTACCATATCTGTGCAGATTACCTGATTAGATACAGTAGGTAGGTATATTTTAATGAAATCATACAAAATCAGGAAATGCTGGGGGCACCAGGTGCCACTGTTTGTTGTTGAATCAAGACTTCTGTGCTATCAGGGAACACGACAAGGACACAGGCCTGCGATTCTGAGAAACATCTCCACAGAGAAACTCAGAAGAGAGGAAGGAATCACAGTCCTGTCAAAAATGAAATACGAGAACGGCCCAAGCACAGTTTGGGGACTCAGGCTGGAAAGACAAACTCAGCTAAGCTTGGGACACTGTCAGAATGGAGGGAAAGAACCCAGCTGAGAGGTGCTGGGAGAGTGAAAGGCAGAGACAGAATGAACCTCAAATTCGAGGAAAAAGAATGGGGAATGCAAGAGGCTGCTGCATGGGCAGAAGATAATTGGCCCTCACAGAATGGGGAAGGCACAGGGGTGGATAGGGTCAGGCAGTTCAGGCACAAGTCCAGAGACTCAGTCAAGGAGTTTATTCCATTGCCCTTGAGGATGTGCTCCAGGGCAGGCAAAGCTGCTTTCACACACCTATCAACTCCACAGGCTGCTGCAGGACCTCCAATCCTCATTTTAACTTAGAGCAGTCTCATCAGGTCTTCTACAGTAGCCTGAGGTTTCTGCTCCTGAGGTTTCTGTTTGCTTTGTGTTTCCACATGGCTGTGCCCATCCTCACCAACTTTTTACAAAAGCATGTGTGTGCAAGTGTGTAGAAGGGCATACTTGTGTATATGTATTTGTAAAATATATTGCTAATTGTTCCCTTAACAAGTTTTTGCTCTCAAAACATACTTTGATGTTTTTCTTTATGCCTTTCTTGGTTATTTGGCCACTGTTATAGGAAGTCCAAAACAGAGTGATATGGTTTGGCTGTGTCCCCACCCAAATCTCATCTTGAATTGTAGCTCCCATAATTCCCACATGTGGTGGGAGGGACCTGGTGAGAGGTAACTGAATCATGGGGGTAGGTCTTCCCTGTACTGTTCTCATGATAGTGAATGAGTCTCATGAGATCTGATGGTTTTTTAAGGCGGAGTTTCCCTGCACAAGCTCTCTCTTGTCTGCCACCATGTAAGACATGCCTTTTGCTTTCTGCCGTGATTGTGAGGCCTCCCCAGCCAAGTGGAACTGTAAGTCCATTAAACCTCTTTTTCTTTACAAATTACCCAGTCTTGGGTGTGTCTTTATCAGCAGCCTGAAAATGGACTAATACACGGAGCTATAGTCAAAGGCAACACACTCTTCAACACTTTTTCCTAACCTTTTGTGGGAAGTGAGAAGTATTCTAAAACTTTCTTTCTTATTCTGGGAAGCTTAGAACTTAGTAATTCTGCTAACCTATCTTTGGAATTTCAGAAGCCATTAAGGGGAGAAAAATCAACAGAAAAATTCCTATGTTCTAGTAGCCCTGGTGTTAGACCCAAGTTCCAATCCTGGTTAGCAGTTTACTAGCTGTGTGTCTCTACGTGTTTCAGGGTTCTCCTCCATACATCAGGGAAAATAACAGAACACAACTCATAGAAATACTGCTTAAAAGAGATTTGACTACACATTTTTTTTTTGGTCTACTAATGTAGCAAGAGGCAGTTAAATAGGATTTAAAGACAAATAAAGACAGTAACAAAGCATTGGTATTCATACCATATACATGGTTTCTACAAATCAATAAAAAAAGATTAAAGAATATGAACACATAATTCTCAAAAAATATATATAAATAAACCCCAAATCCATGAAATGACTCTAAACATTCTTTTAAAAATAAGAAAAATGCAATGAAAACATATTCACATTTTTTCCCTAAGAAATTGGTAAAATTTTAAAAGTTTGATATTATCCAAGTTGGCCGGCTGAGTGGGACAACAGGCTATCCCCAACAGTGTTGGGGCAAATGTAAGTCATTGTGACTGTAAAAAGAATGTTATTGTTATTTTTTAAATTGACACATTATACATATTTGTGTAGTACAATAAGGTGTTTCCATACATACTTTTTGTCATATAATGATTCAATCAGGTTAGTTAGTGGATCCCATCACCTCAAGCATTTATCATTTCTTTGTGGTGAGAACATTCAAAAGCTTCTAGCTATTTGGTAACACACAATATTTTACTATTAACCGTCATCAACCTATTGTGAAACGGAACACCAGAACTTACTCCTCCTATCTAACTTTCTACCCATTGATGAACCTCTCCCTATCCTCCCCTCCTCACTCTCTTCCACAGTTTCTGGTACTTACTGTTCTACTCTTTGCTTCTATGATTACTTTTTTTTTCTTAGATTCCTCCATATGAGTGAGATTATGTGGTATTTGTTTTTATATGTCTGGCTTATTTCACTTAACATGATATTCTCAGGGTTCATCAATGGTGTTGCAAATAACATGATTTCATTCCTTTTTATGGCTCAATAGTATTCTATTGTGTATTTATACATTATTCTCTTTATTCATTCCTTCACTGTTAGACATTTAGGTTGATTCCATACCCTTGCTATTGTAAATAGTGTTGCAATAAACATGAATGTGTGGATGTCTCTTTAACATACAGATTTGATTCCCTTTGGCATGTATACCTAGTAGAGGGATTGCTAGATCATACGATAGTTCTATTTTTAAGTTTTTGAGGACCCCCGATACTGTTTTCCATAATGAATGTACTACTTTACAATCCTGCCAAGAGCCTGTAAGTGATTCCTTTCCTCCACATCATCCATTATATAGTGAGGTGGTATCTCTATTATGGTTTTAATTTGCATTTGCATTTTCCAAATAATTTGTGACATTGAACTGATGGCCTTCTGTGTATTCTTTTGAGATATGTTTATTGAGTACTTTTTCTCTTTTTTTTTTAGACAGAATCTTGCTCTGTCACCCAGGCTGGAGTGCAGTGGCATGATCTCTGCTCACTGCAAGCTCTGCCTCCTGGGTTCACGCCATTCTCCTGCCTCACCCTCCCGAGTAGCTGGGACTACAGGCGCCCGCCACCATGCCCGGCTAATTTTTTGTATATTTAGTAGAGACGGGGTTTCACCGTGTTACCCAGGATGGTTTCAATCTCCTGACCTTGTGATCCACCCGCCTCGGCCTCCCAAAGTGCTGGGATTACAGGCGTGAGCCACCATGCCTGGCCACTTTTTCCCATTTTTTTAATCAGGTTATTTGTGGGGTTTGCTGTTTTTATGTTCTGGATATAACCCCTTGTCAGATGTATAGTTTGCAAATATTTTCCCTCATTCTGTCAATTGTCTTTCATTCTGTTACCAGTTTCTTTTGCTGTGCAAAAGGTTTTTAGTTTGATGTAATCCCATTTGTCTTTTTTTGTTTTTGCTGCCTAAGCTTTCAAGGTCGTATTTAAAAAGTCCTTGCCCAGTTTAATGTCATGAAGTGCTTTCTTTATATTTTCTTCTAATAGTTTTATAGTTTAGGGCATGACATTTAAATCTTTAATCCATTTTGAGTTTATTTTCCTATATGGTAAAAGTAGGGGACTAGTCTTATTCTTTGGTGTGTGTGTATACAATTTTTCCAGCATCATTTATTGAAGAGATTCTTTTCTGCATTGTGTGTTCTTGGCACCTTTGTTGAAAATCAGTTGTCTGTAGGCGTGTGAATTTATTTTTGTATTCTCTATTCTATTCCATTGTTTTTTAATGCCAGTACCATGTTGTTCCTATAATGTATTTTAAAACCAGGTAGTGTAATACCTCTAGCTTTCTTCTTTTTGCTCAAAATTGATTTGGATATTTAGGATATTTTGGGGTTCCCAATTTTGGGATTGATTTTCTATTTCTGTGAAGATTTTTTATTTCTGTGAGTCATTGGTATTTTGACAAGAATTGCATTAAATCTGTAGATTGCTTTGGGGAGTATGGCCACTTTAACAATATCAATTCTTCCAATCCATGAATATGGGATTCTTTCAGTTTATGTAAGTCCTCTTCAATTTTTTTGTTATATAGTTTTATAGTTTTCAGTGTAGAGCCTTTTCACCTTATTGGTTAAGTTTATTCCTAGTTATTTTTGTTTTGTAGCTATATAAAGTGAAATTGTTTTCTTGATTTTTTTAAACAGACAGTTTGCTATTAGTACATAGAAACACCACTGATTTTTGTATATTGATTTTGTATCCTCCAATTTCACTGAATTTATTAGTTCTAACGGTTTTTTGGTGACATGTTTAGGGTTTTCTCTACATAAGATCATGTCATCTGCAAACAGGGACAATTTGGCGTCCTCTTCTATTATTTGGTTCCTTTTTATTTTTGTCCTGCCTAGTTGCTCCGGCTTGAACTTATAGTTCTATGTTGAATAGAAGTGGCGATAGTGGGCATCCTTGTCTTGTTTCTGATCTTAGAAACAAATCCTTCAGCTTTTCCCTGTTTAGTATGATGTTAGCTGTGAGAACATTATATATGGCCTTTATTGTGTTGAGGGACAAGCCTTCTATACCTAATTTGTTGAGACTTTTTACCGTGAAGGGATATTAAATTTTCTCAATTTTTTTTCTGCATCGAACCAAAAGCAGATCACATGGTTTTGGTCTTTTGTTGTTGTTGTTGTTGTTGTTTAAGTGGTAAATCACATTTATTCATTTGTATATTAAGCAATCTTTGAATGCCTGTGAGGAATTCCACTTGATCATAGTGAATCATCTTTCTCATATTGTTTTAGACTCAGTTTGTTAGTATCTTGTTGAGAATTGGTTATCATCAATGTTGGTATGTCATTTTTTTGGTGTGTCTTTGTCCAGTTTTGAAGTCAGGATAATGCTGACCCCGTAAGATAAATTTAGAAGTTTTTTCTCCTCCCCAGTTTTATGGAATACTTAGAGGAGAGTTAGTATTCCTTCTTCTTTATATCTTTGGTAGAGTTCAACAGTGAAGCCATCAAATCCTGCATTTTCATTTGATGAAATGCTTTTTATTATTAACTTAATCTTCTCATTCATTTTTTATTCTGTTCAGGTTTTTGTATTTCTTCAAACATATTTGTAGATTTTCATTTAGTATTGGTAAATTGCACATGTACGTGGATTTATTCATTTCTTCTGATATAAAATTTATTGGCATGTAATTGTTCACAATAATTTCCTATGATTTTTTGTATTTTTGTGATATCTGTTGTAATGACTCTCTATTCATCTCTGATTTTATTTATTTGAGTTTTATTATTTTCTCAATTAGTCTAGCTAAAGTTTTGTGTATTTTTTTTTCTTTTCAAAAAATTAATTCTTGATAGGGGGGAGCCAAGATTGCTGACTAGACTCAGCCAGGAAGAGCATCTCCCACTGAGACATCAGACCATCAAGAATACCGGCACACTCCAAGTAGATCTTTGCAAGAAAGGCATTAAGGGTGAAAGGTGGGAGGACAGAGTCCCTGAGCTGAGGAAGGTGAAAACCCTGCAGAATGCCACCAAGCACCATGACTCATTCCAGCCCCCAGTGGTTCCTGGAGAAGGAGAGACTTAAATAGGTGAAGACTGGTCCATGCTTTTCATGGACCTCCAGAATCTTAACTTCAGGAGACCCTCATGATGCCCACAGACATCTGAGCTGGCAGGAAGAGATGCTTGAAGAAGTGGCAGGGACAGTACTCTAGCCTGTGTGGAGCCCAGAGAGTTTGGTGTGAGAACAGCTGCAATGGAGCATGACCAGGGACACCCATCCTCCAAGGCATGCCATGCTCCTCTAAGTGGCTTTGGGCTTTGTTGGCTCTCTAACCTGGACACAGACGGGCTGTCTTGCCCACAGGGACAAGGCCAGTTTGATCTGAGCACCCTTCATTTGCTGGCTTCTTGCTGGGTCCCTCCTGACCACATCCACTTGCAGTGCAGGCTTGGATTCCAAAACCAGGATTTCTCCTGCAGCAGACATCATAGCAGATCCCATCTAACCACTGGACAGCTTCAGCAGACAGGCCTCGGTAGACACAGAGGTGCCAAACACCTCCTCCCACTGCTTTGCCAGTGTGCACTTGCCTGTGGCTTTCCCCCACTGCTACACAGGTGCACACATGGAATTCACCATTTTGGTGCCACTGGTTCACATGCGTGCATGGGCCTCGCCATGCCAGAGCCCCACCCCGACAGCATGCATGCACTCAGACACCTCCACATTACCACTACACTGTTGCTGGCAAGCACATGTGCAGATATCACCACACCACTGCCCTATTGCTGCTGGCACACATGCAAACATGCACTCCAATGCACTGCTGCCCAGCCACAAGCATGTGCACATGGGCGCAACCCCACTATCACTCCCCCAGTGAAGTGCTTTTGTAAGAATCTCCCATTGTTGTTGCCAGCAGACTGAGAAACTTGGCCCCTTTAGTGAAGCAAGTGTTTATCCTCAAGGGGATAACACAGAGATAAGGACAGAGAACACAGCTGTGGGCCTCCTACCAACACCCAGGGTTAGGGCACGCAGACCAGAAGTGCTGAGCTTAGCCTGGGCCCCCTGATATCATCCAGAAATGAAGCCAGTCAACTAAACCCAACTTATGCCACAGTCAAAACCTCATGAGCATCAAAGAATAAAAAAGCAAAAAGCACCATCTAAAAGACAAAAACGACGAAGATGAAAAGAACATCAGGCCACACTGATGAGAAAGAACCAGCACAAAAACTCTGGTGACTCAAATACCAGAGTGTTTTCTTGCCTCCAGATGATCACAGTAGCTCCCCAGCAATAGTTCTTAATTAGATTGAAATGGCTGAAATGTCAGACATAGAATTTAGAATCTGGATGGCAATGAACATGAAGGAATCTAGTAAAACAATACAAGACATAAAAGACAAAGGAGGCATTTTAAGGAAGAACAAAACTGATCTGATAAAGCTAAAAACTCACTACAAAAATATTATAATATAATTGGAAATATTAACAGCAGAATAGAACAAGTTGAGAAAAGAGCTTAAAGACTGTTTTTTTGAGTAAGTTTGTCAGATAAAAATAAATAAAAAGAATTTTGAAACAATGAACAAAACCTCCAAGAAATATGGGATTACACAAAGACCAAACATATGACTCTTTGTCATCCCTGAAAGATAAGTAGAGAGAGCAAACAACTTGTAAAATACATTTGAGAATATTGTCCATGAAAAATCCCCCAATCTCACTAGAGAGGTTGACATTCAAATTGAGAAAATTCAGAGAACTCCAATGAGATACTGTATGGGATAACCATCCCCAAGACACACAGTCAGATTATCCAAGGTAAATGCAAAAGAAAAAATATTAAAGGGAGCTAGAGAGAAGGGGCAAGTTACCTACAAAGGAAACTCCATTAGGCTAAAAGTAGAGTTTTCAGCAAAAACTCTACAAGCCAGAAGAGATTGCGGGCCTATATTCACCATTCTTTCTTTTTTTGTTTTTTTTGACAGAGTCTCACCCTGTCACCCAGGCTGGAGTGCAATGGTGCGATCTCGGCTTATGGCAACCTCCACCTCCTGAGTTCAAATGATTCTCCTGCCTCAGCCTCCCCAGTAGCTGGGACTACAGGTGCCCTCCACCACGGCCAGCTAATTTTTGTATTTTTTGTAGAGATGGGGTTTCACCACATTGGCCAGGATGGTCTCGATCTCCTGACCTGGTGATCTGCCCGCCTCAGGCTCCCAAAGTGCTGGGATTACAGTTGTAAGCCACCATGCCCAGCCTCAGCATTCTTAAAGAAAAAATATTCCAATGAAGAATTTCATATCTAGCCAAACTAAACGTCATAAGTGAAGGAGAAATAAAATCCTTTTCGGACAATCAAACATGAAGGGAATTTGTTACCACTAGGCTTGTCTCACAAGAGATCTTTAAGGGAGGGCTAAACATGGAAACTAAAGACTATTAGCAGCCACAACAAAAACATACTTAAACACATAGACCATTGACACTATAAAGCAACTACACAATCAAGTCTGCATAACAACCAGCTAACAACACAATGACAGGATCAAATCAGCACATATCAATATTAACCTTAAATGTAAACAGGATAAGTGCCCCTACTTAAAAGGCAGAGAGTGGCAATTTGGATAAAGAAAAAAGATCTCCCATAAAATGGCAGACAGGAGATAGGACTAACGTGCAGCTCCGGCTTAGATGACAGGACAGTGTCTGGAGACTTACATGTGAACTTTCGCTCCATGAACCACTGCAGGAACACACCAGAAAAACTGGAAGAATTCACAAACCCTTTGAAAGAAGAGGCTTGCCGCTGCAAACCCCATGAGACAGCCAAAAAACTGTGAGTTCCCAAAATGTGAGGGGGAAAAAAATTCAGCCTTTGAACACACATCCCCACTAAAGAACCTGAAAATCCAGATCACAGGAGAAGGATTAACCTTACCTAGAGCTGAAATGGATTTAGGCAGCCAAGCAAAATATAAAAGTAGAAGAAGCATCAGGACCCTCCCGGTTCTCAGCTTGAGCCCCAGGAAAGTCATTCTGGCCTTATCTCACAGAGGTCCTTCTGGAAGGGAAGGTGGCCAGCAGAATTGGGGAGGGGCCACAGGGCAAATATAGGTCCTAGCTGAACTTTGTAGTAATTTTGACTGAGCACAAACTTTCCTGAGCAGAGTCTGAGGGGGGCGAATGGGAAGTGCAGATACAAGCACAGAAGCCACATCCAATGGTGAGGGCAGGTGGGGAGGCAAGGCCTGAGAGCCCTGCCCACTTTCTCAGCAGGGAGGCTTGTGCCTTGGGGCAAGATCTCAGCTCTGATCACCTGGACATGAACTCGGTGCAGCTGGGGATTCATGGTGCGAGAGAGACTGGTCTTGCTGGCTGCATAGGAGCCAGGTGAGGCCTGTCACTTCTGGCTTTCTCCCATTTCCCTGGCAACCTGTATGAAGCAGCAAAGGCAGCCATAATCCCCCAGAGAACATAACTCCACTGACCTGAGAACCACCCCCACCCCCCACAGTGGTAGCAGCCCCACCCAGAGAGTCTGAGCTCAGACCTGTCTAATCCTGCCCCCACCTGATGGTTTTTCTCTACTCACCCTGGCAGCTGAAAACAAAAGATGTAATCTCTTGGGAGTTCTATGACCCCCCCCCCCCCCCCCCCGCCAACCATCACCTGAGGAACCTGAGTACTCATCCTGGCCAACACAGGGCAAGATTATATCCCCCTTCTACTACTGCACCTGGCACTCTCTTGAAAGTGCCACCTCCTGGCTAGAGGAAAACCAACTCAAGCCTCTACAGCAACTCAGGACAGAACATCCTTGCTCCAAAGAAGGAGAAAACAATGGCTAACACCTTCAACACCCTGGCTAAACAGAGGTCCTGAGTCTGTCCATGTGACAACTTCACTGCTGGCATAACCAGCATTAGAGAAAACCAGTGCACTAAACAAAACTATAACCAAGGACTCTCACAGAGTCCACTTCACTACCCTGCCACCTCCAGTGGAGCAGCTGATGGTATCCATGACTGGAAGACCTGAAGACAGATCATATCACAGGACTCTTTGCAGACATTCCCCAGCACAAGCCTGGAGCTTGGTAGCCCTGCTGGGTGGCTAAACCCAGAAGGGCAATAACAATCACTGCAGTCTGGCTCTCAGGAAGCCCTATCCTAGAGGAAGGGGGAGAGCACTACATCAGTGGATCATCCTGTGGGAAAAAAGAAGCTGAACAGCAGCCCTTGAGTTTGAAATCATTCCACTGAAACAGTCTTCCCAAATGAGGGAGAAGAAAAGTAATTCTTGTAATATGACAAAGTAAGGTTTTATAACACCCCTAAAAGATCACACTCGATCTCCAACAATGGATCTAAACCAAGAAGAAACCTCTGAATTACCAGAAAAAGAATTGAGAAGGATGATTATTAAGCTACTCAATAAGGCACCAGAGAAAGGTGAAAGTCAGTTTAAAGAAATTAAAAAAAAATACAGGATACAAGTGAAAAAGTCTCCAAAGAAATAGATATCATAAAGAAAAGACAATCACAACTTCTGGAATTGAAAGACACACTTAGAGAAACGCAAAACACACTGGAAAGTTTCAACAACAGAATCAAATAAGTAGAAGGAACTTCAGAGCTCGAAGGCAAGGCTTTTGAATTAAGCCGATCTGACAAAAACAAAGACAAAAGAGATCTAAAAAATGAACAAAGCCTCCAAGAAATTTGGGATTATGTTAAACATCCAGGCATAAGAATATTGGTGTTCCTCAGGAAAAAGAGAAATCTAAAAGAGAAAACTCATTTGAGGAAATAATCAAGAAAAACCTCTCTGGTCTTGCTAGAGATCGAGACATACAAATACAAGAAGCTCAATGAACACCTAGGAAATTCATAGCAAAAAGATCATTTCCTAGGCTCATAGTCATCAGGTCATCTAAAGTCAAGATGAATGAAAGAATCTTTTTTTTTTGACACAGAGTCTCGCTCTGTCACCCAGGCTGGAGTGCAGTGGTGCGATCTCAGCTCACTTCAAGCTCTGCCTCCCGGGTTCAGGCCATTCTCCTGCCTCAGCCTCCCGAGTAGCTGGGACTACAGGCCTCCGCCACCATGTCCAGTTAATTTTTTGTATTTTTAGTAGATACGGGGTTTCACCATGTTAGCCAGGATGGTCTCGATCTCCTGACCTCATAATCTGCCCACCTCAGCCTCCCAAAGTGCTAGGATTACAGGCATGAGCCATCGCGCCCAGCGAATGAAAGAATCTTAAGAGCTGTGAGGCAAAAGTATCAGGTAACCTATTAAGGAAAATCTATCAGATTAATAGCAGATTTCTCAGCAGAAACCCTGCAAGCCAGAAGGGATTGGGGGGTAATACATTTAGACTCCTTAAACAAAATAATTATTAGCCACAACTTTTGTTTCAAGAGAAACTAAGCTTCATAAATGAGGGAAAGAGAGACTTTTTCAGACAAACAAATAACCTAGCATCCCTTCATGATTAAAATCCTCAGTAAAATTGGCATGGAAGGGACATACCTTAATGTAATAAAAGCCATCTATGACAAACCCACAGCCAACATTATACTGAATGGGGAAAAGTTGAAAGCATTCCCCCTGAGAATAGGAATAAGACAAGGATGTCCACTCTCACCACTTCTATTCAACATAATACTGGAAGTCCTAGCCAGAGCAATTAGACAATAGAAAGAAATAAAGGGCATCCAAACTGATAGTAAGGAGTCAAACTATTGCTGTTTGGTGATGATATGATCGTATACCTAGAAAACCCTGAAGACTCATCCAAAAAGCTCCTAGATCTGAAAAGTGAATTCGGTAAAGTTTCAGAATATAAAATCAATCCACACAAATCAGTAGCTCTGTAAAACACCAACAGCGACCAAGCTGAAAATCAAATCAAGAACTCAATTCCTCTTACAACAGCTGCAAAAAATTTAAAATACTTAGGAATACACCTAACCAAAGAGGCGAAAGATCTGTACAGGTAAAACTATAAAACACTGCTGAAAGAAGTCATAGATGACACAAACAAATGGAAACATATCTCATGCTCATGGATGATAGAATCAATATTGTGACAATGACCATACTGCCAAAAGCAATCTACAAATTCAATGCAATTCCCATCGAAATACCATCATCATTCTTCATGGAACTAGAAAAAACAATCCTAAAATTCATATGGAACCAAAAAAAGCCCACAAAATAATGTCATTCACAGCAACCTGGATGGAGTTGGTGACCATTATTCTAAGTGAAGTAACTCAGGAATGGAAAAGCAAGCATTGTATGTTCTCACTTATAATTGGGAGATAAGCTATGAGGACACAAAAACATAATAATGATATAATGGTGTCTGGGGACTAGGGGGAAGGCTGAGACGAGGGGTGAGGGATAAAAGACTACACACTGGGTACAGTGGACAGTGCTTGGGTTATGGGAGCACCAAAATCTCGGAAATCACCACTACAGAACTTATCCATGTAACCAAACACTACGTGTTCCCCTGAAATTATTGAAATAACAATAATAAAACAAGAAAAGAAAAAAGTTACCATAATTCCACAACCCGGCAGATACTACCATCAGCACTTTGATATTTGTACTTTCAGACATTTTCTATCTGTACAAATGCATGCATGTGAATAAACATTCTGGCAAAAGTGGAATAATAGTACACATATTCTATAATCTATTTTCTAATTTTATAATATGGCATGAACATCTTTCCTTGTCAAGATATGTACAAGTATATCATTGTTCCTAATGGCTATAAAAAAATTCCATTTTATGACTCTACCACAATTTAAATAGTCACAGATGTTAAACATTTAGTTTGTATCCAATTGTAAATACCGCTATAACAAACATTCTTGTACGTCCATCTTTGTGCACTGATTATTGCATCAGAATAAATTCAGAAAATTTACAAAAAAAAAAAACAAAAAGAAGACAGACCCATCTATATGCTCTTTTAAAGAAACCCATTTCACATGCCATGATATCCATAGGCTCAAAGCAAAGGTATGGAGAAAGATCTATCAAGCAAATGGAAAACAAAATAGAGCAGTGTTTGCTATTCTAATTCCAAACAAAACATACTTTAAACTAATGATGATCAAAAAAGGATAAGAAGGGCACAACATAGTGATAAAGGGTTCAATTCAACAAGAAAACTTAACTATCCTAAATATATATATACACCTAACACTGGAGCACCCAGATTCACAAAACAAGTTCTTAAAGATCTTCATGGTAGGCTAGATAACCACATAACAATAGTGGAAGGTGTCAGTATCCCACTGACAGTATAAGACACATTATCAAGGCAGAAACTATCAAAGATATTTGGGACCTAAGCTCGACACTTGACCAAATGGACCTAACAGATATCTACAGAACATTCCACCCAACCAAAACAGAATACACATGCTTATCATCTGCACATGACACATAATCTAAAATTCACCACATGCTCAAACATAAAGCAATTCTAAACATATATATATATACTACACTCACAGATCCCAGCAAGATAAAAATAGAAATCAATACTAAGAAGACCTCTCTAAGCCATATGATTACATGAAAATTAAACAACCTGCTTCTGAATGACTTTTGGGTAAACAGTAAGACTAAGACAGAAATCAAAAAATTCTTAGAAAGTAAAGAAAACAAAGATAAAACATACCAGAATCTCTGGGACACAGCTAAAGCAGTGTTAAGAGGAAAATTTATAGAGCTAAATGCTCATATAAAAAAAAGTGGAAAAGTGTCGAATTAACAACCCAGCATGACACCTAGAGGAGCTAGGAAAACAAAAGCAAACCAAATCGCCCCAAGGCTGAACTGAATGAAACTGAGATGCACAAGACCATTCAGAAGATAAATGGGTCAGGTGCAGTGGCTCACGTCTGTAATCCCAACACTTTGGGAGACCGAGGTGGGCAGATCATGACGTCAGGAGAGCGAGAACATCCTGACTAACACGGTGAAACCTGTCTGTACTAAACATACAAAAAAGTAGCCAGGAGTGGCCAGGTGCGATGGCTCACACCTGTAATCCCAGCACTTTGGGAGGCCGAGGTGGGCAGATCGAGACCATCCTGGCTAACCTGGTGCAACCCCGTCTCTACTAAAAATACAAAAAATTAGCCGGGCATGGTAGCGGGCACCTGTAGTCCCAGCTACTCGGGAGGCTGAGGCAGGAGAATGGCGTGAACCCGGGAGGCGGAGCTTGTAGTGAGCCAAGATCGCACCACTGCACTCCAGCCTGGGTGACAGAGCGAGACTCAGTCTCAAAAAAAAAAAAAAAAAAAAAAGATAAATGAACCCAAAAGTTGGTTTTTTGAAAAAATAAATAAAATTAATAGACCTCTAGGTAGACTAATAAAGATAAACAGAGAGAAAATAAAAATACACACAATTAGAAATGACAAAGAATGTATTACCATCTACCCCACAGAAATACAAAAAAATCTTCAGAGACTATTATGAACACCTCTATGCATATGAACTAGAAAACCTAGAAGAAATGAATACATTCCTGAAAATATACAACATCCCAAAATTAAACCAAAAAGGAATTGAAACCCTGAAAAGATGAATAGTGAGTTCCAAAACTGAATCAGTGGAAAACAAAAAGAAAAACAAACAAAAAAAACCCTACCAACTAGAGGCCGGGTGCGGTGGCTCACGTCTGTAATCCCAGCACTTTGGGAGGCCAAGGCAGGTGGATCACCTGAAGTCAGGAGTTTGAGACCAGCCTGGCCAACAGGGTGAAACCCCATCTTTGCTAAAAATACAAAAATTAGCTGGGCTAACGTGGTGGCAGGTGCCTGTAATCCCAGCTACTCAGAAAGCTGAGGCAGGAGAACTGCTTGAACCCAGAAGGCAGAGATTGCAGTGAGCCAAGATCGCGCCATTGCACTCCAGCCTGGACAACAAGAGTAAAAATCTGTCTCAAAACACAAACAAACAAACAAACAAACAAACAAACAAACAAACCCTACCAACTAGAAAAAGCTCTGGACCAGAAGAATTCACAGCTGAATTCTACGAGACATATAAAGAAGAGCTGGTACCAATTCTACATAAACTATTCCAAAAAATTGAGGAGTAGGGACTCCTCCCTAAGTCACTCTATGAGGCCACTATAATTCTGATACCAAAACCTGGCAGAGACACAACAAAAAGAAAATATCAGGACAATATACACGATGAACATACATGCAAAAATTCTCAACAAATACTAGCCAACTGAATCCAGGAGACCATCGAAGCGCTAACCCAACACAGTCAAGTAGGTGTTATTCATGGGATGCAAGGTTGGTTCAAAATACACAAATCAATAAATGTGATTCATCACATAAAATGAACTAAAAACAAAAAAATCATACTTATTTCAATAGATGCAGAAAAGGCTCTTGATAAAATTCAACATCATTTCATATTAAAAACCTGCAGTAAACTAGGCATCAGAGGGGCAGACTTCAGAATAATAAGAACCATCTATGACCAAACCACAACCAATATCATACTGAATGTGCAAAAGCTGGAAGCACTTCCCTTGAAAAACCAGACCACACAAGGATGCCCACTCTTACCATGCCTATTCAACATAGTATTGGAAGTCCTAACCAAAGCAATCAGGCAAGAGAAGGAAATAAAAGGCATTCAAATAGGAAGAGAGAAAGTCAAATTATCTCTCCTCACAGATGATATAATTTTATAAATTAAAAAAACAATAATCTCTGCCCAAAGATTTCTAGATCTGATAAACAACCAACAAATTTTCAGGTTACAAAATCAATGTACAAAAAACAGCAGCATTTCTGTACACCAATAGCATCCAAGCTGACAGCAAAATCAAGACTGCAATCACATTCACAATAGCCACTAAAAGAATAAAATATCTAGAAATACAGCTAACCAAGGAAGTGAATGATCTCTACAATGAGAATTGCAAAACACTGCTGAAAGAAATCAGAGATGACACAAGTAAATGGGAAAACATTCTATGCTCATGGATAGGAAGAATTATTATTGTTTAAATGTCCATACTGTCCAAAGCAACTTGTGGATTCAATACTATCCGTATAAAACTACCAATGATATTTTTCACCGAATTATTTAAAAACTATTCTAAAATTCTTGTGCAACCAAAAAGAAGCCTGAGTAGCCAAGACAATCCTGAACAAAAAGAACAAAGCTGGAACCATCAAACTTGACTTCACACTACACTATAAGGCTATAGTAACCAAAACCAGCACAATAATGGTACAAAAACAGACACATAAACCAATAGAATAGGTTAGAAAACATAGAAATAAAGCCATACAATCTACAACCATCTTATCTTTGACAAAGTTGGCAAAAACAAGCAATGGGGAAAAACTCCCTATTGAATAAATGTTACTGGGATAGCTAGCTAGCTATATGCAGATTGAAACTGGAAACTTTTTCCCACCATATGCAAAAATAAACTCAACATGGACTACAGATGTTAAGTGTAAAAACCAAAACTGTAAAAGCCCCAGGAGAAAACCCTGGTAATACTATTCTGGACATAGACCCTGACAAGGATTTCATGAAGAAGTTTTCGAAAGCAATTGCAACAACAACAACAAAAATGACAAGTGGGACCTAATTCAAATAAAGAGCTGTTGCACAGCAAAAGAAACTACCAATGGAGAAAACAGCCAACCTACAGAATGGGGGAAAATATTTTCAAACTATGCATCTGACAAAGGTCTAATATTCAGAATCTATAAGGAATTTAAACAAATTAACACACATAAAACAAACAACACTATTAATAATAGGGAAGAGACATGAACAGACACTTCTCAAAGAAGACATACACGTGGCCAACAAGCATGTGAAAAAATGATCAACATCACTAATCATCAGAGAAATACAAATCAAAACCGCAATGAAATACCACCTCACATTAGTCAGAATGGACATTAAAAAATAAAAAACAGATGCCCAGGAGGCTGCAGAGAAAAGGAAATGCCTATACATTGCTGGTAGGAATATAAATTAGTTCAGGCACTATGGAAAGCAGTTTGGAGATTTCACAAAGAACTTAAAACAGAAATACTTGTTTTTCTCACAGGCAAAAACAGGTTGACTCTGGTGGGTTGGCTTTATTAATTATTTTTTTTCTATTAGGTTTTCTTTAATAATGTTACATTTCTAAATTATAGCATATGTTTTAGTTAATTCTGAAATCAGTTACTTCATTTGTTAATTTATCCCTCATATCATGAATGTTGTTTTTTAAATGTTCTATACAAATTTGCATCACTTTTTTTCTTATAGCTTTTGCAGTTAATATATTCTAAATTTGAAAATGTGGTATCAATGGGTAATAGAAGTATCGCTGGAGGATTTATTTAATTTTGTATTAATTTTAGTCCTAGCTACTAAAGTATGTAAGCTTTAAAGTTTAAAATGTTTTTCTTAAATTAGCTATATACACAAACTTTTTCATATACTTTGTGAAACGAGAGGAGACAGTCCATTGTGCTTGTGGTTTTTCTTCTTTAATTTCCAATTCTGAAGCAGTGCAGATACACTGCACTTGATTAGGGTACATTAATCAAGTGAGCAAGGTGGAATATGTACAATATAAGGAGAAGCTGTATAAATAGTATAAAATTATAAAGTTTAACTGTAAAATGTACTGTATTTATATGTAACTCTCATTCTAAAATTTGCCACAAAAGCTGAATTGGAAGCTTCATGTCTGCATGAAATTTCCTATATTTTTAATGTGTATGATGAAATTAATTTTTCTTGAATATTAAAGTCTGCCAATCTCTACAAAAGACAAAAAAACAAAACAAAACGACAAAAAAAAAAAAAAAAAACAGAAACACCATTCAACCCAGTAATCCCATTATACACTAAAGGAATATAAATTGTCATACCATACAGGCTCATGAACACATATGCCCATTGTAGCATTATACACAATAGCAAAGACATGGAATCAACACATAGATGCCCATTAAGGGTGGACTGGATAGAGAAAATGTTGTACATATACACCATGGAATACTATGCAGCCATAAAAAGTATAAAATTATGTCCTTTACAGCAACATGGTGAAGCTGGAGGCCATTATCCTCAGTGAATTAATACAGGAACAGAAAAACAAATACTGCATGTTCTAACTTATAAATGCAAGCTAAACGTTGAGTACACATGGCCAAAAGAAGGGAAAAATAAACAGTGTGTCCTACTAGAGGGTGGGGAGTGAGAGTAGGGTAACGATAAAAAAACTACCTATCAGGTACTATGCTTATTAGCTAGATGATAAAATAATATGCACACCAAACCCCCATGGTGAACAATTTACCCATGTAACAAACCTGTACATGTATACTCGAACCTAAAATAAAAGTTGGGAAGAAAAAAAATCAATTATTTGCTCCATTAATTTTTTTGATTTTTTTTGGTGGGTCTCTATTTTGTTTATTTCTCCTCTGACTTTTGTTATTTCCTTCCTTCTATCAATTTTGGATTTGGTTTGTTCTTGTTTTTGTAGTTACTTGAGGTGTATTAATAGGTTCTTTATTCAAAATTTTACTTCTTCTTTAATGTAGGTGTTCATTGCCGTAAGATTCCCTCCTAGAACTGCTTTTGCTGTGTTTTGGTATAATGTGTTTTTATTTTTGTCTCAAATTTATTTTTTTAATTTACCTTTTAATTTCTTCATTGACCTATTGGTTGTTGAGGAGCATGTTGTTTAATTTATATGTATTTGTAAAACTTCTGAAGCTTTTCTTAAATTCTAATTTTATACTACTGTGTATAAGAAAAATATATACTTGTTATAATCTCCTCCTTAATAAATTTGGTATGACTTGTTAGGGGCATAGCATATGATCTATCCTGGAGAATCTTTTATGTGTAGCTAAGAAGAATGTGTATTCCCTAGCTGTTGCATAAAACGTTCTGTAAATGTCTGTTAGGACTATTTGGTCTATGAAGTTTCAGTTAAGTTGTTCAGTTTCTCTGTTGTTTTTTGTCTGGATGATATATTCATTGTTGAAAGTGGGGTGTTGAAGTCACCTACTATTATTGTATTGCTGTCTATATCTTCCTTTAGATCTAATAATATTTACCTTATCTATTTGGGTGCTCCAGTGTTGGGCACATATATATTTAGAATTGTTGTGTCCTCTCACTAAACTGATCCCTTTATTGTTATGTATTGACCTTACTGTCTTTTTTTTTTAATTTCTGACTTAAAGTCTTCTTTATCTGATAAAATTATAGCTACTCCTACTTGCTTTTGATTTTCACTTGCATGAATTATCTTTCTTTACTCTTTTACTCTCATTCGATCTTTGTCTTTAATGGTAAAATGTGTTTCTATTAGGCAGTACATATTTGGATTTTGCTTTTATATTCACTCAGCCACTCTGTATCTTTTAATGGGAAAATTTAAATCATTACATTGACGATTATTATTGATATACAAGGACTTACTCTTGCCATTTTGTTAGTTGTTTTTCTATTGCTTTGTAGATCTTTTGATTATGTCTTTTTCTCTTGTTGTTTACCTCTTTCGTTTGGTGGTTTTCTGTGCTTCAAAACTTTATTTCCTTTTTCATTTTTATTTTCTGTATCTGCTGTAATTTCTTTATTTGTGATTTGCATAGGTCTAACATGAAGAGTCTTGTAGTTATAATTGACTGATTTAAACTAATAGCAACTTAACATTGTTTGCATAAAAATACTTTAGATTTTATCCCCACACACACAATTGACATTTTATTGCCTCAATTTACTTCTTTATGTATTGTATGTTTCTTAGCTACTAATTATAGCTATTGTTGTTTTGATTATTTTGTCTTTAAGCCTCCATACTATAGGATTGAAAGATTTACATAATACTTTACAACACTGGAATATTCTGAGTTTGATTAATGAACTTAACTCTGCTGCTGAGTTTTAAACTTTGTGTGTTTTCATGACAGAAATTACTGTCCTTTTATTTTGAGTTGTAGTACTTACTCCTTTAAGCATTTCTTGTAAAGCCAGCATAGTGGTGATAAATTCCATCATTGTTTGCTTGACTGCGAAGGTGTTTATTTATCCTCCATTTTTAAAGAAGAGATTTACTGAATATAGTATTCTTGGCAGAATTTTTTTTCTTCTTTTCAGCATTTTGAATATATCAACCCATTCTTTCTTGGCTTGCATAATTTTTGCTAAAAAATTGCTGATGATAAATTGGAGATTCTCTTATATGTAATTTAATGCTTTTCTCTTTCAGCTTCTAGAATTCTTTTTGCTTTTTGCTTTTGACATTTTTATTACAGTGTGCCTTGGAGAGAATCTTTTTGGACTGAATCTGATTGGGAACCTATGAGCTTCTTGGATCTGGATGTCCATATCTCTCTCAATACTTCGAAAGTTTTTAGCTAATACTTTGTTACATAAGTTTTCAGTGTCTTTATTCATCTCTTCCCTCTCTTGCAACCTTATGTTGCAAAGATTTGTTTGCCTGTGTCTCTTGGGTTCCATAGACTTTCTTTATTCTTCTTTAAGGTCTTTTTTTCTCCTCTGACTGAGTTATAACAAAAACCCTATCTTCAAGTTCAAAAAAATTATTTCTTCAGCTTGAACTAATTTGTGGTTGAAACTCTCAATTTATTTTTTATTTTATTCATTGAATTCTTTAGTTCCAAGGTTTCTATTGGGTTCTTTGTTATATAATATCTATCTCTGTTGAATTTCTCATTCAGATGATGAATTGTTTTTCTGATTTTTATGAAATTATTTGTCTGCTTTATCTTATATTTTACTGAGCTTCAAGATCACTATTTTTCATTTCTTTTTCTGCATTTTGTAAATGTCCCTTTCTTTGGGGTCTGTTACTGGAGACTTACTGTGTTCCTTTGGAAGTGTCATGGTTCCTTGTTTTTCATGTTTCTTGTGTCCCTTTCTTGATACCTGTATATCTAGTGGAATAGTTGCATTTTCCAATTTTAAGGCATAGCTTTCATAGGAAGAAACATTTTCCCTATGGGTTGCTGGGTCCTAGCGGATCAGTAGGATGCAGTACATTAATTTTGATTCTGGGTAGATTCAGTTGCATGGACTTCATGCAGTCTCTTCTGCCATAGTCTTTGTCACTAGTGTGTCTGATTGTCTAGTAGTCTAAGCTGCGGAAATTTGTGATAATGATAGCATGGTTTTGTTGTAGGATAGGGCACTTGGCTGGTTATTGTACTGAGCATGATGGGCCAGACCACTCTTCCACAGTCTATCAAAGGGTGAAGGCCACCACAGGACCAGCTCTTGGGTTGGCCATGGGTGCATGCAGGCTCATCATCAGGCTGGCTGTGCTGCATGGGTATGCACAGGTGAGGTTGGCCAACCAACTTTTCAGCAACTTCCCTGCTGTGAAGGTCTGGCTGTTTCCTGGAGGAAGTGGAGTGCCACGTGGGTTTGAACATTGTGGTTTTGTTTGTTTCTTCTGCCATAGGTTCCAAGCAGCAAGAGTTTTATTGTAGCAGGTACTCACGTTAATATTATGTTATGATAGCAGAGACTCAAGGATGAAGAGAGGCAGTGGCTACTGGCCCCCACTGCAGGATACACTCTGGCCGTAGTGAGAGGTGAAGCTGGCTGGGCTTCTGGGTGGGGTGGAGACTTGGGGAACTTTTCTGTCTAGCTAAAGGATTGTAAACACACCAATCAGCACTCTGTGTCTAGCTAAAGCTTTATAAATGCACCAATCAGCACTCTGTAAAAAGCGCACCAATCAGTGCTCCGTGGCTAGGTAAAGGTTTATAAACACACCAATCAGCACTCTGTAAACATGGACCAATCAGTACTCTGTAAAACGGACCAATCAGAGCTCTGTAAAATGGACCAATCAGCAGGATGTGGGCGGGGCCCAATAAGGGATTAAAAGCTGGCCACTTGAGCCAGCAGCAGCAACATGCTCTGGTAACCTTCCATGGTGTGGAAGCTTTGTTCTTTTGCTCTTCACAGTAAGTCTTGCTGCTGCTCACTCTTTGGGTCCTCACTACCTCTATGACCTGTAACACTCACTGCAAAGTTCTGCTGCTTCACTCCTGAAGTCAGTGAGACCACGAACCCACCAGAAGGAAGAAACTCTGAACACATCTGAGCATCTGAAGGAACAAACTCCGGACACACCATCTTTAAGAACTGTAACACTCACCGTGTGGCTATTTTCATTCTTGAAGTCAGCGAGACCAAGAACCTACAGGAAGGAATAAATTCCGGACACAGTAAGTTCAGTTTCAAGAACGCATCATGCCATTAGAGCTTAGATCACAGGAGTGATGAATGTCCACCATAGGCTTCTACTCAGGTAATGCAGTAGTGGGAACTTCAGGCTACTCTCCAAACTTGATTCCAGGCCTGTCAGAATTAGAGGACTCTCCTGTAGCAAGGATTGCTGGCATTTGAGGTAATAATGAGGACTGCAGGAGATCTCTAGCTTACTTTCCTCCATAGGAAAAAGTTTACCCTGATTTTGAGCCAATCCAAGCAGAGGAGATAGTGTAGCAGAGACAAAACGACTTTCTTGCTTCTCCCTTGTGCTATCATGGATGTCTAGGTTCCACAGGGATTTTGCTGCTTTCCTTGTGCTCTGTAGCATACTGCCTCAGTAACTTCAGTCCAATCAAAATACTATTGTTTATTTGTTGTTTTGGTTTTCTTTTGTCGGGGAGGATGAGTGCCAGAAAGTCAGCCATCTGGCTCAGCAATCCATCACCATGACTTTTGGATGGGCTATTAAGCAGTGTCTTTCTAATGTTAACATGTACATATTCATTTGCCCATAATTTTGAATGGCAGGGATTAGAAACATTAGTGAAAATCCACAAAATATAAATGTATGCATATATTGCAGAATTGTTGCCTACCAAAAAAATGCTATCAAAATGTTCATCAATAATGAAATATTTAATAAATTGTGGTACAGTATAATAACCATTGAAAAAAATGAAGTTGATCTATACGTACTAATAGAAGATGTAAGCTGCAGAATGGTTTTACTTTTAAACATTGCATGTTTATTTGTGTTTCCTGGAAGTGGTAGTGGAATATGTCTATGTGTATTTTTATCAAAGTGCTTTGCTCTAAGGAAGGTTTAGAGAAGCAATATATGTCCAAACTGGTGTGTCCAGAAACTTTGTGGACCATAAGTTATAGCTGACTGAGCTATTTGTCAAAAAGTCTTCAGGGAATGGTGAAAAAAGCCATAGATACCCGCATCCTGCAAATAGGATTTCAAAATTCAGCTTTCACACTCTAATATGAGATTTGAACAATGTTATTTTATAGACCTCAAAGTTGTCTAATTCTGATCTTGCCGACCTGTCATAGGAATGAAATAAAATTATATTTATAAATCATAGATCATACAATGTATTCTCAACAAATGCCATCATCATTTTCCATGTACGGAAATGCATATTTATCTCAGTACTCAGTACAATTTTAAGCAGCATAAAAAAATGATATTTTTGGCTTTGGGCTGGAATAATAACTAGTGGTAGGTAATGTCAATATACATTATGCTAATTAGAAGCTCTAATTGCCAATTTTCTTGATTAATAATTTAAGGAAAAGAGTGAACTACTGCTTAATGGAAATTCTTAATGGAACCAGTCTCTCAAGTTTGTGGAACAAATCTCTCAAATGTTGAGGGGAAACAAGGAAATAGGTTTGTGGTGATAGTCAGCCTAAGCTTTGCTCAACAGGACGCCCTATGTGGCCTTTGCTTAGTCTCCTGCAGCCTTTGCATTTGCAATTTGCACAGGAAGAAAGAAGGCACTTCCAAACTCCAGGAGACAAACACGTCTTTTGAGTTTTGAATCTGAAAACACACTGATAAATGTGATTTTCCTCCCCCTTTGAGGAAGGTAGCATTGAAGTGTTAGAAATCCAGGCTAAAGGATTATTTCAATATCCTCTTGAGGTAAAAACCTTTAATCATAAGAAAAGTCTATTTTGTATTACTCAGCAGTTTATTTTTTCACATGAAAAATTCTTCCCACTTACCTCATCATCTTCCCCTGCCCCACCTAACGTGCTTATTCTCCATATTCTTATTTACTCAGACATGCACACATATCACGAAATGCGGTTTGATTTTAAATAAAAGGACAATTCTGCAGAAATGCAGAGAGTATCTTTTGGTAAAATGACTTCGAGGTCAGTTTTCGGAGTCCCTCGGTTTTTATATGCAATCTAGCCACATTTCCTCTCTCTGCTTTGCTTGCTTAACTTACTAGAAACTTGTGCACAATTTTGCTGTTGTTGGCAGTTTTTAAGGTATGGATTCGTGGAGGCTATTTACAAGATGCCAAGGGATGTCAAGTCAGGAACACGTGTTTTGTATTCCATGGTCCTTCCTTGACAGCAGAAATACTCTGCAGATTATCAGATCTATTTGCTGATATTTAACATCTTTTTTTTAAATCCACTACAGGTTTTGGATGAGATGAATTTTAATGCTTCTTCATGCTGAAACTGACAAAAAAAAATCCTTTACACATTTAAAGAGAGGAAATGGGAGCTTTACATTTCAATGCAAAGAGAGCTCATTTCATTTACTTAAACACTTCACAATTACTTTCTTGCCAAAAAAAATCAGCTTTTTATTTTATTTTTTTAAAGAAATAGCACTCTGTGAACATTCTAAACACTGAGCAGAACTAATGACAACTTGGTTATAGCCATTCTGAATTTGTCAGTATTTGCTTTGCCCAAGTTATCATGATATTGCTGAGGGGTGATTCAAGATTCTCTTGTCCCATAAAATGTTAATTTTTTTCTAACTAAAACAGTTATGAAATTACCTACCATTTTTAGTGAAGATGCAGAGTCATCAAATGTGAGTGAAGATTAGAAAAGACAGAGTCTGTGTTTCTCATAGTTTTTCTTACACTGTTCAGTTTTTATTTTCTTTATCTGGCCTCTTCACTGTAAGATGCTATGCCATGCCTTTCAGATTCTTGCTTCCCAGTCTGTTTCAGTTCCTCCAAATCGCTCTAAAACCACCACCATCCATCATTTCTATTAATTAACCAGGACTATAGCACAGGCCTTCCCAACTTGGAAGTCAATGAAAGTGTGTAAGCATTACAGTGATAAGACTGCACTGGGCTCTAAGCTCCCAAATGCTAGTCACAGCTAGCTCAACCGCATGGTTCTGGGTGACTTGACATGTGCTGTCTGCCTCTCACGCGCATCCGTGTGAAAAGACCACCAAACAGGCTTTGTGTGAGCAATAAAGCTTTTTAATCACCTGGGTGCAGGCAGGCTGAGTCCGAAAAGAGAGTCAGTGAAGGGAGATAGGGGTGGGGCCATCTTATAAGATTTGGGTAGATAGTGGAAAACTACAGTCAAAGGGGGTTGTTCTCTGGCTGGCAGGGGTAGGGGTCACAAGGTGCTCAGTTGGGGAGCTTTTGAGCCAGGATGAGCCAAGAGAAGGAATTTCACAAAGTATTGTCATCAGTTAAGGCAGGGAGCAGCCGTTTTCACTTCTTTTGTGGTGGAATGTCATCAGCTAAGGCATGAACCAGCCATTTTCACTTCTTTTGTGATTCTTCACTTGCTGCGGGCCATCTAGGTGTATATGTGCAGGTCACAGGGGATACGATTGCTTAGCTTGGGCTCAGAGGCCTGACACTGCCTGCTCAGTATCCTCTCTGGAGTCTTTGACTTAGTCGCAGTCTACAGCCACAGATCTTGTTTGTCATTACTTCTGAGGATCTGTATCCTTGACACAACCAGTCCCATCCAGTTGGTGTTCGATAAATATTTGAATGGGTGAATGAATGAATGAATGAATGAGGTGTTGCCAATGCCCCATCAGACTACAGGGAAAGGATGAGAAAAAAACTCCACTAATAACAGTAAACACCATTCACATTTTATTCCTGATATTTTTCTCTTTAACATTATCTATTTATTGATTTTAATTGACAAATAGTAGTATGTATTTATTGGGTACAGTATGATGCTTTGATTCATGTATACGCGAATCACCATACATGCTTATTATTTCTTTATGGTGAAAACAATTAAAATCTTACTATTTTAGTAATGGTCATGTATATATTAGAAGACATATGTTTAAAAATAATATAAATAAAAAGAGACAAAAATAGAGAGCAAAAAAATATTTCTACCCTATAGATTAATTTTCTTGCCATAAATAAATATCAAATAAGCGTCTAATTTTTTTCTCAGAAGCGAGGGTAAAAAATGCATGACACAGTAATTTACATAGCTTTCACCACGTGAATGAAAAAAAGCACAGTGGAATCCTTAGGGAAACAAAGATTTTACTTTTTTTGGCAACAAATTCTTACAGAAATTTCTCCCTTCAGACCTGCTGTAAAGAAAGAGGACCATTTTTGCTCCTCAATTGGAAATCACATCATCAATCTGACCCTTTTAATTAAATGTTATACTCTCAGTGGAAGAAATTTTAAAAATACTGAATAAGAATTTCACACTTAAATAAAGAGATCTTTTTGTTATATAATAAGTTATTATTATTACTAAGTTTAACACCAGTTTGAAATTTAGACAAAAAGGTAAGACTAAGAAAATAGAGTTTGTTGTTGTTGTTGTTGTTGTTTTTGAGATGGAGTCTTGCTCTATCGCCCAGGCTGGAGTGCAGTGGCACAATCTCGGCTCAGTGAAAGCTCCACCTCCTGGGTTCACGCCATTCTCCTGCCTCAACCTCCCCAGCAGCTGGGACTACAGGTACCCACCACCATGCCCGGCTAATTTTTTGTATTTTTAGTAGAGATTGGGTTTCACCGTGTTAGCCAGGATGGTCTTGATCTCCTGACCTCGTGATCTGCCTGCCTTGGCCTCCCAAAATGCTGGGATTACAGGCGTGAACCACCGCGCCCAGCGAAAATAGAGCTTTTTGAAATAATTTTTTCAAGGGAAAACAATGGAGCTGGCCCAGAGTCTAGTTTCATGGGTTGCACAAAATTAGTGCTCAATAATCCAGCCAATTGAACAAGTTTAGAGGGAAAATGGCATAATGGAAGGGCTCACTCAAAACCATTCATGAGTCACTTTATATTTAAATGACTCCGGATAAATCTTTCTTAAACAGCTATGAAAAGTTTTTGAGAAATAGCAGCCAGAAGGGTGAAGGTTTCTGCAGGAGAGCATGGGAAAAAATGACTATGTAGACGTTTTTCCATAAGATTGCCTGAAGCATTTTGAATCTCTACCTTAAATTCTTACATCTACATAAATAATGCAAAATCTTCATATTAACCAATCATTTTAGAACACTCAAGATTTTGCAGTTTTCATTCTGAGGGTGAAATATTAAGTTGTGTCTATCTCAGCATTGCTCTTTCCAGATGCTCTGATCATCCAGTTTTTCTCTTTGATGGCCAATTCATATGATCCTCAATAGGAACTCATGACCAGAATGATGAAAACTATGATAAGCCAGTGGAAATCATGAGTCATAAAGGCTAAGGCAGATGACCAGATAATTTGAATCAATCCCACTTGTTATTGGTGCTAATTCATTGGATTCTGTGTGCTAATATCTTATTTAGTGTTTTTGCTTCAATATGCGTGGAAAATATTGAACTTGGTTTTCTTTTTATATTGGCTTTAGGAATTTAGATACCAGTATTATACTGCTTCAAAAAATAAATTATTATAAAGTTTTCCTTCCTTTTAAATGTTCTTTTGTTATTTATAAAGCTATTTTCTGGTCTTTGAACATATAGTAGAATTCCCTGTGATACCCTCTAGACGTGATACTTTTTGTGGAATATTTCCAGTGGAAACTAAAAGCATTCTATTTGTAATGGGGCCAATTTCAGTTGATTGCATTTCTTTAGGAAGGTTTCAAAATTTGTTTGCATAGAAATCTGCAGGATAGTCTCTTAACAATTTTTAAAAACGTTTCTTTCCCAGTGTTATTTCTCTTGTTATTTCCTATTTTGTATGATCCAATTTTTCTTGATAAATTTAGCTGGTGGTTCTTCTATTCTGTTAATTTTCTTAGAAACCAGAACTTATAATTTTTAAATTGTAGTTACTGTTTTTCCATTCTTGACCTTATCGGTTTCTGCTTTATTATTTATTTATTTATTTGAGATGGAGTCTTGCTCTGTCTCCCAGGCTGGAGTGCAGTGGCACGATCTCGGCTCACTGCAAGCTCTGCCTCCCAGGTTTATGCCATTCTCCTGCCTCAGCCTCCCCAGCAGCTGGGACTACAGGCACCCGCCATCATGCCTGGCTAACTTTTTGTATTTTCAGTAGAGACAGGGTTTCACCATGTTAGCCAGGATGGTCTCGATCCTCTGACCTCGTGATCCGCCCGCCTCGGCCTCCCAAAGTGCTGGGATTACAGGCGTAAGCCACCAAGCCTGGCCTGCTTTATTTTTAATACTTTCATTCTTCTGTACCTTTTAGTTTTATCTTATTGTTCTAGTTTCTGAACTGGGCATTTAATTTTATTTATTTTAATTTTTACTAATGTATGTGTTTAGTATTAGGAATTTTTCTCTGATCACTATATTAAATATACTTCATAGATTCTGATATATAGTGTGTTTGTTATTTTTAAACATGTATAATTATTTCCTATGTGCAATTTGTTTGTGTTTCTCCTTCTACTCAAAGTAGTGAAATAATCAAATCCAAACTAATATTCATGGTAAAAATATTAAACGTCAAAGATGACGTCTCCAAGGCCTCGAGACAGAAAGATCTAATAACTTACACAGGTGAAAGAAATAGACAAGCATCAGATTCTTCTAAACCAACATACAAAGTAAGGCAATAATGAAACAACATTTAAAATGAGAAAAACAAAAATGCAATTTAAAAAAGTGAGCTTCTATATCTCATCTATTGATCCTTCAGATATCAAGGCTATAAAAATGAGCTTCAGATTAACTTTTCCAGATACCCAGTGAACCATCTTAGTAATTTTCAATTTTTTCTATTTCTGGAACATTTTTGGGTTTATAGTTTGAAATATTAGCTGAGTTCAATTGTTAAATTTGTTTGTTTTCAGAGACTCTAATACAAGAAACATTATTTATTCTTTGTTTTTCTTCCACTTTCACTATTTTCTCACTGACCCTTTCATTTTCACTTTTTTGGTTATTTTCCTGTCTTTCTTCCATGCCTTATAAAATTATTATTTGAGTCTTTCCTTCCTTGGGCCCCTTGCAATGTATTATTTATTTGTGAGACAGTTTTGCCTTTTTCTTCCATTTCTTTCCCTAATTAAATCAATTCCCTTTTTATTTCTTTTTTGTTGTTGTTCATTTTTGTTTTTATTTTTAAAGTTCTGACTCAAGATGGGTTTTCATGTACTTATGGCTTGTTTGAGTATATTTATTTTTGTTTGAAGTGCTAACATACATTTATGTTCTGTTTCTTCCTCCAAACCTCCTCCACACCTTCTCAGAGGAATGTTCCTCAGTTATCATGTGTGAAATTTTGTTTCCTGATTTTCTGCAATAGATCCATGTGAATTTCAGTCATCTGTCTGTTTTTATGGTATATAGACATTTTGTATAATTCCTAGTTTAGTAGCAACCTCATCTAACACCTCTAAGTCAGATTGTCTTTTATTTAAATTGAATGCTCATTGTTTTGCCATTTGGCTACTGTCCCTTTACCATTGTTCTAATGATACGCTTGTTGCTCTAGTGCCTTTTACGACTTTTCAGATGGTAGAAAGACTGGAACTAGAAATAAAATTTTGTCATCATGCTATGTTGTCATCAGTGTAATTATCTCTCACAACTAAAGCTTTTTAAGGAAAGTCCAGATATTTTGGCTGGTCTTTTCTGTTTGTTTCTGTGGTTTGGAGAGGAGATTGCAAACATTTCAATTTTTATTTTTATTTTTATATATTTTTTGAGACGGAGTTTTGCCCTCTCGCCTAGGCTGGAGTGCAGTGGCACGATCTTGGCTCACTGCAGCCTCTGCATCCTGGGTTCCAGCGATTATCCTGCCTCAGCTTCCCAAGTAGACTAGCTGGGATTACAGGCACACGCCACCATGCCCAGCTAATTTTTGTATTTTTAGTAGAGACAGGCTTTCACCATGTTGGCTAGGCTGGTCTTGAACTCCTGACCTCAGGTGATCCGCCCACCTCGGCCTCCGAAAATGCTGGGATTACAGGCGTGAGCCACTGCACCTGGCTGCATTTCAATTTTATGGTTCTCTTTTGTCTGGTAAGACCTTACTTTTTATGTATTTATTTATTTATTTATTTATTCATTTATTTTTGAGACATAGTCTCGCTCTTGTCCCCCAGGCTGGAGTGTAATGGTGCGATCTTGGCTCACTGCAACCTCCACTTCCTGGGTTCAAGTAATTCTCTTGCTTCAGCCTCCTGAGTAGCTGGGATTACAGGTGCCTGCCACCACACCCAGCTAATTTTTGTATTTTTAGTAGAGACAGGGTTTTACCATGCTGGCCAGGCTGGTCTTGAACTCCTGACCTCAGGTGATCCACCCGCCTCGGCCTCCCATAGTGCTGGGATTACAGGCGTGAATCATTGCACCTGTCCAGCCTTACTCTTTTTATTCTTCATTACTGTTGCTAAATTGTGCTTCTTTCTTCTTCTTTTCCCTCCTCAAATCTATGCCACTTTAAATCACACCTATCCTTTTAAATTATGCTTGCTCTGTTAAATTCAGCCTACCACTTTAATTTGCACATATTTTGAAACCTTTGCTTATAGCCCATGCCTGTGAAATAGGAGAGTTCCCTGACTCCCATTGCAAGATGTGCAACGGGGATGTGGCTTGTCTGTTCAGCTACCATGGGTGCTCGAACACCTTAAGGGACAGGGATCACACAGATGGGCAGGTGCAGGAGTGGGGGCAAGCGCTTCTGGGCTCTGGCCCCATGGTAGCACCTAGGGGTGGGTGCCTGTGACTCCCAAAGCCACATTGGGTGTGATACAGTTGTCTTTTAGCTCTGCTGTCTGCAGACGGCTTAAGTGTTAACCAGCTCAGTGCCCTCTTGGTATTCTGGTTCTTGTCTGGCATCCAGGCAGAATCAGGTCACACACAGACTTGAAGGATGGTGAATGCAGGGCTTTTATTGAGTGGTGGAGGTGGCTCTCAGTAGGATGGATGGGGAACTGGAAAGGGGATGGAGTGGGAAGATGATCTTCCCCTGGAATTTGGCTGTCCATTGGCTGATCTCCTCTCTGACTGTCCCCAGACGACCTCCTCTTGACTTTCAGATACTCCTTCTTTTCTCTCCTTCTCTGCCACACTGTTCTACCATTCTTCTGCTCTTCTGTTCATCTGCCCTTGGAGCCTGAGGTTTGGGGTTTATATTGGTCAGGATAGTGGGGCATGGCAGGCCAAAAGGCAACTTCTGGGTGTGAAAAAAGGAATACCTGTTCCCATTTAGGGCCACTGGTTTCTAGGCTTGAAGGTGGGGCCTTTGCCAGGGATCCACCCTCTTCTACCCAGTATTTCCCTGTCTCCTGTCCAAATCACCTGGATCCACTCAGATACTTTTCAGACTTAGGGAAGACCTTGTTTTCCTGAAGCAGTTTAAGTTCAAGTTTAGGCCCCTCCACAGCCTTTCATCTTCTGTCTTTCCCCACAATGGGGCATTACTTTGGGTGGAGGTCTGGCAGGAAATCATTGACTTTTGTTTTTTTTTTAAATTAGAGTGATTTGAAAGATTGTACATCGTCTTTCCTCAAGTTATGCAGAGGATGTGATTTTCAAGTACAGTCTATTTTTCTTTATTATTTTGTCTGTTTTGTACTGTATTAAGGAGGCATGCAGTGGGCTGCCACCACTGTCTTCAGCCACCCTTAAGTCAGATTTTCTTTGATTTAAATTGAATGCTCATTGTTTTGTCATTTGGTGCCTGTCCTTTTACCATTGTTCTAATGATATGGTTATTGCTCTAGTGTCTTTTATGACTTTTGAGATGGTAGAAAGACTGGATCTAGAAATAAAATTTTGTCATCATGCTATGTCATCAGTGTAATTATCTCTCACACCTAAAACTTTTTAAAAAGCACAAATATGTTTCAGTTCACTTGATCCTCACATAACCATGATGAAGTATTTACTGTCTTTATTGTACTAATAAAAAGCAAACAAAGCCCCCCAATACCTAAATAGGCTAAGTGTCTTGCCCAAGTCACATGGTTAATCTGAAAGCCAAGAATGTCAAAGTCTAATGTCCCTTTTACTCAAGTTATGGGAAAAAATAGAAATAACATATAAAAATAAATGAGCTATAGGTGTAGAAACAATTATTAAGGCATCAGCATTGTTTAACATCTTTACAAAGTTTAGTTAATTAGGGAATATGTATTTATTAAGCCTTGACTCCACAGCAATTTTGGTTGTGGAGTCAATTCTTTCTAGCCCCTGTGGATTCAGGGGCTTATCTTGGTAACATTGTGGCAATTCACTTCAAGACTAATATTTTAGAGTAAATAATATGAATTAAAATACTTACTCCAACACAGATTGTTGAAGGTTGACAATTTCTTTAGTGTTTGATACAGTTTCCTAAGATGATCAATTTCATTTTGGAGAATGGAAGTGGGGACACCTCTTTGCTTCAGTTCCACATTCCTTTAAAGCTAATGGAGTAGTTTAGATTCAGTATAGAATGACTTGATAGAAAAGTTTTTAATCAACTTGAAGCACTTGGGTTTTGGAGATAGAAAAAAAAATGAGTAAATTACTTCTCACTTACTAAATGCTAAAATTTTCCACTTCTTATTTTTCCCCTTCTTATTTTAAATGTAATTGTGTAGCAAAACTCTTCAGGAAACAATTCAGGGATCTTCTATACCCTCCAAACCCCTCACTTATGTATTTCTTTCCATTGACATGCATTTATACACTAATGACCCATAATCTTAACAATAAAATGACCCTTCTCCATAGCAAATCGTTGATTCACAAAGCTCAGACATCTCCATCATCTATGTTCAGACAATTGTGCTGGGAATCTTTTCTTAACAAAATGATGCCAAATTCTTAACAGCAGGTTGCATCTGAAGACTGACTTGTGGCAGAAATTAGTGACTTTGATTTAAACACCCTTTTCTCTAAATGTTTCAAAGAAAGAGTGAGAGGGAATAAAAAGGGCAGTTTGTTAAAAAAATAAAATAAAATAAATGATAGACAACACTTAAAAGTAATACATTTATGTTGGTTTCTTGTAGCAATTCTCATTTTCTCCCTTTAGGATTAAATGTCAGCTGAAGGTTGAATCGGGCAAAAACTGAAAGAAGACAACAGTTTGAAGGCTTCCCTTTCCATTTCCAAACATAATACCAAATGACTTAAAATGAATGAAGATGCTTTAGAGCTCTGGGTGTCACGATAAAACATAAACTTACACATTCACTTTGACCCACATATTGTCCTTTCTAAGATGTTTCAAAATGGGAAAATCCTCTGTGTCATTTTATTTGAAAAAAAAAATCAGGAAGCACCATTGCATGCATGTGAGCCGAGCAGATGTGCATACAAACATGCGTGTGTGTACATGAAGCACAACCAGCATTTGGAATATCCTCCCTCAGGCAAAGCAAGGACCTGTAAGTAGTACTATTTTTCCTATCAGCCCTGGAGAGTACAGAGGGAGCCCTGTGTGTTATTAATGGATAAAATCTGAACGGCAGCCAACCCCAAGGTGAACCCTATGCATTTAAAACATTTCATCAGACAGCTAAGGTTTTTCTTTTTTTTTTCAGCAGATATCTCTCCAGCCACCACTCAATAGATCCCAAGAAGAGAGCAATAGCTGGCCTCACTAATGTGCAAATTGATAGTATGAGCTCCCCACCAAAATATAAACAGCTCTTTATTCCTTAAGTATCAATATCATAGGCTGGGCTGGTGTGAGGGAAGTCTGTGGACTACCGTAGAATTATCTGGCAAAAAGAAATAGTAAATGTAAAATCTTTGCCCAGCCAGCTGGCTTCCTGAGTTTCTTTCTGTGATGTTTGAATGCTCTGCTGAATTCTAACAGCTGGAATCTAGACATTTGTCTAGTTTATGACTTCAGTTTTTTATAAGGGTTAATGTGGGTGGTTTATAAAGTTAGAGGTAGAATAAAAATAATTAATGTTTACTTATTATTTTTATTTGTCTCTGCTTAATTACTAAAATGGTTTGAATGTTCACTGGTTATTTTCATTTGCTGCGGTCCATTCTTTACTCTGTTTTGTTCCCAGAGAGGCTGACTCCTGCGTATTGTATCACCCTGGCTACCTGGCCAACTGGCTTCAAATTGGGCTTGACCACTGGGAGGTCCTGAGAGAAGACTGGAGGACAACAAGAGGCAGAGACTGTGGTATTTCTTTCTTCCTACTGTGGGCCGGATTGCTGGCACTGGCTGTGTCCTTCCAGGAACACAGCTCCCAAAGAGAGGCCCATCTGCATGGCCCCAGCTCTCACTGTTCTTTGCTAACACAACTTCCATTCGTGCCTCTTTAGGCTTGGAAGTGGCAAAGCCTGTCCACTCTTGCTAGTCTCTGAGTGCCTCATATCCCTGATTTTTCCCTTTTGCTCTATCCACAACTCAGGAAGTAATTTCTTCATTAGAGTCCCCTGTACCACATGGACTGGATTCAACTTTCTGCTATTTTCAGTATTAAATTAGTTAATATTTGTAGAATGCTTACAATAGTGCCTGACACATAATAAGCATGCTTTATGTTTGTTAAATCAATAAAAATAAACACATATAATATAACACTGAGTCATGTGTTCAGAGGAAAGGGGTGCTATGTTTGTCCAGGCGGAATCAAGAGCTCACCCCTGGTGTAAGAGTTTGTGGAGTCAAGGGGTTAATACGCAGGAGAAAGAAAACCCCCAAGGTGACCAAAACAATAGCAGCAACAACAAAACAGAGTTGTATGCCATACCCTAGTTCCTAAGGTTGCTATTTTGGCCTCAAGGATTCTTTTTTTTTAATATTGGTTAAACATGCATTTCATTTTTCCAAAGTAGAATTTGAAACTCTACTAACTCTACTAACTTTAGTTGCTCTTCCTAACTAAAGAGAGCAAAGACTAAGCAAGTATGAGTAAAACAAAAGGAAACTTTATTAACACATCCTGGCTACCTTTAGGCCAGTAGAGAGGAAGAGGAGGAGGATGTACATGCCTAGAAAAGAATAGGAAGTCACAGCCCTTGCCACTGCAGCCTGGGTGTGTGACACTGCAGTAGGCTATGTCAAGGAAGGCTGTAGTCCCCAAGGAACTAGATCTGCCTTGTCTTATGGGAGAAATGCAGAGCAGGAATTCAGTAGTCTGGCAGGTCAAGCAGCAAAGGCCCAGCAAAGAATGTGAGTCCTGTCATCCAAGACCATCTTAGGGCCCTTTTTTTTTTTTTTTTTCTTTGAGACGGAGTCTTGCTCTGTCACCCAGGCTGGAAGTGCAGTGGAGCGATCTCGGCTCACTGCAACCTCTGCCTCCTGGGTTCAAGCTATTCTGCCTCAGCCTCCTGAGTAGCTGGGACTACAGGCACCTGCCACCATGCCTGGCTAATTTTTGTATTTTTAGTAGAGATGGGGGTTTCACCATATCGGCCAGGCTGGTCTCGAACTCCTGACCTTGTGATCCGCCCGCCTCAGCCTCCCAAAGTGCTGTGATTACAGGCGTGAGCCACCACGCCTGGCCTGGGCCCTTCTTTTAACTGAATGTATTTTATTGAATCTGACCAGCCTGACAATGGCTCGTCTGTGCCTGCGCAAGAAACTCACCAATACTGTCAAATGATATTGCTCCAATCTAGACTGTACACATGAATTCAACTACTACACTATTATCAGGTTTTGTTGCAAATTTGTCCCCAAAAAGATTGTCCTAGGAACCACTGTTATATACTCTGCAATGCAAATCTCCATTTGCCTTTCAAGAAGCTCCGTTCAGCAGGAACTGGCCTCATCTCGAAATTTATTACCCTTTTGCCACTTTTATGTCTGCCCAAGTCTGAATTTTTTGTCTAGAACGCTGCCTAGGGAGGCTCTAACAGAACAGTTTGTGGTTGCAACTCAATGCCATAAAGAAGAGTTGAGGTGCTGGAGAATCCATTTTAAGTTCAGCAGAAGAATGCAGAGTAGGCAATTTGTGTTCTGTCCTTTCACAAGTGTCCTTACCCAGCTTAGAGGCAGACAGACGTCTTTAAGTTTCCAATTTCTGGTTGATAACTGTTGGCTTCCAGAGATGCATGGAAGCCCACATACACACATGAATAAGCATGTATGTGTGCATGGGTACACAGAAACACACATACACACACTAGGCACAATTCCATATATCTCCCAAGGCAAGCATTACTTCTATTCTAAATCTATAAGAAAGAAAAACAATATTTTCCTAAGTGCTCCATCATTTGAAAGGCAGCCTCTCAGAGTGGAGTTCACACTGAGCCCTGTCTGGTTCGATGCAAATAAGAATAATGCACATTGCTGAGACATAGATCACTTTTTTTGTTTTGTTTTTTTGTAGAGATGAGGTCTCTCTCTGTCACCCAGGCTGGAGTGCGGTGGAATGAACACAGCTAATTGCAGCCTCAAAATCCTGAGCTCAAGTCATTCTTTGACCTCAGCCTCCTAAGTAGCTGGGACCACAAGCATGTGTCACCACACCTGGCTTCTTTTGTTTGTTTGTTTTGTACAGATGGGGGTCTGTGGCTCAGGTTGATCTCAAACTCTTGGCTTCCTCCTGCCTTGGCCTCTCAAAGTGCTGGAATTATAGGCATGAGCCACCATTCCTGGCTGAGGGGGGGATATTTTAAATTACTATGTTTCATTCTTAAATAAAATATGTTCATGATAATTAAAACAAGAAACAAGATTTATAATGAACAGTGACAGTATCCAAGCCCATCCCAGGTCTATTTTCCTATTCCAGAGATACAGACATTAATGGTAGTTTAGTTTTATATTTTTAGCAATATGCATATAAATATGCTTTTATATTTTTATGCAATAAAATGAATTTCCTTTTTGTCTTTATAGATCAATGATTTTGTGCTTTTTCATTGTGGTAAAATGTACATATAAAACTTACTATTTTAACCATTTTTAAGTGTACAGTTCTGGAATAAAGCACATTTACAGTGTTGTGCAGCCAATAATCATGATCCATTTCCAAAATTTTTTCATCTTGATAACCTGAAACTTTATATCTATTAATTGACAACTCTTCATCACATCTTTGCCTCAGTCCCGGAAACAACCATTCTACTTTGGCCTCTATAAATTTGACTTCTCTACATATCTTAGATAAGTGGAATCATACAATATTTTTCTTTATGTGACTGGCTCATTTCAAGTTTCACCCACGTTGTGGCATGTGTCCAAACTTCCTTAATATTGAAAGCTGCATAATATTCTATTGTGTTAATTTATCCATTTGCCAGTGGACACTTGGGTTGCTTTCACCTTTTGACTATTGTGAATAATGGTGCTATGAATATGAGTGTACAAATATCTCTTTAAGTATTTGCTTTTAATCTTTTGGGTAGATATCCAAAAGTGGAATTAATGAATAGTATGATAATTATATTTTTAATTTTTCGAGGAATCACAATACTGTTCTTCATAGTGGATATATCATTTTACATTCCCACCAACAGCACAAAAGAATTTCAGTTTCTCCACATCCTAGCCATGTGCACTTGAGAAGAATGTGTATTCTGCTATTTTTGCCTGGAGTGTTTTTTAAATGCTTGTTATGTCCATTTGGTCTACAGTGCTGTTCAAGTTCTCTATTTCCTTACTGATCTCCCCTCTGGTTTTTGTATTCATTATTGAAAATGGAGTATTAAAGTCTCTTACTATTATTGTAGATACATATATTTCTCCATTCAGTTCTATAAATGTTTGCTTCACATATTTAGGAGCTCTGCTGTTTGGTGCATATATGTTTACAATTGCTGTATTTTCTTCATGAATTGATCCTTTTATCATTATATAATGTCCTTCTTTGTGTCATGTAACAGTTTTAACATGAAGTCTGTTTTTTTTCCTGTTACATGCCACACAAGAGACAGGCAATGGTAAATAAAAATGCTATAAAATTTTCCTACCATTTCAAGTGTGGCTTTTTTTCCCCTTCATTAAGGGTCTATTTGGTTGCTATAGATCTTTGGCTGATTTCCAGAACACCTGTAAAATTACTTTAGTTAGTTTCTAGTTGTTTATTTAGTGTTTCCATGAGGAAATAAGGTCCTAGAGCCTCCAAGTCTGCCATCTTGCTGATGTTACTCTCAGTTATATGGAGATACGTATAATATACACACAGACGTGTGCGTGTTTAGCTATATTTGTGTAATCACTACCACATTTAGGGCACAAAACAGTTAGAATTCAGAAGAATCCCATCCTCTTTGAGAACTCTCTCATATTATCTCCTTGTAATCACACTGTCCATCCCACACATAGACCCTGGCAACTATGCAGATATATATTATACAAAAATAAATTCTTACTATACCCACTACTCTGCAACTTGCTTGTTGTACTTATCAGTATCCTAGACGCCACTGTAAATCAATGCATGTGTACACATTTAATATTTTAATGAAAGCTTAGTTTTCCACCATCATTGGTTTATCTGGGCTTATATACATGTATAACATGATCTTTACTAGACTTTTCAAGCTGTACTGAATACATATATTGAAATTGGTCATTCAACACTTCTGCTAATATAACTGTAGGATAATTTGAATTTCTATGTCAAAAGTTATATGAATTTATGCTTTTAATACATATAGCTAAGATACTGTCCAAATTTTACACCAATTTTCACTCCTACAAGAGTAAAATGCCTTTCTCTCCATGTACTCATTAACGATGTTTATAATAAAATTTTAAAACATTGACAATCTTAGAGAAAAAAGTTATAAAACTCTGTTGAATTTTGCATTTATTCAGAATGAACAAAGTTAACATCCTTTCCTTTGTTTAGCCATTTGTTTTTGTTTTCTGGAGGATTACCTTCTGGAATGTTTTGTCCTTTTTTTTATTTGATTGCCTTTTACACTGATGTATAAAAACTCATTGTACATTGATGAAATTATTCTTTATCTGTCATAATTTTTTTCAGTTTGTTATTTGTAGTTCTACTTTGTGATATTTTGCCATCTAAAAATTTTAACTTTTATGTGCTTTGATTTTTATTTTCCTTTCATGCACATGTGTCATGCTTAGGAAAGCATTATCTTTTAATTTATAATAAAATCTAATAAAATTTTCTTCATTTTAAGGTTTCAACTTTTGAATCTTTTATTTATTTAGCTTTGTTGTGTGGTTTAGGAGGTAAGGTGGAGATCTACCTTTATTATTTTTCCCAAATGGCAATTGAGTTGATCCAATGCATTTTAAGGGGAAACACATTTCCTTTCACTAATTTGAAATGCTAGTTTTATAAATTACTAAATTCCCATATGCAGTTAGATTCATTTCTGGACTCTCTATTCTATTCTTTTGATCTGTGTATTCTTTAGTCCCACAACCAAATTGGTTTAATTATTGTACCTGTATGAAATATTTTACTATATGCTAAAGTTAGTCAAGCTTTACTATATTTTCTTTTTAAAAATATCTTTATTCTTAAATGTATTTTTAATGAAATTTACGCAAACAAGCAGACAGTTTAAGACAGAAATCAATAATAGCAACAACAAAAATAAATAATTGGAAATAAACCTAAAATTAAGAAAACCTTACGCCTCTTTTAAGGAGCACAAAATAAAACATGAATAAATGGGAAGAAATAGCTTGACCTTGTCTAAAAAGAAAAAATTTTAAACTTTTCAGTATTCCTATTTATTAAATAACTGCAATCTAATTCCAACCAAAATTCTAAAAGGAATTTTCTTTTCAGTTTAACTAAATGTTACTAAACTTTATCTTTAAAATCTGTGTGACTCTTCTTAGTCATTCCCTGAACAACACTACAACAAGAAAGCTAAAGCTTTTGAATTAAGGGCCTATTTGTTAAATAAGGTCCTTTTGGTGTTCCAGCCTTTGGGGATGTGGTTTTATTCTTCCAGTTATATAGAAACACTGACATTGTATCTTTATCTTCAATATAAGCAAATACATATATCATATAATGACCAGCTGCTAGGGAAAGAAGCCTCTCCCTTTCCCTAATAGCTATATCATTTTCCTGATTTAGAGACCTGGAACATTTTTTAAAAATCCAAATGCCATATACCACTATGCAATGAAATGTTACTCTCTCTTCATTATTTAAAATGTAAACCTCTCAAAGGCAAGAGTATTCACTTTTATTCTAACCCATGTTCTAATTTGAAGGGGCTTAAGAAACATTTAGATTGTGAATGGGGTGCCACACTTGCACACATTCCTAAGAAATAATCTTCCTATTTCTTTTCCATTCTCTTTTTTCACTTCTTCATCTGATTTTTGTTTTGTTTTTGTTCTTAATCAGAGAAACTATGACTGTAATTCAATGTGCGTCTCTAACAGAAGACTGAATTTTGGAAAACATCAAGATTTCAGAAAATCAGGAAAATTATATATTGTGCCATGTGTTGATAAACTGACTTTTTGTCAAGACCACCATATAAATAATGTGTTTTCTGCTGGGAACATGTTTCTTTGAAATGTAGGACTGCCTAGCTAAAATGCTAGATCTTCTACTTGTTTACTGAAGTTTCTGTCTGCTTGTATAGGCTTCAGGATCCTTTTACTAAATGTGACTCGGTTTGGGGAATCCAAATATGTAGTGGGAGATCATGCCTAAATTAAGAGTTCTTCACTCTTGACAGGCTGACAAAACATGCTGTAAGTGAATCTCAGAGGATTCAACACGAAAAAGTCATGCTCAACTGGAGAAATTGTTTAAAGCGAAAGGAGGTTGTATCTAACATTCAAATGTGCTATTTTCTTCAGAACATTTTTAACTGTAGACACTATATGTATTATGGCCAAAAAACAAGAGCTATAAATACATATACACATCTTTCTATGGCTACACCAAACCTGAGATACACACACCTCACACACGCATATACAACACACCCACAGCTTTTCCAAGTTAGATATTTTTACCAAAGACTTTTTCTAATTCCCAAAGTCTAAGGCTTTAACTATTGAAACAATCAAAGAATAAGAATTTTACATTTTTAATTGCTACAATTGATATTTTTCCTCAGTTGGAAAGACCTGGTCAAAATAGATCCTAATTAAGGAGTTGTAAATTATTAACTTGTCCTCCAAATATAAGAGATTTAAAAATAATTTTTAGCAACCATTTATTGCAGATGCAGTATGTGCAAACAAGGAATATCTACTGTTGACAAAAGTCAATGAGGTAAGGATCACTGATAACCAGATCACTTTCAAGAGACGATTTGTTAGCTCATCTATCGAATAGATACCAGTATTCTGATGACTTAGAAGTGTAGTGAAACATTTAATACAGCTTCCAAAAATTATTACTGTTAATATTTTAAACCCACTTAATTTAAAAAATTCTTGTCAAAACTTACAAACCATAACAGAAGAATTAGGTAAATTAATCTATATTCAAATATTCAAATTAAGAACTTCCGTTCACCAAGCCAAAGATTTTTTTTTTTTTTTTTTTTTTTTTTGACAGAGCGAGACTCTGTCGCCAGGCTGGAGTGCAGTGGCGCGATCTCGGCTCACTGCAACCTCTGTCTCCCGGGTTCAAGGGATTCTCCTGCCTCAGCCTCCCAAGTAGCTGGGACTACAGGCACATGCCACCATGCCCATACAATTTTTGTATTTTTAGTAGAGACGGGGTTTCACCATGTTGGCCAGGATGGTCTCTATCTCTTGACTTTGTGATCCACCCACCTTGGCCTCCCAAAGTGCTGGGATTACAGGTGTGAGCCACCGTGCCCAGCCCAAGCCAAAGATTTTAAGCTATCTACATGTTGAAATTGAGAAGTGGCTTGATATAGGGCCAAAATCAAGGCAAGAAAACAGAAAATAAACCAAGACTAACATTTTAAGTCGTGCTTTTTTCCAGAGATGTTTATTATTTTTGATGTGGGTGTGGTTTTAAAATTATAAAATAACTTCGTCACTCTCTTTTCATTGTTCTCTGTATCCCTCTTCTCCAGTGCAATGTTTGGCCCAAGTAGGCTACAAAATAAATCAATGTGGAAAAAAAAGCAGAAAAAAAATAAATAAATGCTATTTCTCAGTGTTCATTTTTTTTAAATGATGCTGTATTTTTCCATGGAAGAACTATGTGCTGCAATGTGTTCATCTTGCTCTTCTTGTGAAAAAGTCAATTAAAATGGGAATGCTTATTTAAATGGATTTGTATCGATGTTCTCTATGAAGTAAAAAGTGTCAGTATCCTGCACTGACACATTTTATCCTAATCAAAAGTCTCTTTTGTTTTAAAAAATTTGGCTTCTCCCAAAAGCAGATTTTATTTCTGAATACTTCTTAATTTGGATCCAAAAGAGACTACTGAGCATATACATTCATGCTAAAGAAATTTCTATTGGACTTTGGTGCTGTCACATGAAATACCAAATGGTTTGTAATCTACACACTGCTGGCCACCATTGCTCTCAAATAGATATTTTTAATGTCATGTGACTTTGCTGCCCTCCTGTGGCTGCTTCTTGGGGTGCCTGGGTCTTGGTTTATGTCTATGGGTTCCAGTGACCCTTTAACTAGGTCACCCCACACTCTATACTGAGTGCTCCTGGGCACGCATGCATGATCTACCTCTTATCTTACACAAACCAATGAACTGCTTGCAGTCTCTCTCATGACTACTCACCCCTGCCATCGTAGCATGACAGCAGCCATGGACAATATATAAATGAATGAGCATAGCTGTATTCCAATAAAACTTTATTTATAAACTTTTATTTACAAAAACAGGTGGGGAAGTGTGGGCACTGGGTTTGCTCCATGAGTTGTCATTTGTCAACATCCATTCTATAGTTATTTCCTATTGTATCGATGTTGAACAAATTTTCTTGATAAATTCGGTGATAAATACATTTGAATGAATTGTCTATTTTAAATCACAAAATATTTCAAAATATTCCATTCATAATTGAATTTATATAAATATTGATACTGTCCAGTCCAAACTTTATACTCCATCGTTATGATATTTAAATTGCAATATGACTTTTCCAGGTGACTTCTCCAAATAGCTAGCAAGCTATCCATTGCAATTTATCTGTATATATCAATTTCAGAAAAATGGTTCTCTGCAGAGGCATGTCTATACTTACAAAGGAGTACCGTGAACACTATTTTTTCCTTAAAATTGCCAGCATCCCACATTCAATAACCTGCTAAGTCCTGCTGATTTGTTTTTTAAGTATCTTTCCAATCTGTCAGTCTTTATTGCAGACTCCTAGAAAAGTTTCATTGTATTAAAAATACCTTCAAGTGTATTTTTCTGTTCCACCTCTAGTCTTACATTTCTACACCATCATTCACATCATTGCCCAAATGACATTTCTAAACTATAGCTCTCCCTTTATCTCTCCCCTGGTCCAGCAGCTTCTTGATCATCAAGTCCAAGCTCCTTAGCATGGCACAAAAAGCCTTTCATGAACAGCTGCCTTCTCTCACAAGCTTCACCTCTCAGCACCCTGTTAAGTCTCTTTCCATGGCACCTTGCTCTTCTCACGCTTTGCAACTTTAACATACCCTTTCATTAAGCTTTTCTTCAAACTGGTTTTCCTAGACTGCCTGTGCTCACTTTCCTGTCAGCTCCTTTTTCTCTTCATCCATTCATTCACCCATCTATTGACCATTTACCAATATTCATTTAACAAATATTAATATTTGGTAAACGCATTCCCAGTACCACAGAAAGTATCTCCCGACTCCCTTCCCTCTATCCCCAATGTGCTTTGTACATACCTCTATTAATCTTTATCATATTCTACAGCAATTTTTTTCCTGCTTCTGTGTTCCATCCATTAGACTCTAAACTCCTGAAAGGCAGAAGCAGTGTTTTAGTAATCTTCACATTCATAGCACCATGCATTTTACATAGTAGGCAATCAAGAAAGATTGAATGAATAAATGAGCAAATTAGTGAGTGAGTGAATAGACTAATGAATGGCTTCCACGCTCACTGATGAACAGAATGTGTTATACTCCATTTAATGTTATCCAAATAACAAGTTCTATGGCTGGCATTAGCTGAACATCAGAAAAGAGGCACATAAAAATGTTACTGCTCCTCAGACTCTACTTCCCTTAACTGACTTTCAAGAACTATCTTCTCAGCTTGTCAAATATTTAAAGAAAAAGAGAGAGGCGCTTTAGACTTCAATTAAGTAACAGCTCCCCCTACTGATGGTGGAATAAGTAGGGACCTCAAAATCCATGATGCTGCATATCTGTAAGCCAACTTGGCAAGATGATCCAAAGATCAGGTAGCCTGCTAGACTTAACATGCCCAAGTGAGAGGTCAAGGGCAGGGTGCTGGCTACAATAACAAAGCAGCCCCAACCTCATCCAAGGACAAACGCAGCTGTAATTTTACAGCTCAGAAGCATTTGCAGCTCCCCCTTCCAACAAGTCTTTTAAAAATGCTGATCTGGAAGACCAAAGCAACCCACTTGAGACTCGTTCTCAGTATGGCAAAAGTTCTGAAACCCAGACTGCAAAATCTCAGGAAGCAGCTGGGTTCCTAATTAAAACAAATCGTTAATAGTTTTAGCATTCCAAATTTATGCTTTTCAATTAAAAATGCTGTTGCAGTTGGTGTATCTGCGCGAGAGTATATGTGTTTGGGTGTGTGTGTGAATGTGTGTGAGTGCGTGTGTGCGTGTGCAAACACGCCTACACTCTGGACTTGGGGTATTCCAGAGTTTAAGAGGCTGTTATAAAGGCTGGGTCAATACTAAGATACAAAGGTTAATTAAATCAATTCTTAATTGTTTTGGTAACTTCCTTGAGTCTCTGCACATGTTTTGGAAACAGTGGTATGTGAACAAATCGGGCTGTCCTATCACAACTCCTTTAAGGAAGTATTTTTAGCTGTTTTGTAAATGTTAGCTACCTTTTGAGAAGGTATTATATTCAGTTTAAACAAAGAAGACAATTTAAGGTGTATAGCATTCTCTCAAGGCCATCTAGTAAGTCAGTAGAAAACACCCTAACCCCAGTGCCCAGTTATATATACATATAAACAAGATGTCATGTCTCTGGGTGAACAAGCCAAATTTTATCAATGAGATGGACACCCTTTCCTTGGCCACAGGTTTTCAGAAATTGTACTGAGTAATAATTTATGGTGCCCATAAGCAGAGCAATTAACTCTCTCCTCACCTGGAGGATGAGTTCATTTGTCTTCATCCCAATCAACAACTGCTTTACTTACGCTACTTGGGTGTTCTCAGGGTACCAAGTGCTCAGGATAGGAAATAAGTCCTGGAAACCAGCTTACGCTGAAACACATTTCCAGTCCTGCTTTAAGAGGAATAATTCCACCAATTTTACGACACCAAAGGTTCCCTGAATTATACTTGTAGCATTATAATCTATTTACTCTGAATGAAAATATGTATTTTTAGGCAACAAGGTGATAGAAAATTCTTCTGACCACCTGGAGAATTGGAAAGACTGATAGCTCAGAATTAGGAAGAGGGCAATATGAATCCTTGATCTATGTATGTGTTGTTTAATTGTGAACAAGTGAGATCAACTATCTGGAAGACAGTTTGTTCAACTTTTAAATTCTAAAAACAACTATCTTGTATGTTATAAATGCATATAAGCTCAAAAACTCATGGTTGTTAAGAGATTGTATGATAACTTTTTTATTTGAGACAGAGTTTCACTCTTTGTTGCCCAGGCTGGAGTGCAGTGGTACAATCTCAGCTCGCTGCAACCTCCGCCTCCCGGGTCCAAGCGATTCTCCTGTCTCAGCCTCCCAAGTAGCTGGTATTACAGGTGTGTGCCACCACACCTGGCTAATTTTTGTATTTTCAGTAGAGACAGGATTTCATCATGTTGGCCAGGCTGGTCTCGAACTCCTGACCTCAGGTGATCTGCCCGCCTAGGCCTCTCAAAATGCTGGGATTACAGGCATGAGCCACTGCCCCTGGCCTACAATAACTTTTTTAAGTACCTGGTCAAATGTTAGCATCATGTATGGCCCATGGTAACAGGATGATAATTAGGTGCTATAAAGATACCTTAGTAAAGTAATTTTGGAGTAATTCTTAATTTATATTTTTCTTTCTCTTTCCTCTGACCCCAAACCTTTTTTAGCCCTCATCCTCGGGCATTTCTATTATTTTGGTTTATTTTTCAAGTTCTATCAATAAGTTTCTGCTTCAGATTCCATACTAATGCTAGCTGAAAAAAACAGACTTTGTCCTATACAAAGAGTCCACAAACTGGCCTCCAGGTGGATATAAATCTCCTGAAGTTACATGCAAAGTTCTTTCTGTGTATATGTATAACTGGAGACCCAGAGCCTTCCTCTGTTTCTCAACAGTTCCACGACCCAAAATAAAAGTTATGTTCTGCCGCGCTATTGAATTTGTATATAACATCCTAGAAAAATATGTTTAAAACTAAAGCCAGACCAAATGGTACTGTAGTAACATATTGACACTGTATATGAAGTAGCATAATGTGCTTCAAATGTAGACCATAACTTACAGCTAATTATTATGATTGCTAGAAAAAATATTAAAAAGGGAAAAATAGCTAAAAAGTAAACATAGGAGCTAAAATAGAATATTAAAAATTATAGAACCTACACAAAGAAGGCAGGAAGGGACAAACCGAAGAACGAATACCAAATGGAATGAAAGAAGACAAAGAAGGGTGAGATAAAAAACTGTATTAGTTACTATATTAAATGCAAATGGACAAATTATTCCACTTAAAGGGCAAAGATTGTCAGACTGAATTTATTTTTTTAAAGCAAGATCACCTACTTTCTGCTTACAAGAAACATACTTGAAATATATAAATACAGGCTGGTGGGAACTAAAAGTGCAAATAAAAGATACTCTCTTCCATCAATAGTTTCAAGAAACATAATTTAGCTATTAATATATCAATAGCAGAAAAAAAAGACTTCAAGACAAAGAGTATTATTGGAGATAGAGAAATTTCATAGTGGTAAATGAATCAATTCATCAAGAAAACTTAATAATCCTAAATGCATATCTAACTAATAACAGCTTCAAAATATGTGAAACAAAAATGAATACATCTTAAAGAAAAAAATAGATAAATACCTGGAGATTTTAACATAATTATTAAATTAAACCCTTGCTACATAATTGGCAGAACAAATTTTTAAAAAGACATGCTATCATCTCATTTCGCGGTTGTATAATTTTCCATCAGTTCTGTGTCTACAGGAGAAAGTTCACTTTTAGAAATGAGTTATATTAAATAATTGCTCCTTCTTTTTATGTTGTTTTAAGAAGATATTTTGAGAAGAGAGGAAAGATACCTCAGTGTGCAACTGAGAAAAGGATGTGTGTAGGAGGGAGGGGGAAGGTTCTTGTTTGAAGATTTATTTATTTATTTATTTATTTATTCATTTATTTTTATACAACATCAGTTTGTGTTTTTTCTCTTCCCTGCTTATGGCTCCTCTGTCTCTTCTCTATGCTCTTCAGACTTGTGGGGTTTATTTTATTTTCTTGCTTCAGGAAAACCAATTCTCAATCTGAAAAACAATAGATCAGCAAGAAGAAAGCAGCCAGATAGGCAGAACATACCTGCTGCAGTTTCCCAGAGACCCATGGCCCAAGCTTTGGTTTCTGGAACCTTTCCTTCCAAAGTGGTATCTGTGGTCCCAATCCATCACAGCGGCTACTTCACACAGCTGCTTCTGGCCACAGGCTTGAGACTCTATACAAGAGGCTAGTCAGTGTGCCCAGCATTTCAGGGGATCCTGATGGCAAAACAAGAGTACAAGACAAATAGGACCGTCAGCTGGATGAAAACCATCACCACCCAGGGAGGAATTAAAATCAATAATTTGAGAAGAGTCATATAATGTTATTTTGGGGAATCATTGAATCTCAGATCTGCAAGTGATCTTGAAGCTCAGTTCAATCAGCTCCTTCATTTTACAGCTGAGGAACTACAATTCAAGATGGGCAGTGATGTGTTAACATTCTTGCTGTGGGTTTCAACACGATCCCAGTGTAGAACCCAGGTGGGCTGATGCCAAGGCAGGGTTCTCGCAACTGGGCCTCCCCAGGTGGAGCAGTGAACTGTGCTTCCTCTATGAGGATGGGGGTGGCAGGTTGGTGGGGTGCAGAACATCTGAACCAAAAGTGTAGATGATAGTCTAGGCCCTGAAGGACTAGATTTTCCTTGCCCAAGATTTTCATCCTATGCCACAGCCTACCCTTCCCAGACACAGTTTCAGCATACATCTTGCGCCTGTTTCCTAGTCCCCAGACCAGAAAGACAGCATAAATACAACAACTCTCCCAACAAGAGTGCTACGTGGCCCTACAACTGCATCAATACTCCCTGTCACTTTTCTCTCAGAATCTCAAAATGCTGAACCATTTCTGTGGACATCGTAATTAACAAAAGAAAAAAACAGCAACAATAGCAGATCTTTGGGACACGAATTAATTATCATATGGCCATTAATTTTAATATGAATTTAAGTTTCCACTATGGACACTACACAATATTTCACAGGAATTTTTGCTTACAATGTATTGATGGGATGCTTATATATGAACTGGCATGCTGTTTCTAAGAAGTATGCCAGGGTTATGCATTTTCATAAATAGAAAACTAAACCACAGAGGCTCTGACTAGCCCAGGTTAGAATTTAGATTTCCTGGCCCTCTGCCTTGTACTCAGAGTGGAGTTGCCAGAATTCATGAACTACTGTTCAGAGACACCTGGCACTATCTTGCTAAAGTCTAGGTGCTTGTGATGCACGTATTTAGGAGCTAAGAAGGTTGCTTGCCAATCCACCCCCACCCCAGTCTCATTAAATGCCCTTTAGTGCAGGACAGAGATGATTTTGCCCTTTGTTTCCATAAGAAAGATGGCTATCTGTCCGTAAGAAAAATGGCTCTGTGTGTGTGTGTGTGTGTGTGTGTGTGTGTGTAGAGCTATTATAAATATTTGGGGGAGCTGCATTAAATATATATAAATATTCCAATGCATAATATACTTCTGCTTATATCTCAATAAAATGGAAGGGAGCATGATCCAGCAGGGATGGACTCCAGAGTCAGGCCTAGGTTCGAATCCTGGATCAACTACTTAAGAGCTCTGTCACTTTGGGAAATCTATAGAGCCTTTTTCATCTATTTCTTCAGCAGCAAAATGGAAATTTAAAAAGGTATCCCTGCCTTGGAGTTTGTTTTCTGTGGATTAGAGATAATAAATGTGGTGTGCTTAGTATTTCACGGTATGTATGCTCAACAAATAGAATCACACAGCATTACTCACAGCTCAAATTATGGTGGAGCAATTGCTGAGCGTACAAGACTACTGACCGTTCTTGCAAAGCCACTCAGCATAAGGTATATTTAACTCATTGCATCAGAGGGATATTGAGGGTCATCTGCTTGAAATAAACAAATTCAATTATTCTGCAATGTAGTGGTCTAGAGCAATTCACTTGCTACCCAGAGGTGTGTAATGAACCCATTAGAACATTTTGCATATTCGGGGCAACTGTTGGGGTGTGGGATAAAGCATGCATCACAAATTCCACAGGGCTGTATTTAGAAATTCTGAGAACACCTTCAGACTGAGAGCAAACCACAAAACCGGCCTGGAAGTGAGGAGGGAGACTGGAGGGAAAGCACTGAGATTCTTCTGCTGACTATAGAGGTCACCTGACCCTGACTCATAACTTTTACTGAGTTGACTATATCTCACTTCCTGTAAGTGCCTGTCCCTCATACTCACTTTCAAGGACTTGGCCAATCTCCTTTTGTAAATAGAACAATGCTTTATATTTCTCTATTACTCCAGAGTGACTATATCAATAATGCAGGAAACGCATCTGTCCAGCACAATGAGATTATTTTTCTGATTTCGGTTGACAGTTATGGTAATAGTTTGGCAAACAATCTACTCCACCATCAATGACCGCAGATTACAGCTGTTTTTAAAAATCTCAGCCGCTTCTGGAAACTTGGAAGATGGACTGCACACTGAGAGAGAGATGGAAAGACATGCCATAAGCCGTTATGGTAGAAAAATCCTTAACCCTTTCTGTACATAAAAGGCTAAGAAAATATTAAGAAAAGCACAATGTGCCATCTATGGGTACACTATAATGAGAACAAGGTGAGGAATGACAATGCTGAGACATCGTTAGGACAGTCTAACATTGCCAGGGGGGCTATAACGCAACAGAGAGAGTCTGCAATATTTCAGAGCACTGCATTTTATGTTGATAAATTTTCCAAGTCACCCAGGAGTTATTGCAAATATTTACAGGAGAGAAAATTGAGAAAGAATATTATCTTCCCTATTGGTCTTGATGAATAGAGCCACTAGCTAGTCAATAACAATGACCCAAGCCCAAGATTGTCATATGTTTGTTGAAAAAATAAACAATAAAACGTGGTTTAATTTACTTCTGCAAAAGTGATGAATAAAAGTTGATTTTTAAACATTGGAACTTCTTAAGTCTTAACAACATGCGCTTTTCTTAAAAGTTCATAACAACTCTTACAAAGGTTTGATTTTTGACACTTATTTTCCCCCTTTGGAATTTTTTCCTTTACTTTCGTTTCATCAGAGGCAGAATGCTGATCTTGCTAATGGCCTGCAACCTTGGCATGTGGCCAGCCATTGTTACCCAGGGACCAGGAGACAGAATGCTGGCTGTGCGAGTCTCCCAAGGTGCGAGCTTTCTTTCTCTCTGAATTAGGAGGTGAAACCATTTGGAAGAGCCATTGTAAAGGGGAGGGCTTTGGGCTGTGCATACTCCTCATATCCAGGTGAGTTCATTTTTCTTGTGAACTTTTCACCTAGGCCCCAATTAGTATCCTATTAACCTCCTTAAATATGGAATTGCTAAGATCTTAGAATACTCCAGAATGGACTATTAGCCAGCCCATTTCCTGGCTCCATCAGATGAAAATGCCAAAGTAGGTCATACAACAGAATTATCTTGATTAATTTCAGCTCTCTTGCATGGGCCATGATGTCATGCAAGTTAAAGGAGATTCAAATTTAATGCATCATTTCAATGACTGATTAAACATGGGATTTTCTGAAAAACATTTACAATTCCAGGTTTATAAGGATTCTCCTTCTTTAATATGACAAACATTTCAAATGTGCTAAATTGATCAATTATACAAATGATAAATTCCCTTGAATATACTTTTTCATGTTCATGTTCTCCAGGGCCTAATATGGAAAAAGGTTTATTATCCCCAGTAACTACTATGTTAGATGAAAAGCTCTCAGCATTGTGCCCCTTTCCTATCCATGGATGCAGGCTATTAAAAAACAAAACAAAACAAAAAAACACTATGAAGATGCCACATCTACTCCAGAAGCCTACTCAGAATGGCATTTCCAAATATAAATGGCTTTGCTAAGGCTAAAAAAAGCATCAAACTTTACATCCTTTATCATACATTCCTAAAGGACTCCCTTGAAAAAAGCACTTAAAAACATTGTATCTTGGAACATCTCATATATTGGTGCAATTTATTTACAAGAGTCAGATTTAATTTGTTTTCATGTATAAAGCAGCTTTAGGGACTTATTAGCAATTTCAAATGTTACAGGAAAATATGCTGAATCTAAAGTTCATTATCACAAGTAAGCTTATTTAAGTGAGATTATTTGTTTCTTAAAATGTACAAGATAGCTAGTTCTTTAAAAGGCTTCTGTTGCATCATTTCACTTAGAAATAAAGCTTTTGGATGCAGCTGTTATGCTCTAAAGTCAGGGTTGTGTCTGTTTTGTGTTTATAAGTAACATGGACACAGCCTGCTACTATAAACACTGAACCCGGCTTAACATGTTCCTGTCTTTTCCAGATGAAAATGCAACTTACTTTCGTGATTTAGGTTATGAAACTTTAAAACCATGTCACATTTTAATATGCAGGGGTTCCTTCCTGTAATAACCTGCAATGTATATTCATGTTTGCAATTTCTAGCAAGAAGTAAAATAACTGATAGCTTTTATGAAGCATCTTTGAACTTTGCAAGTTCCACTTGTCTGAATCAGAGCTTCACAGACACCCACTTAGCACAGACTGGGTTGTGCCAGGGCTAGAGTAACTGCCTGCCAAAGGGATCCTGGCCACCCCTCCTCTTCTTTCTGATCAGTCCACTGATCACTAAGAAACCAGTGGTGAGCTGCTTACCTTTTAGAATATGAATAAATAAAGAGCTTGCCATGATCAAAGAGACTGAAAGCTTCAGATGGATGTTTATGCTACTGAGCCAAATGTAATGTTCACAAAAATTAGGGAGCTTCAGGACCCCGTATCTCTACTCTCTGAAATTCAACTTTTCTCAGATTTAAAACAGAGGGATTCAGCTTTTCTAGAATCTATGTGTCAAAGTGGACTTATCTGTCATCAGAGAAATTCCATCCTCATATTCTAACATCAGATTATTCCAATACATGTTCTATTCATCGGTCGCCTTAGTTAGAAAATTAGGCAAAATTCTAAGGCATCTTTATGCGGTGACATAAAAAAAAATGTATTTTGGTAGTAGTTGCTAGAAAAATATCATACTTCAGGACTTTAGTCACTTTTTTCTCCATCTGAGAATTTATGAGAGTCCCTTTAACTCACTTATGTATGTTTGAAGTATCTTTATTTATTTATACACTTTCCAAGCAATGTAACTTATGTGTTGTATGATTAAAATGTAGAAATGAAAACTCAGGCTGGGCACGGTGGCTCACGCCTGTAATTGCAGCACTCTGGGAGGCAGAGGTAGGTGGATCACCTGAGGTCAGGAGTTCGAGACCAGCCTGGCCAACATGGCGAAACCCCATCTCTACTAAAAACACAAAAAATAGTCGGGCATGTTGGTGAGCGCCTGTAATCCCAGCTACTCCAGAGGCTGAGGCAGGAGTATTACTTGAACTTGGGAGGCGGAGGTTGCAGTGAGCCGAGATTGGCCACTGCACTTCAGCCTGCGTGACAGAGGGAGACATTGTCTCAAAAAAAAAAAGAAAAAGAAAAAGAAAAAAAGAAAGAAATTAAAACTCAGAGATTTAAAAATCACACTGGGCCTTTGTGCACACTCCTTTACTTTTTATATTTATTTTTATTTATTTATTTATTTATTTATTTATTTATTTATTTATTTATTTTGAGACGGAATCTCACTCTGTTGCCCAGGCTGGAGTACAGTGATGTGATCTCAGCTCACTGCAAGCCCTGCCGCCTCCCGGGTTCACGTCATTCTCCTGCCTCAGCCTCCCGAGTAGCTGGGACTACAGGCGCCTGCCACCATGCCTGGCTAATTTTTTGTGTTTTTAGTAGAGACGGGGTTTCACCGTGTTAGCCAGGATGGTCTCAATCTCCTGACCTTGTGATCTGCCTGCCTTGGCCTCCCAAAGGGCTGGGATTACAGGCTACTTTTTATTTTTATAAGTTGTAAATAAATTATTGTTTATTTGTTTATAAGTACAAAAGAAATATATGTTAGTTTTTAAAGAAATTAAAATTAAATAAAGTTGGAGACTGAGTTCCTCAGTCTTACTAGCCGCTTTTCAACAGATCTTTGGATTCAACAGACTCTTATTCTTCCCTCCAACACCTTCCCCCTTGCAAATTGCTAGCAAACTGATGTCCCAAGGGTGTACCTAAAATGCCAGTCTGCCCATGTAAGTATGGACCCACTCCTTCAGCCTGGCACACAAAGGTTCAGGAGCTTCAACATCAACTGGCACGGCCTCCTTCCCCATGCTATGCCTATTCCCTTGTGACTGCCTGACAGCAGCACTTGCTCGGGCTGTTCCCTCGGCCTGAGCAAGCAGTGCTCGGAGCATTGCGTCTTCAACCCATACCTAAGCATCATCACATGTCTCTTTCCACTTTCTCCTTCCCAATCCCTACTCTGCACAAAATCTGACACTATACTCAATTACAATATTTGGACACTGGCTTGAATTTCCTTCCCTACTGGTTAATAAATCCAAGAGTAGAGTTTATAATGGATTTCTTGGCTTAATTCAGTGGTTGCTACATGGTAGATGTGACATGAATGGCTGCTAAATCAAATAAAAGAATGTCCTCTGCTCCCGGTTGACCATACCAGAAGTGGGCAGGTATGAATGTCTGCACCCCTGGCAGTGCACACTGTGAACTCTATCTCTCACTATCACGGCTTCTTTCTTGTCTTCAGTGAATATGACGAGTAACTGAAAAAGTTGACTCCTCTGAGCCTAGTGGAGATCTTACACTGTTTGACTCAGTTGCTTCCCCAAGTCTGCTCATGCATTTTTTCCTGGTTTACTCTAAGCTCCTCCTTTACAAAGTAACAGACATAGGTTAGGGCTGCCTCACCTTCTTTTAACAACATTAAGAGAGATGAATTTTCCAAAATAAGGCTAGCCAGTGAACTGTGGTGCCAGAATAATCCCATTACTTTCAGAGGCCTTGAGTCTGTTACAATCACTCAAGTGTTGCAGGGATGTAGTTTAAAAGGGAAAGGCTATGGTAATCGCTTGCGGAGGTTGTTTTCTTCAAAATAGAATTCCCAATCTTGGAAGGGTTGTGTATCACTACAGGCAGGGTCTTTAAGGAGTTCACTAAGATCATTACAACAATCCGAAAGTGTTTGCTAAAATGGGTCAAAGAAGTTGATACCAATTATATCCAGTTGTCTTCTGTCTGGGATAAGTGGGCTTCTGTTTCTAAGCAAATGAATTCTCTCATTTTGATTCTTTCTATAGTATCTCTGATTTGATAGTATTCAGCCTTTTCAGAGTTAGGAATCATGGGAAAGGTTAAAGGGAAAATTAACCAATATGAGAAAGAATGGCCTACTGAAAGAACCTTTCAGAAAAAAGGAGTAAGAAGAACCCAATATTATTTGTGCATCACTGGAATCCTTGTAACTATATTTCAATGTTGATCTTAAACGGGGGTTACATAGAAATAGAGAGTAACATATTTTGTTGGAATGATTGGGCTCTAAAGAAGTGTTTCTCAAAGTTAAGTCTTCGGCCCTTTGGTGGGGCTGTAAAGGTCTTCTAGAAGGGCCAAGAACTTACCCCAAGTTTGATCTCCTCCTGCACTGTTTATGTGCAAATGACATGAAATTCCATTGGAAGTTGGAAGCTATTAAAAGAGTTATGAAGAGTCACTAACATGTGATATTGATAAACTAAAATTAGCATGCTGAGGGAGTTTACTCTAGACCTTAATCTAGTATGGTGCCAGGAAGTCTGGCTGCTACAAAAAGCTTAGCATTGCTGTGAAGCTCCTACCATTTAGGGAGGCAAGCTGATTGTTGGAATTCCCATAGTTTCCAGGAAATAAGCTTTGTTATCAGAGCATCATTAATGCCTTATTGAGTTGTTCTTGTTTTTTAATTGCTACTAAGTTTGTAATAACATTTTACTTTTGTTGGTTGTTAGGGTCTTTTGTACTTGCTTTGCCTCACCATTTGGGTTGCTATTAGTTGGGTGCTCTTTGCCCAAATGTCTCAGGAACCCCTCAGTGGCCTGACAAAGCACATGACACACAGGCGAGGTATGGAAGTGCAAGGTAACATTTATCGAGGCTCACTAGTGCCTGAACATTTTCTAAGCACTTTAGTTGTATGATTAACGTAATTGTCAATACAACCTAAACTCCAGGTTCCTCAAACCCTTCTAACCTTTTAGATCAAGTCTCTGTTTAAGAACATCCCACTGTTTGAAAGAATTTACTTTTTTCTCTCAATATTTATTTGTGTGTGTGCGTGTGTGCATATGTGGTTTTTGTTTGTTTGTTTGATTGAGGCAGGGTCTAACTTGCCCCGGATGGTGCACATTGGCATAATCACTGCTCACCGCAGCCTCAACCTCCCCAGGCTCAGGTGATCCTCCCACCTCAGCCACCCTAGTAGCTAGTACTACAGGCATGTGCCACCATGCCTGGCTAATTTTTATATTTTTTTTAGAGACAGGGATTCACCATGTCGTCTAGGCTGGTCTCCAACTCCTGGGCTCAGGTGATTTACCCACCTCAGTCTCCCCAAATGCTGGGATTACACGCATGAGCCACAGCACCCAGTCTTAACACTTATTTTGAAGAATAGCAAATATATCACAATAACATAATAGCCAAATAAATACACACATATTATTCACTTGGATTTAGCAATTGTGAACCTCTTGTCACATTTCACTTTTTTTTTTCCTGAATCATTTAAAAGCAAGAGATTTTAAAGAAGATATTCACATTTCACTATTGAATAATTTCATATACATCTCCTAAAAATAAGGGTATTCTCCTATAAAAACCACAAGGCTTTTATGACATCTAAGAATATACAAAATTGTACTATATCTAATTTCTAGTCTATATTCAAATTATCAAATCACCCAAAAATATCTTCCATAAATTAATTTTTCAGCTAAGGTCCAATTAATGTTGACAAATTGCATTTGATGAATTCTACCCCACCTTTTTATTCAAGACATGGACATTTTGAAAACTCCAGGCCAGTTGATTGTAGAATATGCTTCATTTTTATTTATCTAATTAACTTTCTCAAAGTGTTGTTCATTTTTCTCTCCTATCCCTGGTATTTCCTATAAACTAGAAATTAGATAGAATTGATTGGATTTGTGCTCAATAGTTTTGGTGAGGTTAATCCATTGATAACGTGTACTTCACGTTGCATCACGTGAGGAACTACATAATGTCAAGTACTCTTTTTATTGATTAAGATGTTTGACTTGTTTATTTTGTTAATATGATAACTGCTGGATCTATCCATTATAACAGTAGCTTTTTCCTTTTGTAGTTTATAATTACTGTGTAGGGTGATTGCATTCATTTTTCCATTCTTGCTGTAACAAATGACTTCAAATATAGGAGCATAAAACGAAACAAATTATCATCTTGCAGTTCCGTAGATGAGAGGTCCAAAACAGATCTCGGTAGGCTAAAGTCAATGTGTTGGCAGGACAGCATTCCCTTCTAAATGCTATAGGGGAGAATCAGTTTCTTTGGACTTTCCAGCCTCTAGAGGCCACTCACATTACTTGGCTCTTTCCTCTGTCTTCACAGCCAGTGGCGGTCAAGTCCTTTTCAAATCACATCAGTCTTACCATCTCTCTGCCTCCTTCTTCCAATTCTAAGAACCCTTGTGGTTCAACTGGATCTATTTAAATAATCCAGTGTAATCTCTTTATTTTAAAATCAAATGACAAGCTATCATAATTCCATCTATGACATTAATCCCCTTCTGCCATGTCATCTAACATATTCACTGGTTCCAGGGATTAGGACACCAACATTTTTGGGGAGGCCATTATTCTACCTTCAACATGCTATTTCGGCGTTGTGCAAATAACCTGTTTCCCAACAACATATCACTTAATAGTTTTAACTTCCATTGATAATCCTTGGTTTTGTCAGTAATTGGGTGGTGCAAGCACTGGTGATCTACTTATATTATTCCTTCTACAGTTATGAGCTAGTATTGTTCTTTAAAGAAATGCTCTACATTATCTCCTCCATCTATCTGTCTTCCTTTTTTCACTGTGGGCTCTTGGGTTTTTAAATTATTATAATAAATTGATTTATTAATTTTGTTAATGTTATAACTGCTGGATTTGTTCATTGCAACAGAAGATTTTTTTTATAATACATTATCAGCATCTTTGGTTTTGATCTACCAAATTGGGCCAGTGGGAGTCCCTTAAATCAAGATCCTAAGTCCTTTTGAGATATGCCCTTATTTTCTTTTCTGCTACAAGCACATGCTACTGCTCACCTTGCACTTTTCTCTGAAGGAGACTTGAAATCAGCTGTTCTCTCACCCCTCTATTCAAAGACAGCAGTGGAACTTAGAACTCAAGATTTGAGTGTTAGGTGCGTCACTGCTACTGGGATATTAAGATTTTTAGGCAAGGAGTGAATAGATAGATAGATAGATAGATAGATAGATAGATAGATAGATAGATAGAGTCATGTATAAATCATGAGTTTATACGTATATTTCCAATTCAAATTTAATATTAATATTGTAGGGTTTTGCTTAATTTTTCCTAAATTTTGTACTTTTCTTGTGACAATGAAATTCTTGGTTTCTAATCCTACAATACAGAAAAAATATATTCATAATTACAATCAGCAATGATCTTTCTGTGTATATTTAAGATTGACTTTTGATTCTCTCTGTTCTCAGAATATACCTCATTAAAAAACCTAAAGTCAGAGTAGTGTTCAAAAATTACTTGGAAGAAGTATTTCTTCTGTGTTGTTATGTTATCAATTTTATAAAATGTTAGGTTTATTTTTGTTTTATTTAATTTTATGGTGACTTTTTTCTTTTTGATTTAATGTCATGCTGTGAATATATAAAATGTTTCTGTCATTCAGAAGTTAAACCTACAAGAAAGGTGTCCTCTGTCAAGTTGCTCCCTCATTACTACCACCTCCACCCTGTTTCCCTTTCTTTTTTTTTTGAGACAGGATCTCACTCTGTCACCCAGGCTGGAGTGCAGTGGCGCAATCTCTGCTCACTACAACCTCCGCCTCCTGGATTCAAGAGATTCTCATTCCTCAGCCTCCTGAGTAGCTGGGATTACAGGCATGTGCTGTTTCCCTTTCTATTGAGAATTTTCCTGTGCATTTGCTGATAATCCTTCAAACATTTCTCTTTGGAAAAATAACGTACACCTATATCACCTTTTATTTCTTACATTAAAGTAGCTCACTACTGTTATATACTTTAATTGTTTTACCTAAAAATATATCCTAGAAATCATAGAGTGGCTTCTTTGTTCTTGTTCTGACACAGATGTCATAATTTGTATGGGGTAGAGACTATTACTATTAGCATTTTGCAGATGAAAAAACTGAGGCATAGAAAATGAGTAACTCGCTGAAAGTCATTCAGTTTGTAGGTAGGAAGGGTGAGGACCTAAGTAGTCTGCTTTCTGAATCTTTTCTTTTAACCACACCCTACAAGCATCCAGGCACAAATGCACATCCTTTTATCTTGCCCTGTGGCAATGTTACTGTGTTAGTGGTGCTGACAAGGTTTCTTCTTCTTTTTTTTTTCCTTCCTTCCTTCCTTCCTTCCTTGGTGTTGTTCTAACATCATTTAATTTTAAGAAAAATTGAGGCTATATTGTCCAGTCATAATTAGAAGTTCATGAATGTAGCTCAGTTATTTTACTTCATTAACACGTTTATTAAAGTGATAGTCATTGATTTTTGGAGCTAGAAGAGGCCTTTGAAATGATCTAATCCAGTATCTCCATTGTACAGGTTCGGGGTTCTGAGTATAGAGGTAAGAAGGCTGATCAAAGGTCAAATAGGTAGAGCCAGAGTGACACCTGGAGATCTGGTCTCCTAAGTACTAATCTAGAGTTGTTTTTCACTGTAATACAAGACTCAGTGGGAAATACATCAAGAGACAGATATCTAAAGTCTCCAATAACACACAGCTCAAGAAAAATGGATACTATCACACTTTGTGCTACAGCCTTTGACTAATGAATCCAATAATACAAAATCTTAGCTCAATCCTTTCTCTTTCTAAGTCCAACAGTAAACATCTGACAGACTTCCACTGAGTATAGTGAAACCTCCTCATGTAGTATCTACTCATCACATATGAAGAGTTTAAGCACACTAAGTTGTTATAATAACATTGCACCAACTTAATAATATTGAAAGTAATGGCAAAAATCACAATTACTTTTGCACCAACCTACGAGCACAGCATGAACCTGAATGGCAATTTAGCAGCTGCATTTCAAAAATCGAGTCCAACTAGAGATACACTCCCAAGAGCCTGCCTCTGAAGTGCTAACCTGCAAAGATTTGGAAACACATTTCTTCACTACTGTGGAATGTGTACATTGTGTCGTCTGTGGATACATTAGTAGGTCTCTCTCTTAAGTACCTAAGGGGAAGTTTCTAAACATCAGCCTCACTCACCAATGTCCTAAGAGCAGAGTGTTAATAGTGCACTAACAACATCCTGGACAGCTGATATGGTATCTTACATCTCCAGAATGGTACCAAAGCAGTTACTGGGGGATTAAAAATGAGAATTTGACAGCTGTTGTAAGATTTCACTTTACTCTTACCACTGTGAGTTAAAAATGAATATCAGGTCAAACATTATTGTGTGATGAAACCGTCAACTCAGTTCTTGATTATTAACCCAGCAGGCAATTCTTTTTGGGGAGTCTTTCCTGCTTGGGTAGAAAGTCTGAGTTCTAATAGGGCTTTGTTTGTTTGCATTTTTCCTATAACCAATTGTCTCTCTTTTCCCTCAATTTTTCATTAAAACAAATACAAAAACAAAAAAACAATGGGGTAGACAGGTTCACAGTGGTTGACGTTTGAATGTGCCGTTGGCTTATTTTTTTAGTAGTGTCTGTTGATCCATTTTTCTAAATGTTTAAAATAGCATGACAAATGTTCTGGGAGGGGGATCACATGCCTGCTATTAAAAAGTCCTAGATTCAGAAGATATTCTGATGGGCCACAGAGCAATCTCAAGGATGGTAATAGAGTGTGTTTTCTCTGCCATTCTTCCTTTTGTTCCTCACTTCTGGCCTTTCCCCTAACTTGTACCAACAAAGATTCTCTTAGTAGCTGCTGCACCAAATCAGGAGCCTCTGAGATTCTCCTTAGCTCCATTTCTGATATTAATGCAGATGGAATCATTGGTGCTGTTATCAAAATATGATTATGATAAGCAAGACTGAGAAGCAGCTGTTTAGGCCCACAGGAGAAGTGTCCAAGAAAGAGGAGCCAAGGAAAGGAGTTGAGATTAGCCTTGATAGCTGGGTAATGGATTGACTGATTTTTTTTCTGATTAATTTCTTTATAAGAAATAAAACTAAAATTCCCACGTCATTTTGGGCTTCAGAAACTCCACAAATCCAACTTCTAAAGAAGGTAAAAAAGTAAAAACAAAGATGAATCTCACTTTCTCACTTTCACTAATTAGACAGGAGCAATAACCAATCAGCTCACAGAACATAATAATACCAACAAATATAGCATGCTTGGCTTTATATGGTAAGTCCACAGACACTAAAGGACAGGAGTCAACTGATCACTTCATGCCAGGAAATAGAGCAAGAGTGGCCTTCTATATAATAATAAAGGTCGTTAACCATCAAAGACATTTAGACTTGAAAAGGCCTGGAGAGTTTGAAAGATTAAAAAAAAAAACTTAGTCCAGAGAGAAGACACACATTCTTAGAGTTCTAAAGAGAATTTTGGAAATGCTTATTAAATTTAGTGCATTGAAATATTTACATATGAATAAAAACCAGAATCAATCAAATTATGGTTTAGATTTCCGACTAAAATATTAACTCACTCTTTTTGAAATGCATATATCTTTGGTATGCACGTGTGTGTGTGTGTGTGTGTGTGTGTGTTCGTGTGTGTATGTGTGTGCATTTATATACAGCCATCCCTCAGTCATTGTTAGGGATTTGCCCCAGGAGATTTCTCAGATACCAAACTCTGCAGATGCTCAATATGGCATGTCGTTTGCATATAACCTATGCACATCCTCCCATATACTTTAAATAATCTCTATATTACCTACAATACTGTTAGAGGAAAAACCTTTACAAATCAAATTTAACAGACTTGAAATGAGCAAAGAATGATTTTCCAATCAGGCTGCCCTTGAACCAGAATAGGTTCAGAGAGAACCCAGCACTGCCATGTGGTTGAAGAAGATTTAGGAAGAGAAAAAGGAAAGTGGCAAACAGAAAATGGAAGTGAGGTCCAGGAACAGCTGGGTTGGTTCTAGCTCAGAATTTGCCTTACTTAAATAGCTAACTGATTTGAACAATTAGCTACCTGTGATTGGCCAAATCTCGGTAATTGGCACAAGAGAAATGCAAATCAAAACCACAATGAGATACCATCTCACATCAGTCAGAAAGGCGATCATTAAAAAGTCAAGAAACAACAGGTGCTGGAGAGGATGTGGAGAAATAGGAACACTTTTACACTGTTGGTGGGACTGTAAACTGGTTCAACCATTGTGGAAGACAGTGTGGCGATTCCTCAGGGATCTAGAATTAGAAATACTATTTGACCCAGCCAACCCATTACTGGGTATATACCCAAAGGATTATAAATCATGCTACTGTAAAGACACATGCACATGTATGTTTATTGCAGCACTATTCACAATAGCAAAGACCTGGAACCAACCCAAATGTCCAAAAATGATAGACTGGATTAAGAAAATGTGGCACATATACACCATGGAATACTACACAGCCATAAAAAAGATGAGTTCATGTCCTTTGTAGGGACATGGATGAAGCTGGAAACCATGATTCTCAGCAAACTATCGTGAGGACAAAAAACCAAATACCGTATGTTCTCACTTATAGGTGGGAACTGAACAATGAGAACACTTGGACACTGGAAGGAGAACATCACACACCGGGGCCTGTCATGGGGTGGGAGGAGTGGGCAGGGATAGCATTAGGAGACATACCTAATGAAAATGACGAGTTAATGGGTGCAGCACACCAACATGGTGCATGTATACATATGTAACAAACCTGCACGTTGTGCACATGTACCCTAGAACTTAAAGTATAAAAAAAAAAAAAAAAAGAAATCTGAAGGGAAAATTCCAATGTACTAAGCTCTTTTTAAAGAAAAAAAAAAGGTAGGTTATAGTCAGCTTACATATCCAGCTGGGTTAGAGATCACCTATGTATGGAAAAACTTTAGGCTAAACTTCAAATATGTAAGAAGGCAGCTTTAGGCTAAAAACTATACATAATACAATGTAAATGTTTTATAAATAGTTGCCTATACTGTATTGTTTAGGGAATGATGATGAGACAAAAAGGCTGCACGTGTTTGTTACAGATGTAGTTTTTATTCTGGAATTTTTAAATCTGTATTTGGTTGAATCCATGGATGCAAAACCCATGGATATAGAGGGCCAACTGGATATAAAAATTATGCATACAGTTTTGCAAGAAGAAAAGCAATGATATAGAAAAATGTTATTCTCCTATTTTATTCATTAATTTATCACATGTTTAATAATGCTTATATAGCTTTTACCTTGTGCCAGACACTGTTCTAAGTGTTTTACAGAAATGAACTCATATAATCCTCACAACAACTTAATAAGTTAGGTAGTATTATCTTTATTTTAGACATGAGAGAGCTGAATCACAAGGAGTTATATAGCATATCCAAGTTAACAGAGCTAGTAATAGTTTTATTTCAAGAAAGTTTTGTCAAAATTTGACATAATGAAAAATTCCTCGCCAGGTACTATGGCTCATGCCTGTAATCCCAGAACTTTGGGAGGCTGAGGTGGGTGGATTGCCTGAACCCAGAAGTTTGGGACCAACCTGGGCAACATGGTCTCTACAAAAAATACAAAAAAGTTAGCTGGCATGGTGGCGCATGCCTGTGGTCCCAATGGAAGGCTGAGGTGGGAGGATCACTTGAGCCTGGGCAGCTCAAGGCTGCAGTGACGTGTGATCACACCACTGCACTCCAGCCTGGGTGGCACAGTGTAACCTTGTCTCAAAAAAAAAAAAAAAAAAAAAGAGAGAGAGAGAGAGAAAAGAAACATTCCTTAGTTTTTTTCTCTTTACTTCACTGTGTCTCCCTACAAAATTTGTTGAGTGAGTTTCTTCCGCTTAGGCCTGGGTAAGAAGGCAGCACTTCCTGTCAGGCTGCCTTCTTTCTGGTGGACGGATAGTTTCTACATACTAACACGTAGCCCCAATCCCTCATTGTAGGTATTATCATGAGATTTTCAGGTTTGCTATAAACAAGCAAGCATAGAAATAAGAGAGGAGACTCACAGTAACAGGACATTCGAGAAAACTTGGTTGTGGCAGAAAGAGAAAAATAGTGGAGCTAACTGTAAGTAATTAGGGAGTAACAAGTTCAGAGAATGACTCCTTCTCCACTTTTTCTGACTCATAAGTTTTACGGAATCACTGGGTGCAATAACGCATTGGCTTTTAACTCTAGAGGCTTCAACTTTCTATCACAAGGGTCACTGAGCCATGAAGAGTGCTGAACTCCTCTCAGGCCTGGCAAATGCACACACTTACACACTCACATACTTTTAAATGTAGCGTTAAGTCTACTTGGTCACCTCTACACAAGAAAACTCCCGATCATTCAATATGGAATATTTATTGAAGAATCAGAGGTTTCATGCCATAATAATAAGAATGATATCAGAATAGCAATAATATGGCCAATTTATTGAGTATTTACCATGTTCCAGGCACTGTGCTTTGCAGTTACATAGATTACCTTGTTTAATCCCTATCATAATTGTACCTCAAGTTTTACAACTGCATTTAACTGCATTTATGATTTGAGGAAATCAAAGCTCAAAGAGTTAAACGAACTTTGCAAGTCATGCAGCGATGAAGTGGTAGAACTACGTTTAGTTTTTCTTGGACATCAAGCTCTTAAGAGCTACATCAAGGTTCTCACATATTAGTTTCGCTTGATATGTGTACCTCAAGGAATGTATCAACATTATCTGCAGATCCCACTTTACCAAACAGTGGGCCATCATTTGTTTATGCTCTGTAGGATATTCTATGATTCTTACATCATCTCAACAAATTACTACTCACCAGAATCTACACATCCGATGGAAGGAAATCCTCAAATTTATGACTGATTTATTGTGTATACTCACCTCATTCTAACCAGGAGCTATGTAGTAAAGCCAGTGATAAAAACAATTAAATTTTGATTTAGAAAAAAAAAAGTAAAATCTTTTCTCTTGAAAAGATTTTGTGTTCTACATCCTGGTTTGTCCAAGTCATCCACTGTTATGGACAAATAGTAGAATGATGAAAAAGAGAATGTGGTTATTATAAAATAACTATTTCCCTGGTGACTTGAGACACGTAGGGGTCTGTTGTTCCTTCTGCTCTCCAAGGGATGAGTATATGTCTCTGATGGTGTTGGAAATACACTGAGATAGGGTGTCATTCTGCATGGTATTCTAGCTGATCACCTGCCTGCCTGCATGGCACAGAGAACATTCGGTGGAATAGTTGAAGCTGTGAAACTTCACTGACCCACTCAGAGATAGAAAGGTCTGCAGAGCACAGACTTTAGATCTCCTAAAGAGAGCTCTTAGAAGATCAAAACATGCCCTTTGCTTTACCCACTTGGAGCTGATTTGAACAAGCAACAGGAAAACAACACAGAACGGTATCCAGTATACTTGGCAGAGTTTATTGCCAATTGGAATTAACAGAACACTATCTGTTATCCTGTTATTCACGTCACCACCACCACCACCAGTAACATTTACCAAACACGAATCCTACCTGGGACTTGGTTGGTGTTATACAAATTAATCATCATCTTCTAAGAGCGTATTTGCTTTCTTGTCTAAGGCTCAACCTAACAATGCCAGACTGTTTAATTTGTGAATGCAAAGTATTATTTATGTTCACAAGTGAGCTCATTTTATCTTGCAAATTTAAGTGTTGCAAAGATACTGATGTGTGACAGTTGTTTTCTCAGAAACTCCTATATGGGAAAACTAAGCAGGTTGACTATATCCAGAGCCTTTGACTCTACACTGATTCAGCACTTTACATGATGTAGCATATTTAATATTCAGAAGCCACTATTCCCTCCAGGAGATAGTGACAAAGCTCACCTTCAAAGAAGTTTAAACTCCGTATCATCAGGTATAATATATACAGAATCAATACCAATCTATAAATTACATGTGTAACACCATGCACTCGTATGTCTAAGGAAATCCAAAAATTACAAGTCAGAGGCTAATAATGCCCAATCAAAACCAGTAACAGAGGCATATGCAACTTTCACCTACGTGGTGATTAAGAGGCTGGATGCTCTGCCAAAGAGAGCTTCCTTCATTGCAAAATGGCAGCATTGATTAATTACAATGAGAAATTGTCAGTTCTAGGTATACTTGGTGTGATCGGTTTTACATCACAGAAACAATGGCCGTAAATTCACAAGCCACTTCCTAATAATGAGGCAAATTTCTGGCCCTAGAGCCCAGGATCAGTGCCATCTGCACGGTCACAGCCAAGTGTCCGGAACACTGAACTCATCAGTCCTTATTCACCACCATGCCACAGAAGTTGCTGTCAATTTTGGAAATAATTAAAGAGGCAGGATTATTTGCACGCTACTATTGGCAAAGAAAAAGAAAGCTTGCAATGATCTTCATTAAGAAGGTGGGACAGAAATATGGATGTGGGGTGCAAAGCTGGGTCAGAGTGGATTTTGGTTTTGCAGTACTCTGGGATGGAGTTACTAGATACAGAATTACAAGTATGTAACCCTGTGTTCCGGGCAGAGTTTGAGAGAAAACCTTAGAATAGATGTAGGATTCTCCTTATTATTATGCCTGCCTATTTATGCTCTTAGTCTGTACCTTGCTTTTTATTGCTATTTTTTTCCTTAACTAAATCACTAAGAAGATTCTGTCTCCAGAGCCACAACTCTTCATAAAGCAAGGCATTAACCATTGTCCCCATCTTCCCCTGATACCCTGGCCACCACCCTTGAGCCTCTGTAGAAAGGTGTTGGGACTTCCAGAGTAGTGGAGTTGAAATGGATGATCTGGATCTCGATCATTCTCTCTGCCTCAGGCTTTGGAATGATGCCAACTTACTGCCCACCTGGGCACATTGCTTTGATCAGGACACAGACCCTGTCACTGATGTTTATAATCCACATGGAGAGATTAAATGTCAGTACCTTTCCCCAATACAACATCCAAATAAAGATGATTTCATTTGGGACCAAGCCTTAAGAATATCCAGAACTGCTCAGAGCCATCACTAATTGTTCCTATTTTTCATCTGAAGAGCTTGGCAGGTCCATGACATTATAGCAAAAGTCTTCCCACTAGGACCTTGCCAATTTCAGCTTTAATTCCATCAGTAAACAACTTTGACTGTGTTGGGAAAATTCCATTAATCGTTCATGTTCTGCGAATAATGATACACAAGGAGCTGTCAGCACTAGGCAGCAACTTTCCATTTGTTTGGTAATTAAGAACTCCAGGCCATCTAATGGTGCTGAGATGCAAATTCATTGCCTGGTTGGAGCCACTGGAATGGGCTGAAAAGGATTCACTTGCACTTAAACCCCTAATGTCAGATGATTTGATGGATTTTTCCTGCTTTTCTTAGGTGAACAGCAAGAATATTGCTTCAAGCTGAAATGGTACACTTTGAAAAAAACCTCGTGCTTCTTTCAAGAAGATACAAACTCTTTAGAACACATACTTCTTGTTATTATTTTACTTCAAGTTCTGGGATACATGTGCAGAACGTGCAGGTTCGTTACACTGGTTACAAGAATACATGCTTTTTAAACCTGTTTTTGAATGATGTTTTGATAATACAAATACATAAATGTACATTTTTCCTGAATTGAAATTTTTCATCACCTGAATACCAGAAATTTACTTTCATTAAAATCGTGAATGGGATTTTGTTTTCCTCTACAGAAACACTATCATTTAGCAGAACAGAGACCCAGAAAAGTTTAGCACTGAGAATCTCCATGCAACAGGTAAACAGGTCATTTTTAAAAAAAATCCAAGTTGTGCATGACTACATCTATATTGAAACTCCAAAAACAATTTGATACTTAGAATTTACCAAGAATTCAGCCACAGCATTAGGAGAGGCCGTGAAACTAACCATCTGGAAGACCAGAGACTGCTAGTGGGTCCCTACTGGTTTCTTACATTAATCAGAAAAGTTTCACCACAAGGTTACACTTAGGAATCCAGATGGCATTCAAATGCTCCAGGGCCCCTATCACTATTTTCTTTCCTCCACTACCTTCTTCTTATCATAAAAATATCCAGTTGAAAATTCTATGTCTCATAGGAAGCTACTGGGAAACAAGCAACTCATGCATTTACGAAATAAAAAGGGACATTCTCAGTGACACTTTCTCAACAACATGGCTGCATTCTTTTTTTTTTTTTGAGAGATGGAGTGTCGCTCTATTGCCCAGGCTGCAGTGCAGTGGCACAATCTTGGCTCACTGCAACCTCCGCCTCCTGGGTTCAAGCAATTTTCTGCCTCAGCCTCCTGAGTAGCTGGGATTACAGGTGCCTGCCACCACGCCCGGCTAATTTTTGTGTTTTTAGTAGAGACAGGGTTTCACCATCTTGGCCAGGCTGGTCTTGAACTCCTGACCTCGTGATCCACCCGCCTCGGCCTCCCAAAGTGCTGTGATTACAGGAATGAGCCACCGTGCCTGGCCACAGTAATGTTATTAAAACACTGTGACTCTGTTTTCCCGTGACTTTCTGCGGTGATCTGGGTGAGAGAGGTTTGTTGTTCAGGAGGAGAACGAAGAAGGTGTGAAGACCAGCCTCTGTGGATACTCATCTTCATGGCAACTTCACTGCCCCCAATACAGAATTATTTGCTTTTTATAACACCTCAGCCTCCTTTACCACAGCCACAAAAATGTCAGACTCACATTTCAATCTTAGATCACTACTTCCTGGCTTTTCGGCCCTTTCTCACTCTATACACCACACTCCACTTACTTTTCAACTTTACCAAGACTTCTAGTGCCTGATCCCTGCACTTCTACTCTCAGGACATTCCTGGCGTCTTTTCCTTTCTGTGCTTAACCTAGAACTCTATGGATAATATCCCAAATATCATCAAACCGGCATTATCCATGGCCTCATGCTCTCTACCTTCTACTTCTGCTGGGGCCAGCCTCAAGGGCATGAGACCATACACCCACATAGCACCACATCCTCAGAAGGTGGCCCTCATCAGTGGCTTATGATTTTCTACTCATAATCTTAAAATTTTGTATAACTGTCTTTGCATTTGTATTTTGCTGGTGAAGTCCAATGGGTCAATGAACATGTGTCAGGGGCTGGGACCCTCTGTTCATGCATGGACCTACCTGCCACCACCTGTTCACCACCTTGGGATAAGTTTTTACCTGTCTGCTCCCTCACCTCTACTAAAAAAATCACTGCTGCCCTTCACCTGCACTGAATCCTGGAGAAACACACAAGATGATCGAGGTTGGGCACCTGCACTTCAAGTCATGAGCTATGGGTGTCTACACCAACCTCAAGAGTACCCTGGAGCCACAGGGAGCATCTCAGCAATAAATGGCCAATAAAAAATACCTTCACAGGTAAAGAGAGAGATCATGAAAGAAAGGAAAATACCTTTCTTCTGCCTTTTTTTTTTTTTTGATGGGAGTCTCGCTTTGTCACCCAGGTTGAAGTGCAATGACACAATATCGGCTCATTGCAACCTCTGCCTCCCAGGTTCAAGCGGCTCTCCAGCCTCAGCCTCCCATGTAGCTGGGATTACAAGCACCCACCATCATGACTGGCTAAGTTTTGTATTTTTGTAGAGATGGGGTTTGGCCACGTTGGCCAGGCTGTTCTTGAACTCCTGACCTCAGGTGATCTGTCCTCCTCAGCCTCCCAAAGTGCCAGGATTATAGACATGAGCCACCGCACTCAGCCTTCACTGCTTTTTGAACAAGGGGCCCCTATATTCATTTTGCACTAGGTGCCACAAATGAGGAAGTCATCCTTGACCTTGGCCTTCCAGCAGGGTCTGACAAAGTTGTGGGCTGGCTGTGCTTCTAATCCCATCTCGACATCACCTTCCAAGCTCACTGGTTGGTTGTTGGCAGAATTCATCTCCTTGTGGCTGTTGACCTGAGGTCCTGTTTCTTGACCAAGGACTCTCTCAACCCCTATAGGCAGTTCTTAAGTTCAGGTGATAAAGATGCTTCCATTTTCAAAACCAGCTCTTCCATCCCTCCTGTGGAATTTCTCTCACTTCAAAAAGGCCCTGCCTCTTTTAAGGGCTTGGTGATGAGGTCAGGCTCAGCAGATAATTTCTCTACTGATTAACTCAAAGCCAACTGATTAGCGACCTTAATTATATTTGCTATATCCCCATGTGCCATGTAAGGTCACATAATCACAGTGATGTCCCATCTAATTTAAAGGTTTCACTCACACTTACAAGGAGGAACTAAGACAAGGCATGCATAGGAGGGGATAGGGATCCTGGAGACTGTTTTAGAATACTGCCTACCACACTATCTATTCAAGGAGAGAGGGACATCTCTAGATAAGGTGTCATTTCAAAATGGTAAGCGATGGGAGCTGTATGCTCCAGGTGCCATGAGGCACAGAGGAGGAGCTCTTGACCAGAGTCGATGATGTAAGAAATCCTGGCCAATATGAGGCCACTGGAGTCTTAAAAGAACTAGCAAGTGACACTGAGGCTCAGCTGAAGTTGGAGACTATGAGGTATGATGTGTTTGCTGCAGACATTGGCAGCTGAGGAGAGTCCATGCAGAGTTTGTGACATTAAACCACACTAGTCTTCTGCTGGAAGGCAGAGGCCAGGCTCACTACCTAATTTTTGTTGTTTTAAACTGCTACATTCTTGGTGATTTATTACACAGCAACAGAACATTAATACACATTGGAAGTTGTTCAGTGTCAGAAACTGAAACTATTTTTCTCCTTTTTGTTCCTCACCCACATTCACAAGTCCCAATTCTTAACAAGGGTTCAATGTTACCATGGTTGTATGCTCTTTGGATCTTTAATTTATTCAAGGGAGGCAATAATGAGTTATCATGATTAAATCCCATTATAAATAGCATAATTATTATTATATTGTTTTCATAAACTTCACCTCAAGAGGCCGAAGGGGGACCTTCCTTTCCTGTGTCTTTCCCTCACACCTCACACTCCACAACCTGCACCGACACACAGATAAACTTTCTTTTCAACATTCCCCTACACTTTTCAAGATAAAGCTCATGTTCTCTTCTCAGACACGACAAAAAAAAAATTAGCTTCCAGAAGCTTACATCTCAGGAAATTGTTATTCACAAAGTGCTTTGAAATCTCCAGCACGAAAAATACAAAGAATAAAGTGTCTGCTGATGTACACATATTAAAAACATATGCCATAATATAAGCCCAAGGATCTCAGATCCACAAATAATGCAGAAGGCAGCATTTAATTTCCTGGTGGAGAGGCTTCCCATTATTTTCTTCCTCTAACTCCCCTTTCCATCAAAGTGAAGAATAAACACAATTGTCCTACACAAGCAAAATATAGGGAGCTAAAGCCATTATTTGAGAACATTTGGAATCTAAATGTAGATAAACGTATAAACTTACAGGACCTTTGCAATCGTGATCAACTGTGGTTAAGAATTGGTGGTTCTGAATGTTAGAAAAGTGCTCAGTACTGCAAAGGGCCATGCTCACGGCAGATCTCAACTGTAGATCTGCTCAATTAACTTTTTTTTAAATTTAAGTAACATATATATAACATAACATTTACATTTTAAGTGTACAATTCAGTCATATTAAACATGTTCACATTGTAGTGCAATCTCCAGAACATTTTCACCTGGAAAATTGAAATTCTGTACTCGTTAAACAATAACCTCCTACTTCCATTTTCTTCCAGCCTCTGGGATCACCCATTCTTTTCTGTCTCTATAAATTTTACTACTCCAGATACTTCACATAAGTGGAATCATATGATATTGGTCTTTTTGTGACTGGTATATTTCACTTAGCATAATGCCTTCAGGTTCACCCATGTGATAACACGCATCAAAAGTTCCTTCATTTTTAAGGCTGAATAATATTCAGCTGTAGGTATGTGCCACCTTTTTGTTTATCCACTCATTTGTCCACGGACACTTGGGTGATTCCCACCTTTTGGCTATTATAAATACTACTTCTATGAACATGGGTGTGCAAATATCGCTTTGGGACCCTGTTTTCAATTCTTTTGGGCATATACCAACAAGGAGAATTGCTGGATTATATGGTAATTCTATTTTTAATTATTTGAGGAGCTGTTGAACTGCTTTCCATAGTGACTGTACCACTAGGAATCTGGCTAGTTTTTCAAATGATAATTTCCCATTCTTTCATTATTAAAATAATATTTTTACGTATCATTTATAGAGACTAATTGTTTTGTGAATTATGTACAACTGACATTTGGTGACCCAGATGAAACGCTAACTTTAAAACTACAGATTAATTTTATGTAGTTTATTGAAAAAAAGGAGGAGAGGGGAGGCTTACGAACATGATGGACAAGTTCAAATTCTTAAAGAATGAAGATATTTTAAAATGTGTTAGATTTTAAATTCCTACTCTATCAGCCAGATCAGGCTGCCATAACAAATACCAGAGAATGGGTGGATTAAACAACAGAAATTTATCTTCTCACTGTTCTAGAGGCTGAAGAGTCTAAGATTAAGGTGTTCACCTGTTCCTTTTATGGTGAGGGCTCTCCTCCTGGCTTGCAGACAGCCATCTTCTCACTATGTCTTTACATGATGCAGAGAGAAAGAGAAAGAGAAAGAGACTCTTGTTTTCTTCTTCTATGGCCACAAATTCTATATAGAATTAGGGGCCCATCCTTAAGACCTCATTTAAATTTACTATCTCCTGATAGCCCTATCTGCAAATGCAGCCACATTGAGGGTTAGAGATTAAATGTGCAAATTTGGGGAAATATAATTCAGTCCATGGCACCCACCAACAGTACAGAAGCATTTCAATTTCTCCACATCCACACCAACAATTGTTTTATGCTTTTTCTGGCAGTGGCCATTCTGATGAATGTGAGGAATCTGGCCAGTTTTTTTTTAAATGAACTCAATAATTTCCTATTGTTTTATTTCAAAATAATATATATACGTATATATACATTTATAGACACTAATTGTTTTGTGAATTATGTACAATTGATATTTGGTGCCCCAGATGAAACTCCTAACTTTAAAACTATAGATTAATTTTATGTAGTTTATTGAAAAAAAGCTGGGGAGGGGAGGCTTATGAACATGATGGGCAATAAGTTCAAATTCTTAAAGAATGAAGATGATTTTTTAAAATGTGTTATACTTTTGCACTTTTTCACATTCCTTACCATGCTAAGACTCATTCACTCTCAGAGCCAAGGATCTTTGTGGTTCTCAATGTATTGGTGATAAAGTATAAGCCACAGGAGCGATAGGTGTCAGGCCTAATTTCAGTTATAATTTGCTGTATAGACAGCAGCAAGTCATTCAGTTTCTCCCACCCCCAATTTCTCCATTTGTAGTACAGGAATACTTACTCAATCTATGACATAAGATTTGTGAAAGGATTAACTGAGGCCAAAGATGGCAATATTTCATCCATGCTGATGAAACTTTAAATATATTGAGGAGATCTTTGCAGAAAGCATGATTATGGTCAGGGGCTGAAGAGTAAATCACTGTCTCTGCTTCTTTGGATCTGACACAGATTTTGCACAATTACACATTGCACAGAGTGCTGGGAGATAGGTGTACAAATATGGGGAAGGGCACCAATGGTGATCTTGGTGCTCATGTCATGTAATGGGTATTTAGCAATGATCACAAACCTTAGGAAATTATATAAAGTAAAAGGCATGATAACCCATTTAGTAACAATAGTTAAACATTTGAAATCTTCTTATGTAGAACAAAGAAAGCGAAATAAATAGTCTCAAAGCTATGGAAACTATTTTGTTGTCTAAACTACAGCTGGATCAACTATCATATGTTTGCTTATCAGTTTATTTTCTTTTTCTTTTTACTAAACTGGAAAATATTTTAAGTCACAATTACAGATTATCAGTAATGGCAGCAACTGTTTGGTGGCATCTGTCAGACAATTCCGTATATTTGGATCTAATATGTGCCCTGAATTATGAAGATGTTTCTCCCAGAAGACTCCTTTTAGCACAACATCAGATGCCATGTTCAATCTCACCTGACATTCAAAAGCTGGAATGGGAGATGGCTGCATTGGATTCTTAATCCTCTCTTGGTTGTACTCAGCCTTGAAAAATGTTTCTTCATGTGTAGTACAGAATTTAAAGTACTTTTAATAGCCTCAATAATATATCATCAGTTCATTTTTGTTAAAATGAAAAATATTGAGCCCCCTTAAAAATGTTAATGCTTTTTCTTTTCAAAAATAATAATCATTATATGAATACCATATAATTAGGTTCAGGTAATTCAAAATAATGAGTAACTAAGATGTATCTTTTGAAGTCATAAAAAGAGTCTTCTGGCTTTATCCATCTCATGAAAAAAGCTTTTGTATATAATTTTACAGTTAATAAACCCAAATGATAAAGTTTCATTAGCATGGATGAAATATTGTTTTCTTTGGAAAATGAGATTCTTGGCTTCACTAATAATTTCTTCCTCCAGGACACTGAAGAGGCTGGCCTCAATATTATCATAGTAACAACTTTCTATAGAACTTCTTAATACTGAATGCACATTGGGGTAAACTTGTTGGCCAACTATTCTCTGTTGTCCTCCTACAACCTACTTTATTCCTATAACAATGGTGTTTATTGCTGCACACTTAGAGGGTGGTCTGTTGTCCCTGGTTCCAATGTGACTTTTCTAATCTTACTTCACCTTATGCCCAATGATCAATAATTAATTAAATACTCACATCTTCTGGAGCACAGCTTGTCAACAATAAACACAACTTCATCAAGCACTCTTCTTTCATATATGCACTATATATAACAGAGTATTAAAATTGAGGTTTTTGTCTCAATTTCTCGGAGTCCCCTCTTACCCATCCCTAAAAATAGCATCCATCAAATCCATATTCCCTAAAAAAAAATTAGGCAATCTTTGCAAAGAGTATATATAAAAACTTGTTTTGCAACCTTCTCCTATCACCTACCTCCAGACTATAAAATCTAAGATAGAAATTGGAGGATTTCTTTGAGAATTTTTTTAATGCTACAGCCTGTTTTTTTCACTACTTTTCCTAAAGGGCAGAAGAATGAAATACTTCTCCTTATCTTAAATCCGTTGAGGTAGGCTTCATAGAGATTACTTAGAGAATTCTAGTATATAATTCTTAAAGTTTGGAAGGCTAAGGTGGCACATAGTGGACAACATTTAAAAACAGGAGGCTAAGTATATATTAACCAAGTGGAAAATCTAGGTAGGAAAGTCTGTCATTACTGGCCAAAGGAGAAAGAAGGGGAACTAAATGGCCCATGTTAGAAGCCTGTTGCACTTACACTCATGAAGCCACCAGAATCAGTGAGGGTTTTCTTACAGTCTAGATAGGGACAAGGTCAGGGAGAGGGAGCAGCCTGGAGACATATTAATTTTTCCCAGATGAACTGCCTGGAGGAAATATTGAACTAACATAGGATGAAACACAGCATAGCTGATAGATACGTGAGTGACTTTTTGGAAGAAACTAAATTGTTCCCATCATGAGAAGTAGACTCTAAGGTCTCGTGGGGGCTAATGGTAGAATCCTTACTAGGCCCCAAAGAAGGAGAATTTATCTACCATTAGAGACCAAACAAAGTTAGCTCAAGATATCCACCATGGCCAGAGGAAACCAATCCAACATGGCCAGAGGAAAGCAAATCATACTGACCCCAGTCAAGAGGAAAACACAGCCTTGGCTCACAATGATGAGGGAGGGGAAGAAAAACTCATCAAGGGAATAAAGAAGGTGGTGGCCACTTTTCATGGGTTCTATGCGAAACTATCAAAGCTGACTCAAACCAAGGGGAGAGAAGGAGCTTACTTGAGATGTGTTTTTGCTTATTGACTAGGCATTTAATTCCTGAACAGAGATTATTTAAATCTTAAAGATTAAAGGATGTTTTTCAAGTCTGAAAATCATAGGACTCAAATTAGCTTTCAATTCAGGGGCCAGGAAATGGCAAGCCCCACTGTGTGAGTTTGAAAGGGTGAAGAATAATGGAGGGAAGGTGTGAGAGAATAAAGTTTTTTCTTTTGGCTCCAGGTAAGTTATGTATACCCATGCCAGAGCTGCAAGAACACCCTCGTCATACAACTGCAGCTCCCACCTTACGATCAGTGTTACCTACACAACGATAATATTACTTGATAAAATAATTTTATTGGCTGGGCCCAGTGGCTCATGCCTGTAATTTCAGCACTTTGGGAGGCCTAGGCAGGTGGATCACCTGAGGTCAGGAGTTCTAGACCAGCCTGACCAACAAGATGAAACCCCGTCTCTACTAAAAATAAAAAAAGCCAAGCATGGTGGCGGACGCCTGTAGTCCCAGCTACTAAGGAGGCTGAGGCAGGAGAATTGCTTGCACCCGGGAGGCAGAAGTTGCAGTGAGCCAAGATTGTGCCATTGCACTTCAGCCTGGGCAACAAGAGTGAAACTCCATTAAAAAAACTAATGATCAATTGATAGTTTTGTTTTTCTTCCAAAAATAATATATATTTTTTACATGTGACTAATTTCACAAGTCTCCTGTGTAACTTGTGGCTATTCAAGGTGAAAGTTGTGCAACTTTGAAAGACCCCTCTGTAATTCCAGTTTGTTCTTTATTTTTACTAAAAAGCATGACAGGTATTTTGTGCTCATTTTAGGGAGAAAAAAAAAACAGAACTAAATTGGCTTATCATAAAGGTGATAGATTATGTTTTGTAAGAACACAAAGCTCCTGTTTCTTGTTAGTCTTTGACTGAACTTGACACTAGTTAACAGTCTGGGGACCAGTGAAAGGTTAATATGTACTGTAAAATTCAATTCTCAGATATTCATTGTCATGCTTCTAATTACACTTCTTTTTGGCCACCAGGCCAAATTCAATTGTAACAGTACATGGAGGTTCACAATATGTATTCACACTGGAGACGTCGGCATTGTTTCTATTGATGCTAATATTCTAGGTTGTAATAGTGCACTACTTTTGACAGCTCAATGAACTAGCCAAATATCTATTTTGGGCAGTTGAAGATACAAAGCAGTATAGTCATTGACATAGTTCGGATGTTTGCCCTTGTCCAAATCTCATGTTGAAATGTAATCCCCAGTGTTGAACGTGGGGCCTGGTAAGAGGTGATTGGATCATGGGGACAGATTCCCCATGGCTTGATACCGTCCTCGCGATAGTGAGTTCTTGCAAGATTTGTTTGTTTAAGTATATGGCGCCCCTTTGCTCCTGCTTTTGCCATGTGACATTCCTGCTCTATTCCTGCTCCTACTTGGCCTTCTGCCATGAGTAAAAGCTCCCTGAGGCCCCCAAAGGCTTAGCAAAGCTGACGCCATGCTTGTACAGCCTGCACAACTATCAGCTAATTAAGCCTCTTTTCTTTATAAATTATACGGCCCCGGGTGTTTACAGCAATGCAAGAACAACCTAATATAGTCATGCTAGCAAAAATTAAAAACTACGTAGTTAATGAAACATAGAAAATAAAATTTCTAATGATTTGTAAAATGTTAGCAGGGATGAGTTGTACCTTGGTAAATTGATATAAATAAACATTATCTGACTAATTCACTCTTTGTTTGATAAGAACTATCTTTAAGAAACTGATAATAATGAGGCAAGAAAATTTCTATTAAAATAACAATAAAGCTTACATTTTAAACTTAAAACGTATGTGAACTACATTATTTAATTTTTTTCCTTTGAAACTTTCAAACTTGTCACAGATCACTCCCAAGTGCTGGTACCACAGCACCATGTCATCCTCATGCTCTGCAGAATAGCATGGCACATCACTGGATGTCTTCTTGTTGATTGCCTTTTCTAAGGCAGACATCGACCTAGGCATTTGGAACATAGTGATGAAGAACACAATCATGGAACCTACCCTCCAAAAGCTTACACTCTAGCAAAGAAGTCATATAAAAATCCATAATTAGGCCAGGCGCAGTGGCTCACTCCTTTAATCCCAGCACTTTGGGAGGCAATGAGGGCGGATCACCTGAGGTCAGGAGTTCGAGACCAGCCTGACCAACATGATGAAACCCTGTCTCTACTAAAAATACAAAAATTAGCTGGGCATGTTAACGCATGCCTGTAATCCCAGCTACTTGGGAGGCTGAGGCAGGAGAATCACTTGAACCCGGGAGGCAGAGGTTGCAGCGAGCCAAGGTAGTGCCATTGCACTCCAGCCTGGGCAACAGGAGCAAAACTCCATATCAAAAATAAATAAATATAAACAAAATAAAAACCCATAATTAAAATAGTATCAGGAACACTTGACCTGATAAAGAGGTGGATCTTGTGAAGTCATATAACCCGAGCCCTGAGGTATGAGTAAAGGATAGTCACTTAAAGCAGGGTTGGCAGAAGAGCAATTTCATTTGCATCCATTGTGCTTTCTAGTTTACAGCATGTGCATTGTGCTTGTGCTGAGATGTGAAGCATTTTATCAGCATTATTAAGCCTATCATGTGGGAGACATGTAAAAGCACTGAAAGTAATGGAACTACTGGTAAAAAAATACATACTCTTATAACGAAAACATCAACAATTTTATTTTTTTTACCAAACTTTTTAAAATTTTGAGATACAAAGAGCTCTCTTGCACCCTTATTCCAGTTTCCCCCAATGGTAACATATTGGAAACTATAATATAATATTATAACCAGGATAATGGCATTGATACAGTCAAAATAGAGAACATTTTCATCATCACAAGGGTTTATAATGGCACCCTTTTATAGTCACACTTAGCTACCTTCTCTCAACCCCTTCCTTAACCCCTGATTCCCCTTATCTGTTCTACATTTCTATAATATTGTCATTTCAAGGATCTTATGTAAAGGAAATTATAAACTATGTAACTTTTTGAGATTGAAGATTTTTTTAATTACTCAACACAATTCTCTGGAGATTCATCCAGGTTGAGTGTGTCAATAATTCATTCCTTTTCATTGCTTAGGAATACTTCTTTGTATCGATGAACCACAGTTAGCTTAACCATTCACTCATTGAAGAACATTCTGGGTTATTTTCAGTTTTGGTCTATTATAAATAAAATAGCCACAAACATTCATGTATAGGTTTTTGTGTGAACATAAGCCTTCCTGTCTCTGGTATAAATCCAGCACTTGTTAATAGCACATGTCCACATGTTAATAGCATGTTTAGTTTTTTAACAAACTGCCAAACTGTTTTCCAGAATGGCTGTAACATCTAACATTCTCATTGGCAATGTATGAGTGATCCAGATTCTCTGCAGCATTGCCAGTATTTGCTTTTGACTCTCTATCTATCTATATAGTCAAAATATATACATATATTTGCTTTTGACTATATATATATATTTGCCTTTCACTATTTTTTGGTTTTGCATATATACATATACATAATTCATTGTGTATATACATATATTGTGTGTACATATGTATATTATGTGTGTTTCTACATATATATGTACACACACATATGTATACAGTTTTTAAATTTTAGCCATACTGTTAGGTGTGCAGTGGCTATCTTGTGATTTTAATTTATATTCCCCCAAAGACTAATCAAATTGAACATTTTTTCATATGTATATGTGCCATCTGTATATTCCCTTGGGTAAAATATCTCTTCATGTTTTTTCCCCCACATTTTGTAAATGGATTATCATTATTTACTGTTGAGTTTTGAGAGTACTTAATATATTTTTAGATACCAGTCTTTTTTCAGTTTGCAAATATTTTCTCCCAGTCGGAAGCTTGTTTTTTCATCCTCTTAACAAGCTGTTCCACAGAAAAAAAAGGTTTTAATTTTGGGGAAGTCCAATTTATCAATTTTTTCTTTTATAAAACTTGTTTTTAGTGACTAGTTTAAGAACTCTTTGCCTAGCCCTAGATTCCAAATGTCGCCTGTTTTTTTTTTCTAAAAGTTTTATAGTTTTACATTTTACATTTAAATCCTTGAGTCATTTGAGTTAATTTTTGTACAAGATGTAGGTTATTTAAAAGTTCATTTCTCTGTTTTGCCTCTGTATGCTAATTTCCTTAGCACCATTTCTTGAAAAGGCTTTCTTCCATTGAATTTCCTTTGCACCTTTGTCAAAAATTAATTTGGCTTATTTGTGTGGGTATGAGTTCTCTGCCCTGTCCTATTGATCATCAAGTACAATGTTAGCTGTAGATTTTTCTTCATAGCTCAAATTGAGAAATTTTCCCTCTGTTCCTACTAATCTGAGAGTTGTCTATTTGTTTCCTTTAATCATGAGAGGGTGTTGCATTTCATAAAATGCTTTTTCCTGCACAGACTGATATAGTGGTGCAATATGTTTTTCTTTAGATTGTTAATATGATGGCTTACATGGATTGATGTCAGAATATTGAACCATTCTGCATCCTTAGAATAAACCTCACTTGGTCATTGATCCACGCCTAACTATTTCTTTTCTGAGAGTTAATTAATTATGCAGTTAATTTTCTTAATAATTATAGAACTATTCAAATTATCTATGATATATTGAGTACGTTCTGGAAGTTTGTGTTTTTCTAGTAACTGGTCCATTTCACTAAATTATCAAAGTTATGTGTGTAAAATTATGGAAAATATTTCCTTATCCTTTGAATATTTGCAGGATCTGCCATAATATTTCCTGTTCCACTCTTAATATTGGTAATTTGTGTTTTCTCTCTTCTATCATTGTCAATCATGCTAAAGTTTGGTCAATTGTATTGACTTTTTATGAAGAACCAGCTATGTTTCATTGATTTTCTCTATTGCCTTTCTTTTTTCCAGTTTCATTTTCTGTTTTCATGTTTATTACTTTCTTCCTTCTGTTTTCTTTGTGTTTATTTTGCCGTTTTTATTTTCAAGTCCTTGAGGTGAGAGATTAGATTATTTTGAGACTTTTCTTCTTTCTTAATGTATGCATCTAGACTTACACATTTTCCTATCAAGACTGCTTTAGCTGCATCCCACTAGTTTGATTTCTTGTTTTTCATTTTAATTTGGTTCAATTTAGTTTTTTTTTAATTTCTTTTGAGACTTTCTCTTTGACCTTCTATCTAGAAATGCATTAATTAGTTTTTGAGTGTTTGAAGATTTTACTGCCATCTTTCTTATGTTGATTTCTATTTAGGTTTTATTGTAATCTTATGTCACATTATGTATGATTTTATTATTTTTTAATTTGTTGAGGTTTGTTTTATGGTTAAGGATATGCTTTATCTTGGTATATGTTCTGTGAGTACTTGAAAAGAATGTATATCATGCTGTTTCATGAAGGGTTCTATAAATGTCAACTGAATTCTGTTCGTTCATGGTGTTGAGTTATTCTATATCATTGCTGATTTCCTGTCGAGGTATTCTATCAGTTGCTGAAAGAGGAAAGTTGAGTTTTTTAACTACAATTGTGAATTTGTCTTTGTCTTTTCAGTTCTATCAGTTTTTGCTTCACATATCTTGCAGCTTTGTTATTTGCTATACACACATTTAGTATTGTTATATCTTCTTGTATTGACTCTTAAAGAGTCTTGTATTGACTCTTAAAGAGTCTTGTATAGACTCTTTTCTTATTAAGTCCCTTTCTATATCTGGTAATTTTCCTTGCTCTAAAATTGACATTATCTGATATTAATATAACCACTACTGCTTTACTTTATGTTTGCATGATCTCTTTTTTCTTCCTTTTACTATCACTCTACCAGTACTTTAACTGGTGCATTTAGACCATTTATATTTAATGTAATATTTGTATGTTAGGATGAAGTCTGACGTGTTATTGTTTTGCATTCTTTTTATTCATTCTGTTTTTTTGTTTCTGTTGTATCTTTCCTATCTTCCTATGGGTTACTTGAACACATTTTAGAATTCCCTTTTGATATAATGTTTTGAATGTGTCTCCTTTACAGCTATTTTAGTGTTCTCTCTAGGTATTACATTAAATATACATTAATTACATTAAATATACATGACTAATAGTCTACTAGTGTAGTGATCTTACAACTTCGATTATAGAAACCTTGCCTACCTTTATATTTCTTTACTTTCCCCTAATTAGAATATAATTATCCTAAATATTTTCTTTACATACATTTAGAATCACACAAGGAGGATGGGGAAATAATATAGGAAACTGAAAAAAGGGCATTCTGTAGAACTCACTCATATTTTGGGTTACCATATACTTTCTTCTTTCCTTATATTTTAATGTTCTTTCTTTATTGCTTTTTCTGTTTAAATGAGTTATTTTGGCTATTATTTTAGAATAGATCTACTGGCAACAAATTTTCTTAGTTTCTCTTTATCTGAAAATATCTTGATTTTCTTTTCACTACTGAAGGAAATTTTGTTGGATATATAATTATGGGATGGCTGTTATTTGCTTTCAGCACTTGAAAAATATGGTGCTACATTTTTCTGGTTTCCATGGTTTCTGAGGATAAATTCACTATCATTTGAATTTTTTCTCCTATAGGTAAGGTTTTGTTTTTCTTTCTCACCACTTTGATTTTTTTTTTGTTTTTATGTACTTTTGGAATTGTAATTATGACCCGTCTTGGCATGTATTTCTTTGGGCTTCTTCTGTTTGAGGTTTTGTCAATTTCTTGAAATGGTAGATTTATATCTTATGCCAAATTTGAAAAATTTGGGCTTCTTTTTCAACATTTAATGCTGTTCTTATTTTTTTAATCCACAAAAAACAAACTATATTTTTAGTCATTATTTCTCTGAGTATTTTTTTCATCTTTGCTCTCTCTCCTCCATTCTCTCAGATCCCAGTGACATAAATGCTAGATCTTTTGCTGTGGTCCCTCAGGTCCCTGAGGCTTTGTTCATTTTTTTCAGTCTATTTTTTAACTTTTGTTCAAATGTGGCAACTTTTATTATTCTGTTTTCCAATTCACTAATTTCTTGCTCTGACCTTTCCATTCTGCAGTTTAGCTCATTCACAGATTTTCTGTTTGTTTTGTTTTAATTTGGTCATTGTATTTTTTGGTTTTAAAATTTCAAAAGTCTAAAACTTATAAAACGTGTTCTTTATATTTTCTACTTCTTTGTTGAGATTTCCTATTTCTCTGCTGAGGCCATCTATTTTCTTTTTCATTCGTTTCAACAATGTTTGTATACCTGATTGTTGAAGCATTTTAATTATAGCTGGTTTGGAATTTTGTTAGATAGTTCTAATATTTCTGTGATCTCAATGGTGGCATCTATTTATTGTCTTTTTTAATACAGTTTGAGACATCTTGGTTTTCAGCAGGATGAGAAGTTTAGGAGGTCTCCCAAATCACCCTCAAGTCAATAACTCACTACAAGGATGCACAGAATTTAGAACTCAAAAAAGATCATTTTATGTCTTCAAGCAACTTACAGTTGTTATTTATTGCAGAGAAAAGTTACAGATTAAAATCAGCAACAGGAAAAGGTGTATAGAGCAGGGTGCAAGGGATATGTTTTTGATGTCTTCTCTCACTGGAGATGGAGTTTTCAACTGAAGTTTTCTTTTTCTTTTCCTTTTTTTTTTTTTTTTTTTTTTTGAGTGTAGTGGCATGATCTTGGCTCACTGCAACCTCCGCCTCCCAGGTTCACGAGATTCTCCGCCTCAGCCTCCCGAGTAGCTGGGATTACAGGTGCCCACCACTATGCCTGGCTAATTTTTGTATTTTTAGTAGAGGTGGGGTTTCGCCATTTGACCAGGCTGACCTTGAACTGCTTGTCTCAGGTGATCTGCCCACCTTGGCCTCCCAAAGTGATGGGATTACGCTGGAGTTTTCAATTGTCTTCTCCCACTGGAGGTGGGAAGGCAGTGCTTATTTGTCTTAGCAGTGGTGTGTGACAATACATGCAGTTTCACCAATCAGGGAAACTCCACCAAGCCTTGGTGTCTATAGTTTTCTTTGGGTGTTGGTTACATAGATGTGGTTGACTGCTCTTGTTGTTGACCTTAGTTTTTAGCCCCTTTAGAGATGAAGTCACACGGCCCAAAGGCCCACTGTAAATCACACTGTTATCACAGACTATGCTGCATGGCACAAGGCTCCAGTGTAATCGAAGATACCCTTATCAAGCAGGACATTCTGAGAACTTATAGGTTAGCACCCAGGATCCAGGGGGAAAGGCCAAACCTTTCTTCAGGCAAGGTTAATCCTTTGCTTCACAGTATGAAACCTGGACATATGGTATCATGTTATGAGAGTCTGGATCTTATTTAAAGTTCTGCTTTAGGTGGCTTTCTCTGCCACTGCTCCAGCAACAGAAAGAGAGACACTGTGTTTTCTATTTTTAATTTCCAATTTTTATTTAAGTTCAGGGGTGCATGGGCAGGATGTGCAGGTTTGTTACAAGGGGAAATGTGTGCCATGGTGGTTTGCTGCACAGATCATCCCGTTTCCCAGATATTAAGCCAAGCCTCCATTAGCTATTCTTCCTGATCTTCTTCCTTCTCTTCACCCTCTCCTCTGACAGGCCCCAGTGTGTGTTATTTCCCTTCCTGCGTCATTTAGCTCCCACTTATAAGTGAGAATATGTGGCATTTGGTATTCTGTTCCTACATTAGTTTGCTAAGGATAACGGCCTTCAACTCCATCCATGTCCCTGCAAACGACATGATATCATTCCTTTTTAAGGCTGCATGTTATTCCATGGTGTATATGTACCACATTTTCTGTATCTAGTCTATCATTGATGGGCATTTAGGTTGATTCCAAGTCTTTGCTGTTATGAGCAGTGCTGCAGTGAACATACTCATGCATGGGTCTTCATAATAGAATGATTTATATTCCTTTGGGTATATAATCAGAAATGGGGTTGCTGGGTCGAATGGTATTTCTAAGTCTTTAAGGAATAGGTACGCTCTCTTCCACAATGGTTGAACTAATTTACACTCCTACCAACAATGTCAAAGTCTTTCTTTTACTCCACAACCTTGCCAGCATCTATGTTTTTTGACTTTTTAATAATACTCATTCTGACTGATGTGAGACAGTATCTCATTGTGGTTTTGATTTGCATTTCCTTCATGATGAGTGATGTTAAGCTTTTCTTCATAGGTTCTTTGGCTGCATGTATGTCTTCTTTTGAAAAGTGTTTGTTCATGTCCTTTGCCCACTTCTTAGTTTTTTTTGGTGTAAATTTGTTTAAGTTTCTTGTAGATGCTTGATATTAAACCTTTGTCAGATGGATCGATTGCAAAAATTTTCTCCCATTCTGTAGGTTGTCATTTACTCTGTTGATAGTTTCTTTTGCTGTGCAGAGGCTCTTTAGTTGAATCAGACGCCATTTGTCAATTTTTGCTTTTGTTGCGACTGCTTTTGGCATCTTTGTCATAAAACCTTTGCCTGGGAGGCACGGTCTTATTACTGCCAGGTGGAAACTGAAGTCCAGGTTTACCTCTCAACTTCTATTGTCGTACTACAGGAGTCGTTCTTTTTACTCTTTGGTAGGAGTAGGAGGCCTGGCTTCCCCACATGATCTTCGCTGACACAGAGTGATGGAGGCCTCATTATTGTGGATGATTCTGAAAATCCTGACTCTCCAGTAGGCCTCCTCTGATATCACTTGATAAAGGAGAGGAACAAGTGCCTCATTATTGCCAAGTGGGGGAGGAATTTCAGGTCCTATGTGTTCTCACTGACACCATATGAGGAAGCATCATTACTACCTCATGGAGATGAAAGTCCCAGATTTTTGCTCAACTTCTCTGACATCACTTCAGCAAGTGTTGGACACTTATCAGAGCCTCATGAAGGAGGAAGTGTAGGGTGCCCAGCTGGGCTTCGCTGGCTTAGGAGGAAAGGAAGCCACAATTTTACTGTGGCGTTGGGCTGTAGTAGTGTGGTTATTGTCTACTATTTTTATGTCTTGCTAAGCTGCCCGTTTTTTGGTCCTGTAGTTACAGAGATAAGGCCTTCGTTGGAGGATTTACTTTCTGGACCTCTGGAATTTCCGGGTCGCTCATTTCTTTTAGCTCCTGGTTTATGATAATGAAGCAAAAAGGAAACTCAGGGAGCTCCCCTGAGGTTCCTAGCCTGTCTACCTTCCACTCTGACATTTCAGGGTCTTCTTTTATTTGTTCTCTACATAATGTCCAGGGCTTTCAGTTGTATTTAGTGAGACAATTTTTTTAAAAAGTCTACTCTATATTTTCTTAAGTGGAAATCCTCCAGGACATAATTTGAAGCTGAAAAATGATGAGAAATATTTTGAAGGACACAAAACACATCATAAAACATATAAAATGTGTTAATCTGTGCAACAGATGGTAATTTTAAAAATACATAAACAAGGGATTGTCAAAAAGGAAAAAGAAAACTCTCCAAGGGTGTGACTAGAAGGTCAGTTTCAACACTGGATGTCTGGTTTTCTGACGATAATTCTGAAGAAATCTGGGAATTTATTGGAGAACTTAAAGACTAACAGTGAAAGTTTTACAGGTTCAAAGCCCTTTTAAATGTGAAACTGCTTTGATGAAAGCACCAACTGGGAAGCTGTAGCTGTTAAGGCATTCCTGAGAAAGTTTGTGGAATTCACAAAAGAAGAGGAACGCATGCTTCAGTTGATTTCCAGTGTTAATAAAACTGGTCTGTTTGGTAAAATGTAGGCTGATGGAAATGTACCAGCAGCAGAAGAAAAGCATGCTCCGTGTACCTCTTGAGGTTCTTTCAGAAACAGAAAGTTCCCTAGATGGTCCAGGCTGGAAGATATTAGATGAAAACACAGTTGTGCATCACTTAAGGATGGGGATATGTTTCTGGAAATGCATCATTAGGCAGTTTCATTATTGTGCACACATTATAGAGTGTGCTTACTTATATAAATGTAGATGGTTTAGTCTACTACACACTATTGCACATCGGCTCCAAACCTGTACAACATGTAACTGCACTGAATATTGTAGGCAATTATAACACAGTGGAAAATATTTGTGTACCTAAACATATCTAAATGTACAAAAGGTACAATAAAAATATGGTGTTAAATCTTATGGGACCTGAGTCATCTATACTGTTGTTGACCGAAACATCGTTATGCTATGCATGACTGTAGTTACTTACAAAACCTTTAGAAGATTTAAGGAAACAAATCTCAGGGGAAGCACCATTTGATTTTAGGTTTGAGAGGTAGTGGGAACTATAGGAGACAGTCACCAATAATCTCAGCACCCTTCTGCACTAAAGTGGTTGATTAGCAGAATTCCTGTAAGCCATCAGCAGTTCCTAACCCCTGATTGTTTCTAACAAAGCCCCTTACCTTCCAGGTGCTGTTGAAGAGCTCTGTTTCTGCTTTACTTCCTCCTTTCAAATATTATATGTGGCATTTTAATTAATTTTTCTGACAGACTCTAAAACCCGATTTGCTTTCAATGATTCTGGGAAGTGTGATTCCCATGTTTTCAGCCCCAAAATACAGGAGAGAAGAGAGAAGGTATACAATAGTCTAAACTGGCAATACATAGCCTGGCATACCTGGTGTTAATGTGATGTGCTTATGAACAGCTAGTTGAAAATAAGAGTAAATTCCTTTTTACCCAGGAAATATTCATATAGATTTTGTTAATAGAAAATGATTGTTCTCATCTTACAGATTAAATAGAGACTAATACAATTTAAGTAACTAATTCTGGCAACCTTGGTTACCAGAAAAAAGTGTTGGAACTGGGATTTGAGGTGGAATTCAATTGTCCTCTTAGCTGTCAAATTTTCCTTCTCCTTTAAAAAGCTTTGAGGGATAAAGTATTAAGTTTAAGGTCATAGCTAAACACATTCGCGTATAATTAAAGAGCATGATATAGTCAGAAAACTGCAAGTATGATAAAAATGGGATGTGTATGCGAGGAAACAAGTGGAAAGTAGATGTGAAAATGTATAGAAAAAAAGAAAAAATGCATATATTAAACATATATAAATGATTACTGTGCTTTGATGAGCATCAACACTTGAGAGGAATTGTGTAAGGAATGGCAGAGGCAAGAAAAAACTTGGAAAGAAACGATTCCACTAAATTCTAAGAGCAAAGAGGGATTATCTTCTTTCGAGGAGGCATAGTTCTTCAACTCCCCCAAAATTCCTTCATTATAAACAGAGCAACTAGAGGGCAAAAGCAAAAACTTACAAGAACCTTTATGAGAAAGCTTTTGAGAAACCACCAAACTGTATTCCACAGTGGTGACATCTTTTGCATTCTCACCAGCAATGTAAGAGGGTTCCAGTTTCTCATATTCTGGCCTATATGCGGTACTTTCTATTTTTTGTTGTTGTAACAAATCTAGTGGGTCTAAAAGAGGTATCCCATTGCAGTTTTGATTTGCATTTCCCTAATGAGTAATGATCTTGAACATTTTTTCATGTGCTTATTGGCCATTTGTGTATCTTCTTTGGAAAAATGTCTATCCAATTAATTTGCTCATTTTTATTTTAGTTTTAGTTTTTTTAAAAAAAATTTCCAACTTTTAAATTCAAGGAGTACATGTGCATGTGTGTTATATACGTAAATTGCATGTCATGGGGGTTTGTTGTACAGATTATTTCATCATCTAGGTAGTAAGCATAGTGCCAAATAGATAGTTTTTTGATCCTCACTCTCCTCCAAGCCACCGTCCTCAAGTAGGCCCCAGTGCCTATTGTTCCCTTGTTTGTGTTCAGATGCACTCAATATTTAGTTCCCACTTATACGTGAGAACATGTGGTATTTGATTTTCTATTTCTGTCTTAATTCACTTAGGATAATGGCCTCCAGCTGCATCCATGCTCCTGCAAAGGACATGATCTCCTTTTTTATGGCTGTGTGGGATTCCATGGGGCATATGTACCACATTTTCTTTATCCAGTTCACCATTGATGGGCATTCAGGTTGATGCCATGTCTTTTCTATTATAAATAGGGCTGCAATGAACATATGTGTGCATGTGCCTTTATGGAAGAATGATTTATATTCCTTTGGGTATATATCTAATAATGGGATTGCTGGGTCAAATGGTAATTCTGTTTTAAGTTCTCTGCAAAGTCTCCAAGCCCCTCTACACAGTGGCTGAATTAGTTTACAGTCTCACCAGCAGTGTATAAGTGTTCCCTTTTCTCTGAAGCCTTTCCAGCATCTGTTATTTTTTGACTTTTCAATAATAGCTATTCTGACTGGTGTGAGATAGTATCTCATTGTGGTTTTGATTTGCATTTCTCTGATGATTAGTGATGATAAGCATATACGTTTGTTGGCATTTGTATACCTTTTGAGAAGTGTCTGTTCATATCTTCTGCCTGTTTTTTTAAATGAGATTATTTGTTTATTGCTTGTTGTTTGTTTAACTTTCTTATCAATTCTGGATATTGGACCTGTGTTAGATGCCTACTTTGTGAATTTTTTTCTCCCATTGTGTAGGTTTTCTGTTTCCTCTGTTGATAGTTTCTTCTGCTGTGCAGTAGCTCTTCATTTAATTAGGCCCAACTAGTCAATTTTTGTTTTCATTGCAATTGTTTTGGAGTCTTTGTCACGAAATCTTTGCCAGGGATGATATCCAAAATGGTATTTCCTAGGTTTTCTTCTGTTTCTTTATTTCCTTTTGTAGTTTCAGGTTTTATATTTAAATCTTTAATCCATCTTGGATTGATTTTTTTATATGGTATAAGGTAGGGGCCCAGTTTGAATCTTCTGCATAGGGCTATCCAGTTATCTCAGTAACATTTACTGACTAGGAGTTTTTTCCCCGTGGTTTGTTTTTGTTTTCTTTGTAAAAGATCAGATGGTTGTCAGTTTGCAGCTTTATTTCTGGATTCTCTAACCTGTTCCATTGGTCTCCGTGTCAGTTTTTGTGCCAGCATCATGCTGTCATGCTGCTTTGATTACTTTAGGATTGTAGTGTAGTTTGAAGTCACATTTGCTCTTTTTTATTTTTTCATTTTTTCTTTGAGATGGAGTCTTGCTCTGTCGCCCAAGCTGGAGTGCAGTGGATCGATCTCGGCTCACTGCAAGCTCCACCTCCCGGGTTCACGTAATTCTCCTGTCTCAGCTTCCCGAGTAGCTGCGACAATAGTCGCCCGCCACCACGCCCAGCTAATTTTTTGTATTTTTAGTAAAGACGGGGTTTCACCGTGTTAGCCAGGATGGTCTCGATCTCCTGACCTCGTGATCCACCCGCCTCGGCCTCCCAAAGTGCCAGGATTACAGGGGTGAGCCACCAGGCCCAGCCCATTTGCCCATTTTTAAATAAGGTTGCTTGTCTCTTTTGTTATTGAGTTTTAAGTATTCTTTATATATTTTGGATACTGGACTCTTAGCAGATATATACTGCACCTCCTTCTGAATGTTCATAAAATCACTGTCACATAAAAGTAAATAATACAAATTTATCTAGTTCAAAGATCATGCAATGCAGAGAGGAAAAAAGTTAACAAGAAAGATAACAGCATTCCTATAGACAAAGTATATCAGAAAGATCTGCTCACCAAAGAGATTCCATTTATATTCTACTATTTCAAAAGAAGGTTAACATATTTTAAAAATACATGAAATATAGAATAAATAGAGAAATCAAATTAAAAACGAAAATACTGAAAGTCACATAAGAAAAAAATAAGATTATGATTTTTAAATCAATGCTTATTTCGGAGGAAAATGGGGTGAAATATTCAAAAGTCGAAAAATTTCCAGAGAAATTACCTTTTAAATACATATAATAAGAGGGATAAATTACCTTTTATCAACATGCAAGAACTCAGAAAATTTTTTATAAAATCTTCCTGATGAATATACTAGCAACTAGTTTTGAAATATCTAAAACGACTAGAGAGGTGCTGATGTAAGACTGGCTGTGAGCATTAAATATGCAGTTATTTGATAACCATGACTGCATGAGAGTTAAAAAGCAGAAAGTGTAGTATGTCATGAAAATATGCTCAAATATTATAAAAGCAGTACCACCATAAAAATAAAATCTGGGGAAAGTGAGAACATATGCAAAAATATTTACTGTTTTCAGTAATCATATGAGTGTTGGTAATATTTGTAGTAAATCTAGGGAATTTCACCTTTCTCTTTTTTTTTTTTTTTTTTTTTTTTTTTGGTAGAGACGATGTTTTGCCATGTTGCCCACGCTGGTCTTGAACTTCTGGGCTCAAGCAATCTACCCACCTGACCTCCAAAATTGCTGGGATTACAGGCATGAGCTACCACACCCAGCCCACTTCTATCATTTCTTATACCCTTAGGAGCCAGAATTTTTGTTCTGTAAAAAAGGTGGCATGATGTAATAGCAAAGATCAGTTAAGTAAAATCTTGTAGTGCTGAATTTTAATTAGAATTATCAATATGAATTGATATATTTTCAATCTATCTATCTATCTATCTAGCTAGCTAGCTAGCTATCTACATATCTATCCAGCTGGCCTAGCTCTGTCCTCTGAATAGGGTTTGAAACAGTGACCATCCCAGGAGCAGTAATTATCTTGAATACACAGATCCTGTATTGAAATACCTTTTCCCACTGTGGTTGTCTGTGAGGGCTGCCATAATAAAGTCCCACAAACTGAGGGTCTTAAACAACAGAAATATATTTTTATCGTGGTTCTGGAGTCTGGAAGTCTCAGATCAAGGTTTCAGCAGACTTGGTTTCTGGTGAGGGCTCTCTTCCTGGCTTGTGGATGGCCACCTTTTCACTGCATCCTTAGGTGGCCTTACAGAAAGGGAAAGATCTCTGGTGTCTGTTCCTCTGCTTGCAAGGACTCTAATCTTGTTGTATCAGGATCCCACTTTTATGACCTCATTTAACCTGAATTACCTCCCTGTAGGCCCTATCACTAAATACAGCCACATTGGGATTAGGACTTCACATGAATTTGGGGTGGAAACAATTAAATTCATAACACCCACTAAAGGAGAAATGGCTGATTCCAGATTAGGGCAAGAAATATATAATATAAGCCTTAAACATTTTGCCTTACCAAATAGCATAAAAGTTATCAAAGTTCACTAAATATTACCAACATTGTGTCAAAGGGACTAAAGAGCCAATTTTTAAAAACTCACACTGCAAAAGATGTGAAAATGTGAGCATCAGCAAAGATAATAATTACAATGGACTGAAAGCCATCAAATGGTTTTAAATGCCTTAGTTCATAGGGATATTAAAAACAAACTAATTCGTTGTTTCAAAAGAATGATAAGAACATATTCATTTTATATAAAGTGATAAAGACTCAAGCATTCATCCTGCCTTACTACATGAATGATTCCATTACATGACCAAAGGAAAAATATCTCTTTATAAAGAATATTTTAGATAACACATAAAAAATAAATGAAAGAGCTGGGTGCTGTGGCTCACGCCTATAATCCCAGCTCTTTGGGAGGCCGAGGTGGGCAGTTCACCTGAGGTCGGAAGTTTGAGACCAGCCTGACAACATGGAGAAACCCCATCTCTACTAAAAATACAAAATCAGCCAGGAGTGATGGCACATGCTTGTGATCCCAGCTAGTCGGGAGGCTGAGGCAGGAGAATTACTTTAAACAGAAGGCGGAGGTTGCGGTGAGCTGAGATCGCGCCATTGCCCTCCAGCCTGGGCAACAAGAGCGAAACTCTGTCTCAAATAAATAAATAAATAAATAAATAATAAATTAGGATAGCTCTCAAATTGTAAATCTCCAGTGAATGAATGGATCTAGACATTGCGCATCAATGATTGGTAACATCACAAAAAGACAAGAAGAGACTAGAAGCCTTTTGTCAAAAGAGCAGAGTACCACTTTCACTCTTGCCAAGGGAACCAATCCTGACTCTCGTCAAGTCTGTGGCTTCAATTGACACTTTTCAAAAAATTCAGAGACATGGGAGCCTGAAATACCATACTGTGAATATGCAATCCGCAACATGTAGACTGTGGGAAACTGTAAGTCTTCAATAGCTTACCATAAGAATAAGAGATAGAAAGAAAACCAATAGGCTAAAAGAAGTTTAAAAGACATAGAATTTTAAAAGAAATTAAACTATAGTATGTAAGGATGCCCACTTGGATGATAAAACTATAAAGAAATGCAAAGAAGTAATCCTTATCATTCAGAAGGTGGTGTAATGATGTGGTGGTGTGGGAGAGAGACTGTGACTGGGACCGGATACAGAGAAGGGATTTCTTGTGTGGCTGACCAATATTCTATTTGTCAACAAGGATGTTACATAGAAGGCTGTTCAACTTACAACAATTTATTAAGCTATAAGTTTATTTTATGTGGTTTTCCCTATTTGTATTTGTTTAAATTACTATAATGGCAATTATTACTATTATTATTTTATTTTACAATAAAATGGAAATGATGTCATAATCACAGATGTTATGTAAAAGAATAGAATTCTCCAAGTGCGTATATGGTCACAAGATCATGGAGCCACTGAGGCTGTTTTGACACTTTGGGCATGTCATTTAACTCCTCTAAAGTCTCTATTTTCTCATCTTCACAATAAACATACTTTGCAGGGCTGCAATGATGATTAAATAAGATAAATTATGCCAAATACCTCACACGGTGTTTGGCATTGGAGAAATTCTTATTGAATGATAACTATAATTGTCAACTAAATGGTGGAACTTAAGGGCTGGGTAGAGAATCTAGATTCAGAAGGAAGTGAATAATATGAGAGAATATGAGAAATGAGGGCAATCAAAAAATTGAGCAAGAAAGTGAAGGATCACTGAGAAAAAAGGAACATTAATACAAAGGTCCCGGGCCAGGCGCGGTGGCTCACGCCTGTAATCCCAGCACTTTGGGAGGCCGAGACGAGCGGATCACAAGGTCAGGAGATCGAGACCATCCTGGCTAACATGGTGAAACCCCGTCTCTACTAAAAATACAAAAAATTAGCCAGATGTGGTGGTGGGCACCTGTAATCCCAGCTACTCGGGAGGCTGAGGCAGGAGAATGGTGTGAACCCGGGAGGTGGAGCTTGCAGTGAGCCGAGATCGATCCACTGCACTCCAGCCTGGGGGACAGAGCTAGACTCCATCTCAAAAAAAAAAAAAAAAAAAAAAAAAAAGGTCCTAGCCAGACGCGGTGGCTCATGCCTGTAATTCCAGCACTTTGGGAGGCCAAGGCCAGTGGATCACGAGATCAGGGGTTTGAGACCAGCCTGGCCAACACAGTGAAACCCCATCTCTACTGAAAGTACAAAAAATTAGCCTGGCATGGTGGCGGGCCCCTGTAGTCCCAGCTACTCGGGAGGCTGAGGCAGGAGAATCGCTTGAATCTGTGAAGTGGAGGCTACAGTAAGCTGAGATCGCGCCACTGCACTCCAGCTGAGGCGACAGTGCGAGACTCCGTCTCAAAAAAAAAAAAAAGTGCTAGGGACAGAACAGGGGAGGGAATGAAGATGCCTGCAGTGTTGGAGTCTGGTGTCAAGCATTCAAGCACGAGGCTGCATTATAGGATTTTCTTTGGAATATTCATGGGAATGTTGCAAAACGATACACCTTGAGTGTGCCCAAGAGCGACTCTGTCTATGTAACCATGCCACTGAAGGCTGGCCCTCATCTGTATTCTTTAGGTCCCTAATGCTGCACCGGTGGCAGCAACAAAGTGAAGTCGAGATCTGATGTTTTCCAAGTGAAGAGATGTTACCTGCCACCAACTCTTGGTCAAATTAATCTTTGCCCTTCCCTAGGCACATGCAGCGGCTCTTTGCAGTACTATTTTCTGTTTGAGATGAGTGCCCTTCAATTAGTTGAATGAATTATGCATTTAAATATAAAAAGTATGCATTTCAGGGAAGGTAGATAGATCTGCCACTTCTCTCACACTTGTGAATATTAGTCATCTTGTTATAACCCAGCAATTCATTATCTTGGGGTTTTTTACTTGGTCTTGCTACTACAAAAATATACGTCTAAGAACTTTTGTGATTATCGTAGAATGTGAACACTTTCCAGAAGTAAAATATAAGTAAATCTTAGCCTTTTCTTAGATACTTTGGCTTGTGGATTTGTCTAGAAAAACAGTTGAATTATGTGCCTCAAATACCCTTTTCTCAAAAGCACGAAGCTCAAGGTCAAATAAACCATTTGCTCTAGTTTAACATGGGTGACTGTGGAGATGAACAGATTTGACATATTTAAATAAAACATTCTAATAGCATGTTCTGGTCTTGGGGGCCTCAGGCAGCATGCGATGTATTTGTTAGACACCATGGCTTAATTACTCTCATAAATGAATTATACCAATTTCAGTTTAAAACCGTAAGTGTTACAGTTGAACTAGGGTCATATTAAACTTTCTGTCAATTATGCAGATTACTTAAGCAATTATGTAAATTGTTAATAAATTCTTAAGTGATGCGGAATTTTTCTTGAGAAAATATCTGTTTTATGCTATCGACTAAAAGACTTGGAGAGCGTGGGTACTTAGAAAAAATGAAACCTCACACTAAATATCTGTCTTCAGAGTTCTCTTGGGAGCATTTGTTGTGACAAAGTTAGACCTTCTGATTTCTTGAGGCTGAAAAGTCACAAATTTTCTACTCAAGAACTTCTCCATTTTATACTGTGAAGACTCACATTCTTCACCGTGCAAAATAGCAATAGAGTTCTGAGGGTTGAGGATAGGGAGGGAATGGTTGTGTTAATAAAAAGATCTACTTTAGTCAGTTTTATGATTCTTTTAAGATTCTTTACAGACAATGCACCCCCTTTTTGCCTGTTTCTTGGGCAGAGGGTGCTCCTTGCTCACCCACCCTTCATATGATATTAAACCATGATAATACGTTGGGCCGATGAGATCCGGGACTGAAAATGCCACGGGATCTCCCTCTTATATCAGCGTCCACTGCAATTTTAATGAATCTGCTTTTATTTTCTTTTACCTCATGGGTCTTCTTTTTTTTTTTTTTTTTTTTTTGAGATGGGGTCTCACTCTGTCGCCCAGGTTGGAGTGCAGTGGTGCGATCTCAGCTCACTGCAAGCTCTGCCTCCTGGGTTCAAGTGATTCTCTGCCTCAGCCTCCTGAGTAGCTGGGACTACGGGCATGTGCCACTACACCAGGCTAATTTTTTGTATTTTTAGTAGAGACTGGGTTTCAACTTGTTAGGCAGGGTGGTCTCAATCTCCTGACCTTGTGATCCACCAGCCTCAGCCTCCCAAAGTGCTGGGATTACAGGCATGAGCCACTGTGCCCGGCAGGGTCTCCCATCTTAACTTGCATCTTAAGCCTCCATTGAGTACATATTTACTCTCTTCTTTAAAATACTTTAAAGACAAGTATAGGTCTGTTCCCCTTTTATTTCTGGATTGCTTTTAATGTAAAGTTCAAAAATACTGTTTAGTAGGATGAGGCCTCTTTTTAAAATATGAACATATGCTCTTGTATTAGGTCAGCTCACTCAGGCAGCAAAGAGAAAACAGCTCAGGACTTTCCAGGTGATGGAGTTTTATAACTCCCAGGGAGGTCAGAATGAGCTGTTAATTAGTGAGGTCCTGGGGAGGCCTGGAATGTGCTCTGATGCCATAACTTGTTTTGGTGCAGGCAGCAATCTCAGTAGTCTCTGCCTCCCTATGATTCAGCATTTTCCTGTCTCTCTTTTCTCTCTGCCTGCTTAACTGCCAGCTCCTTGTATGAGTCTAATACTCCTATTTCTTCAGGAAAGCGGACTTCGTTGAGTGGTTTTGTTGTTGCACAAAGTAGTTTCCCATTTGGGGGAATATTCTTAGAGCATGGTATTTCATGGGCTTTGGGTCAGTTTGGGCAGAATGGAGAGATTGCATACTGCAAAGCATAGTGACCAGTGCAAGCAAAATCAACATCCATGGCCGGGGCTAGAAAGCTACCTGATAGTCATACATCTTCATGAGGAAAAGATAAAGAAATATCACATTAGTGTCCACGGGTGAAAAATTCAGTTCTCTCCCTCTCTCTTCAGAACTATCTATGAGCCTCACATTTGCTATAACTGGAATATTGAGCTCATAGCCTTTTACATATTTTTCCTCTTTCCAGGTATGTTAATGGGGAAAGTTTAAAGTTCCAGAAAAGGAATGACAAAGTGTATCTGGATTTGGAAGGGGATGCTCCACTGTTGTAAGATTCACCCAGTTGTTTGAATCCAGTTGAGACTTTCCAAAGTTCACCTGTGACTAACTGAAGCCCTAATAAAGGCAAAACCTCTGACCTTGCTCCCGTGGTTCCCTATCTTGTGTAAATTAACATCTGAACATGAGTTATGAAATGCGTGACATATCCAAAAGGAAAGCACCTGATACTGGGAAATATGCATATTGATGAGAGTAATGAAATAGTTCAATGAATGCTAAATTATGGGTCTACAGAGGGCTGCTTTTGTTGAAATTGACATGTCCCTATCTGTAAACCCCAGAGTATTCAACGGAAAGCATAAGGGGTAAGTGTACCTGGAAAACCTCCCTTTAAAAAAAAAAAAAGAAACATCTTTGTGATACAGAGGAAAGACTTTATAAAATATTAGATGAAAAGACCCCTTTCAAAATGTGTTTGCTTTGTAGTGCCTCCCTTTCTGGCTTCTCTGCATACTTAAAAGTCATCACCACCTTGAGTAGATTGCTTGCTTTTAAAAAGACATTGCACCTTTCCTAGTGCTGACACAGAACCACCAGACCTGCATTTTGAAATGTCTTATTGTCATCACCATAAGCATTTTTGTGAAGGCAAGAAAAGCCAAACAAAGCTATATATATATATATGTGTATATATATATATATGTGTATTTTGTTTTTTCCTAATCTATTCAACAACAATGCATCCAGGACACCCTCTATGGCCCGGGTTTCGGGCTGCATGTGACTGTAGACAGAAAGCTATTTCGAGCATTGAAAACAGCCTTATTACCCTGCCATTTTTGCACAGATTTCTTTTCCCCTTCCCTGTGACATTAGAGAGTCCAAAGTGACATACATTTTTTATAGCTTCATAAAGTTGTCTCCTGACCGGGTCACCCTTCTCATAACTAGGGAGCAGAACGCTTGAAAAAACCCATTCATCAACGTGAAAGCAGCCTCTGTCTGCGGGTTCCAATATGCACAGTCTGGCAAGATCCAGCTCAGTGCAAATGCGAACTTACTCCTTTGCTAATGCCAAATGACCCACTCACTTCTATCAGCACACCGAGGAGGACACGGAGGGCACGGTGGCTGTCTGCATCTGCAGAAGTGCTTCTCTACAGAGCTCAGCACCAAGTCTTCTTGCTAAATGTACTGAACACATTCAAAAATTAGTTTTATATTTATACTAATTAAATATTCAATTAAACAAAGATAAAATTATGGAGGGAAATTTATTCTTGCCTAATGAACTATAGCCCATTTATTACTTTTTCACAGATATACCATTAAAGTTCCGATGAGAAATTGCTGGAATGGTTACCCTCCTTTTTATTTCTTTAAATGTTTTTCCTCTATGCTTTGTTTAGACATTCAAACGAAGAATGGCCTATCCAGGCATGACAGATAGGTAAAAGAAGGTAGGGAAGGTGGAACCAAGAGAAAATGGTTATTCCTTAAACTTGTGATCGGCAGAAATTTCCTCCATTAAAGCAGAACACCATTCAAGGGGATCTCTCCTGGGGAATTTAATGGTGTGATTCAGGAACATGCAGGCTTTGGGATTTGAAAGCTACATACTAGTTATGGATGTTAGCTCTGTTAAAATTGAGGTCTTCTGACAGGTGCAACCAGCCCTCAGGTCAGAATGAACAGAACATTTCACCCCCACCCCTGCACATGATACCCTGGGTTTCTGTACTGAGTCTTTTGGTTTTAGAAACCTGAATTCATATTTGAGTTACAATGACAAATGAATAAAGAATGACAAGTCATGCTTTGGGAATGTGTTTTTATTTGGGATTATTGCTTTCATGGTATTGAATTGCTTGTATGCATGTGTGTATGCATACATACACATACACATATGTAATACCAAGATTATATATGGTATGTATATACATCCATAAATTTTAGGTAGCCATAAATAAAAAATCTATATGCACACATGTTTGCATAACTTGATAAACAGCTCAGAAATAATTACAGCACAATTCAGAGGACAAAATAAAATGATTGCTATAAAATTATTTGGTGTATGTTAAAGAAAATCAAAACAAGGTAGAAAACATCCTTGCCTCTATTTTCCCATGTTTTGGCCCGATGTCAGATTGGCAGATCTAGAAAATGAGACACTATAATCCTTCCAGACATCCTGCCAATCACACCATGCATACATGATGTAGAATCTCTCAACCCAGCCCCCTGCCAGATATGTCACCACTAATGCCTATAAAGGGGCTGCCTCTGGGAACAAAATGGTATCCACTCTCTGCCATGTTGTTGACTTCTAGGCTGGGCCTGAGCATGGAAGACTGCAGTCTTTCTATCATCTAAAAACTCAAATCGTCATGAGCACCACGATGGGGTGGTGAGTGAGTGAGGAAGGGCACTAGGAAATAAAACATATCTTGCCATTTATTTATTCTAAGCAGTAGACAGAAGGCTGTTGGAATGTTTCCACTTACATTCATAATTTTTCTTTCTATTAAAATGAAAAATTTTCTGAAAATATTTCAAAAACAGCTTTGGAACATGAGAATTCATCTTTTTAAAGTGGCCATTGACAACATCTGAGTGTGCCTCTTATTTTTGAAACAACAGATGGTCATGCAATGACATCTCATTTGATTTTAAGACCCAATTATAAATTCAGGTATAAAATAAAATATTGGGATTAATAAAGATCACATCTGTGAGCTTCCTCAGAACCTTCAACTATAAATATGAACCATGCAGTCCCTAAGGCCCAGCTCCCTCTCCTTATCCTGTCCCAGAACTGATTATTTACGCATTGTCATTTGCCCACCTAGAAGACCCTACTTCACTTAAGTTATCTAATTGTTTATTGTTAACAATCATTTTAGTTTATTTTCAAGAAAGTTTAGTGTCTTTCTTTTAAAAAATCATATTAAGAAAATGAATGATAAATGTTTTTAGAGGGAGAAATCAAGATTTGGAATCATTCTTATTCAGCTCAACACAATGAAGTGCAGGTCAATAATTTCCTGATAAGATACATTTTGATCATTAAAAAGTAGCTTTTACCATCTCCATTTTCAAAACTTATGGTGTATTTGACATAAGAAATTGGGTGAAAACAAAATATTTCATAAGGTACTTGAATACAGTCATGTTCATAAGAGCAAGCAGAGTATACAGAATAAAGTTGTTTTTGACAATTCATTAATATTTATTCAATTTCATTTTTGCTTAAATTGATCTAGAATATCATCCCAGTTTTGGATTATAACCCTACTCTTAAGAAACCCTTTACTTGAGAGCATCCTTATAAAATGAACACTTTCAGCAATACTATACGTAGAAATATCATGCCAACCTATATTTGCTTTTTCTACTCAACTTTTAATCTTACAAAAACTAAGACTTAATTTTGTCTGTTATTCTAAGTGCTTTAATAAAGTCATGTCACAACAGTGAATAAATGCCTACAAGGGATGTTATGACCTTAAGTTAATGTTCTCTGTTCAATCCTATTCTAAATATAATCTGTGATTACGTCTGATTTCCCTAAAATTCCCCTGCAGTTTTCAGGACAGATGGTACATGCAGCTTTCCTCCCCTTTCCTGACTACTGATCATTCAGCTATGTCAGTTACAAAATGAACTGCACTTTCAGACTCGCTGGGAGGGCTGGACTGGAAATTTCACGGGGGCGGAGGCAGGGGGCCACGTAATTATCTATTATCATTACATCCTCAGCACCAGCACAGCAGCCTGTTAGCACTTAGTAGGTATTCAATAAATATTGCTTGAATAAATGAGTTAATAAGACTGCATAAATAAACAGAAACTGTATTGATAGTACAAGCTTGTTAAAAAGTATTAGAATGGAGAGGAAGTGACACTTTCCCACATTACTTTACAAGTGAATGAGATCAAAAAGAAAAATGTAAGGAGAAAAATGTTGGGGAAAAGAGGATATAAGAGTTTTAAATAAATAACCAAGGGCCCCTGGAGACTACCGCTCTAATATCAGATGTAAATTACTTTAACTGGTAAATTGAGAGCTTCACTTTATCTCTAAATTGAAGAAAACCCTGTGGAAATACGCATGCTCCAGGATCTGGTTATAGATCTTTTTTGTTTGAATAACTGCCCTTTATATCTTACAGAATAAAACACACTTATGGTACCTTTGTGACCCTCAAGAAAAATTAAGTCAAATTCAGACAGAATAACCAAACTGCATCTACCTGAAATTGCCAGACAATTGGAGTCAACAGTCAAATATATAAATTGGATTTGACTTTATAAGTAATAATATGGATTTCCTCTTTGACTTCATACTAGAAGTGCAGATTCTCAAGATGCAAACAATCTGCCAGCCCTAAATCCAAGTGCAGCTGGAAAGTTAATGGCTTAAGCAAATTGTTGCTTTAATTTCTTTTTTTTTTTCTGAATAAGAAACATGAGGTCTAAAAATGAAAATGGACAGTCTTTGGTTCATTTCACCAATGAGAAATCGGAATCCTGGAGAAATTTATTTCCTCATGGTCATTTATCCTGCAAGTAAAAGTTTATTTGAATTTGACCTTGTTACTGTAAACCTTCTGCTTATCCCACCAAAACAGACTATTAAAACATAAAGAATTACCAGCAGAATAGTTCTTCGTGAGTCTCTACTCTGTCTCTGTATTCCCAAAGAAGAATTTATCCATAGCCAAATACAAGAAACAAAAATAGAAATTTCCAGCAAGTATTTATACTCAAGTACCTTTTGTATCTAGGACAGACCAAACTTTGTGCTTCCAGAATCCTATATTCAAGTGTTTCAGTGACCTTCTGTATTTAATATACGTCCCAAATTTAAAATAACCCAAATTAGTTGAACACCCCTTCAATTTCCCAACATTCTCATTCACAATCTGTATTAATGAAGATTACCCAGGACAAAACTCTCCATTCCTTCCCTGTCCCACTCCCTTGACCACCAACTCGAGAGAGATCAAGTATCTAAAGCAGATACGAATTTGTTCCCTCTTCTGTGTCCTTTGTAAAGGTTATTGTGGTCCACGCTCTCATCACATCTCTTCTCACCTGCATTAGTGCAAGTGTGAACTTCTGTTCTTGCCCTGAAGTTAAATGGCTTATTTTCTCCATTTGTTCTCTCACTTAGATGGGAAATTTCTTCAATGCAAATACCGTCTTTATATCACAGCATAGATTGGTTCTCACAGCAGCTGGAAGTGCGTAGTTAATTCAGAGAGTCTAACGTAGTTGGCACTCAACAGATATTTGCTAGGTTACCAAGTGAATGAATCTAGCACAGTTTCTGGAAACATCGTGATCACCCGATAAATCTTAAGTAATAAATTTTTCTATCACTGGCATCTTAATATTAGAAATAAATGAAAAAATACTGGAAAAAATGACAGTGTTCAACTCCAAGCATCTTTTGAAAATAATTTAAATGAAACAATAAAAAATCTTCTTTGTTTTAAATCTGTGTGAGTAGAAAAAAATTGCTTCAGGCCGGGCGTGGTGGCTCAAGCCTCTAATCCTAGCACTTTGGGAGGCTGAGACAGGTGGATCATGAGGTCAGGAGTTCAAGACTAGCCTGGCCAAGGTGCTGAAACCTGTCTCTGCTAAAAAATACAAAAATCAGCGGGGTGTGGTGGTGCATGCCTGTAATCCCAGCTACTCAGGAGGCTGAGGCAGGAGAATCGCTTGAACCCAGGTGGCAGAGGTTGCATTGAGCCAAGGTCGCACCACAGAGCAAGACTCCGTCTCAAAAAAAAAAAAAAAAAGAGAGAGACAGAGAAAGAAAGAAAAGAAAAAATTGCTTCAAAAATTGAATCTACTTAAAATACTCATTGTAGGTCAGATCTGCATTTACTAAAAACCTCTAGAATTTCTAGGTAAGTCCCATATCCAAAACCACTATCATTCCATTTGTGAATAATTATTTTCCTAATGTCAAACTTAATTGTTTCCTGTTTCTTGAGCTTATTCATTTGTATTTGTTACTATAATATAAACTTCTTTTCTTGCTCGAGTTTAGTCTCCAAATCAAGCTTTTGTTATGTGTCCCATTTTTTGAAGAGGAAAGACAGGCAGAAACAGAGGTCAAATGATTCACACAAGGTCACACAGGATGTCAACAACTCCACCAAGATTAGCCTCTCTGCCTGGGTACGAGATGTTCTGCCACAACTTGTCCTTATGGCCACCATACACGCATTTATTTATATGCTGTCAGTAAATGGAAGTAGCAGGCAATTCAGCTGAAGCTGGTTGACAAAAAAACAAAAAACAAACAAACAAAAAAAACTCTTAGCTTTAATGATTTAAAAAATAGTATTTGGATTCCAGTATTTACTAACCAGAAAGGAAAAATAACATATTGCATAGGTTTCCAGGATTGAGGGTTATTTGCACTGCCCCTTTTGCCAAAACTTTTCCAAGAACTTGTGATGTAAGAAAATGCCACGGATCAGATGTGCCAATGACTGACCAGTACAGACTGTGTTTGTTGTGATCTGCTGGGCAAAACTACGGTGAGGAGGATACTTGGTATATTAGTTCAGTAATTTATCTTCATTATTATAAAAGTATGTTTACTATAGAAAAAATATAAAACATCAACAAAAATAAAAAGAAAGAAAGAAAACATAATTTCACCTACTCACTGACAGCTACTTTTAACCCTTTCAAACTCTCTTAACCCTGCCTCTGCCACACACAGATAAATGAAATCATATGGTACATATTTTCTAACCTGCCTTTCAGTGGGACAATGTGCCAAGAATACATTTTCAAATCAGTCAATATATGTATCATGAAAAATAAACTATATCATTTTGTGGCAGCAACCAAAATCAAAATATTAGAACAAAAACCAGTAAAACTTGATTTCTGGTTCACACTTCATGGTCATAATGAAAGAGAAAGCTCATCGTAGCTATTCATATATTCAAGGTTGTATCAGATGGAAAACAGAGCTCTACAGGTTCTTTTTTAATTTACACATCATAGTTCTTCATCTTTACACAGTACAGTTGTACATTTTGATACATATATATGTTTCGTAATGATCAAAACAAGGTGGTTAGTATATTCACCACCTCATTCATTATTTATGATTTCTGTGTTGTGAGAACATTCAAAAGCATCACTTCTAGCTATTTTGTAACATTACAATATCTTACTGTTAACCTTCATCACTCTACTTTGCAATAAAACACCAGAACTTGGCCGGGCGCGGTGGCTCACGCCTGTCATCCCAGCACTTTGGGAGGCCGAGGCAGGCAGATCACGAGGTCAGGAGATCGAGACCATCCTGGCTAACACTGTGAAACCCAGTTTCTACTAAAAATACAAAAAATTAGCCAGGCGTGGTGGCAGGCACCTGTAGTCCTAGCTACTCAGGAGGCTGAGGCAGGAGAATTGCTTGAACCCGAGAGGCGGAGCTTGCTGTGAGCTGAGATTGCACCACTGCACTCCAGCCTGGGCGACAAGGCGAGACTCCATCTCAAAAACAACAACAACAACAACAACAAAAAACCACCAGAACTTATTCCTCTTACCTAATGGTAACTTTGTATGCATTGACCAACCTGTCCCAATTCTTGCCTCTCCCCTTGCCTCTCCAGTCTCTGGTAACCACTGTTCTACTCTCTGCTTCAATAATATCAACTTTTTTTTAGATTCTACATATGACTGAGATCATATAGTATTTGTCTTTCAGTGTCTGGCTTATTTTACCTAACATGATATTCTCCAGGTTCTGCCATGTTGTCATGATAACACAATTCTATTCTTTTTTATGGCTGTATAGTATTCCATTGTGTAAATATACCACATTTTAAAAACTCATTCATTTGTTTTTGGACAGTAGGTTGATTCCATAGCTTGCTATTGTGAATATGTTGCAATAAACTCATGGGAATGCAGATATCTTTTCAAAATACTGATTTCCTTTCTTTTGTGTATATATACCCAACAGTGGGATTGCTAGATCATATGATGTTTCTATTTTTAATTTTTTAAGGATACAGGAGCCTATGTGAAGGGGCTTCCACTGGCCAAATCTGGGACAATCTGAGCATCAAAACAATTAACTATTAATGGAATACAGTACAGCCTTTTATAGGGAACTACATGCTCATATCAATACATATGAATTGATCTGAAAGTTTGCTGAGGAATGGGGTATTTACAGATTTTGAGAGTCCCCCACAAAACACTGTTTAGTTAGAAAGGGAAAGTCACACTGGAGAAGCCCAGCAGACACCATCTTCACCAAGTGGTAAAAATGCACATCAATAATGGGCCCCTTGAAAGTATGTGCCACCCAAGAGTGTCACTGCTGTCACACTCCTGCCAAAGATGCTTAACCTGAATTCAGTCATGAGGAAACACCAGCCAAACAGAGGAACATTCTATAAATTCAGAACACTTCAAAAGTGTCCACATCCTGAAAGTCAAAAAGCTTCCAGTCAGAAGGAGACCAAAGAGATGACAACCAAATGCAACTCATGATCCCGAACTGGATCCTTTTCCTAGAGGACATGACACCATCCTGAGGACCAGCTGGGAGTACTATGCCCATGCTGACTTCCTATTCAGTGTCTGTATCGTGGGCAGGCAGGAGACGATCAGCAACTGACCCTCACATGGTTCAGGAAGGAAAATTCTTTGTAACCTACTTGTACCTTTTCCATAAGTTTGATTAAAAACAAACAAACAAACAAAAACCAGCAAACAAAAGGAAACTCCATACTGTTTTATTTCATGGATGTACTAGTTTACAATCCCACCAACACTGTGTAAATGTTCTATTTTCTTCACATTCTCACAAACACTTGTTTTCATATCTTTTTGATCATAGCCATTCTAATTGGAGTGAGATAGTATCTCATTGTGGCTTTGATTTGCATTTCCTTGCTGATTAGTTGAGTATTTTTCATATGCCTGTTGGGCATTTATATATATTTTTTCAGATATGTCTATGAGCATCTTTCACCCATTTTAAAATCAGGTTATTTGGGGGTTTTTGTTGTTGTTGTTGTTGTTACAGAGTTGTTTAAGTTTCTTATGTATTCTGAATATTAACTACTTGTCAGACGTATACAAATAGCTTCTCTCATTCTGTAGATTGTCCCTTCACTCGGATAATTACATCTTTTGCTGTGAAGATTTTTAGTTTAATGTAATCTCATTTGCCTATTAATGCTTTTGTTGCCTGTGCTTATATTAAAATTTCTTGCCCAGCCCAATGTCATGAAGCATTTCCCTATGTGTTCTTCTAGTAGTTTCAAGAGTTTCAGGTTTTACATTAAAGTTTTTCATCCATTTTTTTTTAATACAGTGAGCAGTAGGGGTCTATTCTCATCCTTCTGTGTGTGGATATCCAATTTTCCCAGCACTATTCATTGACGGGACCGCCTTTTCCCCCGTATGTGTTATTAAAATCTTTATCAAAAATCATTTGACTGTAGATATGTGAATTGATATCTGGGCTCTCTGCTGTAGTGGTCAGTGTGTCTATTTTTATGCCAATATCATGCTATTTTGATCATTATAGTTTTATACTATATTTCAAAATCAGACAGCATTATATCCCCAGTTTTGTTCTTTTTGTTCAGGATTCCTTTGGTGATTTAAGGTCTTTTGTGGTACCACATGAATTTTATAATTTTTTTTCTGTGAATGTTATTGGCATTTTGATAGGATTGCATTAAATTGACCATTGTGTGTTGTACAGTCATTTTAACAATAAATTTTCCAATCTATGAATATGGACTATTTTTCCATTTATTTGTGCCCTCTTTAATTTCTTTCACAGTGTTATGTGGTTTTCAGTGTAGAAATATTTTTCCTCCTTAGTTAAGTGTATTCCTAGATCTTATTTTTTGTAGCTATTGTAAATAAATTTTTTCTTGATTTATCTTTCAGATATTTTACTATTAGTGTATATAAATGCTACTGATTTTTGTATGTTGTCTTTGCATACTGCAACTTTACAAAATTTATTACTTCTATTAGTATTTTGGTGGTCATGTTTTTTTCCATATAAGGTCATGTTACCTGCAAACAGATATTTAACTTCCTCCTTTCCAATTTAAATTCTTTTTATTTCTTTCTCTTGTCTAATTGGTCTGACTAGAACTTCCAGTACCACGTTGAAAAAAAGTGGTAAAGCTGGGCAACCTTATCTTATTCCTGATAAGGAATAAGCTTATCCTTGTTCAGTATGATATTAGATACATTCTATAGCTAATTTGCTGAGAGTTTTTATCATAAAAAGAGTGTTAAATTTTGTTAAATAATTTTTCTGTATCTATTGAAATGATCATATAGGTTTTGTCTTTTTTTCTGTTAATATGGTATGTTATATTTATTTATTTACATGTGTCAAACTATCCTTGCTTTCCTTGGATGAATTCCACTTGATCATAGTAAACAATCTTTTTAATCTGCTTTGAAATTTGGTTTGCTAATATCTTGTTGAGAATTTTGCATCTATGCTCATCAGGGCTTGTAGTTTTGTTGTGGTGGTGACGTTTTTGTCTGATTTGATATTGGGGTAATGCTGGCCTCATTAAATGAGTTCAGAAGTACTCTCCCATCTTCAATTTTCTGGAATAGTTTGAGAATAAATGGTGTTAGTTCTCTTTAAATGTTGGTAGAATTCAGCACTGAAGCTATCAGGTCTTGGGCTTGCTTTTGACAAAAGAATTTTTATTACTGATTTAATTTTCTCACTTGTTATGTTCGGATTTTACCATTTCTTCGCAATTTAATCTTGGTAGATTTTAGTGTCCAGGCATTTATTTATTTATTCTATGTTATGTAATTTGTTGGTATGTAGTGGTTAATAATAGTTTCTTAAAATCTTTTGTATTTCTGTGGTATCAGCTTAATGTCTCTGTTTTCATCTCTGATTTTATTTTTTAAGTCCTCTCTTTTTTTCCTCCTTAGCCGAGCTAAGGGTTTGTAGATTTTGTTTATCTTTCCAACACCCAAGTCTTCATTTTGCTGATCTTTTGAGTTGTTTTTATAGTCTCTATTTGGTTTTTTTCTGCTCAAAGCTTTATTATTTACTTTCTTTTACCAGTTTTGAGTTTAGGCTGTTTTTCTACTTTCTTGAGGGGATTAGGTTTTTATTAAAAATCTTCCTTCTTTTTTGATATTGGCATTTATTGCTATAAACCACCCTGTTAGAACTATTTTTGCTGTGTCCCATAGGCTTTAGAATGACGTGCTTCAATTCTAATTTATCTAAGAATTTTTAATTTCCATTTCAACTTATTCATTGGCTCATTGATTATTCAGGAGTATGTTGTCTAATGTCTGTGTATTTGTAATTTTTCTTATTGCTCATAGCTAGTTTTATATACTGTGTTCAGAAAATATACTTCATACGATCTACTTAAATTTGTTAAAGACTTGCTTTGTGGCCTAACATATAATCTACCTCACATGGAGAGAAGGCTCCATGTGTAGCTGAGAAGAATCTGTTTTCTCTAGCTGTTGGATGGAATAATCTGTAAATGTCTGTTTGATTCATTTCTCTATAGTGCAGGTTAAATCTAATGTTTATCTGTTGATTTTCTGTTTAGGTAATCTAATCCATTGTTGAAAGTGAGGTGTTGAAGCTCTCTACTATTATTGTTTTGCAGTCTATTTCTTCCTTTAGATATAATACTTGCTTTATATATTTGGGTGCTCTTGTGATGGTTAGATACATATTTATAACTGTTACATCCTCGTTTAATTGATCCTGTTATCATTATACAATGACTTTCTTAATCTCTTTTTACAGTATTTGACTTAAAGTATTTTATGTGATCTAAGAATAGCTCCTCCTCCTTGCTTTTGGTTTTCATTTGCTTGGAATATCTTTTTATATCCTTTCACTTTTCATCTATGTTTGCCTACAAAGATGAGCTGAGTTTCTTGTAGATAGCATAGAGTTGAGCCTTGCTTTTTTCCCCCTAAGTAATTAATTTAGAGACAGAATCTTGCTCTGTAGCCCAGGCTGGAGTGCAGTGACATGATTATAGTTCACTGCAGTTTAAACTCCTGGGATCAAGTGATCCTCCCACCTGAGCCTATTACAGCCAATTACATTGGGACCTCATGGATGGAGAGTCAGTGGTCACTGATCCCAAGAGCAGGACATAGTCTAGCAGTGGATTTGGTTTCAAAATGGTACTATGTTGTAGTAGCTTAGGGTACAGGGGTGGGGAGTGCAAGATTGGCCCCAACTCTGATGCAGCATAACTGTGTGAATTTTCAGTAACTCTCCAAAGAGGATTCAAAGCATAAGAGGACTGAGAGACTCTAAAGTAGCTAGAACCAGGTGGGTTTCACCACAACTGGCTAATTTTAAAATTTTTTTGTAGAGATGGGGTCTCCCTTTGTTGCCCAGGCTGTTCTTGAACTCCTGGCTTCAAGCAGTCCTGCCTCAGCCTCCCAAAATACTGGAATTGCAGGCATGAGGCACTGCACCTAGCCCTTGTTTTTTTTTTTTTAAGTCATTCAGCCATTCTATGTCTTTAAATTGGGAAATTTAATCCATTGACATTCAAGGTTATTATTGATAGGAAATGTCTTACTTCTGCCATTTTGTTAATTCTTTCCTGGTTGCTTTGTAGATCCTTTGTTTCTTTCTTCCTCTCTTGTTTACTTCTATGGTTTGTTGTTTTTTGTTGTATTCAGATAAAGTTGTGCTTAACTTTATCTTCTGTTTCGTTCTTATTCGTGTATCTGCTGTAATTTCTGTCTTTGTGGTTATCATGTACCTAAAATAAAGTCTTGTAGTTACACTAGACTATTTCAAGCTGGTAACACCTAACTTTGTTTTCATAAAAATATACCAGAATTTTTCCTTCTCACCCCCAAATTTGTTTTTTGTTGCCTTAATTTACATCTTTATCTATCATGTGTTCCTTAGCAACTAATTGTAGCTATTGTTAGTTTTGGCTATTCTGACTTTAGACCTTCATATCAGAGGACTGAAAGATTTATATAGTGCCATTTCAGCACGGGGATATTCTGAGTTTCATTGTGAATTTATTTCTAGTGGTTAGTTTTATATTTTTATGTGTTATAATAACAGTAATTATCAACCTTTTATTCCCAGATAAACACTTTCATGCATTTACTGTAAGGCTGTTGTAGTGATAATGAATTATTGCAGATTTTCCTTGTATAAGAAGGTATTTCTCATTCACTGCTGAAAGACAGTGTTGCTGAATATCATATTCTTGGCTCACAGCATTTTTTTTTTAATTTTAGCACTTTAAACATATCATCCCATTTTCTCCTGGCCTGCAAGATTTATAGTGAGAAATCTGCTGATAGTCTGATGGAGAGTCCCTTATATGTGACTTGATATTTTTATTTTGCACTTCTTAGAATTCTCTCTTTATCTTTGCCTTTTAAGAATTTGTAATATGCCTCAGAGGAGATTAT